>NC_000004.12:138921381-139546381 GCF_000001405.40 Homo sapiens
TATATAACACATTAACAATCTATATAATCAAACTAATTATTTGTTATTGGCACTAAAATAGCTGGTGTTATACGTGGCTGTGTGGCACACATGAAGTTTACTTTAGTGGAAGGTGTTCGGGGTAGGAAAGAACCACAATTATTTTTCTTTTCATACAAAGTCATGTAATTAATCATTTCATTTAGAATAATGGTACATTAAAAGTTTAAATTGATAAGTCTAGGTATTTTGAATGTTGCCATAATTTTACAGGTGATAAAAGAGGCTCAAAATGTTCATGATTTGGTCAGGCATGGTGGCTCACACCTGTAATCTCAGTGCTTTGGGAGGCTGAGGTGGGTGGATCACCTGAGGTCAGGAGTTCGAGACCAGCCTGGCCAACATGGCAAAACCCTGTCTATAGTAAAAATACAAAAATTAGCTGGGCATCGTGGCGCGTGCCTGTAATCCCAGCTACTAGGGGGGCTGAGGCAGGAGGATTGCTTGAATCTGAGAGGCATAGGTTGCTGTGAGCCGAGATCGTGCCACTGCACTCCAGCCTGGGCAACAGAGTGAGACTCTGTCTCAAAAAAAAAAAAAAAAAAAAAATAGAAAGAAAGAAAAGTTTATGATTTTTTTTTACAGTTGTGCATTTTAATTTCCTATTTTTCCCCTGTGGATTCACAAAGGAAATCATGCTAGAAAAAAAGATGTCATCTTAAAGCTGAATGGAAGCCTGGCCAACATGGTGAAACCCTGTCTCTACTAAAAATGCAAAAATTAGCCGGGTGTGGTGGTGCACCCCTGTAATCCCAGCTACTCAGGAGGCTGAGGCAGGAGAATTACTTGAACCCGGAGGCAGAGGCTGCAGTGAGCCAAGATCGTGCCACTGTGCTCCAGCCTGGGTGACAGAGCGAGACCCCATCTCGAAAAATAAAAAAATTTAAAAACATTTTTTTTAAAGCTGAATAGATCTTAGTTTCTCTTCAGCAAAAGCTATAAAAATTTGAGAATCTTGAAAGTCCAGAAGCTTGAGTCTATGTTTTTCTCTGTTGTGTCCCCATTTCCTGGTCCAAAATCTGGCATATAGTAGATGCTCAATAGGTCTTTTTGGAAAGAAAGTAATAACAACATGAGGGTTGAGCCAGATAGGCCCTTTCAGGCAGTATCCGCCATGAGACTGATGGGGCTGGGGGAGCATTTAGGAAAGGCATGAAAACCAGGTGCACATCAGAGCACCCAGAGATGGGCATCCTCCCAGAAATTGAAATGTGCAGTGCAAGGACATGCCCATGGAGATGCCCATGGGAAGAATGCCAAGCAGAGGCCAGGAAGGTGCCTGGAGAGACAGGCCATCCGTACCACAGGGAGAGAACACACATAGGACTTCATAGGAGCCCAGACTGATTATTCTGAATTTAATATTTGCTTAAGTTTTGAAATTCATCTTAATCATAAAACCCTAAAATAGAAAGGAAAATCTAAAGGATACATCATCCCGGTGATAAAATCAGCACCAATTCTAACCTTATCATCCAGAATCCAGACATTTAAAAAATAACAGAGCCTAACGTAAAAGGGGACAGACAAGAGAAATCAGAAATTATTCTCTGGACCCAGTGATTCCCTCAAATTGTCCCCCATTTACTTTCCAATATCTGCAATGAGCAAGTGTACACTCTCTAAGTGACCAAAGCAGACACTCGGGTTTGCACTCCCTGATTTTTTGATCGAATTGCTTCCCACAGTGGATGTCCTCACTGATATTACTTTCTATGTTTCTGCTAATAGAATAAGAAATGTACTAATAGTATATAAAGAAGCTTTATTACTAATTTGGAAATTCTTACGACTCTGAATTATAATCTTAGAAAATCACTGCAATTGAAATATTTTAGTCTGGCCATTAAACTTTGGTTAACAAAGATTAATAAGTGCCCTTGTAACACCAGGTAATACAGCCAAAAGGAAAAAAAAAGGTGTGAGTGCAATGATTGAGATATGTGTAGGGGTATTATGGAAGCAGCTAAGAGGAGTCTCTACCCAGTTTAAGGGGTGAGGAGGAAAGAAATGAGGAGAGGAGATTTCCTGGAAGACCCAGTTGAGCCTAAAAGCTTCCTCCCACCCCATGCCAGATCAGCTCTCATTTTCATTTGTATCTGGAAACTAATTGACCATTTTGAAAGGAGTGAATAAGCTCAGGCACAATGGCTCACACCTGTAATCCCAGCACTTTGGGAGGCCGAGGTGGGCAAATCACAAGGTCAGGGGTTTGAGACCAACCTGGCCAATATAGTGAAACGCCGTCTCTACTAAAAATACAAAAAAATTAGCTGGGAGTGGTGGTGGGCGCCTGTAATCCCAGCTACTCGGGAGGCTGAGGCAAGAGAATCGTCTGAACCCAGGAGTCATAGGTTGCAGTGAGCCAAGATTGCATCACTGCACTCCAGTCTGGGTGACAGAGCAGGACTCTGTCTCAAAAAAAAAAAAAAAAAAAGGAGTGAATAAATCTGAATGCTGACTATTGTCTAAACCCAAGGAACGGGGGTTGTCATTGAGACCTTCCAAACACTGCAAAGACTACACCACTGTTATACAACCTATGATCAGAGGTCACATCGAAGCAAATTGAATAATCAAAGTAATCAATTTGAAAAAGATTTTTATTTCTTCAAAGCAATGTAAGAAAAAAGGAGGCGGGCATGGTGGCTCATGCCTGTAATCTCAGCACTTTTGGAGGCAGGAGGATCACTTGAGGCCAGAAGTTCAAGACTAGCCTGGCCAAAATGGCAAAACCCTGTCTCTACTAAAAATACAAAAATTAGCGAGGCATGGTGTGAGCTTGAGAGGCTGGAGCACAAGAATTGCTTGAACCAGGGAGATGGAGGTTGCAGTGAGCCGAGATTACACCACTGCACTCCAGCCTGGGCGACAGAGTGAGACTCTCTCTCAAAACTAAAGGGAAAAAGAAAGAAAATAAAAAGAAAAAAAGGAGATTCTAGCACTTTTGGAGGCCAAGGTAGACAGGTCACTTGAGCCCAGGAGTTCAAGACCAGCCTGGACAACACAGCAAAACCCTTTCTCTACAAAAAATACAAAAATTGGCAGAGTGTGGTGGCATGTGCCAGTAGTCCCAGCTATGCAGGTGGGTTGAGATGGGAGGATCGCCTGAGCCCAGAGAGGTCGAGGTTGCAGTGAGCCACGATCACACCACTCCACTCCAGCCTGGGCAACAGAGTGAGACCCTGTCTCAAAAAAAAAAAAAAAAAGAAAAAAGAAGGAGGTGGGGGAGGAAGAGGAGTAGAAGAGGAAGTAGAAGGGGGAGAATAAGCAAGTCTCCCAGCAGGAAGGACCTGGAAATGTTACCTTATACAGAGAAACTTTCTTTCTATAAATGTATGTGTCCACCATCATCAGAATTTACAGAGGCCCATCATCATAAACCCAAGCACTTTTCATTATTTTTATCAGAGAAATGGAGGGCGCTTACACTGGTAAGTGCTTTAAAATTTCCTGAGCAATGATCCTAAGTGCAAGAAGATGTTATTATGTCCTGTGCCTCCTTCCTCTGACGTTTAAGGCGCTCTTGGGAGAATGGCAAATGTTGGGAATACATTAGAATGATGTGAGGTCAAGGAAAATGGTGGCCAAATGTTGGTAAAGATATCTACAAACGATACCCATGTCATCTCTTCAAAAATACATTTCACTCAGACAGCAGCAAAAGAATTTTTGATGAGTTTGGAGAGAGAGAAGTAACACAATCGTCTGACAATAGCCTAAGCTTTCTTCCCTACCCTCTGTAGGGATCTATTAAGGACACAGGAAATGGAAAGAGCAGCTCAGTGTGTGATGAATGTCAGTTACTATTACATTTATTAAGCTCTTCTGCAAAGGCCTTGGGTATAGGTGGGTATGTAACAAGGAAAATACATAAATAAACAATCACCTGCATTCTAGGGTTATTTGTCTCTGCCTTCTTTGTGAACTTATTGAGACTTGGTGAGTTTACAAGAGAGATGCCAGAGAGTATAAAATGAATTTCTCACTGTGCCAATATGCTGAGCAAAACAAAAAAAAAGATTTGTGGCTTCCACCTGGGAGATCAGATGGATTAAGGTGTTCAATTCTTCACTTGTTGGTAGAGGAAAAAAAAATACTCAAATCTCCCTCACCTCAGTCTTTGTTTCTTAGCTTTGTTTCTTAGCTTTCTTAGCTTTGTTTATTTATGGATGGTTTTGTTCTGATTGGAAAGTCAGTAAGACTAAGATCCTCGACAGACCAGTGAGGAGAATATGAGAAGCCATGTATGGCCTTGCTTATAATAAACCATGCTGATCTGCAAGTCACCGGGGAAGAATGTTTGGTAAATGTTTGGAAAATGCAGACTTCCAAAGAAGTGATTACAGAGCCTTATGCTTGGATGGTGTCTTTTTTCTGGGAGCGTCTTCAAGCATTTTACAAACTTATCTAAAGGGTCCCTCACCAGTCATTGGAATGCACTTGTATCCAGGGTAGAATAAAGGCAACTGCTCAGCCAGAAAGCAAACATGCTTTCAGGAAGAAAAGTTATTTTGTAAGTGTACTTATGAAATGCTCCAAGTTTTCCCCTTTATCAGGGCATTTACGTATGAGAGAAGAGATGGGCTATGGGTATGGAGCTCAGGACTATCCTTATGGGGAGCAAGCTAGGGCATTTGACATGCAGCCCACACCCACACCCTTCATTGAAGCTATGAGCAAAAATGGGTTAAATTAAATGTCCTAGCCAGCTGGAAATGTATGCACATGTATAGAGAAAGGAGCTGGCTTGCAGAGGGGGCCATGTTATTAGGGAGATAGAAGACTATTGCGGGTTAACTACAAAGAGCTCAGATCCTTTTTCACACCAGCTGGCAGAGTCAGAGTCCCTTTCTTTTCTCCCCAGTGGTCTGATCCCTAAATCATGGCCCAGGCCCAGCTACCAGCAAGAATTCGTATGGTATCTCCACAGAACCAGCTTCCCGGGCTACAACCTACACAGTCCCACAGGCCCTCACTCAGAAGGCCCTGCACTTGATTTCATACTCCATTGTTGCCATCTTAAAATTCCTAATAATTTTATCTTTGAACTTGTGTTTTATAAGTGAAGTCTCATGGGACAAAGGAGAATGAGCGTGAGCAGAGGAGATACAATATGTGTGCATGCGCAGTAACACCATTCCTTGCCTCCCATTCACATATACCACCTGTGATGTCCCATGCAGAGAATTCTGGTGGACCCATGATGCATGAAAGTTCAGTGTAACTCAGTGATAGGTGACCCCCTACCCCACAACCCAGCCAAGAGGCCGTGCTTTCCCTTTGAACCAGTTTAGCTTGAAAGAATCAATACTGTTTAAGCAAAAAGAACAACCAAGGAACCCTACCATATTCTTTCTCACTCATGTTACATCGCTATATTAGCCAACCACACTGAAAAGGACATAGAAGGAAAGGGAAAGATGGGGCAACCCATAGTTCATTTTCCTTTCTCATCAGTTAAGCCAAAGGTAGTGATTTGTTGGTAGAGTGTGTCATATTAAGTCAGATTTTTACATAGACTGGAAAAAGTACAGTGTTTATTGGTCATTTTAAAAACTCTTACAAAACAATAAGAAAAAGATAAACGTTCCAATAAAAAACAGGTTTAGGGCACTAATACGCACATTACAAGAGAACTTCAAATGACCAACATTAAACATTATAAAATGTTTTTAACTTTGCTAATAATTAAAGAAATACAAATAAAAACAACAGTGATCAAAAATTTTCTACTCAGAAGTTTAGAAAAGATGAAAATGAAAATATCAGCACCCAGTACAAACCTAAAGTGGAAAGCAACTGGAAAAGAGCTTGACTACACTGATCAAAATATGAAATGACTCAGCAATAACATTGCCAGGAAACTGCTAAAGAGACATAGGGACATTTATAAAGATGAATATGCAAGGCTGTTCACTATAGCATTGTTTAGCATATCTAAAAATTGAAATAACCTCAATGTTGATCCATAGGTGCTGTGGTCTGAATGTTTGTTTCCTCTCAGCATTCATGTTGAAATTCTGACCCCCAAGGTGATGATATTAGGAGGTGGAGCCTTTGGGAGGTGATCAGACTATGAGGATAGAGCCCTTGTGAATGGGCTTAGTGCCCTTATAAAAAAGGCCTGAGAGAGACCCCTCACTTCTTCCACCATGTGAGGACACAATGAGAAGATATCATCCGCAAACCAGAAAGTGGGTCCTCACCAGATACCAAATTTGTGAGTGTCTTGATCTTGGACTTCCCAGCCTCCAGAAGTGTGGGAAATAAATAAATACATTTATATTGTTTATAGACTATCCAGTTTATAATATTTTATTATAGCAGCCCAAACAGACTAAGACAATAGGGTATACGTTAAATCAATCACAGTACATCTATGTTTGCAGTTGTTAAAAAAGAATTAGATCACTGTCAGGCCTCTGAGCCCAAGCTAAGCCATCATATCCCCTGTGACCTGCACGTACACATCCAGATGACCAGTTCCTGCCTTAACTGATGACATTCCACCACAAAAGAAGTGAAAATGGCCTGTTCCTGCTTTAACTGATGACATTGTCTTGTGAAATTCCTTCTCCTGGCTCATCCTGGCTCAAAAGCTCCCCCACTGAGTACCTTGTGACCCCCCACTCCTGCCCGCCAGAGAACCCCCCTTTTTCCTTTACCTACCCAAATCCTATAAAACGGCCCCACCCCTATCTCCCTTCACTGACTCTCTTTTCGGACTCAGCCCACCTGCACCCAGGTGAAGTAAACAGCTTTATTGCTCACACAAATCCTGCTTGGTGGTCTTTTCACACAGACGTGCATGAAATTTGGTGCCGTGACTCGGATCGGGGGACCTCCCTTGGGAGATCAATCCTCTGTCCTCCTGTTCTTTGCTTGGTGAGAAAGATCCACCTACGACCTCAGGTCCTCAGACCAACCAGCCCAAGAAACATCTCACCAATTTTAAATCAGGTAAGCGGCCTCTTCTTACTCTCTTCTCCAACCTCTCTCACTATCCCTCAACCACTTTCTCCTTTCCACTCTTCAATCTCTCCCTTCTCTTAATTTCAATTCCTTTCATTTTCTGGCAGAGACAAAGGAGACAGGTTTTATCTGTGGACCCAAAACTCCGGTGCCGGTCACGGACTAGGGAAGGCAGCCTTCCCTTGGTGTTTAATCATTGCAGGGACGCCTCTCTGATTATTCACCCAGGTTTCAGAGGTGTCAGACCACGCAGGGACACCTGCCTTGGTCCTTCACCCTTAGCGGCAAGTCCCGCTTTTCTGGGGAAGGGGCAAGTACCCCAACCCCTTCTCTCCGTGTCTCTACCCCTTCTCCACCTTTCTGGGGGGGCAAGAAACCCCCAACCCCTTCTCCTTCACCCTTAGCAGCAAGTCCTGCTTTTCTGGGGGAGGGGCAAGTACCCCAACCTCATATCTCTGTGTCCCAATCCCTTATTTCTGCACCCCGACCTCTTATCTCTGTGCCCCAATCCCTTATTTCCATGCCCCGACCCCTTATATCTCTTTGCCCTGATCCCTTATTTCCGCACCCCAACCTCTTATATTCTCTGCACCCCAATCCCTTATGTCCATGCCCTGACCTCGTATTTCTGTGCCCCGACCCCTTTCCCACTTTTCTGGAGGGTAAGAACCCCTGAACCCCTTCCCCCCGTGTCTCTACTCTCTTTTCTCTGGGCTTGCCTCCTTCACTATGGGCAACCTTCCACCCTCCATTCCTCCTTCTTTTCCCTTAGCCTGTGTTCTTAAGAACTTAAAACCGCTTCAACTCTCACTTGACCTAAAATCTAAGCATCTTATTTTCTTCTGCATTGCCACTTGACCCCAATACAAACTCGACAGTAGTTCCAAATAGCCAGAAAACGGCACTTTGAATTTTTCCATCCTGCAAGATCTAAATAATTCTTATCGTAAAGTAGGCAAACAGTCTGAGGTGCCTGACGTCCAGGCATTCTTTTACACATCGGTCCCTTCCTAGTCTCTGTGCCCAATGCAACTCGTCCCAAATCTTCCTTCTTTCCCTCCCACCTGCCCCCCTCAGTCCCAACCCCAAGCATCGCTGAGTCTTTCTAATCTTCCTTTTCTACAGACCCATCTGACCTCCCCTCCTCCCCAGGCTGCTCCTCGCCAGGCGGAGCTAGGTCCCAATTCTTCCTCAGCCTCTGCTCCTCCACCCTATAATCCTTTTATCACCTCCCCTCCTCATACCCGGTCCGGCTTACAGTTTCATTTGACTAGCCACCCCCCGACCTGCCCAGCAATTTACTCTTAAAAAGGTGGCTGGAGCTAAAGGCATAGTCAAGGTTAATGCTCCTTTTTCTTTATCCCAAATCAGATAGCGTTTAGGCTCTTTTTCATCAAATATAAAAATCCAGCCCAGTTCATGACTCCTTTGGCAACAACCCTGAGACAGTTTACAGCCCTAGACCCTAAAAGGTCAAAAGGCCGTCTTATTCTCAAAATACGTTTTATTACCCAATCTGCTCCTGACATTAAATAAAACTCCAAAAATTAAATTCCGGCCCTCAAACCCCACAACAGGATTTAATTAGCCTCACCTTCAAGGTGTACAATAATAGAAAACAGTTGCAATTCCTTGCCTCCACTGTGAGACAAACCCCAGCCACATCTCCAGCACACAAGAACTTCCAAACACCTGAACCGCAGCAGCCAGGCGTTCCTCCAGAACCTCCTCCCCCAGTAGCTTGCTACAAGTGCCAGAAATCTGGCCACCAGGCCAAGGAATGCCTGCAGCCCAGGATTCCTCCTAAGCCGCTTCCCATCTGTGCAGGACCCCACTGGAAATTGGACTGTCCAACTCACCTGGCAGCCACTCCCAGAGCCCCTGGAACTCTGGCCCAAGGCTCTCTGACTCCTTCCCAGATCTTCTTGGCTTAGCAGCTGAAGACTGACGCTGCCTGATCACCTCAGAAGCCCCCTAGATCATCACGGACGCCGAGCTTTGGGTAACTCTCACAGTGGAGGGTAAGTACTTCCCCTTCTTAATACGGAGGCTACTCACTCCACATTACCTTATTTTCAAGGGCCGGTTTCCCTTGCCTCCATAACTGTTGTGGGTATTGACAGCCAGGCTTCTAAACCTCTTAAAACTCCCCAACTCTGGTGCCAACTTAGACAACACTCTTTTAAGCACTCCTTTTTAGTTATCCCCACCTGCCCAGTTCCCTTATTAGGCCGAGACACTTTAACTAAATTATCTGCTTCCCTGACTATTCCTGGACTACAGCTGCATCTCATTGCCGCCCTTCTTCCCAATCCAAAGCCTCCTTTGCGTCCTCCTCTTGTATCCCCCAACTTTAACCCACAAGTATAAGATACCTCTACTCCCTCCTTGGTGACCCATCATGCACCCCTTACCATCTCATTAAAACCTAATCACCCCTACCCCGCTCAATGCCAATATCCCATCCCACAGCATGCTTTAAAAGGATTAAAGCCTATTATCAATCACCTGCTACAGCATGGCCTTTTAAAGCCTATAAACTCTCCTTACAATTCCCCCATTTTACCTGTCCTAGAACCAGACAAGACTTACAGGTTACTTCAGGATCTGCGCCTTATCAACCAAATTGTTTTGCCTATCCACCCCGTGGTGCCAAACCCATATACTCTCCTATCCTCAATACCTCCCTCTACAACCCATTATTCTGTTCTGGATCTCAAATATGCTTTCTTTACTATTCCTCTGCACCCTTTATCCCAGCCTCTCTTTGCTTTCACTTGGACTGACCCTGACGCCCATTAGGCTCAGCAAATTACCTGGGCTGTACTGCCGCAAGGCTTCACAGACAGCCCCCATTACTTCAGTCAAGCCCAAATTTCATCCTCATCTGTTACCTATCTCGGCATAATTCTCATAAAAACACATGTGCTCTGCCTGCTGATCGTGTCCGACTAATCGCCCAAACCTCAATCCCTTACAAAACAACAACTCCTTTCCTTCCTAGGCACAGTTAGTGCGGTCAGAATTCTTACACAAGAGCCAGGACTGCACCCTGTAGCCTTTCTGTCCAAACAACTTGACCTTACTGTTTTAGCCTAGCCATCATATCTCAGTGCAGCGGCTGCTGCCGCCCTAATACTTTTAGAGGCCCTCAAAATCACAAACTATGCTCAACTTACTCTCTACATTTCTCATAACTTCCAAAATCTATTTTCTTCCTCATACCTGACGCATATACTTTCTGCTCCCCAGCTCCTTCAGCTGTACTCACTCTTTGTTAAGTTCCACAATTACCATTGTTCCTGGCCGGGACTTCAATCCGGCCTCCCACATTATTCCTGATACCACACCTGGCCCTCATGACTGCATCTCTCTGATCCACCTGACGTTCACCCCATTTCCCCGCATTTCCTTCTTCCCTGTTTCTCACCCTGATCGCACTTAGTTTATTGATGGCAGTTCCACCAGGCCTAATCGCCACACACCAGCAAAGGCAGGCTATGCTATAGTACAAGTCACTAGCCCGCCTCTTAAAACCTCTCATTTCCTTTCCATCGTGGAAATCTATCCTCAAGGAAATAACTTCTCAGTGTTCCATCTGCTATTCTACTACTCCTCAAGGATTATTCAGGCCCCCCTCCCTTCCCTACACTTCAAGCTCGAGGATTTGCCCCCACCCAGGACTGGCAAATTAGCTTTACTCAACATGCCCCGAGTCAGATAACTAAAATACCTCTTAGTCTAGGTAGACACTTACACTGGATAGGTAGAGTCCTTTCCTACAGGGTCTGAGAAGGCCACCACAGTCATTTCTTCCCTTCTGTCAGACATAATTCCTCAGTTTAGCCTTCCCACCTCTATACAGTCTGATAACAGATCAGCCTTTATTAGTCAAATCAGCCAAGCAGTTTTTCAGGTGTTAGTATTCAGTGAAACCTTTATATCCCTTACAGTCCTCAGTCTTCAGGAAAAGTAGAACAGACTAATGGTCTTTTAAAAACACACCTCACCAAGCTCAGCCACCAACTTAAAAAGGACTGGACAATACTTTTACCACTTTCGCTTCTCAGAATTAAGGCCTGTCCTCGGAATGCTACAAGGTACAGCCCACTTGAGCTCCTTTTTATTAGGCCCCAGTCTCATTCCAGACACTAGACCAACTTGGACTGTGCCCCAAAAACTTGTCATCCCTACTGTCTTCTGTCTAGTCCTACTTCTATTCACCGTTCTCAACTACTCATACATGCCCTGCTCTTGTTTACACTGCCAGTTTACACTGTTTCTCCAAGCCAGCACAGCTGATATCTCCTGGTGTTATCCCCAAACCACCGCTCTTAACTCTTGAAGTAAATAAATAATTTTTGCTGGCAGGACTATGATGAATCTCCTAAGGCACTCTAATTATATGTCCTAGGTCCTCCCAATTCTTAGTCCTTTAATACCTGCTTTTCTCCTCTTATTCCATTTACTTTTTCAATTCATACAAAACCGTATCCAGGCCATCACCAATAATTCTACATGACAAGTGTTTCTTCTAACAACCCCACAATATCACCCCTTACCACAAGATCTCCCTTCAGCTTAATCTCTCCCACTCTAGGTTCCCACGCCACCCCTAATCCTGCTCGAAGTAGCCCTGAGAAACATCGCCCATTATCTCTCCATACCATCCCCCAAAATTTTCGCTGTCCAAACACTTTACCACTATTTCATTTTATTTTTCTTATTAATATAAGAAGACAGGAATGTCAGGCCTCTGAGCCCAAGCTAAGCCATCATATCCCCTGTGACCTGCACGTACACATCCAGATGACCAGTTCCTGCCTTAACTGATGACATTCCACCACAAAAGAAGTGAAAATGGCCTGTTCCTGCTTTAACTGATGACATTGTCTTGTGAAATTCCTTCTCCTGGCTCATCCTGGCTCAAAAGCTCCCCCACTGAGTTCCTTGTGACCCCCCACTCCTGCCCACCAGAGAACAACCCCCCTTTTTCCTTTACCTACCCAAATCCTATAAAACAGCCCCACCCCATCTCCCTTCGCTGACTCTCTTTTCGGACTCAGCCCACCTGCACCCAGGTGAAATAAACAGCTTTATTGCTCACACAAAGCCTGTTTGGTGGTCTCTTCACACGGATGCGCATGAAATTCACTTTATATCCACTGACCTGGAAAATGTACACAATACAGTGTAAAACTTTTTAAAGCAAATTATAGAAGATAAAATGATCGCATCTGGGAAAATATGTGTGTACATTTTTTTTTTTTTACTAGTCCTGTCTCATCCTAGGGAGATCATAAAGTTACCTTTGGGAGGTAGAATTAATTGGGGACAAGAATGAATAAATGAGATGACTTTTCACTTCATGCCTTCTGCAATGTTTAGGAAAAAAACATTTCAGAGCATGTCTTTCTGATAATTTGTTTTAAAAAATCACATTAAGATAAAATCATTTACTGCACATTGACCGGGCACGGTGGCTCATGCCTGTAATCCCAGCACTTTGGGAGGCCAAGATGGGCAGATCACGAGGTCAGGAGATCAAGACCATCCTGGCTAACATGGTGAAACCCCGTCTCTACTAAAAATACAAAAAATTAGCCGGGCGTGGTGGTGGGCACCTGTAGTCCCAGCTACTTGGGAGGCTGAGGCAGGAGAATTGCTGGAACCCAGGAGGCAGAGGTCGCAGTGAGCCGAGATCGCACCACTGCACTCCAGCCTGGGCGACAGAGCGAGACTCCATCTCAAAAAAAAAAAAAAAGAAAAAAACATTTACTGCACATCTGTACAATGAATATTAAGTGACCATTAAAAATGATGATGTTGGCCAGGGGCATGCCCCAAGCTCGTAATCTCAGCACTTTGGGAGGTCAAAGCAGGCAGATCTCTTGAGCTCAGGAATTCAAGACCAGCCTGGGCAACATGGTAAAACTATCTCTACAAAAAAACAGAAAACAGCCAGGCAAGGTGGCACACGCCTGTGGTCCCAGTTACTTGAGGGGATGAGAAGGGAAGATGGCTTGACCCCGGGAGGTCCAGGCTCCAGTGAGCCATGTTTGCACCACTGCACTCCAGCCTGGGTGACAAAGTGAGACTCCATCTCAAAAACAGAAAAGGTTAATGCCGTAATCTATACATATTGACCTCAAAATGTGGCCACAACATATATTTCTGAAAAAAAGAAAAGAGGTTACTGAACAATATATGTAAGACAAACACGTTTGCATAAAATTCTGCATCTGTTGAGAGAACAGTGTCAGCTGTCTGAAAAGATGTTCCTCAAATATTGATAGTAGTTATTGCTGGGTAGTGTTACTTTTAGTGATTTTTACTTTCTTTATACTTTTCTGTGCTATGTAATTTTTTTTACAATGAGTGTATAACCTTTTTCTAAATCAGAAAAAAAATCTATTTCTATTTTGAAAGTTTTAATATGTGCTAGGAAAATAAGAAGAGTAAGAACGTTTCACAAAATGAATAAAAAGTAATTTCTTCCTGATTCCCAGTAGTATCTCTAAAGTCAGCACCAATAAGGATCATAACTTAGAACTGCATATTTTCTGAGTTGAATCTTTTTGCCCCAATTTTGCTAACTATACTAAAAACAGTATTTCAAATTCCCCCCACCACAGAGAAAATACAAGTTCATCCCTAATCTATTCAGCAAATTCAACCCCAACCAGGGGTTTCTTCCTAAACTAATTTATTCTTAACTTTTTCATTTATCTCCCAAGCACTATGTTTGATGTTTAAAAAGAAAAAGCACTGACTTGACCTAATATTAGTACTACATGAATGTGCAGGTTTATTTTCCCAATTTTGTCCTGATGGCAGTAATTATTTCAGAACCTTGCTAAGTCTTACTTGCTTATCAGTCTTTCCAATAATTCTTACCAGCAAAACTGGCAGTTTTATCCTTCTTTTCAACAGAGATTTAGAGGCCAAGAACTATAGTGAATTCTCACCTGACAAAGCGTTTATTGCCTTTTTCAAAATATACTGCAGGACGTTTATTAGTAGACTATGAAGTATTTATCACCAGTAATTAAAAATAAGCTGTACTTGTTGGAATAAATGCAGAGTCAGAGATGCAATACTATTACTTTTTATTGTTTATTTGCTCTTCTTTTAACCTAATATAAAAATTCCTTTACTAACGTGCTAAGGCATTTATCTTAAGGCTGATGTTAAACAAACCTGTTTGCATTTTACTAAGCAGACAAGGAAAGCATCAGAAGTCACTATAAAAAGATTTCTAAGGCAACAGTGAGAAGATCCAGGAATGTTTGTGCACTGCTAGTAGAAATAAAGGCAAATTGACCTTTAAAAGATAAGAAGGTAATCTGCAACATAGAGCAACCACGTTCTCATCCTTTAACCTAAAAATTCCACTTATAATTTGTATCCTAAAAACTAATCATAAATATACAAAAGTGATAGCTACAAGATTGTTTAACCATTGGAACTTAGTTTTTTAAATTTTCCGAATAACAAAACACCTTGCAGCCATTAAAAATAGTGTTGCAGAAGAATATTTAATTACAAAGAAAAATAGGAGACAAGGAGTTTATAATATGCATATGCACAACATGATTGCAAGTTATAGCTTAGATAAATAGACAGATAGAGATCAGAACTAGAAATATATCAATCAAGCATTAATAAGTCACCAAAACATAAATGTTGAAATCTCTGGAGGATGGAATTATGGGTGGGGTGTATACTCTTCTGTGTGCCCATCTGTATTTTCCAAATTCTTACAATGTATGTGTGCTACTTTTGTAATGGGAGAAGTTCTTATTAAGAGATAGTAAGTGCCCTCTAGAAGCTTGTTGAATGAATGAATTCAATTTCTTTTTTATATCTCTCTCCTGCTTTGAGGACTCTCCATATATGTAAAGTTGTCATTTGAGAAGAAAAAGCTTTAGCTGTAATTCAAACTTAGTCTCACTGAGACCTGTATAAGTAGACCAAAACTTGTTTCAAAACGTCATCACATACATACACACACATAAAAATTGAGCATATCACATTCTAATACCAGCTAAATAATGTCAAATTATAATTTTAAAATAATGATTAAGGGGTAGCCACAAGTGATTCAGCTTCACCAAAGACTAAAACATATTTGAGTATTCTCCTAAATTCAAAGCATATATAATGATCTAAAATGCAGTAGGCATAATTTCTTGTAAAACCTCACAATTTTTATTTGTATGTACACACACATAGGTGCAAAGCAGACCCCAAGGTTATTTGAATTTATCTTTGCTACATGAGTTCTTGTTACAAGCATAACTGACCCACTGTCTTAGTTCATTTCGTGTTGCTATAAGGGCATCTCTGAGGCTGGGTAAGTTATAAAGAAAAGGAAGTTTATTTGGTTCACGATTCTGATGGCTAGAAAGCTCAAGATTGGGCATTTGCATCTGGTGAGGGCCTCAGGCTGCTTCCACTCATAGCGGAGGACAAAGGGGAGCTGGCATGTGCAGAGATCACATAGAGAGAAAGGATGAAAATGGGGTGGGGCGTGCCAGGCTCTTTTTAACAACGAGCTGTCTCAAGAACTAATAGAGGGAGAACTCCCTCCCACGGGAGGGCATTACTCTATTCATGAGAGACCCACCCCATGACCCAAACACCTCCCATTAGGCTCCACCTCCAACAGTGGGGGTCACATTTCAACGCGAGGTTTGGAGGGAACAAAGATCCAAGCCACAGCACCCGCAGATTTTTAGGAAGTAGAAAACAATTCCATTCACACCTGAAATGTCAGGCCCATACTTTAAACTGTCATGTTATCTATTGTCATTTTGAGGATATTATTGTTTTAGTAAGGTTAGGGATGAGATTTGCCTTCAATTTGTATCTTAAAAGTTTAAATTACAGCCTGGGTGCAGTGGCTCCTGCCTGTAATCCCAGCACTTTGGAAGGCCGAGGTGGGCGGATCACCTGAGGTCGGGAGTTTGAGAACAGCCTGACCAATGTGGAGAAACCCCGTCTCTACTAAAAATACAAAATTAGCCAGGCATGGTGGCACATGCCTGTAATCCCAGCTATTCAGAAGACTGAGGCAGGAGAATCGCTTGAACCTGGGAAGCAGAAGTTGTGGTGAGCCAAGATCACGCCATTGCATTCCAGCCTGGGCAACAAGAGCAAAATTCTGTCTCAAAAAAAAAAAAAAAAAAAAAAAAAAAAAAAAGGTTTAAATTACTTAAAATGAAAAGCAGTTCTGGAATTCCTGGCCAATTCATATGCCCCAGGGTTTACCAAAGCCACGTAGAACAATATCACAGTGAACCACTAAAATGATCCCTACTTCCCTTTAAAGTTTTTAAATTGTAAAGAAGTTTTGTCACTTAGGGGGCATCTGTGGCGTAAAAATCAAGACAGAATTTAAATAAAGTAATACCACACTAACTTGCCTCGTCCTCTGTTTCTGGGAAAACTCTTGAGTCTGCCTTGAGGAGTAAAAGGCGACATGCCAGTCATCCATGAAATGCTGCTTATTGTTTTAGCTTGAGCAACCTGAAAATAAAGAACTTCCTTTCTGCACTGGTATTTCTTTAGTTTTCTTTCACCTTGGCAATCCAATTAGAAGGTTCGCATGTATGTTTCATGATTGAAAATGCCTGTTAAATCAAGAAAATGAAATTTAAGTCATCAATGCTTCCTTTATACGCAAAGGGTCCTTTCTGAGGTATTGTTGAGAGGGCTGGATGTGGGATTTCCCTGCATCTCTGGGAACAGCTTTAAATGCCAGCCCCCTCCTGAGGCTCTGTCCTTTGCTGAGGAAATAATTTCAGAGGCAAACTATATTTCAGCACAGCTCCACACCTGTCTAAATCACCATGCCACAAGGCTGGAGAGAGAAAAGACTACTACTGACTTTACTCCTCTTTCCTTTAACGAGTTTTGAAGGGTTTCTTTTTACCAAAGAAATAATGAACGCCTCTTGCAAACTGTGGGGGAAAATGTTCTATTTGGAAGTAATTGAAAATATGTTTTGCAGCTACTTACGAACCCTTTTCCAAATAGCTTTCTTTTCTAATTAACTCACCACAGTGCTTAGCTCTGAAATTCGGTGGGTAGAGAGTGACATCTAGTGTGTTGAAAAAGAACTTGAAACACGAAAGTTGGGTGAGGGCAGAAGACCTAGGTTTATAACTATGACTCCTAAATGCTTCCCTTCTAGTATAATAATTGCCAGATGGAAATGCAAGGTTGCTATCATGGAAGTTTCATGAGTGTTTGAAATTATGAGAAAGATTGTTTTCTCTTTAGATATTTAGAGAACTGTGGATGTTTTAAGGTACACTTTGTCTAAAGAAGCCTATAGTCCTAAAAGTAATTTGTGTGAGGACAAGGTGGGGTCATAACACCTAAGAGATGAAATATGGTTTCTCCCTGAGGTCAGAAAAGTAATTTTCACTTTAAAGTTAAAGTGGAAGGGATCAGGGATGATCAGCTGCCCCTGAACTCTAGTAGCTTGTCATCATGGGGATTTTTTCAGGCTTTGCAGGTAGACAGTTCAAACCTGATTCAGGAGGAAATAGTCACTGCCGATTTAACAGACGCAGGTGCCTAACATGAGCAATGTCCGTGCTGTGGTGACAACAGATGGAACAAGGCAAGTCCCTTCATCAAAACAGAAATAAAGTGCTAAAGAGGACTCCCAAAGAGAGGAGGCAATCATGTAGAAGGATCAGGAACTACTTGGTGTAGATGAATCGAATATGGATAAATATTTTTTTTTTTTTTTGAGAGGGAGTCTCGCTCTGTTGCCCAGGCTGGAGTGCAGTGGTGCGATCTCAGCTCACTGCAAGCTCTGCCTACCAGGTTCACACCATTCTCCTGCCTCAGCCTCCCGAGTAGCTGGGACTACAGGCGCCCGCCACAACGTCCAGCTAATTTTTTGTATTTTTAGTAGAGACGGCGTTTCACTGTGTTAGCAGGATGGTCTCGATCTCCTGACCTCGTGATCTGCCCGCCTCAGCCTCCCAAAGTGCTGGGATTACAGGCATGCGCCACCGCGCCCAGCCCCTGGATAAAATTTTTGACATGTGCAATAGGAAGAAAGGGCACTCCAGGTAAAGGAAACAGCATGAGTAAAATCACAAATCAGGAAAAGATCATCTGAGTGCTACTCTCCTTTTATTGAGTCAGAAATAGTACATTCTGACTCAAATGCAGGATAAATATAGGAGAGAAGTAAAATATGATGTTGATTGGTGGACCTTCAAATGCCAACACAGGAATTTCTGCAGGGTCCTTGGTGCTGTGTCACAGCTGTTATCAAGAATTCATGCCTATATTCTCTCATCCACAGAACCCACCAAGGGAGCATGAAGCCAAGCGGAAATGCTGGTGTACAGTCACCTATGAGAACCAAAATAAGGCCAGCCAGAACACTGTCAAGGTCATGGCAGAGCCCAGGCATCCCTTGTTAACATCCATCTCTGAGTGAGCATTATGCAGAGAAGTTTTCCCCACTCCCAATTCCTCTTCCAGATTTAAAGAAAAAGCTATTCGACTGCAGAAGGAACTTGAGCCTTTCCTCATAGGGGAGATGACCATCTTTGACCTTACCTGTTCTAGCTATGAGGCAAAAATCTTTCTAAATAGATACACATCAATCACCACGCCATAGCTGCTTGCTTAACTCAGGATTACATCATTAAAAATCGTTCCCTGTTCTCAGTAAGCCATCACTGGATATGGTAGGGGAGCCAAGAATTATTGACCAACTGAAAAATGACAGGGCCCCATCAAATCTATTTGACTTGTATTTCCCGGTTCCAAAGGACAGAAGGCCCTTTATTCTATGACGCAATGGAATGGGACATTTGAAAGCCAGCATCCAATCACAACATAAGGGCACTTGGAAGATCCTAAAGTCTGAAGCTAGCACTGAGCTACTTTTCCAGTGGATATCAGGTAACTCTCCCTAAGGATAAAGCTTTATGCTAAATTCCTGGAATTCGCTAATTTAACATTTGAGGTATCAGTTACACTCAAGCAGCTCCTATGATTCAGGATATGTAATAATTTCTCAGTTTACTGAGACAAATTTAAATTAAGCCTGCTGTGAGGTTTGACCTTGTGGCTCTCTACATGTCATCATATGCTCTGAAATCCCAGACATCAAGTCCCTGGTTCTTAGAGAGAAAAAGACAACAAATAAGAAGAGAATTATTAGTGAAAGTTGAAATCTAGGTTTTGAGGATCCTGGCGCTCATACGACATTGGGTCCTCTATAAGAAAAAGAATTTTGGGCCGGGCGCAGTGGCTCACGCCTGTAATCCCAGCACTTTGGGAGGCCAAGGCAGGCGGATCACCTGAGGTCGGGAGTTTGAGACCAACATGGAGAAATCCCATCTCTACTAAAAAAATACAAAATTAGCAGGCGTGGTGGCACATGAATGTAATCCCAGCTACTCAGGAGCCTGAGGCAGGAGAATCACTTGAACCCGGGAGACGCAGGTTGCAGTGAGCCGAGATCGTGCCATTGCACACCAGCCTGGGCAACAAGAGCAAAACTCCACCTCAAAAAAAAAAAGAGAAAAAAAAGAATTTTACAATGGTAAATATCTCTTTAGAACCAAATACGAAATCCTCACAAATTATACAATTTCTTAAAGCTATTGAATACCATAAACATCACAAAAATTAGAATAAAAACTTGTATTTTTACTAATTAGTTGCCTGACACACTTCTACGATATGTTCTTTACTGCATTTTGGGGGTACATATCCTTTGCCTCTTAATGAGATTTAGAAAAATCACTTTCTATAGAAAGAATAGATAGTTCAGTCTTTCCTCCATCATGACTCATCAAAATATGTTTTTATTGATAGTTTAGAAAGGTTTCTTTTAGCTTCACAACACATTATTGATACCATATAAAATTTAGGATTGTTGTCAAATTTTTAAAAATCTCAAGTTTCTTTTAAAAATGAGATATAAAATTTCAGGATATTTCAAGTGTTCTTGGGCAATGGCTAATCTTAAATATTAATTGGTATTTCATTAAATAATTTGCTCATCAGCTGGGCGCAGTGGTACATGCCTGTAAATCCCAGCACTTTGGGAGACCAAAATGGGTGGACTGCCTGAGCTGGGAGTTCGAGATCACCCTGGGCAACATGGTGAAACCTCGTCTCTACTAAAATACAAAAAATTAGCCAGGCGTGGTGGCAGGCACCTGTAGTCCCAGCTAGGAGGCTGAGGCAGGAGAATCGCTTGAACCCAGAAGGCAGAGGTTGCAGTGAGCCGAGTTCGTGCCACTGCACTCCAGCCTGAGCGACAGAGGGAGATCTTGTCTCCAAAAATAATAATAATTATATAATAATAATAATTGCTCAATATTGTCATCAATATCTTCACAATAATGACATTATGAATTTTATAATATCTTCATCAATATCAGTGTTTTATCAAATAAGCAAGAAATGTAAATCTTTTCCTAGTGTGATACACTCCTCTTCATCAGACATTTTATCAAATAATAGTAGACCTTATTCATTATTTCTACTCAAAATTACTTCTTCCTCTCCATGGATGGCCACTTTAGGCATTATCTAAAACATTTTATTACAATTAACTTCTCAATATCAGAAAATTTCCATTGATTTTTCTCTTAATCACTTTTGCCTCACATTTCATTCATTTTTTTCTCATAATTTTCTTCTTCTTCTTTTTTTTTTTTTTTTGGAGACAGAGTCTGTCACTCAGGCTGGAGCACAGTGGTGCCATCTCAGATCACTGCAACCTCCGTCTCCCAAGTTCAAATGATTCTCCAGCCTCAGCCTCCCAAGTAGCTGGGACTACAGGTGTGTGCAACCATGCCCAGATAATTTTTGTATTTTTAATAGAGACGGGGTTTCACCATGTTGGCCAGGCTGCTCTCAAACTCTGGATCTCAGGTGATCCACCCACCTCAGCCTCCCAAAGAGCTGGGATTACAGGCATGAGCCACTGTGCCCGGCCAGTTTTCTCCTTTCTTTAATAAAAATTATAAAGGTAACTAAAGAAGATACCCTTCATGTATGTCCAAATCGAGTAAATAATTTTTCAAAAGTAGTAATATTCAATAAATTATCACTCAAAAGCATTTTTCCAAATTCACTTCTTACTTCTTCACAATATTTTACTATTGAAAACTTCATGAAAACAGATGGCCATGTGAACACATTGGTAAGCATGTAAGAGAGGGGCCCTAAAGCATAAGCTTCATTAGTTTCATATATTATGTCGGTACAAAAGTATTTGCAGTTTTTGCCCTTGCTTTCAGTCTAATTCTGCATCAACCTAATAAATCCAATTCTGTTGACATGACAGTTTGTTTGGGATTTTAAGGATAATGCAAGATAACCCTCTGATTCTTGTAGGGTATGTGATCCAGGAGAAAACCTGGAGCTTGTTCAAATGCAATCGTATTCAACACTTTGGGAATTCTGAAAATTCCTTAAATGTATGCTGGAGGAGGTCAAGAGTAGACTTAGAACCTAATAAATAAACTAGGGGCTGGGTGCGGTGGCTCACGCCTGTAATCCCAGCACTTTGGGAGACTGAGGCGGGAGGATCACTTGAGGTCAGGAGTTTGAGATCAGCCTGGTCAACGTAGCGAAACCCCATCTCTACTAACAATACAAAAATTAGGCAGGTGTGGTGGCACGCATCTGTAACCCCAGCTACTTGGGAGGCTGAGGCACAAGAATTGCTTGTGCTCCACCTGGGAGGTGGAGGTTACAGTGAGCCAAGATCTCGCCACTGCACTCCAGCCCAGGTGACAGAGTGAGACTTTGTCTCAAAAAACAAAAACAAAAAACAAGGACATTAACACCTTATACACCAGCTTATGTCATTGAGTACAACTGTATCAGCCAGGGTTCTACCAGAGAAATGAAACCAGTAAAGAGGGAGAGAGAAATTTATTACAAGGACTCTTTTTATGAAAATGTGGGGACTAACCAGGCAAGTCCAAAAGCCATGGGGCAGGCCAGCAGGCTGGAAACTCTGCTGTCCTCAGGGGAATTTCAGTTTTGCTCTTCAACTGATTAAATCACCATTCAGATTATCAAGGATAATATCCTTTACTTAAAGTCCACTGATTATAGATGCTAATCACATCTACAAAATACCTTCATAGCAAAACCAACATTAGTGTTGGATTGAATAACCAAGTACTATAGGCTAGCCACACTGACACATCAAACTAACCACCACACGTTAACATCTACTATTAGAGTATGCTAACAAGCAGACACCAAAGGTGAAATATTATTCTCTTTCACTCAGTTTGAGTTCATGGAAGCACAGAAAAGATTAATTTGCTGCAGGGGTGGAGTCAGGGTTGGAGAAGCTTCATGTAACATTGGTCAAGACCTCAACTCAGGAGTCAGCATCCTGGGTTCAAATTCTGGCTCTGACACTCACTTCCTAAGTGACTCCCTCATATGCTTATTTCTTCAATAGGAAGTGAGGATAACAGTACCTATCTCACATCTATTGCGGAAGTTAAAAGAGATAAGCCATGTAAAGTGCTTAGAACAACGCCAGGCATGTAACCAGTGCTTAACTATCAGCTGTCATCATTACAATGATCACGATTATCAATATAAGCCTTGAAGGATGAGTAAGACTAACCCAGGACAGGAAAGGCATCCCAGGCAGGAGAAACAGTAAGAGCAAAGGCACAGAGGCATGAAACCACCTGTCACGCCTGGGGAGGGGTAAGTAACACCGTGTAGCCAGAGCATGGAAGGTGGTGAGGAAAGCTTAGATCTCAAGGGTTGGCTGGACTCAGCCAGTGAGGAGCCTTGAATGTAAAAAAAAAAAAAAAGCTTGCACTTTATTTAGGCAGCAAAAAGAGACAGAAAGATTTTTTTTTTAAATTAAAACAAAGTAATCCAATCTATGAATATTTGGAATGCGCAGGCCTAGTATAAGTGCTCCACATTTGAATAACGAGCCTGAGTCTTGATGCTCTCAGTACTCAGTGCTTGAGTAACAGGAAGTCCAGTCCTTTCCCTGGCTTCCTCCTCATGTATATTTTCTGGAATCCCCCAGAGGTGTTCCTGTGAGTTTTTAAATCAATCCTGATGGTAGCTTACTGTCACCATGACTGGTGGTCCAGAACCGCATGCATAACCCTCAAGAGAAGACTCCGTATTGAGAGATCCACCACCCCAATCCTCCATGCTGGAACCAGAAGATGCCCTTTGAAGAGGGACCTGTCAAAATCATCTGGGTTCCAACATATTATAATCCTATATATTCACAAATACTCAACATATCAGCGAGGGCTAATTGTCTCCCAAAATCCATTCTGTCTAAGTGCTATCATAAAAGAGTGATAGCTGGGCATGCAGGCACCTGGCTAGGGACTACATTTCTCAACACTTTCTGAAGATAGATTAAACCATATGACTTCTCACCAATGGCACATGGGCATAGTGATATATGCCACTTCCAGCCCTGGACCTTAGAATATTGCACATGTATTTCCCCATGCACTTTCATCTTCCCTCAAACTAGAATACCAATTGATTGTGACTCAGTTTCAAACATGTCATTAGAACCCAGGATTTAGGGGATGGTAGAGAATAATAGGCCCCTGAACACTTGAATGACTTCACAGAGCAAAGCTTGCCCTAGACTGTGGTTAACAAAGAAAGAAACTTCTTATTGCTTTAAGCCACTTGATTATTATGCACCTCTTTATTACAATGGCCTAGTTTTACCCCGATACACTCAGCTTTTTCCCCACAAGTCTTATACATGTAACCAGGTAAAACTTGTAAGTAGAACCATCATCCCTATCAAATACTTAGACCTGGATATCAGGTTTGTCCATTGTGCCAAATTGCCTATGATGAATTCTAATTCACAGAGAGAGAAAGAGGGAAGGAGAGGAGAGAAATAACCATTGTTCCTCCTACAATCTGGTTTATGTCAGAACTTCTTCACAAATACATCCAATATGTTTGTGGATCCCAAAGCTGAACAGAGTTCAATGTTTTGTTTTGTTTTTTCTTGTGGGAATTTTCCCAGCTCCTGTGCAAAGCAATGAATATGAATGAATACCCAGGTAGGGAAAATGTCTAATACCTCTTACCAGAAGCACCTATGGCCCTGCTTCTGCTCATCCACAACTCCCAAGCCTCACAGCTCCTAAGATGCCTGAGATACCTGTGGTCTCTGTGAAGAGAATAGGTGGAGAAGGTGAAGGCAAGCCTAGACTCAGAGAATGTTGCAATTATCCAGATGAGAGATAGTGAAATGCCAGATAGGACAGTACTGGGGAAATGGAAAGAATCAAATGTAAGAAACGTGTCAGAAGAACAGTAAGACGTGCTGACAGACATTTATCATAGTTATCACATACACACTTCAGTAATTTTGATGATGATAATCATTATGTTATAGAAATATCGCAGGGGAACTACCTGATTTACATAAATCTGCTCAGTCCTGGACCACCTTGTGGTAAACAGTATTAAAAAAAAATGCAATACAGTGCTGCATAACAATTGTATCTTGTAAAAGTTTCTTTTATGACTTAAGAAGGGAAATGAGGGGAGGAATTCAGATATAGCAAGAGAGTGAAAGGTGAATGACAGAGAAAAACTAAGGCCACCCTAGAAATGAACAAGTAATACGGGTTTTTATGGGACTGTTAGGTATTGTGAAATATTTCATATTCTCTATCAGAAAGTCTCCATTTGTACAATATCTTTTTGAAAACCAGATAGAATTTTAAAAAGGATAAGTGATCTAGGAAACTTTTGTAAGTTTCTTTATCCCAGCCATGTTAAGTTCCTTTTTTTTTTTAACATTCTATATGGTTCAGGATATTCACCTGCAAACAATATAATCTACTTGATTATGATCTAATCAGTGTTATGCACTAAATGTTTGCATCCCCCAAAATTTATATGTTGAAGCCTTAATCCTCAGTGTGTCTGTATTTGGAGATGGGGCCCCAAGGAAGTAATTAGGTTACATGAGGTCATAAGGGTGGGGCCCTGTTCCTATAGGATGAGCACCCTCATAAGAAGAGACAACACTCTTAGATTCTCTCTCTCTCTACACACACGCACACTGAGGAAAGGCCACATGAGGACACAGTGACAAGGCAGCTATCTACAAGCCAGGAAGAGAGTCCTCAGCCAAACAGAATCAGCTGGAACCTTGGTCTGGGACTTCCAGCCTCCAGAACTATGAAAAAATTAATTTATATTGTTTAGGCCACCCAGTCTATAGCATTTTGTTACAGCAGCCCAAGCAGATAAAGACAAGCAATAAGGCATTTATTACTGTTTTTCATTGAAGCTAAGATGTCATTATTTGTTAAGGCACATCATTGTTTTATAATCCATTAAGAAAGATATATTATTGCTAATTAAATTACAATATGTCATGAATTATAAGAAGCATCCCAATTTCAGGAATGTAAAAGTGGGGGAAATGTACATCTTAGAATCGATGGAATAAGGTAAATATACTGGGAAGCTTATAGACTTTTCAGGAAGACCAGGGGAATAGGTTTAGATGCTTCACAGCCAGAAACAAAGCATCCCAGAAAAATGCCCAACCATTCCATGTGACTAGTCCAGCAGAAACAGCATTGTCACCATTGCCATGCCAATCATCACCTGTAACACATCAGAAACTCTGCCACCTGCCCTGGAAGAACTAATGCCTGCAGACTTGCCAAAACAGCCAATCATCAGCACCACTCTAAGTCCCTTTGGTGACTATGAGCATGAAGGAGAAACCCTTTCAATAATTATGCCAGGACAACAGGCATAAACCAGACTGCTCAAGGGAAACCAGACATTTGGTCATGCTTGGTGGAAACTAGAACCCTAGTTACAAAAGAGTCTGGGAAATATTTTTAGCTTTTCTGCTTCTATTATAAAGGAAGACAGGCTAGAAGGGGGTTGCACTAGATGTTAAGTGAGCCTATGTACATGACCTGCTACACATTTGTTAAATATGGGGGCAGAAACAGTGGCCCAATCCTGTAATCCAGCACTTTGGGAAGCTGAGGTGGGAGGATCACTTAAAGCCAGAAGTTCAAGACAAGCCTGGGCAACATAGCAAAACCCTGAGACTACAAAACAAAATACAAAAATTAGCTGGGCATGGTGGCACACGCCTGTAGTCCTAGGTACTTAGGAAGCTAAGGCAGGAGAATCACTTGAGCCCAGAAGTTCAAAGCTGCAGTGAGGTATGATTGCACCACTGCACTCCAGCCTATGTGACAGAACCAGACCCTGACTCTAAAAAATAAATAAATAAATATTGGAGAGCTTATGGATGAATACATTCCAAAAAAACTGAATATTATAACAATTTTGTTATAGTGATATGGTTTGGCTGTGTCCCCACCCAAATTTCATCTTGAATTGTAGCTCCCATAATCCCTACATGATACTGAATAAGTCTCACGAGATCTGATGGTTTTATAAACGGCAGTTCCCTTGCACAACTCTCTTGCCAGCCGCCATGTAAGACATGTCTTTGATCCTCCTTTGCCTTCTGCCATGACTGTGAGGCCTCCCCAGCCATGTGGAATTGTGAGTCCATTAAACTTCTTTTTCTTTATAAATTACCCAGTCTTGGGTATTTCTACATAGCAGTATAAAAATGGACTAATATAGGCCTGGCACGGTAGCTCACGCCTGTCATCCCAGCACTTTGGGAAGCCAAGGCAGGTGGATCACGTAAGGTCAGGAGTTCGAGACCAGCCTGACCAACATGGTGAAACCCCATTTCTACTAAAAAATACAAAAATTAGCTGGGCTATGGTGGTGGGCATCTGTAATCCCAGCTACTCAGGAGGCTGAGGCAGGAGAATCACTTGAACCCAGGAGGCGGATGTTGCAGTGAGCCAAGATTGCACCACTGCACCCCAGCCTGGGCGACAGAGGGAGACCCTGTCTCAAAAAAAAAAAAAAAAAAGAAAGAAAGAAAGAAAAGAAAATTGACTATTACATATAACAAAGAAAGAGCCTCTATGTAAACCAGAAATTGTTTTGAGCTGGCTCTGTTACAAGGGCTCTTACCTCCAGCAGCAGGGCCAGAAAAGCCTCATGAAGACAGCATTTTATCAGGAGTGATTAGCCATTTTGCTCACTCTGAGCTTCAGAATGTTGATGCTAAATTTGTTCCATCCAAGATAAATTTATATTACAATGCCTGAATGTTTTCTTTCAGTTGGAATTTTATGACGATAACAAATGGGTCTGCTCTGTTACGAGAACTATATGCATAGTTATGCATTGACCTGTAAAGGATGTACAGAAGTTTCTGGACTTGATCTCTTGTTTCTTCTCATAGATGCATTGGCCTCTATGGCGAGGAGACTCATTCTGCTTTATGCTCCATCTTACTTTTCAGGACACTCTATTCTACAACACTCTTGTCCCATACTCTTCTCCTCTCTAAGAAGTCTACTTCTTGCTGCAGAGCCCTTTTTCACTGATCACAGAGAGTCTGAGGCCTTTGTTTTGTAAGTGATAACATTTCACAAATATTAAACCTCTGCATGTAATTTTCTCCTTTAAATAACACTCTCTAGAAGCTTCTTACCTCCCAGGAGACATCACTGAGGCTAGGGGCCCCAGAGAAGGACAGAATGGAGATTTGACTTCTTTAGCAAGACTCGGAGCTTGAAAAACAGGGTTAGGCAGTCCCGCATAGTTTCTCAATGGGTCACCACTGGCATTTTAAGTGGGACAATTATTCCTTATGAGGACTGCCATGGGCAGTGCTTCACCTCACTTAATGTCAGTAGCACACTCCAGTTATGGTTGCAATAAACAGCACTCACAATCTTCCCCAAATGCCCCTTAGAGAAATAGTAATTCCCCTATCTGAGCTCTGCTGAGCTGAAGAGATTTCCTAAATGTCTATAGCATCACATAAAACCAAGTCCACAGGACCAGACTCATTTCACAGAGTTCCTCTCAATGTATGAAGAATAAAACCCACTGGGTTAGGATAGCTAGGCCTAGGGTGACAACTTTGTCCCAGTTTGCCCAGGACTGTTCAGTTTTCTTGCTTGTTTTGTTTTGTTTGAGATGGAGTCTTGCTTTGTTGGCCATGCTGGAGTGCAATGCCACAGTCTGGGCTCACTGCAACCTCCACCTCCCAGGTTCAAGCGATTCTCCTGCCTCAGCCTCCTGAGTAGCTGGGACTACAGGCATGTGCCACCACACCCAGCTAATTTTTGTATTTTTAGTAGAGACGGGGTTTCACCATGTTGGCCAGGCTGGTCTCAAACCCCTGACCTCATGATCCGCCCGCCTTGGCCTCCCAAAGTGCTGGAATTATAGGCATGAGCCACCGTGCCCAGCCAGGACTATTCAGTTTTAGCACTGAGCTCAGTCCTGGGCAAACTGGAATAGTTGATCACCCAAACTCAGCTGTGATGCTTCTTGTAGGAAAGGATAAGACATAAAGGAGCTCACTTCTTCTAATCTGGAGGGAATGTGAGAAGAAAAGAGGGGACAGACAGAAAAAAGTACACCTAGGGTTCTTGCTTCCTCTCCTACCCTAGACATAGCCATCCTTTGGCCTACAAAGCCTTACAAACATCCAGATAGGTGGGAAGCACCCGAGGGCAGGGGCTCTGCGCACTTCGTCACTGGGAAGCAATACTCTAGCCAGCTACCCTGGCTGCAGCCTGGAGCAACCACACCTGGCGTCTGTAAAATGAAGGAGTTGGAGAAGATTCCCTCTTAGGGCCCTATTCACTCACTTTAAATGACTGCTTTAAAGTTTCTCCATTTAACTTTACAGAACTTTTTTCAAACCCTAGGGAACTGATAATGTAAATATTCCAAATAAGGAGTCGCAGCCATCAGAGTCACTCAAGTAAAACAGCCAGAGTGGGTGGAAAGCCATAGAAAGTGGAAAAATTCTCTAACGAGCAGACCTACCTTCTTCCTCTCCCCTCCAGCTCTCTGCAGGGTGTTAGGGAAAAAACCACCATACTTTCTAGTGCTGCCATAACAAAATGCCACAGGCTGCATGCTAGAAGTCCAAGATCAACGCGTCAGCAGGGCTGGTTTCTTCTGAGCCTCTCTCCTTGGCTTCCAGACAGCGGCCCTCTCCCCGTGTCTTCACATTGTTCTCTCTATATATACGTCTGTGCCCTAATCTCTTTTTTTTTTTTTTTTTTTTTTTGAGATGGAGTCTCGCTCTGTCGCCCAGGCTGGAGTGCAGTGGCGCAATCTCGGCTCACTGCAACCTCCGCCTGCCAGGTTCAAACAATTCTCCTGCCTCAGCCTCCTGACTAGCTGGGACTACAGGCGTGTGCCACCATGCCCGGCTAAATTTTTTTTGTATTTTTAATAGAGATGGGGTTTCACCATGCTGGCCAGGCTGGTCTCAAACTCCTGACCTCGTGATCTGCCCACTTTGGCCTCCCAAAGTGCTGGGATTACAGGTATGAGCCACTGTGCCCAGCCCGTGAGCCACTGCACCTGGCCCTCTAATCTCTTATAAGGACACTGGTCATACTGAACTGGGGCCCACCCTAATAATCTCATTTTAACTTAATTACCTTTTTAAAGGCCCTATCTCTAAATAAAGTCACATTCTAATGTACTAGAGATTAGGAATTCAATATATGAATTTGGTGGGGGCAAAATTCAGCCCATAACATCTACCTCCCCAGGTTTGGAACTCTTTCCCCTTCCCTTCAGGTTCTTGGTTCCTCCTTCCCCAGGGATTACAGAGCCTAGTAAGAGAGTCATTAGACAGAATCATTCCCAACCTGCTGATGTAACAACTATCTTCAGCTGCTGTTCTTAGCAGGTGGTGTGTGTCAGTGTGTTTGAAATGACCTCTTTTTAAGGTAGAAGTAGAATAGCAGTTCTCAAAATTTTGGGGGAAGGTAAGTAATGTGTTAGTATTATTACAAAAATAATTTTGGCCAGGCACGGTGGCTCACACCCGTAATTTCAGCACCTTGGGAGGCTGAGGCAGGTAGATCACTTAAGGTCAGGAGTTTGAGACCAGCCTGGCCAACATGGCAAAACCCCGTCTCTACTAAAAATACAAAAATTAGCTGGGAGTGGTGGCACGTGTCTGTAATCCCAGCTACTCAGGAGGCTGAGGCAGGCTAATCACTTGAACCTGGGTGGTGGAGGTTGCAATGAGCTGAGATTGCACCAATGCACTCCAGCCTGGGTGATAGAGTGAGACTCTGTCTCAAAAAAAAAAAAAAAAGAAAGAAAATAATTTTGACCCAATGGTCTCTGTGAAGGAGTCTTGGGGAATCCCAAGTGTCCCCAGACATACTTTAAAAACAGCTACCTTAGAGGAAATACCTGTGTGGATTCCTTCCTCTTCTAGTTGTCCTTCACTGCTACTCCTCCTGGCCAATACAGGCCTTCCCCATGAGGCAGGAGGATTTCACCCCAATCTCAACCCACCCTAATGACACAGAGTAAGGCCCAGCTTTAGAGCTGTGCTTACAGGTGTCCACAGGACCTCAGTCTTAGAAGACAGCACATGGCAAGAACAGACATGAATACACATTAAACCAAGGCCAGGATGCCTCCTGGCTCCATCTTCCACAATGACATCACTTTGCCCTAGTTTTCCCACAGGTGAGTCAACAACTTCCCACGTTAGATAGATGATAGCACAAGCAAGCCTATATTAGTTAGGATTAAGTTTAGCTAAATATAAGGACCAAAACAAAATTTTTTTACAGTGGCTTAAATAAGATAGAAATGTATTTCTCTTTCATGTAAAAGAAATCTAGGAATAGGCATCCCAGGACTGGTATGGTGGCTCCACAAAATTGTCAGGGACCAGTATCCTTTCAGCTCACAGTCGGCCCTCCCTATGTTATATGCTCATCCTCAAGATCCAAGGTGGGCGCTGAGCTCCAGCTATTGCAACTATATTCCACCCAGAAGAAATGGAAAAAGAACATTTCTCCAGGAGCTGTGATACTTCTGTTTAGGTCTCATCGGCCAAAATTAAGTCACATATTTACCTACAAAAGAATTTAGGAATGTATTTTTTCAGTTGGGCAACAACATGTCATACCAATGAAGAAGGGAAGAAGGAATGTTGGGAGGCACTAAGCACACTTGGTCACAAATCATCAATTAGAGTTCTTCCCCTCTAGAATTCAGCAAAGCCAAATTGAGATGGCAGCTAGAATTCAGCAAAGCCAAACTGAGATGGCAGCCACTACCTGACTCACCAGCCAGGTGACTCAGTCCTGCCCACCAGCCTGTCAGCAAAACTGTGTTTCTACATGTCACAGACCTTCCACATTGCTAAAAATATTCACACCTCTGAATGTTACATTTTTGAATGCAGAGGGTCTACTATTTGGCATATTCTCTAAATTTTCAAATTATATGTTTTTATGTAAAAATTATTATCTATGTCAGACACTGAACGTAAATACACATAAACATTAACCTAAAAGTTTACAGAGATTATTTCTGGGTAGTAGAATCACAGAACATTTTTCTTTGTTGTTGTTGTTGTTTTCATTCTTTTCTGTAGATAAAAATGTTTCTGTGACCGGGCAAGGTGGTTCACACCTGTACTCCTAGCACTTTGGGAGGCTAAGGCGGGCAGATCACTTGAGGCCAGGGGTTCAAGACCAGCCTGGCTAACATGGCAAAACTTCATCTCAGGTGGGTGCAATGGCTCACACCTGTAATCCCAGCACTTTGGGAGGCCAAGGCAGGCAGATCACGAGGTCAGGAGTTCAAGACCAGCCTGGCCAACATAGTGAAACCCTGTCTCTACTAAAAATACAAAAAATCAGCTGGGCGTGGTGGTGGGCACCTGTAATTCCAGCTACTAGGGAGGCTTGAGACAGGAGAATTGCTTGAACCCAGGAGGCAGAGGTTGCAGTGAGCCAAAATCATGCCACTGCACTCCAGCCAGGGTGACAGAGCGAGACTCTGTCTCAAAAAACAAACAAACAAACAAAAAAAAAACAAAAAGCTGTTCCTCCAATGTACACACATGGCTTCATTGCTTCTATAACTGGGTGAAGCCGTAATTTCTTTTCAGTTTTTGTTTTTGTTTTTGTTTTTGTTTTTTTTGAGACGGAGTTTTGCTCTGTTGCCCAGGCTGGAGTGCAGTGGTGCAATCTTGGCTCACTGCAACCTCTGCCTCCTGGGTTCAAGCGATTCTCCTGTTTCAGCCTCCAGAGTAGCTGGGATTACAGGCGCCCATGACCATGCCCAGCTTATTTTTGTGTTTTTTAGTAGAGATGGAGTTTCGTCAAGTTGGCAAAGCTGGTCTTGATCTCCTGACCTCAGATGATCCGCCTGCCTTGGCCTCCCAAAGTGCTGGGATTACAGGCGTGAGCCACCGTGCCCAGTCCGTAATTTCTTTTCTAGAGCCCAGTCTTATAGCCCTATTATTCATTAGTTGAGGGATTTATTTATTTACAACCCACAGTAGCTGAAACCAGAAATAATTTAAGAAATCTGGTGCTTGAAATAGTTCTTTACTCCTCAACCACTCTATTTCTTCTCAAATAACATTTCTGGGGTTAAATATAAAAATTACATCATGACTGTTCTTAATATTTCAAAATTATGTCTTGTGGTTTAAAGACAGCCTGAGAATAAATGTAACCCACAAACATTTTGAAGTTCCGATCTGCTATTGCAATTATATATGAGTCAGAAGAAGGGGAAAGTTCTACAATTAAGACTTTGTAAGGAAAAATGAATGTTTTTCTTCCCAGAAACTCCCCAGGAAGAATTCCCCTTCTGCACTTTTGACTTTGTCCATTTGCCAGGGAATTTTTTACAACTGAAAGTGAATCCAGCCAATCTGGTAATAGCTGACTCCCAGGGTGTTGTTCTGCTCTTCAGTCCCCATCACCATCCAGCCATTGACATGACCACAGGAACTCACGAAGGGGATGGTGGCCAGCACTGGTCAAGGAAGAAAATTCTGACACAAGCTAAAACATGGATAAACCTTGAGACATTATCAGTCCCAAAGGCAAACAGCATAAGTCTCTGGCTTCCAGAGGGAGCTTGTTAATTATCCTACCCATCCCGCACTGCTTTTTCTCCAGAAAGGACATTTACTGAAAGGCAATTCTTTTTGATTTTTATGTTTGTGCTTGTTGTTCCTACCCTAGAGCCAAAAGACTGACAAGCAATTTAAACACACCAATCCTGCTAGAAAAACACCCAAAGGCACATGTATAAATGCATTAACTTCACACACAAAGAATAGCCCAGTTATATTTACTGAAGATTTACACAGTGTGAGGTAACAGATAAAATGGGTCTAGACTGGACAGAAGGCTCAATTACTTGTCTCAGGGAAATAAAGAGAAAGCTAGTTATTCCATTCACTTGAATCTACTCCACATCTAGCTATTGATGAGTACAAGACAGGTGGCGGATCCTACAACCCTCCTTGTAGGGCACACAGTAACAACCTTTCGCAGTGCAGCCCGGCTGTCATATTTGCAAGGCATACAGTAGCACCAGGATAAAATATAAAATTTTCATGATCAGCAGAAGCAGATTATCCTCAAAGCTAAGGAAATTCATGCTCAGGTCCCCTTACTTACACAATTTCTTCTATTCTCATTCCAAATAAATATGTGCTTCCTTACCTAATTTTCTGTTTGTATTTTTTCTATAAAAGGAACTCCAAATTCCATAAGCTTCAGGCCCCACAAAACCTGGACTCTCCCCTGTAGCAAACAAAACAATGGGGCTGGGTGCAGTGGCTCATACCTGTAATCCCAACACTTTGGGAGGCCAAGGTGGGAGAATCACTGGAGCTTAAGAGTTTGAGACCAGCCCTGGCAACATAGCGAGACCTCGTCTCTACTAAACATCAAAAAAATTAGCCAAGCATGGTGGCATGTGCCTGTAGTCTCAGTTATTTGGGAGGCTGAGGCAGGAGCATGGCTTGAGCCAGAGAGATCCAGGCTGCAGTGAGCTATGATCACACCACTGCTCTCCAGCCTGGCTGACAAGAGCGAGGCCCCGTCTCAAAAAATAATAATAATAGTAAGTAAAACAACGGGTTGTGTGTTCTTACTTTTTTATTTTTTGTTGTAAATTGTGCCAAAAAGCATATAAAATTTACCAACTTGACCATTTTTAAGTGTACAGTGGTATTAAGTACATTCACATTATTGTACAATAATCTTTACTATCCATCTCCAGAATATTTTCACTGTGTAAAACTGAAACTCTGTACCCATTTAAAAAGTCATTCTCCATTTTCCCTTTCTCGGCCCCTGGAAGCCACTACTCCGTTATACTTTCTGACTTACAAATTTGACTACTCTAGGTCCTCGCTATGAATGGAATCACATGCTGTACTAGCTGTCTTTTTGTGACGAGTTTATGGTGTCTCAAGGTTCATCCGTAGTTGTAGCATCCATCAGAATTTCCTTCCTTTTTAAGGCTGGACAATATTCCTTTGTATATGCCATATTTTGTTTTTCCATTCTTCCATCAATTTGATTTGAACTTTTTTTATTTTAACATAAATGCTTGTAACCATTTGAAAAGTCATGTAAAAAGTCACTTGAAAAGCACATTCTCTAGAAGGTGCATAGAGGTCCCTTGTCAGTCTCATCTACATGAGGATTCAGAGTTCAATGAGGAATCACAAACGGACAGTTATCTTTTCATTGCCAGCTTATGAATAGCTTCCGCTAACAAATAACACAGTCTACATTTTCTCACCTGGGCATCCCACATTTCTTTCTGCATATTCCTTAATCAACCAATACATATGTATTGGGATATGTGTGTGTGTGTGTGTGTGTGTGTGTGTGTGTGTGTATTTTTTTTTTTTTTTTTTGAGACAGAGTCTAACCCTGTCGCCCAGGCTGGAGTGCAGTAGCGCAATCTCAGCCCACTGTTACCTCTGCCTCCCGGATTCAAGCAATTCTCCCTGCCTCAGCCTCCCGAGTAGCTGGGATTACAGGCACATGTCACCATGCCCAGCTAATTTTTGTATTTTTTAGTAGAGACGGGTTTTCGCCATGTTAACCATTGACCAGGCTGGTTTTGTTTGTTTGTTTGTTTGTTTGTTTGTTTGTTTTGAGACACAGTTTTGCTCTTGTTGCCCAGGCTGGAGGGCAATGGCACAGTCTCGGCTCACTGCAACCTCAGCCTCCCAGGTTCAAGCAATTCTCCTGCCTCAGCCTCCCAAGTAGCTGGGATTATAGGCATGCACCTCTACGCCCAGCTAATTTTTTTAGTAGAGACGGGGTTTCACCATGTTGGTCAGGCTGGTCTCAAACTCCTGACCTCAAGTGATCCACTCACCTTGGCCTCCCAAAGTGCTGGGATTACAGCCGTGAGCCACCTCACCTGGCCTGTATTGAGAGATATCATAGCTTTTTATTTTCAACTATCTTTCAGCACCTTCAGTGTTCTGAGTGTAATATTCCACTTTGGAGAGTGAAAAGAAAAAAAAAATGAGTAAGAGTAAGCCTGGATAAATTCACTTTCCAGAGGAGGAGACATACCCACAAATCCTAATACAGCGTAATCAGTTCAGTAATAGAGGTATTTATGCACAAGGTGCTGAGGGAGCACATTAAGGGAAGGATTATTTCAGTATAAGTGAGTCAAGACTACCCAGAGAAGGTTACATTAAAACTGGACATTAAAAAAGATATTTGCTTGGTGAAGAAAGTTGCCAAAGGTGTTCTATGCAGAAGAAACAGTGTGAGCAAAAGGCTTGAAAGCTTTGCTACCTCCAGAAGAAAGCAAGTATTCTGGTGGCTAGAGGGCAGAATGCATTAGTAAGAGTAGCAAGGGATGGGGTGCAAGAGAGATCACAGGGCTAGGCTGTGCATGAGGCTTGCTAAGGAATTAGTACTTTTTCTGCAGAGCAAAGGTCTTTAACCTGGCGGGGAGAGTGGGCATGGAGGGGAGCAGTGGGTGGAAGAAGGGTACATCCTGATGAAATGTGTGCTTTGTGAAGACCATCATTCCACCAATCAGGATAGGTTAGCGTAAGAAGAAACGAAGAAAGAGAATGAAGGCAAGAGAAAAGGACCAGGAGATCCCTAAATCTGAGTGAATATTTGACCAAAGACAATGTTTTTTCCTCCGTCAGCAGAAATGAGAGCTGATGAGCAAGTGGAATTCAATTTTGAAAAATATTATATTTCTGTGCTTCTGCATTTTAAAACTGCTACTGTGTGTGTGTGTGTGTGTGTGTGTGTGTGTGTGTACGTGTACAATGTTATACAAGAAAACGGTAATGTTGGCCAGGTGCAGTGGCTCACGCCTGTAATCCCAGCACTTTGGGAGGCCGAGGCGGGCAAATCACGAGGTCAGGAGTTTGAGACCAGCCTGGCCAACATAATGAAACCCCGTCTCTACTAAAAATATAAAGATTAGCTGGGCATGGTGGCGCATGCCTGTGATCCCAGTTACTTGGGAGGCTGAGGCAGGAGAATCGCTTGAACCCAGGAGATGGACGTTGTGGTGAGCCAAGGTCACTCCAGTCTCGGCAACAGAGCAAGACTCCATCTCAAAAGAAAAGAAAAGAAAATGGTAATGTTGGCTATCATTGGGCGGGAAATTTAAGGACAGCTTTAATTTTCTTCTTTATACTCTCCTCTATTTCTCAATGTTCTGTACATAAATATATTTCTTTTAACAATAGGAAAAAAATATTTTTTAAAACTGTAATTTCTAGTCATCCCTAGCTCTTTCATGTTGTGGAAGTTATCATTTGATTGTGTGGTGAGTTGGGGAGCTCCACTCATCCCTAACCAAGCCCCAGAATAGGGTCCCAGAACAATAGATATTCCCAGATCTGACTGTACCCCCAAAATAAATGCATGCAAGTAATGGGAGGGGGAAAAGAATATACACAAAAGAAAATGTGTGACCCTTACATCCACATGGGGAATATATATACATATATGTGTGTGTATGTATATATATATATATATACACACACATATATACATATAGTGAAAAGTGGAAAAGGGTGGGCTTTGTACTGGTTTACTTTTGAAGGATAGAAAAAGTGAAGGATAGGAGGGTAGTATTCCAAGCTGGGTGAATGGTGTGAGCAAAGAGGAATGCATGGAGTGCTTGGCAGAAGGTAAGGGGACAAGCTACTTGGAACAGAGGATTCAGGGAGGAAAACAGGCTGGAAAGGTGGGTTTGAGACCAAGAATCCTTGAGGCAGTGGGAATCAATAGTTGTGAGTAACAGTTCTGATGCAAGAAACACAGGACTTTAGGAAGATCAGTTTGAGGGTGGTGGGCAGGAAAAATTGCCAGAAAGGAAATGGGGTTGGAGGTGCGGCTTCCTCATTGCCACACCAGGAAGAGAGTGGTTAGAGCAAAATGTCCATCGCCAATGCTATGTCTTCACTGGTCCCTTTCAAACGTGCTGTTTCTTTCTTTAAAAATAAAAACAAATGTATTGAGATGTAATTCCTATGCCATACAGTTACACATTTAGAGTATAGAATTCATTGCTTTTTAGTATATTCATGTAGTTATACAAATGTCACCATAATTTAATTTTAGAACATTTTCATAAAAGAAACCTCATACCCATTACCAGTCTTCTCCCATTCTCCCCTAACCCTCCAGTCCTAAGCAGCCACTAATCTATTTTCTGTCTCTATGGCCTTTCCTGGGTATTTCATATAAATGGAATCATATAGTGTGCAGTCTTTTGTGCCTGACTTCTTACACTTAGCATGAGGTTTTCAAGGTTTTCCGTGTTATATATCAGTACTTCATTCCTTTCAAGGCTGAATAATAATATTCCAGTGTATGGACATACCACATTTCACTTATCCATTCATTAGTCATTCTAGTTATTTCCACTTTTGAGCTATTATGAATAATGCTGCTATAGGCATCCATAGTTTTGTGTGGATATAGGTTTTCATTTCTCGTGGGTGTATAGTGAGGAGTGGAATTGCAAGATGTATGTTAACTAGATTCAGTTAATCTGAATGTTTCTGTTTCTGACCTATTCTTTTACAGGCTCTTTGATGAATCTTGCTGTTCATTTGTTCATTCGTTTTTGAAACTGGCTTCTCACCCAGTGTAACTCTGAATTTCATTCAGCCAGTGCAGCCTTCACCCTAACTTGACTCAGCCTTTCTTGTGATTTTCAAAGCTGAAAAGGAAGTAGGTATGTGCCAGAGCCATCTGCTCTTCTCAAGAAAGCAGATTTGGCCATGGAGCAAGTCGACTCAGCCCACATTCAGGCTGCCCTGTGCCTCCTACACTTTCATGGTAAAAAAAACCAAACATGTCTCTCTCTCTTAAGTCTAGGTAAATTGGGCCAGGCACGGTGGCTCACAGCTGTACCTCAGCACTTTGGGAGGCCAAAACAAGAGGATCACTTGAGGCCAGGAGTTTAAGACTAGCCTGGGCAACATAGTGAGAACCCATCTCTACAAAAAATTTAAAAAATGAGCTGGGTGTGGTGGCATATGCCTCTATTCTCAACTACTCTGAGGGGCTGAGGTGGGAGAATCGCTTGAACCTGGGAGGTTGAGGCTGCAATGAGCCATGACCACGCCACTGAACTCCAGCCTGGGTGACAGAACAAGACTCTGTCTCAAAAAAAAAAAAAAAAAAAAAAAAGAAACCTGGATAAATCAGAAGCATCCCATATGGAAGCAGAAAAATTTTGCCCAATCAAGCATCTTCTGCTAGAACTCTTTTCCCCTGTTGATTGAGACAAAGATTCCTTAAGGAGGGATCCCAGGATCTCAAAACCAGTAACTGTCAGAGCAACGGCTGAAGCTCAATGCTTTAGAAATGTGTGTAAAATTAGAACTATCAAGAGGGTTTGTTGTTATTGTTGCTTAGGGTTTTATGCAGGAACACCTGAGAAATAAATGACAACCAGAAGGAAAGAAAAAAAGCAACATTTTGCAAGCCCTAGGTTAAGATGATGTCATGTGAAACAAAACAAACAAGTTTTTTTAAATACAGCCAAAGCAAAGATAAGAGACAGTTATAATAAACGTCTTGTATCTTCAGATTCCAGAACATCTCCTCCCCTAGGAGTCAATGTGATGGCAACCAAAGTCACGTACAGTACTAAAAATGCTGAGTTAGCCAAAACCAACTAACTGACCTATGATCAATACCGAAAGTCATCAATGGGTAGTTAAGCAATAGCAAATGATAGACCTGTTCTGAAGACTTGACAATGGAGGGAGCAAGATTTATATCTCAATATTGTTCTAACAATATTTCAGCATCCCTGCCAGCACTGTATGATTATAAATGGATTCTGCTAAGAGTAATAACCTCACTCCCAGAATCCTATATGTATGGGAAATAGGGTGCCAGGGGAACAGCCATACTGAGAGAGAGGTGTTATAAAGCTTGAGTTAGGAAAGAGATTAATGTTCCAGTGTTATAGAACAAAACATTCTGAGGAACACAAGATGATGGCCTGTCTTTCTGTTATTGGGAACTTGTAACCTACAAAGAAACATAAGAGGTAACAAGTAACTTGACATAAGAAGCAGTGAACTACCTGCCTTAAGAAAGTAAGGATTTAACTCTTATGGTACAAAGCATGGCATAAACTGGAAAGTGTTCTGTTCAATCAGAAGAGGCAGATCCCCTCCTCCTCTTGTTTCTGAATTCTTTCATGCTGATGAACTAACACATCTTCTGGAAAAATCATTCAACATGGCTATTTTTAAATGTTCTCAGAAAAGAATCTTTCTGGGGAATGGACATAGGCGTGGGACGTCTGGCAACAAAACATGCTTGGTCTCTGCTTTGGAGGAGACCCCAGACAACAGGTATGCCCCTCCCAACCTTTCTCAACCATGACCCCGGTCCCTCGCAAGAGTAAGCTTTACCAGTCTTGTCCAAAGCAGGCTACACATGGATAAGCTCAGGTTACAGCTGGTGGGTGGGGATTAATTTTTGCTACCCAGTTCTGGTATGCTCAATAAAAGTTCTGGACATCCATACATCTGTTTCAGTTTCCCCCGGTGCCTATTCTGCCTGGAAGGTGTAGGCATGGAGATGAGGCCCTTCCCCCATTTCCCCATAGAGACTCTCATTATTCTGTCCTAAAACCAAATCTGTTCAGTTGAGGTTTTGATATCTGCCAACATCAGATGGCCCTATCCTCCACGGCACCCCTAAACTGTTAGCTTTTCAGTGAGGCTATTATCAAAGCTGTCTGGACCACTTAGGGTCATAGCTCTGCAACTCCTCTGTTGCCAGATATCAGTTTTCTTGGTCTTCTATTGCAATGTGCCAGCTCCACTATCCCTCCCCATTCTGAATCTTACACTTTGATCATCTGGATACACCCACTGGGCTCTTCCTTTAGCCGGGTGCTTTCCCAGTACCTTGTCCCAACTTCTTCCCTTTACCTCCTGGCTGGCTGCCTCAAGACTGGTTGAGGTTATTACAGTGCACCTAAGGGTAATAGAAATTCAAGAAAATGCAAGTACACTGTGAGACTGACCTCTGACCTTGCACATGTGGATCTCAGTTGCATCACTTTAATTTCCCTGCCTTTTCTTCTTCAAGGAGCCCAAGACCAAAAATATTAAAAAGAGAGAAAGGAAGTATACTAGTCAGGATTCTCCAAAGAAACAGACCAATAGGATATACAATTGACCCTTGAAAAAAGTGGGGGCTGGAGTTATCGACCCCTCCACAGTCGAAAATCCACATATAACTTTTGACTCTCCAAAAATTTAACTACGAATAGTCTACTGTTGACCAGAAGCCTTACTGATAACATAAACAATCAATTAACACATATTTTGTATGTTACATGTATTATTTACTGAATTCTTACAATAAAGATAGCTAGAGAAAAGAAAATGTTATTTTAAAAATCATGAGGAGGCCGGGTGCCATGGCTCACGCCTGTAATCCCAGCACTTTGGGAGGCCGAGGCAGGCAGATCATGAGGTCAGGAGATCGAGACCATCCTGGCTAACACGGTGAAACCTCGTCTCTACTAAAAATACAAAAAATTAGCCGGGCGAGGTGGCAGGCGCCTGCAGTCCCAGCTACTCAGGAGGCTGGGGCAGGAGAATGGTGTAACCCGGGAGCTGGAGCTTGCAGTGAGCTGAGATCGCACCACTGCACTCCAGCCTGGGCGACAGAGCAAGACTCCATCTCAAAAAAAAAAAAAAATCATGAGGAAGATAAAATATATTTACTATTCATTAAGCGGAACTGGATCATCATAAAGGTCTTCATCCTCGGCCGAGCGCAGTGGCTCACGCCTGTAATCCCAGCACTTTGGGAGGCCAAGGCAGGTAGATCACGAGGTCAGGAGTTCAAGACCAAGCCTGGCCAAGATGGTGAAACCCCGTCTCTACTAAAAATACAAAAAATTAGTCATGCATGGTGGTGGGTGCCTGTAATCCCAGCTACTCAGGAGGCTGAGGCAGGAGAATCGCTTGAACCCAGGAGGTGGAGGTTGCAGTGAGCCAAGATTGCACCACTGCACTCCAGCCTGGGTGACAGAGTGAGACTCTGTCTCAAAAAAAAAAAGAAAAGAATAAAAAGGTCTTCATCCTCATCTTCATGTTGAGTAGGCTGAGGAGGAAGAAGAGGGATTGGTCTTGTTGCTCCAGGGGTGCAGAGGCAGAAGAAAATCCACTTATAAGTGGATCCATCAGTTCAAACCTTTGTTGCTCAAAGATCAACTGTACACAGATACATAGCAAGAGATTTATTATGAGGGATAAGCTTACGTGATTATGGAGGCTGAAAAGTCCCGTGATCTACAATCTACAAGCTGGAGGCCCAGGAAAGCCAGTGGTGTAGTTCCAGTCCAGCCCCAAAGGCCCAACAACCAGGAGCACTGATGTCTGAGGGCAGGAGAAGACAGGTGTCCCACCTCAAGCGGATTGCAAATTAGCCCTTCCTCCACCTTTTTGTTCTATTTGGGTTCTCAACAGATTGGATGATGCCCACCCACACTGATGACGGTGATCTTTTTTACTGTGTTTCCTGATTCAAATTCCACTCTCTTCCAGAAGCACCATCACAGAAATACCCAGAAATAACATTAACCAGCTATATGAGCATGCCCTAGCCCAGTCAAGTTGACACATAAAATTAATCGTCACAAGAAGGAAGTGACGGGGAGGGGAGGGGAGGGGAGGGGAGGGGAGGGGAGGGAAGGGAAAGGGTCCTCACTAGTGACGTAGGAATTGTCTAAATATTCCTAATGACCTTTCAACTTGAACTTAGTTCTTGTTTTCACTCATCAGAATCACATCAGGAGGGAGGAAATGATGGGATGGGAGGGAGAAATCTACCTCTGGTGTTTGAAATTTCATAATAACCCATCATACTCTACAACAGACTTCAACCAGCTAGCAATATCTCTACACGTTTTTCTTTTAACACTAAGTTTCCGATAAAAGAAACTTGCATTTAGTTGAGTTCTGCCTATACTCAGATTCCTTTCTCAGGAGCCAGGGTTGAAGGCCCAGCAGGCAACTTTTCCAAGGAGAGAAATAGCAAATGAAGTTAACTGACATTAATGAAAGTAAATATTTTATCAATGAAAAAATAATTCTCCCACCTATGATGAAAACTATTTTTTTTAGACTGATGGATAAAAATTCTAAATCATTTCATATACATTGGCTGCATTCTAATGTCTGCTTATGAAAAACAACAATGCTCGGCGGGGCACAGTGGCTCACGCCTGTAATCCCAGCACTTTGGGAGGCCGAGGCGGGCAGATCACCAGGTCAGGAGATCGAGACCATCCTGGCTAACACAGTGAAACCCCGTCTCTACTAAAAATACAAACAATTAGCCGGGTGCGGTGGTGGGCGCCTGTAGTCCCAGCTACTCGGGAGGCTGAGGCAGGAGAATGGCGTGAACCCGGGAGGCGGAGCTTACAGTGAGCTGAGATCGCGCCACTGCACTCCAGCTTGGGGCCAGAGTGAGACACCATTTCAAAAAAAAAAAAAGAAAAACAACAATGCTCTATACATTATATGAATTACATTTCTCTCTTTTTATAATTAATTTTTTATACAACAAATGTACATTTATTGTCTAAAAATTCTAACAGTACAGAGGTATACAGGGTACAAAAGTCAAAATCTCGGTTCATCTCTCCTCAGGCCCGATAGGGTTGAGACTCACCACAATATACTTTTTTTTTTCTGAAAACATGTCACGTTCATAAGCACATCATACTTTCTATGGGAAGCAATGATTAGCTGTTCACAGTGGACCCCTCCAGACTTTTTCTATATATCTGTATCTATTTACACATATAGGTGCTATAAATCTTTTATGTTTTTATTACATATGTTGGATTGTATTAAACATATTGTTCTGAAACTTGCTTAATATTAAGTCAGAAACATCTTCTGTGTCAATACATCCAGCACTGCCTGACTCTCCTTTGCAGATGTAGAGTTATCACTGAACCATAAGTGTTTGGTAGCTGTTTTTAGTTTTCACAGTTCGGCTATTTTCAGATTTTCTTTAATGCCGACTCTGCTGTAATAAATATCCATGTGCATTATACATATGTTGCTGAATCAATGCGTGTGAGCGTTACTGTTGTATTTTATTTTTATTTTTATTTTTACTTTTATTTTATTTAAACAGCATCTTACTCTGTCACCCAGGCTGGAGTGCAGTAACACAGCTCACTGCAGCCTTGACTTCCCAAGCTCAAGCGATCCTCCCACCTCAGCCTCCTGAATAACTGGGACCTGAATAGGCATACACTACCATGCCAGGCTAATTTTTTCTATTTTTTGTAGAGACGAGGTCTTGCTATGTTGCCCAGACTGGCCTTGAACTCCTGGCCTCAAGCAATCCTCCCACCATGGCCTCCCAAAGCACTGAGATTACAGGCGTGAGCAACCACATCCAGCCTGAGCATTACTGTTTTGAGAGATATTCCCAAAGTGCTCTCCACAAAGGGTTACAACAACGAACACTTCCATCAGCTGAATGTGAGATTATATTTTTACTTTATTTTGGAGAATGAAGGTAGCATATTATTATTGTATTTATTCGTATTTCCCTAGTTGTGAGATTAAATAATTTTCAGATGTTTCTCAGCCATTTATATTTCTTTTTCTGTAAATTGCCTTAAGTTTGCCCTTTTCTTTTGACTTACTTTTTCTTGCAATTTGAATCCCTTTAAATATTATGGTTCTCATATGGTTCTGTGAAAACACTTCCTCTCTCTGCTATTTGACACGTAGCTTTAATTATGCATCATTCATTAAATGGAAGTTTTTAAAATAGTTATGAGGACAGATCTGTCCATCTTTTCTTCATGGTTTTTGTGGTTTCAGACTTTTTTGAAAGGCCATCTTTACCCCCAAGTTCGTTTAAAAAATAAAAAAAAACAGGCCGGGCACGATGGCTCACGCCTGTAATCCCAGCACTTTGGGAGGCAGAGGCGGGCGGATCACCTGAGGTCGGGAGTTCAAGACCAGCCTGACCAACATGGAGAAACCCAGCTCTACCAAAAATACAAAATTAGCCAGGCGTGTTGGCGCGTGCCTGTAATCCCAGCTCAGCTACTCGGGAGGCTGAGGAAGGAGAATCGCTTGAACCTGGGAGGCGGAGGTTGCGGTGAGCCAAGATCGCGCCATTGCACTCCAGCCTGGGCAACAAGAGTGAAACTCCATCTCAAAAAACAAACAAACGAAACAAAACAAACAAAAAAACAAACAAACAAAAACACTTCTCCTATACTACCTTCTAGTGCCTTCATGGAAAGTTTTTAACGTTTGAAATTTTTTTTTTTTTTTTTTGGAGACAGAGTCTCGTTCTGTCACCCAGGCTAGAGTGTGGTGGCGTGACCTCAGCTCACTGCAACCTCTGCCTCCCGGGTTCAAGCGATTCTCCTGCCTCAGCCTCCCAAGTAGCTGAGATTACAGGTGTCTGCTGCCACACTTGGCTAATTTTTTTGTATTTTTAGTAAAGATGGGGTTTCACCACATTGGCCAGTCTGGTCTTGAACCCCTGACCTCAGGTGATCTGCCCGTCTCAGCCTCCCAAAGTACTGGGATTACAGAATATTTGAATTTCTAATTCATTTGGAATATGCTTCTGAAAACAATATGAAACAAAAATCCCTAACATGATGATGGTGGAATCCCTGTCCTGCTCCCATCTTCAATAGAAATCTTCTGATGTTTCATCATTATATCTACAGTGGCTTCTGCCCTTATCAAAGCTTGTTAATAGTTTCTTTTCAAATAAAGAATGTACGTTGAATTCTATTGAGTGCTTTTTCAACATCTAATGAGATCATCATTTGAGCTCTTTCAATTTATTAACATGTGAATTGCATTATTGGATTTCCTAATGTCCAAATTTTATTGTTTCTCTAAAAGTTATATTTCTCAATTTTTCGATGTGTCTCAAATTTCTGATACGAAAGAAATGATATTTTTCAGTATGAACCATCTTCTAAAAAGCAAAAACGAAATGACATTTTTATTCTGCATTATTTAGGAAGATTTAAAAATGAAAATCTAATTATTCTGCTTTTTCAATATCCAAAGCCATGTAAGTAACACAGAAGAATATGTTTTTGTTTTGTTTCTTTCTAGAAAATAAGTACGCAAATTGGTATTGTAGCATATGGCCCCGGCATTAAATTTACTTTTTTTGAGACTCTTGTTTCCATGATGCTTTTCATTTGCATTCAGTTGTAGGTTATCTTGTAATGCAGAACGCATTTCTTAAGTGGCTCTCAATGTGCCAGGTTCTGGGCTTGCTTAGCAAGAGTCACAAAATTTGTTACAGCCAATCAATCCTCAGTCCGCTGAAGCAACAGAGAATCATCAGGGTCTCATATTTCTATCTATAAGCAGAAAGATGCCATGTTTATGCTAACCTCATTCACAGAAGGCACAATGTCAAATGTTTTAACAGCAGCCACAATTTGTGTTCATGAGTATGGAGTCATCTTTGTATCTTCCATGTGTACTACCATGTAGAGTTGTGTGATTAATAAGTTATTTTCAAATAATGCTGATGGTGAAGAAGGTGTTAAAGAATAACGAGAACTGGCAGCCACAAGAACCATTACACAAATTAATGTATGACTGTATATGTACATAAGGTCATCTAAACCATCTTTGTATTCTCACTAGTGACGTAGGAATTGTTTCGAAATAGTCCCAATGACCTTTCAACCTGAACTTAGTTCTTGTTTTAACTCATCAGGATCACATCAGGTTTTTTTCTGTCAAGTATTCAAATAACATGAACTGGTATGTTTCAATCTGTCAGTAACTGATTATGAAACTTCCTATATTTGCTGAAAATATATCCTAATAATTTGTATTAATACATAATTTATTAAACAAACCATTTTTTCAGGCCTAGTTATTTGTGAAAACTTTTTGTAACCTTTCAAGAAATATAAATCAAAAAAGAATAGTCTCGCATAAAGACCTTTTCTATAAGCCAATTGGTCTTGAACTCCTAGCCTCAGTGATCCTCCAGCCTCAGCCTCCTGAAGTGCTGAGATTATAGGCGTGAGCCACCACACCCAGACCCTCTATAAGCCAATTGGAAATTAAATGAACAATAATATTAAAATGATACTAAACCACATGTTCTCACAAGTGGGAGCTAAAGAATGGGTACTAATGGACATAAAGATGGCAACCATAGACACTGGGGACTACTGGAGGGAGGAGGGAGGTGGGGGCAAGGGTTGAATAACTACTGGGTACCATGCTCAGCACCTAAGTGACAGGATCAGTCCTACCCCAAACCTCAGCATCACACAACATACCCAGGTAACAAATCTGCACATGTACCACCTGAATCTAAAATAAAAGTTGAAATTATTTAAATATAAAAAATAAAGTTGCTTTTAAAGAGTTTTTTTAATAAAATAAAAAGGTGTTGAAGTAAATGAAATAGGGAATTACATTTGTTTTAAGTTATTTCACTTCCCAGGTATATTGCTAACTTCCTAGTTTTTCTTTTGTTTTTCTGTTTTTTATTTTATTTGTCTCTTTTAACACCTTTGCTGGTAGGAAGCTAGTTCTTTAATAAGTATTTGTTACAATGGTGATGAGTAAAATGGAAGAATCTGCGTCTTTGAAAGCCAGCATACACTCTTTTTTCAAAAGCAGACATTAAAGTTAAGACATGGTATGTGATCCTGAGCTATGGATTCTCTGAAAAAACAGAACGTGTTGAGGGTTGTTTTACTTTTTGTAATTTTTTTTTTACAGAGCCTGTGAAATCAGTTGTTGAGAGATTTTGAAATAAGTTCAAAACCAAAGTGTAGAAAAAAATCATTGAGAAAAAAAGAGAGAAAATAATTGAGGAATCATTACTAAAGGCAACTTTCATCTAAAAAAATGAGAACATTTGCTTGCAATGCAAAATCAGGTTTCAGCTGAAAAGTAAAGCCTGTTAAAACATTAACTACCACAGCAAAAATCTCAAATATTTTTTCAGCAATTCTAATTAAAGTATGCATCTTTTCAAAGTTTCTTCTACTGTTTTCTTTCCCTAAAAAGGAAGACGAAGAACGAGTCTCCGCTATCTGAATAAGATATTAATGGGTTTCCAAAAAAATTATAACCAGAGACAATAAGAACAAAAGTTCCTCATTTTTACTTCTCTTTTCAAATAATCTTTTCTCTATAATTATCTTTTCCAATTAGCAAACAATAGAGAGAAAATGGTATAGGTAAATTGTTTAAATTCCCAACTTTCAAAGTACCTGCCTTTAAAATGGGTGCTGGCCAGGAATGGTGGCTCATGCCTGTAATCCCAACACACTGGGAGGCCGAGTCGGAAGGATCATTTGAGGTCAGGAGTTCAAGACCATCCTGGCCAACATGGTGAAACCCCATCTCTACTAAAAGTACAAAAATTAGCCAGGCATGGTGGCAGGCACCTGTAATCCCAGCTACTTGGGAGGCTGAGGCAAGAGAATCACTCGAACCCAGGAGGCAGAGGTTGCAGTAAGCTGAGATCTCGCCACTGCACTCCAGCCTGGGCAACAGAGCGAGACTCCATCTCAAAGTAAAATAAAATATATAAAATAAAATAAAATAGGTGCCTTTCTTCCCCCTACGCCTATATAATTGCAGAAGCTTTTGATTTGTTTCAAATTGGTTCTTTTTTTTTTTTTTTTTTTTTTTTGAGACAGAGTCTTGCTCTGTTCCCCGGGCCATAATGCAGTGGCACAGTCTTGGCTCACTGCAACCTCCACCTCCTGGGTTCAAACAATTCTCCTGCCTCAGCGTCCCAAGTAGCTGGGACTACAGGCATGTGCCACCATGCCTGGCTAATTTTTGTATTTTTAGTAGAGACAGGGTTTCACCATGATGGCCAGGCTCGTCTCAAACTCCTGATCTCAAATGATCCACCTGCCTCAGCCTCCCAAAGTGCTGGGATTACAGGCGTGAGCCACCACGCCTAATCTAAATTGGTTCTTTAAAAACTAGAAAAAGTGCACACTTGTTGAAAGAAAATTTTAATACAAATGTACCTGTATAAAATATGAATGTCCTTCTCTCCCCCGCATCAGTTTCCAGATGAATTCTTACTCATCTTAGCAGTTTTTGTGTTAAGGATCCTTCCAGATCCTTTCCTGAGCAGATATAAATAGTTTTTCATGTGACTATAAACATATGCTTATTTTATATATCGTTCTACAACTCTTTTTTTTTTTTTTTTTTTTTGAGATGGAGCCTCGCTCTGTCGCCCAGGCTGGAGTGCAATGGCATGATCTTGGTTGACTGCAACCTCTGCCTCCCAGGTTCAAGCAATTCTCCTGCCTCGGCCTCCTGAGTAGCTGGGACTACAGGCGCCCACCACCATGCCCACCTAATTTTTGTATTTTTAGTAGAGATGGGGTTTCACCATATTGGCCAGGCTGGTCTCGAACTTCTGACCTTGTGATCTGCCCACCTCGGCCTCCCAGCGTGCTGGGATTACAGGCATGAGCCACCGTGCCCAGCCTACAACTCTTTTTTAATATGCCAAATTGACACAGCTGGAAAGACCTGGTACTGAGACATGACTCCCAGTCTATCTGACTCTAGAACCTACTTTGTTTCCAGTACACAAAAATGCCATGTCAATTTGGGAAGACCAGTTCAGTATTGTATAGTTATACGTCCGTTGAATTCTTGATTCAATCAAGACATTCCTCTTCAGGGATTTCTGACTATTCAACAACCAGGAAATAAATAGTGGCACATTGACTAGATCATCTACTGACTGAAAATTATGAAAACTATGTTGCAACATGAAAAAGTAAAAAAATGGTATCTTCTGGTGATTTTTTTCCAAAACAAGAGAATTTTGCACCAAACCTAAATTTATATCTTCAGTTCCTATTAAAAAAAAAAAAAAAAAAAAAAAAAAAAAAAAAAAAACACCAACTAGTTTAAATGGTAAATCCCCCCCTTTACAAAAAAAACATAAAGTCCTGTCTCCCTGGGCAGAGATAATAAAAGCCCTCTGTAAACTCTAAAGTCACCATACAACCATTAATTATTGTTTTCCTACAGACAATGGGAAACGTTAAGGGTTTGACTAGCATCCCCAAAAAAATATGTTTGACACCCCAAAAAATATATTGACACCCTGTGAATGTGATCTTATTTGGAAATTAAATCTTTGCAGATGTAATCAAGTTAACATGAGACCATTAGGATGGGCTTTAATCCAATATAACTGGTGTCTTTTTTTTTTTTTTTTTTTTGAGACGGAGTCTCACTCTGTTGCCCAGGCTGGAGTGCAGTGGTGTGATCTCAGCTCACTACAAACTCTGCCGCCACCCAAGTTCAAGCGATTCTCCTGCCTCAGCTTCCTGAGTAGCTGGGACTACAAGCACCTTCCACTTCTCCTGGCTAATTTTTGTAGTTTTAGTAGAGACGGGGTTTCACTATCTTGGCCAGGCTGGTCTTGAACTCCTGACCTTGTGATCCACCCGCCTCAGCCTCCCAAAGTGCTGGGATTACAGGTGTAAGCCACTGCACCTGACCTAACTGGTGTCATTATAAGAAGAGAGTAACTTGGACAGAGAGACACTCAGGGAGAAGAATACCAGGTGAACACACACACACAAAGGGAAAGCTGAGGTGTGAAGGTGGTTTGCTGCCACAAGCCAAGCATCACCTGAGGCTGGAAGAGGTGAAAGAGGCAGGGAAAGATTCTCCCCGGGAGACTTCGGAGGAAGCATGGCTTTGCCAACACCTTGATTTTGGGCTTCCAGCCTCTAGAACTGTAAGAGAATAACTCTGTTGTTTGAAGCCACCCAATGTGTGGGATTTTATCATGGCAGCCCTAGGAAACTAATATAGAAATAATTGAAGATTTTTAAGATTGGGGGTGAGAGGACTAACATTTGCTGGGAACCTATGATGTTCCAGGCTCTTTGCTAGATGCTTTACTTATTTTATTTAATTCTAATAATCATGAGAAGAAAGCATTTTACAGATGAGAAAATTGAAGGTTGGAAGTTGATATGTTGTTGGGGAGGCCAAGGCAGGAGAATCGCTTGAGGCTAGGACTTCAAGATGAGCCTGGGCAATATAGCAAGACCCCATATCTACAAAAAAATTAAAAATTGGCCTGGCGTGGTGGTGTGTGCCTGTAATCCCAGACACTTGGGAACCTGAGGCAGGAGGATCGCTTGAGCCCAAGAGTCGGAAGCTGTAGTAAGCTATGATGGTGCCACAGAGCAAGACCACAGAGCAAGACCTTGTCTCAAAAAAAATAATAAAGTTGATATGCTGATGTTTCCTCAGCTGGAAAAAGCTGAGGCCATGGCTTTGCTTCTAAAGCCAACCATGTTTCCAAGGGCACAGCATTCGTTTGAGAAGACTGATTCAGCAGAATTGTGTATAATGATGTTAAGCCTCAGTTACCACACAACCTTTAATCAGGTGAACCAGACCTTCATGGTTTCCCTGAAAGATACATCAACGTTTCTTTTTTTTTTTTTTTTCTTTTTGAGACAGGGTCTTGCTTTGTCACCCAGGCTGAGGTGCAGTGGCAAGATCATAGCTCATTGCAGCCCCAAGCTCCTGGTCTCAGGAGATTATCCTGACTCAACTTCTCAAGTAGCAGAGACTACGGTTATGTGCTACCATGTCTATATATATATATATTTTTTAATTTGTGTAGAGACAGGGTCTTGCTATGTTGCCCAGGCTGGTCTCAAACTCCGGGCCTCAAGCAATCCTCCCACCTCAGCCTGCCAAAGTACTGGGATTACAGGTACGAGCCACCACACTTGGCCTCCATTTCTGGTCTACCAAATATGTTTGCTTATAGTACTGACTTTTATAATTTGCCAACTAGCAGTCAAACTCTATGCCTTTAATCAAAAGTTAACTGTATTGCTGAGATTGTGAATAAATAACCACATCTATTACTGATCGACCTTCATATTGAATGGTGTACTGGGGTGAATGATTCTTTCTTCAGCAAAAACCAATCACAGACAATATCCTAGTATGTACATCAATTTTCGGTTTTAAAAAGTTTGCTTCAACCTTCACTTCCTAAGTCTTCAGTGACTGAGAGCTGGTAGATGATAAAGCTGGTTTCCAGGATATGAAAGCTCAGTCAGCTATTAGTTTTAAAGTCCATATGGTGTGTAGTTAAGAATTCTACAGTCAGACTGGCTGGGTTCTGATGTGCACAAAGACACATGCTGGGCAACAGTGAGCTGGATTTCAGGCCCCATTTTCCCGTCAGCTTGCATCCTTGAGCAGGGCACAACTTGCACAGCCCTGCGTGGCAGCCCCACAGGTAGGTTTCCACCTCTCCTGACTGTGGGTGGTAGTTACTGTTCTCCATGCCATGCCAACTGATCAAAACATCATACAGGTAAAAAGGAAGCAAAGCAATCTGTGAGTTTAAAACATTTAGTATATTTGATACTCATGAGATTGCAAATGAAATCATGAATCCTTCCAAAAAGGAAGTAGAAATTGTAGGTATTTCCCAATCACCATAGTTTCCCTTAGGTGGGGCCACTTTGGGAGAAAATGAAAGGACTGCAGCTGTGTGATATTGAGATTTTAGTCCTCATGGCCCCCCACAAACTTATCTAATTCAGCTCAGCAAGCAGTAGTTGGAACATGACACCCTGGATGTGATTCGGGATATGTGTCTCCAGGAGGACTAATTAGCAGCTCGTAGAGAATAAGCTGTTCTCTGGTGCCCCATTAATTACAGTGCTCCTGGCAATTCAGGCGGGCCCACATGAATGCGTCCTGCACAAAAAGGTCACATCCTGGTGTTGCTAGTCAGATCGGTGCACGATCTTATTGCTGTTCATGGTTATTTCCCTGATAATCGCTCCCCAGAGGTCAGTCTGGCTACAACCTAGCATATTTGAGCACAGTGATTTGCAAGATGTATGGAAAACAATTTTTCAGAAACGTGCTCTCAATTTTCATTGGGCAAATTCCTCTTTCTCGGGTAAGTGCTGGAGCATATGGAGCAGGTAAATGTTTTAATGGACAGCATAAAAGTAACATTTTTCTTCTGAGGTTGATGATTTGCACTTAGGGCTTCCAATCCCATTTGTTACTATAGCAAGTGTTGAGTGCAAATTAAAGAGAGACAGAAAAACTCCAAACCTTCAACCTTGCTATCTCCTTAGCTCAGTCATGACTGCATCATTTCACAGATTCATATCACCTCCCTCTAGGGTTCCCATCCTCCGGGAGGAAACTTTTATTGAATTTCTCTACCCCAGGTTTTAGTCTCCTATCTGTCTCGTGTTATATACAAGGAACTCATTCCTTTCTAAGATTTAATACAATAAGATGAAAATGGCTAAGGGCAGTCTTTCTAGTCTCTGGGAGGAAAGATTAATGGTAAACACAAACACCTAATAAAAAGTTAAGGGAAAAAAATGTAGTGCAAGTAAACATTACCCATGTGAATGTATACAGTGCCTCGTTGTTCTTACAATCATAACAATTGCAACCATTATTAATGTTCTTCTTCTATGACATGAAAGAACAATAATAAGGGTCTTGGCATCAGCCATCTAGCAATTCAAAGTTAGAATAACAGCAATATGATTCATTTCGTAAACCAAAAATAAAATTCTAAGCCCCCCAGCTGGCTGAATGGACCCTTCCTCTCAGCCAAAGGGATTCTACAGAAAGCTGAAAAACTAATTCAGGCTATGGTGGGAAGCGGGAGGCGGACATACCTCATTATACTCTCCTACCTTTGGAATTCAGGCACAACTGACCAGCATTAACATTAAAATAGAGATTTTAGGCTGGGTGTGGTGGCTCACGCCTGTAATCCCAGCACTTTGGTAGGCCGAGGCAGGCGGATCACGAGGTCAAGACATCCAGACCATCCTGGCCAACATGATGAAACCCTGTCTATTAAAAATACAAAAATTAGCTGGGCGTGGTGGCACACGCCTGTAGTCCCAGCTACTCAGGAGGCTGAGGCAGGAGAATCGCTTGACCCCGGGAGGTGGAGGTTGCAGTGAGCCAAGATTGTGCCACTGCACTCCAGCCTGGCGACAGAGTGAGACTCTGTCTCAAAAGAAAAAAAAAAAAAAAAAACAGAAGAGATCTTAAGACTGACGCAGTTCACTCATATAACCTGCATATGTACCCCCTGAACCTAAAATAAAAGTTGGAAATAAATAAATTGTTAAAACTCTGCCATTAATAAACAGACTCTGTAGCAATAAGATACCAAATTCCAACGTGCCTCTCGTATAGCATTGTATGACAGATACTAGGCCCTGAGAGAAATCAAAGTATTTTGCCCCAAAATATATTTCTTTGACATATTTTGAAATAGCCCTGCATAGTCCTCTCTTGTGGGGAAAATGTATATTCGGTAGAGAATTCCCTTCCCTTTCCAGGTCTTCCTCTGATCCAAAAGAGATTCAACTAAGAGTCTGGCACTTTTTAAGGTATGATGAGAGACATTTACCATCTATTCTCTCTGCAGCCTGCTACCTGGAGGCTTCATCTACATAACAAGAATGTTGGCCACCTGGTGGCTCACATCTGTAATCCCAGCACTTTGGGAAGCTGAGGCGGGAGGATCACTTGAGCCCGGGGTTCGAAACCAGCTTAGGCAACATAGTGAGACTCTGTCTCTATCAAAAAAAAAAAAAAAAAAAAAGAATCTTGGCTTCCACAACCTCTCTTATCTTAACTCCAAACATTTATCTCTGTTGATTTCAACTCTTTAGGCAAAACTTAACTCTTTCAACCAATTGTCAATCAGGAAATCTTTGAATCCACCTATGACCTGGAAGCCACGCCCAGCGCCCCCCCCCCCGCCCCTACCTCACCCCCGCCCGCCCCAAGGTGTCTCACCTTTCTGGGCTGAACCAATGTAAACCTGACATGTATTGATTTATGTCTCTGGCTGTAACATCTGTCTTCCTAAAATGTATAGAATTACACTGTAACCCAACCACTCTGGGCACATGTTCTCATGACCTCCTGGGACTGTGTCACACAGGTCATGGTCCTCACCTTTAGCTCAGAATAAATCTCTTCAAATATTTTACAGAATTTGGCTTCTTTTTTTTTTTTTTTTTTTTTTTTGGCCAACAATTTATTCACTCAGTCACATCCATTTATTAAGTATCTACCATGTTTCTACCATGTTTTACCTGCTTACTTTTTTTTTTTTTTTTTTTTTTTTTTTTTGAGGCGATATCTCACTTTGTCACCCAGGCTGGAGTGCAGAGGCACTATCTTGGCTCACTGCAACCTCTGCCTCCCAGGTTCAAGCCATTCTCCTGCCTCAGCCTCCTGAGTAGCTGGGATTACAGGTGCCCGCCACCACCCCCAGCTGATTTTTGCATTTTTAGTAGAGATGGAGTTTCACCATGTTGGCCAGGCTGGTCTTGAACTCCTGACCTCAGGTGATCCGCCCACCTCGGTCTCCCAAAGTGCTGGGATTGAGGCCTCCTGCCCGCTTTTTTATATCTCCAAGTGTAACCCATTATACTACTCATATATGGATTATGTGGCCTTCCTATATTCTCTCTTAACACTGTCTATATATCTTTAGCAAAGCATTTATTACTTTCTATTGCAAAAATCCAATTCCATGTGTGTCTTCTAAGTTGACAGTGGACTAGGAGGGAGGAAAGCACCAACAGATCCTTTTCTCCTTTGACTATTCAGCACCTGGCCCAGGTGTTGAGTAAATGAAAGACAGTATGTGTCAAATAAAATAATAAGACTTCACATAATAGCAAAATAAACTCTATTCTCCTAAGGCCTACTCTGAGAGTGAACAGGAAAGATTGGGCACTTGTGAGGAGTTAACAAGTGAACAAACACATTCTCTAACAATGAAATAACAGAGGGCTCTTTAAAATCTACTCTTAGATTTTTTTTTAAGCATTGGAAGGAATGGTAGAGATCATCTGGAGGACTCCACCCAATACTCTGCCCTTTTCTACAGGTAGAAAAATGGAGGTTATAAAATCTCAGCTGGGCAGGGCAGGGTGGCTCATGCCTGTAATCCCAGCACTTTGGGAGGCTGAGGTGTGTGGATTATATGAGGTCAGGAGTTCGAGATCAGCCTGACCAACATGGTGAAACCCTGTCTCTACTAAAAATACAAAATTAGCTGGGTGTGATGGTGCATGCCTGTAATCCCAGCTACTCGGGAGGCTGAGGCAGGAGAATCGCTTGAACCCAGGAGGCAGAGTTTGCAGTGAGCTGAGATCGCATCATTGCACTCCAGCCTGGGCAACAAAAGCAAAATTCTGTCTCAAAAAAATAAATAAAATAAAGACAAAATCTCAGCTGGGCACAGTGGCTCACACCTGTAATCCCAGCACATTGGGAGGCCGAGGCAGGCAGATCACTTGAGGTCAGGAGTTCAAAACCGGCTGGCCAACATGGTGAAAGCCTGTCTCTACTGAAAATACAAAAAATCAGCGCAGCGTGGTGGTGGGCACCTATAATCCCAGCTACTTGGGAGCCTGAGGCCGGAGAATCGCTTGAACCCGGGAGGCAGAAGTTGCAGTGAGCCGAGATCGTGCCACTGCACTCCAGCCGGAGCGACAGAACAAGACTCCATCTCAAAGAGAAAAAGAAAAAGAAATCTGCTTAAAATCCTACGCGTGGTTGGTGACTGAGACATAATTAGAGTCCTAGTTATTGGATACTGTGCCCCTCCCACTCCACATGTGTTGAAAAACAGAGCTGACCAACTGTGCAAGACGGACCCTTCGAGCACTAACTTCTGCTTTCACAAATGCAACTCTCCATTTAAAAATGCAAATCAGAGAAGAAACATCTCATGAGTTCTGCTTCCCTCCCCTCCTCAGTTTGTCATTTATTTGACCTGGTCACATCCGCTTCAGGACCTTTGCATCCTCTCCTCCCCAGTGCAAACATCACATCCCCAGGAAGCCCTTTCTTTATTATTCTCTCTCACACATACCCCGGGCCAAATCAGATTCCCCTCTCTATACCAGCAGGACACCCTGTATTTCTCCTTCATGGGATTTATCACAGCTTGAAGTAACATATTTTTGAGATTGTTTAATTAACATCTGTCTAATATATCCTCCATCAGATTAAGAGTTCATAAATTATGTCTCTAGAGATAAGGGGTATTCTAAAAGCACATCATACCAACCTGGGGGTAGAAATGGGATTGGTGTATTAATATCAAAACTATCCCTTTGAATCTACCCCACCTGCTGCTGTGGGTCCTTCGAACACAATTCCAGACCCCCACCCATCCAGGGTTCTAGGAGTCCCAGCGTATGCCTCCCATGGGCAAACCTGAGCCCTCTCAGCTCTCTAAGACATCTCACATTTCCTCCCTCTGGGGTGCGGCTCCCTGCAGCAATGAGCTGCTGAGGCCTCTGTGCGCTTAAAAGCCACCTTTGTGTTGTCAGATATGGTATCTGGGTTCCAATCACAGAGATTTTAATCAAATAGTTCTTTTGGTTTTTACTCCCAGTCCCTGCTTCCTAGAGCTCAAGACTGGGGTTGGCAAAAAAGAAAAAAAAAGAACTCCCCATCCAATCCTGAAGCAAAGGCTTGGATTATGCTTGGGTGCCTTGACGCCCTTTAATCTTGAGACAAATTCTTTTCCAGAAGCCTTCTTGGTGGCTCATCTAAATAATCCCCAGTACAGCCTACCAAATGAGTCTTCCAGTGACCCCAGGTCCGTGTGCATTAAAGTGAAACAGAAGCCAGGGCATGATAGTGAGACCCCCTCTCTATGAAAGAAAATTTTAACAAGTTAGCTGGGTGTGGTCACATGAGCCCGTATTCCCAGCTACTCAGGAGGCTGAGGCAGAAGGATTGCTTGAGCCCAGGAGTTCAGGTTTGCTATGATGGTGTCAGTGGTGTTCAAACCAGAGCAACTCCGTCTTGAGTGAGGACTAGGAAAATGAGGCTGGGACTTGCTGGGCTGCATTCCCAGAAAGTTAGGTATTCCTAGCCTCTAGGTATTTACAGTTAAGGGAACAGATTGATAACATTTACTAAACAGACCCAGACTTGAGAGTGTCCTGATATCTTGATATCTTCAGAACAAAGGCATTCCGAATTTTGCTTTATTTATTTTATGTTATTTTAATTTTTTTTTTGAGACGGAGTCTCATTCTGTCGCCCAGGCTGGAGTGCAGTGGCATGATCTCAGCTCACTGCAAGCTCTGCTCCTGGGTTCAAGCTATTTTCCTGCCTCAGCCTCCCGAGTAGCTGGGATTACAGGCAGGCACCACCACGCCCGGCTAATTTTTTGTATTTTTAGTAGAGACAGGTTTCACCATGTTGGTCAGGCTGATCTCGATCTCTTGACCTCGTGATCCACCTGCCTCGGCCCCCAAAGTGCTGGGATTACAGGCGTGAGCCACCATGCCTGGCCCAAATTTTGCTTTAAAGATAATGTTGATTCTTGCAAAATATAGTAATTAAGAAAATTAATCCTTTATCACAAACCCTTATATCAGAGCACGTCTCCCCATGATCTTTTTTTATCATATATATATATGAGTATTTTACCTGAGGTGGACGTTTTCCTCCCCTTACTTTAGGGAACGCCCTACTTTGCCTACAGAGTAGCTGTTCTCTCACCACTTTACTTTCTTAGTAAACTTGCTTTTTCTTTGCACTGCAGACTTGCCTTGAGTTATTTCTTGCATGAGATCCATGAACCCTCTCTTGGGGTCTGGATCGGGACCCCTTTCTGGTAACAATGCTGCCACCGCACTCCAGCCTGGGTGACAGCAAGACCCTGTCTCTGAAAAGATTAAAAATAAACATAACAAAAATAAAATATGAAGGGGAACAGAACTCAGTCTGAAGTTTGGACCATTGCTAAATTCAGAGAAAACAGCAGAATGTCAGTGCCTATAGTAATAGAGGAATAGCAAGGTCAAGCCTTTATCCTGGCTCAGAGGAGAAGAGAACCTCCTCTTGCACCCATTCATTCAACAGCTATACTTAAGAGCAAGGTTTTCTGGAAATGGCCTATGCACTGTCACTGAAAATCCCAGCCAAGGTCACTTCATGACTTGCAAATCTTGGCAGAGTCATCAGGAATATGCCCAGGCATATTCATAGCTCCCTGCAGCCTCGACCTCCTGGGTTCAAGCGATCCTCCTGCCCCAGCCTCTCAAGTATCTGGGATTACAGGTATGAGCCACCATGCCTGGCCCCCAATTTTTTAGATGAGGAAATTATTATTATTATCCCCAGTTTACAAAGAGGAAACAGGCATCGAGGACTTAATAATTTGTTGCAAGTCACATATCCTGGAGGTGCAGCCAGGTGATTTCAGAGTGTGTGATCTTAAAACGCTAGGCTAGGCTGTCTCCCCATTTACAGAGGTATGAACCTGGACTACTGTCCATGTGTTCTTCCCACAGCAACATGCCAAGGTAGAAAGAGGACTGGACTAGGTTCAATTGATCTGGGTTCTAATCCTAATGTTTTCTCTGTGCATTTTTGAGCAAATTAATCACTCTAGGACTCACCTTCCTTATTTGTAAACTAAATTCATCACTCTAGAACTCACTTTCCTTATTTGTAAACTAACACCAACTAACATAGGTTGATTTTGGTGCTGAAATTCTATGATGTACATGATATCAGAATAAGTAACATAAGCAAATCAGTGGAGAAAATTTGGCCATAGACACTCTTTCTCATCAAAGAGACCATTTAAAACTTTAAGGCAGTTTGTTAACATTTCCCTAAGCTAGAAACTTAATTTTTTTTGTTTGTTTTTTGAGATGGAGTCTTGCTTGGTCACCCAGGTCAGAGTGCAGTGGCATGATCTCGGCTCACTGCAAACTCCACCTTCCGGGTTGAAGTGATTCTCCTGCCTCAGCCTCCTAAGTAGCTGGGATTACAGGCGGGCACCACCATAGCTGGCTAATTTTTGCATTTTTAGTAGAGACGGGGTTTCACCATGTTGGCCAGGGTGGTCTCAAACTCCTGACCTCATGATCCACCCGCCTCGGCCTCCCAAAATGCTGGGATTACAGGCATGAGCCACCACACCTGGCCAAAATTTACTTTAAAACTCATATTTTGCCATCCTAGAGAATGCAATTAATATATTAATTTTTCCATTTAAAATTTTTATTTATTACACACATAGATAGATGATAGCCAGATAGATAGATGATAGATAGATAGAGAGATAGATAGACAGATAAAGAGATATAGATAGAGATAGAAATTTTCAAAACAGAGTCTTGCTCTGTTGCCCAGGCTGTAGTGCAGTAGAATGATCATGGTTCACTGCACCCTTGAATTCCTGGGCTCGAGTGATCCTCCTTCCTTGGCCTCCTCCTTCCTTGGCCTCCCAAAGTGCTAGGATTACAGGCATGAGCCACTATACCTGGCCTTTAATACATAAATATGTTAATTGAGAATTTACGTGCCATCCAAGTGAAAGTGACAGTTCAGCATATATAACATGTAGATTTTGTCAGGTGCAGTGGCTCACGCCTGTAATCCCAGCACTTTGGGAGGCTGATGCAGGTGGATCATGAGGTCAGGCGTTCGAGATCAGCCTAGCCAACATGGTGAAAACCCGTCTCTACTAAAAATAAAAAATAAAAAATTAGCCAGCCATGGTGGCAGGCGCCTGTAATCCCAGCTACTTGGGAGGCTGAGGCAGGAGAATCGCTTGAACCTGGGAGGCAGAAGTTGCAGTGAGCCGAGATCATGCCACTGCATTCCAGCCCAGGCAACAGTGTGAGATTCCGTCTCAAAAAAAAAAAAAAAAAAAAATGTAGATTTTTTTGTTGTCTCACTTTTGGATTTTTAAAGTTAACAATTACATTATATATATGTAATTACATATACGTATTTGACCTCTTCAGGCTCGGGTGATACATAAATATATTAATTGAGAATTTACATGCCATCCAAGTGAAAGTGACAGTTCAGCATATATAATAAATATATATATATTTTAGTTAACAAATATACACATATTTGTTAACTTCAAAAACTCAAGGACTGATAGAAAAAAATGACAAGGATTACAGAGAACAAACCAAAAGTGAATTTAAAAGAAGGATTTCTTAGAGGCCACCATCTGAATTCAAATGTATCTGCCAGTAGGGGCAGGAGCAGGAGAGGATGAAGTCACAGTACGATTGCAAAATGCTGCCAATCCACTTAGAGTTGTTTACTGACCTCTTCCCCACTTGCTTCCTCCCAGTCTTTGGAGAACATAACTGAGAGTTCTAAATTCTAATTTTCTTCTCATAGACACTTCCATGGGAAATCATGATGTAATTCACGAATGTCCCTGTTGCCAACTTTAGCCATTTAATATCACGGAAATCTGCTAAGGAAATGTTTGTGCTATTTCCCATCCAGCCTGGCAAAGGGCAGGCCCCTTTGACATATTGAGAAAAGTTGCCAGAGACATTTTCTGGTAAACTGACACAGTTCCTGGGGCTCGGAAAAAGAAACAGATCCCTCTAACAGGCCAAGACAGACACCAAGAAAGGGAGCCAGAGAACAAAGCAAGCAGATTTTGTCTTTTTTAACTGAACTTTTTCCTTTGACATTATTATTGATTTATATGGAGTTGCAAGAAATGCTACAAAGAGATTTCCTATACCCTTTGCACACTTTCCCCAATGGTAACATCTTGCAGAATGATACTACAATATCACAACCAGAATATTGACAATGAACAGTCAAGACACAGAACAGCTCCATCACCACAAGAATTCCTAACGGTGGTCCTTTATAGCATCGTCTACTTCCCTCCCACCTTCTCCCCCTCCTTAACCCCTAGCAATTGTAGGTAAGAAAATATAATTTCTTTTCTTTCCCTTTATAGGTTCATAGTTGAGACACTCTCCTAAAAATAAAAATCAGATTAACAGAAGAAAAATAGGCCGGGCACGGTGACTCGCACCTATAATCCCAGCATGTTGGGAGGCCAGAGGCAGGCAGATTGCTTGAGCCTAGGGATTCCAGACCAGGCTGGCCAATATGGCGAAGCCCCATCTCTACTAAAAATACAAAACTTAGTTGGGCGGGGTGATGTGCACCTGTAGTCCCAGCTACCTGGGGGGCTGAGAATCACCTGAGCCTGGGGAGATCAAAACTGTAGTGAGTTGAAATCGTGCCACTGCATTCCAGCCTGATCAATCATCGGAATGAGACTTGTCTCAAAAAACAAAAACAAAACAAAACAAAAAAAGAACAGAAGACAGGGTGCAGTGGCTCATGCCTGTAATTCCAGCACTTTGGGAAGCTGAGGTGAGTGGATCACCTGAGGTCAGGAGTTCCAGACCAGCCTGGCCAACATGGTGAAACCCCGTCTCTACTGAAAATACAAAAATTAGCCGCGCATGGTGGCACATGCCTGTAATCCCAGCTACTCAGGAGGCTGAGGTGAGAGAATCACTTGAACCCGGGAGGCAGAGGTTGCAGTGAGCCGAGATCACGCCATTTGCACTCCAGCCTGGGTAACAAGAGTGAAACTCCATCTCAAAAGAAAAGAAAACAAAAAATAAAAGAACAGAAAAGCAGAAGTTCAATGTGTGCTGTATCTACCCATCATGAGGGAAAGGCCCTTGTTCAAAAGTATTTCTCTCTCTGGGCCGGGTGCAGTGGCTCACACCTGTAATCCCAGCACTTTGGGAGGCTGAGGTGGGTGGGTCACATGAGGTCAGGAGTTCGAGACCACCCTGGCCAACGTGGTAAAACCCCACCTCTACTAAAAATACAAAAATTAGCCAGGTGTGTGTGTGGGCACCTGTTGTCCCAGCTACTGGGGAGGCTGAGGCAGGAGAATCGCTTGAACCCAGAAGGCGGAGGTTGCAGTGAGCCAAGATCACAAGGCTATACTCCAGCCTGGGGGACAAGAGCGAAACTCTTGTCTCGTAGAAAAATAATAATAAAGAATTTCTCTCTCAAGGCAGTGGCTTAGGGACCTTGCTTAAGTAGCATTTTAACAAAGAACCATAAATCTTACATAATGACAGGACAAGGGAGACAGCAGTTCTAGTCAGTTATTCATTTTATCTATTTATGACAGGGTTTCTCTCTGTTGCCCAGTTTGGAGGCATTGGCGCCATCATAGCTCACTGCAGCCTCAACCTCTTGGCCTCAAGCAATCCTCCCATCTCAGCCTCCAGAGTAGCTAGGACTAGAGGCATGTGCCACCACACCCTTCTCATTTTTTTTTTTTTATTTTTTTGTAGAGACAAGGTCCTGCTCTGTTGCCCAAGCTGGAGTTCTAGGGGTTTAAAAGGTGGGAAAATGTGGGAAGACAGTAAAGTCTTTCCCAGATTCCTCTGGTGTCTGCTGGCCCCTTCTCTGTGCCAATACACAAGTGCTGTCTCCAGTAAGGAAGGATATATGTCTCACCATCAGGCAAAAGAGGCTGAGGCAGAGTGTTCCCTGGCACTTTCAATGCCTTTAATGTAACAATCCTCAATATTTGGGGGAGAAATATTTTGGTTTCCTTCACAATCATTCATCTGTCCACTTCTATAATTTTATTAGCACAGGATGTTATAAAAATGGAATCATACAATATATAACCTTTTAGAATTTAATTTTCTGGCGATAAATCCAGTGGCTTTGTGTACAATAGTTCTCTTTCTATTGCTAAGTAGAATCCCATAGTATGAATGTATCAACTTGAAACAACCCAGATGACCTCCAAAGGGTAAATGATGACAATTAGAGTTCATCTGGGTTGTCTCAAGTTCTTAGCTATTTACTAATAAAACTGCTAAAAATATTTACGTACAGATTTTTGTACATAAGTCTTCATTTCTAGGATCAATACCCAGCAGTACAATTACTGAGTTGTAAGGTAGTTGCATATTTAGTTTTACAGACAACTGACAAACTGTTTTCTAAAGTGGCTGTAACATTTTAAATGTCACCAACAATGAATGAGTGGATCCAGTTTGTCCCCATCCTTGTCAACATTTGTTGTTGCCAATATTAATTTTAGCCATTCTGATAGGTATATAGTGAGATCTCATTGTGATTTTAATTTGCATTTCACTAATAGTTAATGCTGCTGAGCATCTTTTCATGTGCTTATTTTCTACCTGTACATCTTTTTTGGTAAAATGTCTCTTCATGTCTTTTGCCCATATTCTTTTTTTTTTTTTTTTTTTTGAGACAGAGACTTGCTCTGTTGCTCAGGCTGGAGTGCTGTAGTGTGATCATGGCTCACTGCAGCCTTGACCTCCTGGGTTCAAGAAGCATATCCTCCCCAAGTAGCTAGGACTACAGGTGAGCACCACCACACCTGGCTAATTTTTTTATTTTTGTAGAGACAGAGTCTTGCTTTGTTGCCCAGGCTGCTCTAGAACTCCTGGCCTCAAGCAATCCTCCTGCCTCGGCCTCCCAACTGCTAGGATTATAGGCATGAGCCACTGTGCCCAGCTCCGTGTTTTAAGTGAATTGTTCTTTTTAGTATTGAGTTTTCAGAGTTCTTTTTATAGTCTAGATGCTAGTCCTTTGTAGAATATATGGTTTGCAAATATTTTCTCCCACTCTGAGCTTATCTTTTTATCCTCTTATGTCATTTGCAGAACAATAGTTTTAATTTAGACCAAGTCCAATTTATCAACTTTCCTCCCAAAAATGTGCTTTTACCGTCAAATCTAAGAATTCCTTACCTAATCCTAGATCCTGAAGATTTTCTCTTATTTTTTCTGAAAGTATTACAGTTTTACATTTTATATTTAAGTTTGTGATCCATTTTGAGTTTATTTTTATATAAATTATAAGAATTATAATTTATAGGCCCACGCCTATATATATTACAGGCCCACGCCTGTAATCCCAGCACTTTGGGAGGCCAAGGTGGGTGGATCACCTGAGATTGGGAGTTCAAGACCAGCCTGACCAACATGGAAAAACCTCCTCTCTACTAAAAATACAAAACTAGCCAGGCATGGTGGCACATGCCTGTAAATCCCAGCTACTCGGGAGGCTGAGGCAGGAGAATCACTTGAACCCAGGAGGCAGAGGTTGCAGTGAACCAAGATTGTGCCATTGAACTCCAGCCTGGGCAACAAGAGCGAAACTCCATCTCAAAAAAAAAAAAAAAGAAAAAAAGAAAAAAAGAATTAGAGGCTGGGAAACATAGTGAGACCTCATCATTACAAAAAAAAATTTTTTTAATTAGCCAGGATTAGCCAAGCATTGTGGCATGCACCTGTAGTTCCAGTTACTTGGGAGGCTGAGGTGGGAGGATCTCTTGAGCCCAGGAGTGTGAGGCTGCAGTGAGCTATGATGGTGCTATTGCATTCTGGCCTGGGTAGCAGAACAAGACCCTGTCTCAAAAAAAAAAAAAAAAAAGAATTAGGTCATTATGTCATGGTACTTTTTTTGGTCAATGCACGTCCACTTGCTCTAGCACCCTTTGTTGAAAAGGCTACCTATCCTCCATTGAGTTGCTTTTGTATCTTTGTCAAAAATCAGTTGGCTCATGCCTGTGATCCCAGAACTTTAGGAGGCCAAAGCAGGAGGATATCTTGAGCCCAGTAGTTCAAGACCAGCCTGGACAATATAGGGAGACCCTATCTCTTTTTTTTTTTTTTTTGAGATGGAGTTTTGTTCTGTCGCCCAGGCTGGAGTGCAGTGGCGTGATCTTGGCTCACTGCAAGTTCCGCCTCCCAGGTTCACGCCATTCTCCCGCCTCAGCTTCCCGAGTAGCTGGGACTACAGGTGCCCGAGACCACACCCGGCTAATTTTTTGTGTTTTTTTAGTAGAGACGGGGTTTCACCATGTTAGCCAGGATGGTCTCAATCTCCTGACCTCGTGATCCACCCGCCTCAGCCTCCCAAAGTGCTGGGATAACAGGCATGAGCCACCACGCCAGGCTTTTTTTTTTTTTTTTTTTTTTTTTGAGACAGAATTTTGCTCTTGTCGCCCAGGCTGGAGTGCAATGGCGTAATCTCAGCTCACTGCAATCTCTGCCTCCAGGGTTCAAGCGATTCCCCTGTGTCAATCTCCCAACTAGCTGGGATTACAGGCTCCCGCCACCGTGCCCGCTAATTTTTGTATTTTCAGTGGAGATGGGGTTTCACCATGTTGGCCAGGCTGGTCTCGAACTCCTGACCTCAGGTCATCCAACCACCTTGGCCTCCCAAAGTACTGGGATTACAGGTGTGAGTCACTGCGCCCGGCCACGAGACCCTATCTCTATTAAAAAAAAATTTTTTTTAATCAGTTGGGCATATTAACATTGGTCTATTTTTGAGTTCTTTATTTTGTTCCTTTAATCTATTTTCTATCCCTCTGCTAATACCACACAGTTGCGATTACTATAGCTATTTAAGCCTTGAAATAGGGTAGACTGATTTATCCTACTTTATTCTTCTTTTGCAAAAATGTTTTAGCTATTCTAGTTCTTTTGCCTTTCCTGATAAATTTTTAAATACACTTCTCTGTATCTACAAGGAATTGTTGGAATTTTTATAGGAATTGCATTAAGCCTACATATCAATTTGGGAAGAATTATCATTTTTGTTATGCTGAGTCTTTCAATCCATGAATGCTGTATGCCTTTCCATTTATTTAGATCTGCTTTGATTTCTTTCTTTAGCATCGTGTGGTTTTCAGCATACAAGTGTTGTACATATTCTGTTAGATTTACAGTTTTTTTTTTATTTTTATTTTTTTCTGGGTTGTTTGTTTGTTTGAGACAGAGTCTCACTCCATCACCCGTGCTGGAGAGCAGTGGCACAGTCTCAGCTCACTGCAACCCCTGCCTCCCAGGTTCAAGTGATTCTCCTGCCTCAGCCTCCTGAGTAGCTGGAATTACAGGCGTGAGCCACCATGCCTGGCTAATTTTTGTTTTTTTAGTAGAGACAAGGTTTTGCCTTGTTGGCCGGGGTGGTCTTGAACTCCTGACCTCAAGTGATCCTCCCGCCTTGGCCTCCCAAAGTGTTGGGATTACAGGCGTGAAACACCACGCCCAGCCTTTTCTGTTTTTAGTGACTATAAATGGTATTGTTGTCCAGGCACAGTGGTTCACACCTGTAATCCCAGCACTTTGGGAGTCTGAGGTGGGCGGATCACAAGGTCAGCAGATCGAGACCAGCCTGGCCAGCATGGTGAAACCCCGTCTGTACTAAAAATACAAAAATTAGCTGGGCATGGTGGCGTGTGCCTGTAGTCCCAGCTACTCAGGAGGCTAAGGCAGGAGAATCACTTGAACCCGGGAGGCAGAGATTGCAGTGAGCCAAGATTGTGCCACTGCACTCCAGCCTGGGCGACAGAGTGAGACGCTGTCAAAAAATTAAAAAAAAAATTTTTTTAATTGGTATTGTCGCCCAGGCTGGAGTGCAATGGCATGATCACAGCTCACTGCAGCCTCAGCCATCTGGGCTCAAACAATCCTCCCATCTCAGCCTCCTCCCCGACTTCCCCTAGTAGCTAGGTCCACAGGAGTGTGTCACCACACCCAGCTAATTTTGGTTTTAAACTCCTGAGCCCATGGCTGCCTACCTCCGCCTCCCAAAGTGCTGGGATTTCCATGCCCAGCCTGGTATTATATTTTTAATTCCAGCATCTACATGTTTATTGTTGGTATACAGAAATCCAATTGATTTTGTATGTTTATTTTGCATCTTGTGACCTTGCTGAGCTCACTTATTAGCTCTAGGATTTCTTTTTGTCGATTCTTTGGGATTTTCTACCAAGAATATCATATTATCTGCAAATAGGAACAGTTTTATTTCCTCCTTTGCATTGGTGTGCCTTTTATTTCCTTTACTTGCCTTATTGCCTTGGCTAGAACTTCCAAAATTATAACTGGATCAAGACTGAGTGAGAGTGGGTATCTTCGCTTCATTCCTGATCTTAGAGGGTATTATGGGCTAAAATGTTTCCCTCCTACCCCTCTGCCCAAATTCATATGTTGAAGCTATAATCCCCTTTACCTCAAAATATGACTGTATCTGGAGATAGGGTGATATGATTTGAATCTGTGTCCCCACCAAATCTCATGTCAAATTGTAATCCCCATTGCTGGCGGTGGGGCCTGGTGGGAAATGATTGGATCATGTGGGTGGAGTTCTCATGAATGGGCTAGCACCATCCCCTTGGTGCTATCATTCTCATAATAGTGAGTGAGTGAGTGAGTGAGTGAGTGAATTGTTGTGAGATCTGGTTGTTTAAAAGTGTGTGGCACCTCACTCCTGTCTGTCTCCCTCCTGCTCAGGCCACGTAAGATGCTTGCTCCTGCTTTGCCTTCCACCATGATTGGAAGCCTACTGAGGCCTCCCCAGAAGCAGAAGCTGCCATGCTTCCTGTACAGCCTACAGAACCGTGAGCCAATTAAACCTGTTTTCTACATTAGTGTCACTAAAGTTGGTATACAATCCCCTCCACTACTAAATTTGACTGGCTTTTTTAAAAAAGAGAAAAAAGAACAACAACAACAAAACTATTTTCTTTATAAATTACCCTGTCTCAGATATTTCTTTGTAACAGTGTGAAAACAGACTAATACATGAGGTCTTTAAAAGGTAATCAAATTAAGATAAGGTCACTAAGGTGGGCCCTAATTTAATATGGCTGGGGTCCTTATGAGAAATGATTAGACCATCCTGGCTAACACGATGAAACCCCGTCTCTACTAAAAATACAAAAAATTAGCCAGGCGTGGTGCTGCCTGTAGTCCCAGCTACTCAGGAGGCTGAGGCAGGAGCATGGTGTGAACCCAGGAGGTGGAGCTTGCAGTGAGCCGAGATCACACCATTGCACTCCAGCCTGGGGACAGAGGGAGACTCTGCCTCAAAAAAATAAAAAATAAAAATAAATAAAAGAAGAGATTAGAACACAGACTCATAAAGGGAAGACCACGGGAAGACACAGGGAGAAGGCAGCCATCTACAAGTCAAGGAGAGAGGCCTCAGAGGACACCAACCCCACTGACACTTTGATCTTGGCCTTCCAGCCTCCAGAACTGTGAGAAAATAAATTTCTGTTGCTTAAGCCAACCAGTCTGTGGTACTTCGTTATAGCAACCCCAGCAAACTAAAGGTGTAAAGCATGCAGTTTTCACCATTAAATATGTTGGCTGTAGTTTTTTGTTTTTTTGAGAGAGTCTCACCCTGTCACCCAGGCTGGAGTGCAATAGCACAATCTCAGCTCACTGCAACCTCTGCCTCCAGGGTTCAAGCGATTCTCCTGCCTCAACCTCCCAAGTATCTGGGACTACAGGCATGCACCACCACGCTCAGCTAATTCTTGTATTTTTAGTAAAGGTGGGGATTCACAAAGTTGGCCAGGCTGGTCTTGAACTCCTGAGCTCAAATGATCTGCCCATCTCGGCCTCCCAAAGTGCTAAGGTTATAGGCTTGAGCCACCATGCCCAGCCAGCTGTAGTCTTTTTGTAAATATTCTTTATCAAATTGAAGAAGTCCTTCTCTAGTCCTATTTTTCTGAGTGTTTTTATCACAAATGGGTGCTAAATTTTGTCAATTGTTCTTTCTCCATCAATATACTTATGTGGCCAGATGCAGTGGCTCACGCCTGTAATCCCTGCACTTTGGGAGGCCAAGGTGGGCTGATCACTTGAGGTCAGGAGTTTGAGACTGGCCTTACCAACGTGGTGAAACCCTGTCTCTACTAAAAATACAAAAATTAGCCAGGCATGGTGGTGCATGCCTGTAATCCCAGCTACTCAGGAGGCTGAGGCAGGAGAATCGCTTGAACCCAGGAGGTGGAGGTTGCAGTGAGCCTAGATTGCACCACTGCACTCCAGGCTAGGCAACAGAGACTCCATCTCCAAAAAAAAAAAAATTATGTGATTTTTCTTCTTTAGGATGTTAATATAATAGATTATATTTGATTAATTTGAAATATTGAACTAGCCTTGCATCTCTGGAATAAATCTCATTTGGTCATGGCATGTAATTATTTTTGTAAATTGTCTAATTCTGTTTGCTAATATTTTGTTAAGAAATTTTGCATCTATATGCATGGGGGATGTTGGTCTGTGGTTTTCTTTTGGGTATTGTCTTTGATTTTGGTGTGAGGTGTGAGAAGTGTTTCCTCTTCTATTTTCTGACAGAAATTGCATAAAATTGGTGTTACTTCTTTAAATGTTTGGTAGAATTTCCCAATGAAGTTATCCAGACTTAGAAATTTCTTTATAAGAAATTTTTTATTTAATTTTGGTTTTAAAATTATGACTCAGTTGATTTAATAATTAAAGGGCTGGGCGCAGTGGCTCACGCCTGTAATCCTAGCACTTTGGGAGGCCAAGGTGGGTGGATTACCTGAGGTCAGGAGATTAAGACCAGCCTGGCCAACATGGCGAAACCCCATCTGTACTAAAAATACAAAAATTAGCCGGATGTGGTGGCAGGCACCTATAATCTCAGCTATCAAGAGGCTGAGGTAGGAGAATCGCTTGAGCCCAGGGAGTAGAGGTTGCAATGAGCCGAGATCACACCAATTCACTCCAGCCTAAGCGAAAGAGCGAAACTCCATCTCAAATTATGATTCTAGGCTGGGAGCGGTGGCTCACGCCTGTAATCCCAGCACTTTGGGAGTCCGAGGCAGGAGGATCACGAGGTCAGGAGTTCAAGACCAGCCTGGCCAAGATGGTGAAACCCTGTCTCTATTAAAAATACAAAAATTAGCCAGATGTGGTGGCTAGTGCCTGTAATCCCAGCTACTCGGGAGGCTGAGGCAGAAACTGCTTGAACCCGGGAGGTGGAGGTTGCAGTGAGCTGAGATCACACCACTGCACTCCAGCCTGGGTGACAGAGCGAGACTCCATCTCAAAAAATAAATAAATAAAATAAATATAATTTAAAAATAAATAAATAAAAATAAAATAATAATTATAGGAGTATTCAAATTATCTGAATTGTGATAGTTGTGTTTTTGAGAAATGGTCATTTCATCTAAGTTGTAAAATTTATGTGTGTGGAGTTGTGCCTTGTATTGTCTATTTATCCTACTCATTTTTAAATATGCTGATCTATTTAATTTTTGTTCCCAGATGGAAAAGAGCTTTATTGTTTTCATTACAGTAAAAAATAGAACATACCCATAGAAAAATATATATATAATATAGAATATTTCCCATAAAAGGAAGTAAATCTAACCAATCAAAGATGTTAACATTCTAGTGAAGAACCTTTCAGACATCCATCTATCCACCCACACAAATACATGAATGTATACATAGATATGTATTTTATATAAATAGGATCATATTATACATGTTCATCTGTAACCATCCCTTTCATTCGACAAATCTATGTCAGTGTAGGTCTACACCATCATTTATGATGACCACAAGATATTCCATTGTGTGAATATATTATAATTTACTTAACCCTATCTGATGTTGATTGTCAAATGGCTAAGTTGTTTCTAGTCTTTTATATAAACAACACTGTGGGTGAATATCCTTGTTCATTTAGCTACAGATGTGTAGCTAACTCTTTAGAATTATTTCCTAAGAGAAAGATTACTGGTACGTTCATTGAAAATTCTGATCAATGTTACATAGATATATTATGTAGGAAAAAGAAGAAGAAAGAAGAAGAAGAAAAGAAGGGGAAGAAGGGGAGGAGGAGATGAAGGAGAAGAAGAAGAGGAAGAAGAGGGAGGAGGAGGAGGAAGAAGGAGGAGGAGGAGGTGGAGGAGGAGGAGGAGGAGAAGGAAAAACTCTGATACATATGATCAAACTACATTCCACAAAAATATATTACCCTATCATCACCTTGCAAACACTGTACTTTTTTTCCCCTCCTTGCCAAAATAATTTGTGAAAAATAATCAGGTTTTTTTGGTAATACTGTAGTTGTTGTTTTGCTTTTCTTTGATTACTTATGAGATTGATGTGTTTATGGGGTTTTTTTGTTTTCTTTTGTCTTGTCATTTGTGTTTCCTCTTCAAGCACTACCTAGAAGCAGAAGGTTTCATTAGGCACTCTAGAGAGGATGTCCCCAACCCCCAGGCTGCAGACCCATACAGTCTGTGGCCTGTTAGGAACCAGGCGGCACAGCAGGAGGTGAGCATGGGCAACTAAGCATTACCGCCTGATCTCTGCCTCCTGTCAGATCAGTGGCAGCATTAGATTCTCATAGGAGCACAAACCCTATTGTGAACTGCATGTGCAAGGGATCTAGGTTGCATACTCCTTATGAGAATCTAATGCCTGATGATCTGAGTTGGAACAGTCTCATCCCCAAACCATTCCCCCACCCCGTCCGTGGAAAAATTGTCTTCCATTAAACCAGTCCCTGGTGCCAAACAGGTTGGGGATCGCAGCTATAGAGGGCTGATTTAAGAAGCCCTCTTGGCCAGGCATGGTGGCTCATGCCTGTAATTAAAACACTTTGGGAGGCTGAGGCAGGAGGATCATGAGGTCAGGAGTTCAAGACCAGCCTGGCCAATATAGTGAAACTCTATCTCTACTAAAAACACAAAAATTAGCCGGGCATGGTGGTGCGCATCAGTAGTCCCAGCCACTCGGCAGGCTGAGGCAGCAGAATCGCTTGAACCTGGGAGGCAGAGGTTGCATTGAGCTGAGATGATGCCACTGCACTCTAGCCTGGGCAACAGAGTGAGATTTTGTCTCAAAAAAAAAAAAAAAAAAAAGAAACCCTCTTAAAGAAACCCTCTTATTGGAAAATAAGATCCAGCTTTAATACCTTTCCTAAAAACCATGGCAGCTTAAGTAGTTTCATGTTTTTCTAATTTTTTGTTGTTGTTTTTGTAGAGACAAGGTCTCACTATGTTGCCCAGGCTGGTCTTGAACTCCTGGGCTAAAGTGATCCTCCTGCCTTGGCCTCCCAAACTGCTAGGATTACAGGCATGAGCCACCAAGCCCAGCCCTCATGTTTTCTAATTTTACTGAAAAGTATTCTTATATCCTTGATATAAAAGAATAAAATAAAAACCTAGTTGGGGATGGATGGGTGATGATGGATTGCATGACAATGTGAATATATTTAATGCCACTAACTGTACACTTAAAAGTTGTTAAAAAGGTAAATTTTATGTTTTATATATTTTACCATAGTTTTTTAAACCCAGTTGGGGAAGATAGATATAGATATTTTTGCATACAAACAAGAACTTTGACTTCATTAGTTTATGACAGAAGAATTGACTCTCAGTCTACTCTCCTTAAAAGAAAAAAAATGAGATTAAAGAAAGCGTGGCCAATATTCCACTTTCATGTTCCATACACTAAGAAATATGAGCTTCTTAAAAATTTAAATCTATCCTTGTTTTATTTTGAGATGTATAAAATAATAAATAATATCATCAATAAACTTAATAAGTAACGGGTACATTAGAGAAACATAAATAAATGATATCCTCATCTTAAATACTTTGCTTATATGCCACAAATTTACTTCCAAAAATAATGATACTACATGTAAGTTCATTTATATATCAAACTATGTTTGAGACAAAATAATTTATCAAATCTTCTGGGATGATGGCTTTTTTTTTTTTTTTTTTTGAGACAGAGTTTCACTCTTTGTTGCCCAGGCTGGAGTGCAACGGCGTGATCTCAACTTACTGAAGCCTCCATCTCCCGGGTTCAAGTGATTCTCCTGCCTCAGCTCCCGAGTATCTGGGATTACAGGCATGCACCACCACGCCTGGCTAATTTTGTAGTTTTAGTAGAGACAGAGTTTCTCCATGTTGGTCAGGCTGGTATTGAACTCCTGGCCTCAGGTGATCTGACTGCCTCGGCCTCCCGAAGTGCTGGGATTGATGGCTTTTAAAGTTCCTTTTATGCTTCGGTTCTAGTTCAAAAGGCTTAGAGGTCCTCTTCCTGCCACTTGCTGATGTTTTTCGGTAACGTTATTCAGTAATTTGATCACATTTCATTATTGACTGTCATTTTCATTAACACCTACTAATATTTCCCCAGCTTCTGTTAGAGACTGACTACCTGGCTTGGTGACACAGGTCCTGTGGCCAGATCATTGAGTCATCACATGCAACTAGGACCTTCCAATAGTCTAGGGAACCACAGTTGAATTGTGGAAAAGTCTGGAAAAGGACTAAGAGAAGACCTTGCCCTTGCTTTGGGGGCTCTGATGCCCAAGTTCTCCTGTGGAACCTCTGCTCTCTTCACATATACACAGAACCTTCCTTACAGTGCTGGGACTCAGGAAGAAAGGATTCTTAGGGGTATGGAAAGGGGGTTGGAAGTGGAGTCTTCTGCTCCTGCTATTTGCCTGGTACCCACGGTCTTCAGGTAAGAGGTCGCTGAGGAGATAGCAGAGTCCAATTCCATTCTGACCACCTCCCCTTACAACCCATTCTCCACCCACATGCCAAATGTTTTATGTTTCATATTTTATGTTTCTTGATTTGCTTTATATTTAAAAACACAAATCAGGTGTAGTCATTCCTGTGTTGCTTACCCTCCAATGACTTTCCATTGCTTTTAGAATGAAATCCAAACTCCTATGACAGCTGTGACCTGGCTCCTGCCACACTGACTCCCCTTTCTGTCCTAGGGAATGTCACCAAATGCTTTCCCAGCTCCAGCTCTTCCTAAAGGTAGGCTCATTCTCACCCTCCAGTTCCAATTCAAATATCACTCGCTCTCTATCACATTGTCTTATTTACTTCCTTCACAGCACTGACCACACTCTATATCTATCGTGTTTATTTTTATTTTTTTGGATTATTGTCTGTCTCTCCTCCCTCAATTAGAATGTAAGTTCCATACAGACACCTTTGTCTGTCTTGTGTATTGCATCCCCAGCATCTAGCACTGTGCCTGGAATGTGCTAAGTGAGCAACATGAGTGTTTGTGGAATGACCCCTATACCCTCCACCCCAAATCAGCATAATTGTCCATAAAACTGAGCTTCCCAATACATACGAACTTGTGGAAAAACCAGTACCTTGCAATCCTAGAATTTATAATCTAAGGTTCATTCTTAAAGAAAAAGACAAATAGTCAATGTGCTAGAAGAGTGTCTCTGTCCTACCCCCAAAACAGATAAAAAAAATCAAGATGAACTTACCATTTTGAAAGGAAAACACATAGTGGCCTATACCCACATCTTCCCAGGTGTGGAAAAGACCAGATATTTGCTGAACTTCTATGTAGGCTCTATCCTCAGGAAGATGTAACTGGAATGTAGAGATGTAAAGCATAAACCTCTTTTGAGTTGTACTCAGAGACATGGTTTGAATGGAGTCTAGAAAAATGCACACGAGAAGCAAGAATCCACCTGTGTGTATCAAACACTGTACACTCTAGGGGAAAGAATATCTGTTTTTAAATAACCTTCTTTAAACATAATTATTCCCAAATGCCGAAAAGAAATCCTTTCATAGCGAGCACACCAATAGGAACTGTGACACGCCCAGCTGGCTCCCGTGCAGTCCCCTCCTGCTCTTCCTTCTAGCCTGTTGACCCAGGCACTACAGCCAGCGGTAGCTTCTCCCCAGTTGTTCTAGACAAGCTCCTTCCAAGGAAGCTGTAAGTTACCCAGGAGGTGGGGTGCTGGAAGTGAGGATGGTTTTTTCTCTCTTTTTTGAATGATTGAATGTCTTAAAGTGAGACTGTACTCATCTATTATTTAGATCAATTTTTTAAAATAATAAGAGAACATAATTTTACTTAAAAAACAAACCTCTAGCTTGCCTTCTCAGAATGAGACTCTCTGTCTTCCTGGTTGACAACCACTTGAAAAACAATTTGGTAAGTTTTTTTTTTCTTTACATACATATATATATATATATATATATATATATATATATATATATATATATATATATATATTAGACAGGGTCTTGCTCTGTCGCCCGGAATGGAGTGCAGTGCCACGATCTCGGCTCACTGCAACCTCCGCCTCCTGGGTTCAAGTGATTCTCCTGCCTCAGCCTCCCAAGTAGCTGGGATTACAGGCATGCACCATCATCCCCAGCTAATTTTTGTATTTTTAGTAGAGGTGAGGTTTTGCCATGTTGGTCAGGCTTGTCTCAAACTCCTGACCTCAAGTGATTCTCCCACCTCAGCCTGCGAAAGTGCTGGGATTACAGGCGTGAGCCACCATGCCTGGCCGGGAGGGAACTTTTTATGGTGATGGAAATGTTCTTATCTGTATTGTTGTGGTGATTGCATAAGTATATATATTTGTGAAAACTCAGAGAACTGTGCACTTACAAATGGAGGCAAATTTTGAGATCACTGAATTGCGAGGTATGACAGTTTAAGGCTGCTCATTTGGCAAATTGAAATGATCAGGAATCTGGCTGGGCACGATGGCTCATGCCTGTAATCCCAGCACTTTGGCAGACCGAGGCAGGCGGATCATGAGGTCAGGAGATCAAGACCATCCTGGCTAACACAGTGAAACCCCTTCTCTACTAAAAACACAAAAAAATTAGCCGGGCGTGGTGGCGGGCGCCTGTAATCCCAGCTACTTGGGAGGCAGAGGTAGGAGAATCATTTAAACCAGGGAGGCAGAGGTTGCAGTGAGCCGAGATCGCGCCACTGCACTCCATCCTGGGTGACAGAATGAGACTCCAACTCAAAAAAAAAAAAAAAAAAAAAAAAAGAAATGATCAGGAATCAAGGGTCTTCCTGGATGGCAGACATATACTCTTGAAAATTTGGCTTTGGTAATTGGACTTTCCCCTCATGACTGGTTGTCATTTTCAAAGTATATAGAAATAAAACTTTCTGCTCTCCAGCCCTCCCCTTGCTCCCTGTTAGGGCTTCTATTTAATTGATCTGATTGGGCAGTCCATGATCACCTCTCTAGTTAAGATACTGCCTTACTGATGTTGAGGATCCCCTAAACGAAGACTTTAACTAGAATCTGAGCCTTAGTCTTGGAAAGGCAGCATTGTGGTGACTTGGGGTTGTCGCTTCCAACAGAAATTCTTGCCTTAAGGTTTTTTGGGATTGTCGTTGTTTTGTTTTGTTTGTTTTTGAGACACTCACTCTGTTGCCCAGGCTGGAGTACAGTGGTGCCACTTACGGCTCACTTTAGCCTTGACCTCCGAAACTCAGGTGATCCTCCCACCTCAGCCTCCTGAGTACCTGGGACTACACGTGCGTGCCACTACGCCCAGCTAATTATTGTTTTTTGTTTTTTGTTTTTTTTTTTGTAGAAATGGGGTTTCACCACCGGGCGTGGTGGCTCACGCCTGTAATCCCACCACTTTGGGAGGCCGAGGCAGGCGGATCACGAGGTCAGGATATCGAGACCATCCTGGCTAACATGGTGAAACCCCATCTCTACTAAAAATACAAAAAATTAGCCGGGCGTGGAGGCGGGCGCCTGTAGTCCCAGCTACTCGGGAGGCTGAGGCAGGAGAATGGCATGAACCCGGGAGGCGGAGCTTGCAGTGAGCCGAGATCGCGCCACTGTACTCCAGCCTGGGCAACAGAGCGAGACTCTGCCTCAAAAAAAAAAAAAAAAAAAAAGAAATGGGGTTTCACCATGTTGTCCAGACTGGTCTCAAATACCTGGGCTCAAGCGATCTATCCACCTTGGCCTCCCAAAGTGCTAGGATTACAGGCATGAGTCACTGCACCCAGCCTTAAGGTTTTTTAAATTAATGTTTGTAAATGGGGAAAGCATACCTGAAATTGAAATAGAGGATACTGGAGTAGATGTGTGGTTCAAATAAACTGGCTTACAGCGTAACAAATTGGCAGCCTTTTGTTGCCAATTTACTAGATCTGTATTTTGGTTTTGTTTGTTTGTTTGTTTGTTTGTTTGTTGAGACAGAGTCTCGCCCTCTCGCCCAGGCTGGAGTGCAGTGGCGCGATCTCGGCTCACTGCAAGCTCCGCCTTCCGGGTTCACGCCATTCTCCTGCCTCAGCCTCCCAAGTAGCTGGGACTACAGGCGCCTGCCACCACGCCCGGCTAATTTTTTTGTATTTTTAGTAGAGATGGGGTTTCACCGTCTTAGCCAGGATCGTCTTGATCTCCTGACCTCGTGATCCGTCCGTCTCGGCCTCCCAAAGTGCTGGGATTACAGGCGTGAGCCACCGCGCCCGGCCTTGTTTGTTTGAGTTTCACTCTGTTACCCACCCAGGCTGGAGTGCAGTGACGCAATCTCAGCTCACTGCAACCTCTGCCTCCCTGGTTCAAGCAATTCTCCTGCCTCAGCTTCCCAAGTAGCTGGGATTAAAGGCATGCGCCACCACACCCAGCTAATTTTTGTAGTTTTAGTAGAGATGGGGTTTCACCATGTTGGTCAGGCTGGTCTCAAACTCCTGACCTCAGGTGATCTGCCTGCCTCGGCCTCCCAAAGTTCTGGGATTATAGGTGTGAGCCACCGTGCCCGGCCAGATCTGGTATTATTTTAAGAGATTCCTGAAGAAGCATTAGTTAAAAGTGATAGTAGAAAGACAGACATTTAATATTCTATGTGCTGCTTAGCTATTCCTGTTAGGTTCACTCCATTTCAGCCTGTTCATTAGCTCCCAAGGATGTCTGTGAGCAGATAAGTGGCGTCTTCGTGACAGTAATCCTTGGAGTGTGAGGCCTGCAGCACTGGGCCACGACCATGGAGGCTGCCTGTTAAAATGCAGGTTCCTGGGTTCTACCACAAACCTCTCGCACCTCCATGAGTGGACCAGGGACCTCCGTCTTGGATGATATCCCCAGTGATGTTAATGTGCTCCCGGTTTTGGGAATCATTGTTGCTTCCCTTTGGAGATAACTGTTGAAGATGGGAGGACACTGCTCTTCAGGAGACAGCAAAACACTCCTAAGAAGGCTGAAGGGCTGAGAGCCTACCTTACAGAGAAAACAGTGGCTAGCAGAGCTTCACAAAGCGCCAAACCAGGAGTTCGGGTCGTGTCGTCTTTGCAGGTGTCGCCAGCTGGAAGAAGACCTAGTGGCACTCTTGAAAACTGTGAGTCCTTTGTAGAAGATGCTGTGGCCTCGTACTCATGGAACCCATTTATGCATTTCCCCCTTTGGGAAAGTTGCATCACAAGGTTTCCTCCTGGCTTCCTAAAGTAAAACTTTCAGAGCTTTTTGCCCACAACAGGGAACTGACACTCCATGGTTACTAAGAAACTTTCAGACATCTGAGAGAGCAGGTCATCTTGAACTTGGTGGTCAAGAGCCCAGGCTGAACAGTAGTTCAGTCAAGTATCATGGCAATAATCCCAGCCAGCCCTGCAGAATTCACAGGAAGCCCAGCTCCTCCTCCCTTACAACTTCCCAGGACCACTTTGGACCCCTAACGGACTAGTCCCCACATGGCTCCACAGAGGTGACTTCGATGGTTCAAATGACTATCAGAAGAATCTGTACTGGAGCTAGGCAACCTTTGGGAATCACCAGATGAAGTTTTGGATGTAACTCACTGTTAGGGCCATTCAGCAAGATCTGTTAAGAAAGTGAAGCACCTTTGGGCCAGACACGGTGGCTCACGCCTGTAATCCTAGCACTTTGAGAGGCCAAGGTGGGTGAATCATTTGAGGTCAGGAGTTCAAGGCCAGCCTGGCCAACATGGTGAAACCTCATTTCTACTAAAAATACAAAAAATTAGCCCGACAGTAGTGGTGCATGCCTATAATCCCAGCTACTCCAGAGGCTGAGGCAAGGTCATCGCTTGAGCCTTGAGGATGAGGTGGAGATGGAGTGGTAGGGAGATGGGGTGAGATTTTTTTTTTTAATTGGCCAGGCACAGTGGCTTATGCCTGTAATCCCAGCTCTTTGGGGAGCCAAGGTGAGAGGATCACTGGAGGCCAGGAGTTGGAAACCAGGCTGGGCAACATAGGGAGATCCCCATCTTTACAAAAAATAACAAAAATAATAATAAAATTAGCCAGGTGTGGCAGCATGTGCCCATAGTCCTAGTGGCTCAGAAGGCTGAGGCAGGAGAATCACTTGAACCCAGGGGCTCGAAGCTGCAGTGAGCCATGATCATGCCACTAAACTCCAGCCTGAGTGAAAAAGCGAAACCCTCTGTCTTAAAAAAGAAAAAAACAATGTAATATGGCAGGAGATGCTTTGAAGCTACACAATAAATACACATTTTACTCCAAGAATTGGGAATAAAATAATTTTATTTAAAATGAACATAGATATGTCATGATGTAGAAGGCCAAAATTGCACCAATTTGCCCGGGCACAGTGGCTCATGCCTGTAATCCCAGCCCTTTGGGAGGCTGAGGTGGGTGGATCATTTGAGGTCACGAGTTCGAGACCAGCCTAGCCAATATGGTAAAACCCCACCTCTACTAAAAATACAAAAATTAGCTGGGCATGGTGGCGGGTGCCTGTAGTCCCAGCTACACAGGAGGCTGAGGCAGGAGACTCGCTTGAACCTGGGAGGCGGAGGTTGTGGTGAGCCAAGATCGTGCCACTGCACTCTAGCCTGGGCAACAGAGCAAGACTCTGTCTCAAAAAAAAAAAAAAAAAAAAAAAAAGGAAGCTGTGTACGGTGGCTTATGCCTGTAATCCCAGCACTTTGGGAGGCCGAGGCAGGCGGATCACCTAAGGTCAGGAGTTCGAGACCAGCCTGGCCAACATGGTGAAACCCCATCTCTACTAAAAATATAAAAATTAGCCGGGCGTGGTGGTGCATGCCTGTAATCCCAGCTACTCCAGAGGCTGAGGCAGGAGAATCGCTTGAACCCGGGAGAAGGAGGTTGCAGTGAGCCAAGATTGCGCCATTGCACTCCAGCCTAGGTGATTATACCATTGCACTCCAGCCTGGGTGACAGAGCAAGACTCCACATAAAAAAAAAAAGTTGCACTAATTTTTATGATGAAATAGGAAACTTGAAATAAATTTTACAATGTGTCAGTTCCTGTGGACTAACCCAGCTTGAGAAGCCCCTCATGGCCTGCATTGTCTCCAGTGTATTCTCTGGCCTCATGATTTTCTGATCTTATTATCAATTGCAGAGTTTACTGTATTTGGAACCGACAGCCGTCTAAGCCTCAACTGTATTTACTTCTGACTTAGTATTGATTTTAGAGCCTTCTAATTGATTTAAAAAATCATATTTTAAACAGAAATATTCTGATTTCTTTTCTTTTTTTTTTTTTTGAGACGGAGTTTCACTCTTGTGGCCCAAGCTGGAGTACAATAGCACAATCTCGGCTCACTGCAACCTCCGCCTCCTGGGTTCAAGCAATTTTCCTGCCTCGGCCTCTCAAGTAGCTGGGATTACAGGCAACTGCCACCACGCTCGGCTAATTTTGTATTTTTATTACAGATGGGGTTTTGCCATGTTGGTCAGGCTGGTATCAAACTTCTGACCTCAGGTGATCCACCCACCTCAGCCTCCCAAAGTGCTGGAATTACAAGTCTGAGCCACCATGCCTGGCCCTGATGCATTTTTTTTGTTTGTTTGTTTTTTGTTTTTTTTTTTAGACAGAGTCTTGCACTGTCACCAGGCTGGAGTCCAGTGACATGATCTCAGCTCACTACAACCTCCGCCTCCCAGGTTCAAGTGATTCTCCTGCCTCAGCCTCCTGAGTAGTTGGGACTACAGGCACACGGCACCACGCCCAGCTAATTTTTGTTAATTTTAGTAGAGATGGGATTTCACCAAATTGATCAGGCTGGTTTCAAACTCCTGACTTCAGGTGATCCACCTGCCTCAGCCTCCCAAAGAGGTGGGATTACAGGTGTGAGCCACCGTGCCCGGCCCTGATGCTGTTAAAGTTTGAAAAAGGCCAATGATCCTATTGGGATGGAGCTGCTATGTAATAATATTATTACTACTAGAAAATTTAGTTTTCCAGTCCGTTCATACAGGTTTAAGAATATTTGCTGATTTGCAAGAAAGGGTCTCAATTCCAATGTAAATAATTCTATGTCACCCTAAAGCCACACAGTTTTAACTCATGGCTACATGTACAGCCTAGCAGTTCCTTTGGTGCTAACCTTCCAGACAAAGTTCTCTGAGCTAGATCATTCAAGGGTGAACCTCTTAATTGTGCAGCTTCATGTCACTGATGTGATCCTATTATGGTGTCTGCTTGAAGGTTGTGGTTCAATTTTAAATAAAACCTTAGTAGAATTACTAGCAATTTTAGTGTTTGCTCCCTACAATTATTTTATCAGCTAATGAAAAGTTTAAGAACACAATTTGGAGGACTATCAAATTGGTTCTAGACATCTGATAGATGGGTATGCAAATGAGTCAATTTAGAGATATACATGAAAAACATATTTCCTTTTTCTTTTTTTTGAGACAGAGTCTTGCTCTGTCACCAGGCTGGAGTGCAGTGGTGCAATCTCAGCTCACTGCAACCTCCAACTTCCTGGTTCAAGCGATTCTCCTGCCTCAGCCTCCCGAGTAGCTGGGACTATAGGCGCACGACCATGCCCAGGTAATTTTTGTATTTTTAGTAGAGACGGGATTTCACCATGTTGGCCAGGATGATCTCGATCTCTTGATCGAGTTTTGCTCTTGTTGCCCAGGCTGGAGTGCAATGGCGTGATCTCGGCTCACTGCAACCTCCGCCTCCCAAGTTCAAGCCATTCTCCTGCCTCAGCCTCCCAAGTAGCCAGGATTACAGTCATGCACCACCATGCCTGGCTAATTTTTGTATTTTTAGTAGAGACGGGGTTTCTCCATGTTGGTTAGGCTGGCCTTGAACTCCCGACCTCAGGTTATCCGCCCGCCTGGGCCTCCCAAAGTGCTGGGATTACAGGCTTGAGCCACCACACCCAGCCCATATTTCCTTGTTTACAGATATACATATATATATAGTATCATCAAGGTGTATCAACATTTGATTATAATGAGATACATGATACATTGGCTATTATTTACATGGACAAGTAGGTCAGAGCCTGACTCTCTAATATCAACAAAAATCAGGGTGGTTAGTTTGCCCTAACACTAACACAGTTTGCTAGGTGACTGAACAGCAAAAAGGAGGGAACAGGGATCTGAAATCTTAGACACAAGGAACTTCATTTTCTAAGAGCGTGGTCTCTTACAAAATGATGATTTTTATTTATTTATTTATTTATTTATTTATTTATTTATTTATTTATTTATTTATTTTGAGACAGGGTCTCTGTCTGTCACCCAGGCTGGAGTGCAGTGGCGTGATCCCGGCTCACTGCAACCTCTGCCTCCCAGGATCAAGTGATTCTCCTGCCTCAGCCTCCCAGTAGCTGGGATTACAGGTGCCTGTCACCACTCCCAGCTAATGTTTTCCTTTTTCGTAGAGATGGGGTTTCACCATGTTAGTCAGGCTGGTCTCAAACTCCTGACCTCAGGTGATGCACCCACCTCAGCCTCCCAAAGTGCTGCGATTACAGGCATGAGCCACTGCACCAGCCCTGATGATGTTTAAACCAAACAAAAAAGTAAGACTGGGGCCACCACGCTTGCTACACTGGAGGACAGAATATTTAGACACTAGGTTAAAAACCTGTGAGAACGTCCTGAAAGTTAAAGAACTGTCATAGAACAGGTTCTATCATGAGCCTGTTACTAACACAGCCTAGGCTGGTCAGCACAGGGCAGGGAAATCACAAATTTCCTAGTCATTATTAGGTCAAGAAAAGTAGATCTTGAAAAAGAATTAGAAAATGACTAGCTATAATTTGTACCTTTGATGAATGTAATTCTAAAATTTTGTTTAATTTAAGAGACCATTTTAATTTACAAGATGTTAAAATGTGAAAACAAACAAACATGAGTCTTAGAATTAATGACAGGCAGCTTGGTAGATAAAGGCTGGAATGAGGAACACATTGCTTTAACCTGGAAAGAAAAGACAAATGCATGTAAAAACATAATTACCAGCTGCCGGGGCACGGTGGCTCACGCCTGTAATCCCAGCACTCTGGGAGGCGGAGGCGGGTGGATCACCTGAGGTCAGGAGTTTGGGACCAGCCTGGCAAACATGGTGAAACCCCGTCTGTACTAAAAATACTCAAATTAGCTGGGCATGGTGGCGCACGCCTGTAATCCCAGCTACTCCGGAGGCTGACGCAGGAGAATTGCTTGAACCTGGGAGGTGAAGGTTGCAGTGAGGCAAAATCATGCCACTGCACTCCAGCCTGGGTGACAGAGCAAAACTCCGTCTCAAAGAAAAAAACAAACAAACAAAAAACATGATCACAAGAGCTGAGTTTAAAATAAAAAACAAAAAACAAAAAAAGGCCGGGCGTGGTGGCTCACTCCTGTAATCCCAGCACTTTGGGAGGCCGAGGCAGGAGGATTGCTTCAGGCCAGGAGTTCAAGACCAGTTTTGTCAATGTAGGAAGACCTCACCTATACAAAAGAAAAACTGTTCTTTTTTTTTGAGACGGAGTCTTGCTCTGTTGCCCAGGCTGGAGTGCGATGGCGTGGTCTCGGCTCACTGCAACCTCCGCCTCCCGGGTTCAAGCGATTCTCCTGCCTCAGCCTCCAGAGTAGCTGGGATTACAGGGGCCCGTCACCATGCCCGGCTAATTTTTGTATTTTTAGTAGAGATGGGGTTTCACCATGTTGGCCATGCTGGTCTTGAACTGCTGACCTCGTAATCTGCCCACCTCGGCCTCCCAAGTGCTGGGATTACAGGCGTGAGCCACTGTGCCCGGCCAAGAAAAACATTTTTTTAAGATGACATCTCTAGTCATTAGAGAAATGCAAATCAAAAGCACAGTGAGATACCATTTCATATCCACTAACTAAGATGACCATAAACAAATAGACTGATAATAACAAGTGCTGGTGAGCAGGGGAGAAATGGGAACCCTCCTATACTGTTGATAGGAATGTAAAATGGTATAGCTGTGTTGGAAAACAGTTTCTCAGAAAGCCAAACAAAAAGTTCCTATGTGACCCAGCAATTCCACTCCTGTATACACCCAAGGGAAATGAAAACATATTACTACACAAAAATTTGTATGCGGACAGGCACGGTGGCTCACGCTTTTAATCCCAGCACTTTGGGAGGCTGAGGCAGGTGGATCACCTGAGGTCAGGAGTTTGAGACCAGCCTGGCCAACATGGTAAAACCCCATTTCTACGAAAAATGCAAAAAGTAGTCAGGCATGGTGGCGGGCACCTGTAGTTCCAGCTGCTCAGGAGGCTGAAGTGGGTGAATCACCTGAGCCAGGGAGGCAGAGGTGGCAGTGAGCCAAGACCGCACCACTGCACTCCAGCCTGGGTGACACAACAAGGCTCCGTCTCAAAAAAAAAAAAATTGTATGCAAATGTTTATGGCAGCTTTATTCATAATAGCCAAAAAATAGAAATAATTCAGATGTTCATCAACTGATTAATGGATAAAGACCACATGGTGGCCAGGCGGGGTGGATCATGCCTGTAATCCCAGCACTTTGGGAGGCCGAGGCAGGTGGATCATGAGGTCAGAAAATCGAGACCACCCTGGCTAACATGGTGAAACCCTGTCTCTACTAAAAATACAAAAAATTAGCCCGGCGTGGTGATGGGCGCCTGTAGTCCCAGCTACTCAGGAGGCTGAGGCAGGAGGATGGCGTGAACCTGGGAGGTGGAGCTTGCAGTGAGCTGAGATAGCACCACTGCACTCCAGCCTGGGCGACAGAGCAAGACTCTGTCAGAAAAAAAAAACAAAAAAAACAAAAAAAAAAAACACATAGTATATTCATACAATATATGAAGTGGGTGAATCACCTGAACCAGGGAGGCGGAGGTGGCAGTGAGCCAAGACCGTACCACTGCACTCCAGCCTGGTAACAGAGCAAGACCACGTCTCAAAAAAAAAAAAAAAAAAAAGGTAAGTATATAGAGTCAAAAAGTAGATTTATGGTTGCCCAGGCATGGGGGTTTGGGAAGAAATAAAGAGTGGCTCCTAATGTCTATAGGGTTTCTTTTTAGGGTGATGAAAATGTTTTAAAACTGTCCTTATGAACTCTTCCAATATGTTAAGCATTATTAAATTGTAAACTCTAAATGGGTGAGTTGTATGGTCAATAAAGCTATTAAATCACAATCCAGGGGCTGAGATTAAAAGAGAAGAAAAAACAATCCATATAATGTCTGTTTATAATTTTCATTTTTTCCTGTACCCCCACCCCCCCATCCTCCTCCTTTTTTTGAGACAAGATCTCACTCAGTCGCCCAGGCTGGAGTGCAGTAGCTGATAATAGCTCACTGCAATAAGCTGAAAATTGTAATATTAGTAGAATAACTATACCTTTTCTGTTTATTAGCTCCTTCTCCTCAACTTATAAATATTTTGAGGTTGAAATTGCCTTTGCAAAATTATGACAATAAGAGAAATCTGACATAGTTGAGTCCATCTTGCTTCAGACCTCCAAGCTGTCCTTGGTCATTTCTGTGCATAGGCCTAGCTAACCTTGGGAAGAATTTAGTTTATAATTTAACTTGAAAGCAAGGATGATAACAGTCCCGCCCTAAAACTAACACCCTCCTTGCTTAGGGACCAAAAGCAGCCTTTGCAAGACTTTGGTTTTTTTTTTGTTTTTTTTTTTTTGAGATAGAGTCTTGCTCCATTGCCCAGGCTGGAGTGCAGTGGCACAATCTCGGCTCACTGCAGCCTCCACCTCCTGAGTTCATGTGATTCTCCTGCCTCAGCCTCCTTGAGTAGCTGGGATTACAGGTGAATGCCACCACTCCCGGCTAATTTTTGTATTTGTAGTAGAGATAGGGTTTCACCATATTGGCCAGGGTGGTCTTGAACTCCTGACCTCAGGTGATCCACCCACCTCAGCCTCACAAAATGCTAGGATTACTGTTGTGAAGTCCACAAAAATAGGATTATTGGAGGGACCTGAGTTCTGCTAAAATGCAGGAGTAGTTTCTATAATCTCTTACTGCCCAGGAATCATGTGGCCAGAGATCACAAGATTTGTGACTTCCATAGATAACATCACTATTGTGGAAACTAAGATTGGTTTTTAAAGATTTTTTTCAGACTGACCCCACCTGGACTCATGACTCATGACTCAACTGATCCTTTGGCCCTATAAGAGCTGGACTCAGTGCAGGAGGCTTGTTTTCCACATCCCTATGATCTCATCCTCAACCAGTCAGTAGCACTCATTCCCTAGCCCCACCCAACAAATTGTCCATAAAAACCCGAACCTCTGAGCCTTCAGGGAAACTGATTTGAGTATTAGCTTTAGTTGAGCCTCATGGGCTGGCTTTGTGTCAAGTAAAAGCTCTACTACAATGCCGTCCAGTAAATTGGTTTTGTCTGTGCAGCAGGCAGGACAAACCCTTCCGACGATTATAAGGTTGCTTCAATCTTAAGAGAAAAGAAAACTACCTAGTTCTTTCTCTCATTGTTCTTTGATTGGTGTCCTTCCTTCCCACCTCATTAACCAATGCAGTCTGATTTCCACCACCAGGGCCCCTACCTGGAACTATTTCATACTGAGGTTGAAATGGCCTTCAGGGCTGGGCGTGGTGGCTCACACCTGCAAGCCCAGCACTTTGGGAGGCTGAGGCAGGCGGATCACCTGAAGTCAGGAGCTTGAGACCAGCCTGACCAAAGTGGAGAAACTCTCTCTCTACTAAAAATACAAAATTAGCTGGGTGTGGTGGCACATCCCTGTAATCCCAGTTACTCAGAGGCTGAGGCAGGACAATTGTTTGAACCTGGGAGGCGGAGGTTGTGGTGAGCCGAGATTGCATCATTGCACTACAGCCTGGGCGACAAGAGCGAAACTCTGTCTCAAAAAAAAAAAAAAAATGGCCTTCCAGCCAGGCATGGTGGCTCATACCTGTAATCCCAGCACTTTGGGATACCAAGGTGGATGGATCACCTGAAGCTGGGAGTTCGTGACCAGCCTAGACAACATGGCGAAACCCTGTCTCTACTAAAAATACAAAAAAAAATCAGCTACTCAGGAGGCTGAGGCATGAGAATTACTTGAGCCTGGGAGGCAGAGACTGCAGTGAGCCGAGATCAGGTCTCTGCACTCCAGCCTGGGCAACAAAGCGGATTCTGTCTCAATAAATAAATAAATGACAAAATCCAAGGGATTCAGTCCCCATCTTGACCTCTTGGGATAATTCATCACTGTTACACCCTTCTAGAAGTTGTTTCCTTACTCCTATAAACCAAAAAGTATCTGAGACAGCTATCAATCAATTTATCTTGCCAAGGTTAAGGACATCCAAAAGAAATAAAAACAGAATCAAAGAAATAGTCGGTGGCCTGTGCCTTTCTCCAAAGATGATTTTGAAGGCTTCAATATTTAAAGGGGAAATGTGGGCTGCAGGGGACAGAGGGAGGGTACAATAATCTACACGTTGCAAAAGAAAAGGAGCAGGGAGGGGAATGGTCAATTATGTATTCATCTCACACTCAGTAAATGGGCACTTTACATAAGATGAGGCCTGGGGTGGTGGCTCATGCCTGCAATCCCAGCACTTTGGAAGGCCGAGGCAGGTGGATCACCTGAGGTCAGGAGTTCGAGACCAGCCTGACCAACATGGAGAAACCCCATCTCTACTGAAAATACAAAATTACCCAGGTGTGGTGACAGTTTCCTGTAATCCCAGCTACTCGGGAGGCTGAGGCAGGAAAATCACTTGAACCTAGGAGGTGGAGGTTGCAGTGAGCCGAGATCGTGCCACTGCACTCCAGCCTGGGTGACAGAGCAAGACTCTGTCTCAAAAAAAAAATAAAATAAATAAATAAATAAAAATAAGGTGAATATACAGTAGCTACCTGTGGAGATATTTAACCTTTTATCAGTAGCTATCTGCCTAGGAACAAAAGCAAGCCAGTTTCTTGCATGACTTAGCTTTCAGCTTAATTTTTTTCTTTTGGCAGAGTGAACTAGGGTCCCAAGTTTATTTTCCTTTCGTACTCTCAAGACACCAATCACTCCTTGTTCTCCTCCGGCCAAGTCTCAAGTCTCTTTCCCTCCTGCCAACTCCTTAAAGGTACAAGTTTCATAGGATTTTTATCCCTAAGGTTTTTTCTATTTCACTTAAAAGACCTTTTTCTGGGTCAACTCATTAGTCATGGCTTCAATTACTGAACTCCCAACAGAATTGGGCTCTGACCCTGCTATGAACTTTAGGGCAATGGTTTATTCTTCTTTACTTATGTATTTGTCTGTTCGTTTGTTTGTTTGGTTTGTTTGTTTATTTATTAGACTGGTTCTGGCACTGTCACCCAGGCTGGAGTGCAATGGCATGATTGTAGCTCACTGCAGCCTGGAACTCCTGGGCTCAAAGGATCTTCCTGCCTCAGCCTCCTGAGTAGCTGGGGCTACAGGCACACATCACCACACTGGGCTAATTTTTTTTTTGAGACAGGGTCTCACTATGTTGCCCATGCTAGTCTCAAACTCCAGGCCTCAAGTAATCCTTGAGCCTCATCTCCCAAAGTGCTGGGATTACAGGCATAAGCTACCATGCCGGGCCCATAGTTTCAATTGTTTACAAAGTGACTCCACCTGTATGTTCCATGGACACATCACAATTATATGTTCACATATCAACTCACTATCTTCCCCTGAGAGCAGCATCTCCACTTGTTATCCCCATTTGGTTCCATTATCCATCAGTTACCAAAGTCATCACTAGATTCCATTATCTCCTGCCTCAGCCCCGAGATTCAATGTCACTCAACCCTATGGTTTCTGTCTCCTTTGCAGTTCTTAAATCCATCTCCTTTCCACCATCCTGCCCCCAGTTTATTTATCTGGGAGGTGGCATCGAGGGAGGAAGAGGGATGTGCATTAGAACAACCTGTGTAATGTTAACCAGAAAACATACAAGCCCAGCGTGGTGGTTCACACCTGTAATCCTAGTGCTTTGGGAGGCAAAGGTGGGATGATCGCTGGAGGCCAGGAGTTTGAGACCAGCCTGGGCAACACAGCAAGACCCCATCTCTACACAAAATTTTAAAAATCACTTGGGCATGATGGTGCATGCCTGTAGTCCCAGCTGCTTGGGAGGCTGAGACAGGAGAATCGTTTGAGCCCAGGGGTTTGAGGTTACAGTGAACTATCATCGCACCACTGCACTCCAGCCTAGATTACAAAGTGAGACCTCTCAAAAAATTAAATAATAAACAAACAACCAGCCGGGCACGGTGGCTCACGCCTGTAATCCCAGCACTTTGGGAGGCTGAGGTGGGTGGATCATGAGGTCAGGAGTTCGAGACCAGCCTGGCCAAGATGGTGAAACCCCGTCCCTACTAAAAATACAAAAAATTAGCTGGGTGTGGTGGCGCACGTCTGTAGTCCCAGCTACTTGGGAGGCTGAGGCAGGAGAATCGCTTGAACCGGGGAGGCGGAGGTTGCAGTGAGCCGAGATCATGCCATTGCACTCCAGCCAGGGCAACAAGAGTGAAACTCCGTCTTCAAAAATAAATAAATAAATAAATAAACAAACAACCATTACATACCCTACCCCATCTCCAGAGATTCTGAACCTGTATATACTCTTCCTCATCTTCACCGTCCTTACCCATTTTCAACACTGCTGGCAGAAAGATCCAATGATCCTTCAAAAATGCAAACTGTCTGTTTAGCCTTTCACTGGGTCTCTAGGATGAAAGTCCAAACTCCTCTCAAACCCGTCACCTTGGGTTCTTGCCCACAGCTTCCACCTCACCTGCGGCCACTCCCTATGGACATCCCGCACTCAACCCTTATCAGATTGCAGCACTTGCTGTTCCTGGAACACGCCTTCTTTCCTCGCCTTAGTGTTCTCTTCTCTGTGGATATCCTCTGTGATACCTTTCCACTTGGTAGTCACTTTGTTCAAAACGCCTCTCCTGACTTCTCTAGGCAATTAGTTATTTCTGTCAGAGGTGTTGGAGCCAGAGCAACTCTATGTTGAATAGAGGCTGAGACCTACTGGGCTGCATTGCCAGGAGGTTAGGGATTCCTAGTCACAGGATGAGATAGGAGGTCAGCACAAGATATAGATCATAAAGACTCAGCGGATGAAACAGGATGTGAAAAAGAAACCAGCCGGCCGGGCGCATTGGCTCAGCAGACGGATCACGAGGCCAGGAGTTCAAGACCAGCCTGGCCAACATGGAGAAACCCAGTCTCTACTAAAAAAAAATACAAATTTAGCCAGGTGTGTTGGACTACTACGCGCCTGTAGTCCTAACTACTCGGGAGGCCAGGAGTTCAAGACCAGCCTGGCCAACATGGAGAAACCCAGTCTCTACTAAAAAAAAATACAAATTTAGCCAGGCGCGTAGGACTACTATGCGCCTGTAGGCCTAACTACTCGGGAGGCTGAGGCAGGAGAATTGCTGGAACCCGGGAGGCGGAGGTTACAGTGAGCCGAGACCGTGCCATTGCACTCCAGCCTGGGTGACAGAGCGAGACTCCATCTCAAAAAAAAAAAGAAACCAGCCAAAACCCACAACAACCAAGATGGTGATGAAGGTGACCTCTAGTTGTTCTCACTGTTTATTGTACGCTAATTATAATGCATTAACATGATAAAAGACACTCCCACCAGTGCCGTGACAGTTTATAAATGGCACAGCAACATCCAGAAGTTACCCTATATAGTCTAAAAGGCAGAGAAATCCTCAGTCCTGGGAAATCCTTGCCCCTTTCCTGGAAAATTCACGAATAACCCTCTCCCTAGTTAGCATGTAATCAAGAAATAGCCATAAAAATAGCCAACAAGGCCGGGCGCAGTGGCTCACGCCTGTAATCCCAGCACTTTGGGAGGCAGGTGGATCACTTGAGATCATGAGTTTGAGACCAGCCTGGCCTACATGGCGAAACCCCATCTCTACTAAAAATAGAAATAAAAAAATTACCTGGGTGAGGTGGCACGCATCTGTAATCCCAGCTACTCTGTGGGCTCAGCAGGAGAATCACTTGAACCTGGGAGGTGGAGGTTGCAGTGAGCCGAGATCGTGCCGTTGCACTCCAGCCTGGGTGACAGAGCGAGACTTCATCTCAATTAAAAAAAAAAAAAAGAAAAAGAAAAAGCCATAAGCAGCCCTCAGTGCTGCTCTGCCTATGGAGTAACCATTCTTTTATTTCTTTACTTCTCTAATAAATTTGGTTTCACTTTATGAGCTCGTCCTGAATTCTTTCTTGTGTAATATTCAAGAACCCTCTTTTGGGGTCTGGATTGGGACCCCTTTCCAGTAACATTTCCTCTTCTCTGGTCCCACAATACTTTGTCCATAAGTGATTCTGTACTTATTAGCAGATAATTACAAGTATTTTTGTTTATACAATGTCTTACCCCCTAAACTGTCAATAGATTTTGTTCAATTTATTTTTGTATGCTCTAATATAGAGCCTGGCACATAATGTGTATTCAACAAATGTTTACTGAATAAATTTTCAAGGGAATAAGTTTTAATTTCTATCTTTCTGATTGCTTAGTGTTTAATATATTATAAAAAATATGATTCAGGCCGAGCGTGGTGGCTCATGCCTGTAATCCCAGCACTTTGGGAGACTGAGGCGAGGGGATCACCTGAGGTCAGGAGTTTGAGACCAGCCTGGACAATATGATGAAACCTTGTCTCTACTAAAAAATACAAAAATTAGCCAGGCGTGGTGGTGTGCGCCTGTAGTCAGAGCTACTCCAGAGGCTGAGGCAGGAGAATGGCTGGAACCCGGGAGGCGGAGGTTGCAGGGAGCCAAGATGACGCCACTGTACTCCAGCCTGGGCAACAGAGCGACAGACTCCATCTCAAATAAATAAATAAAAAAAAAATAAATAATATGATGCACTTTCAGGATAGCATGCTCTTTGAATCTCTTTAAATAGTGACAGTTTATATTTGAACAGTTATTTTTTCATTTTTCAAAGCACTTTTCCCCAACATTTTATTATGAAAATCTCCAAATATATGGGGGAAAAATAATTGTAAGTGAACACTTGTGTCGGGACTCAGAAACTGATAGCCCAAAATATGGGGCTTTGACCGGCTGAATGGAAGCCTCAAGGTCTCTCTGACCTCACTGCCCAGCACCATCTCTCCCAAAGCACAGGATGAAGTTGAAGTTCCTTTATCTGGCTACAATCCGAACCCACCAAAAGGAACAATTGTTTTTTCTTCCCCTCCTTGTAAGACCAAAAATGTAACCACCTGAACAGACCCTTTCACAAGATAATGTGCAAGTTCATCCCTGTGCCCTGATCCATTCACTTTCCCTAGTCATCTCCTCAACAGAATGCCTCTGCTCCCCTCTCCCCAAGTCTGTTGGCCAGGATGGTAGACAAGCTTCTGAACCCCGTTGGGGGTGTGTAATCACTCTGTGATTCTCCCCATGTACATGTTAATAAATGCATATGCCTTTTCTCCCATTAATCTGCCTTTTGTGAGTTGATTTTTCAGCAAACTTCAGAGGGCAAAGGGAACATTTTTCCCATGGTCCCTATACCCATATATACCCACTACCTAGATTCAAAATCAACATTTTGCTATATTTGCAAAACACTTTTCATAGGCTAATTTTATTATCACCTTTTTAAAAAAATTCTTTTTACAAGTACTGCTCCTTGTGGAGCAGGACTACTCGATAGACAGTGTGCCCAGAGTAGCTTATTATCATTTTTTATTTCACCTAATGACTAAGGTATGATTCTATGTTTTATAGATAAGGAAACTGAAACTGAGGCTTTAATGACTTCCAAGGAGCTTGTCTGCCAGAAGTTGTAATCAACTTGTGCCAGCTGATCTGTCCACACCCTCTATCCACAGGTGTTAGATATGTAACCTAGGTCTGAAAAATATTTAGAATATTCTTGTGATGAAAAGCTTGCAATTCCACAACACAGGGGAATCAGCAAAATCATGGGAAAACCAATAGAATACATTTCTAACTCATGAATCATTCAGAGAAAAATCCAGTCTTGGGTTTTCCCTCCCCCTCATCCCATTTCTATTCCTGATTAGTCATCATTTCCTGCCCAGCCTGTCTGAGATGTTTCTTCCATCCTTTCTTTTCCAGTAACAGTAACCTGGTGCGGGTCTACAGTATCTGTTATCTCAGCTGATTTCCTTTCTGCCTTTTCATGAACCAGAGACATGTGATTTCCAATTAAAGCACAGCCCTGACCATGTCTTTGCTCAGCTTACAAAACGTCAACGGCTCGCAGCTATCCACCGAATTAAGCCTACTATAATCCCCTTCCTTCCACACTACAACCTATCCACGCATCTGTCCTCTTACTCCTTAGCTTCCATCTTACATGACTAAGAGTTGTTTCCCCAAATACACCCTTATTTACTTTTTTCATTTATAACTCACCACCACCCCCTCCAAAGTTTCACGTGGGTAAATTCTAGACCTCCACGTCATAGGCCAACTCAAATGCCAATCCTTCTAATGAACCTTCTAGAGAGCCCGGGCCTGTTGTCATCTCTATAGCCAATCTTTGGCATCTTGTGGCAATAATCTCATTCTACCTTGTAGAGCTTTCTGGTCTGACTTCCCTTGCCACCTTCTGCTCCCTTTGCCTAAGTATAACACTTTTGAGGAAAAGAACGCTGTTTTAATCATCGTCGCCTCGCCCACAGGCGGTGCTTTATTGTGCTTAATATCGTTTAACGCATCACACACTGCCGAGGGGGTCGGAGGCGGACGCCTTTTGCTGTATCCACACAGACCCGCGCAGGCACACACGTAGGCCGTCTGCCACTCTGACAGACACGTGTCCCCTGGGCCACAGCCCTGGAACTGTCTCGGGATTCCCAGCCTGTGGGCGCTTCCATGCTGGCCAGCGGAAGGGGACGCTTTTTTCTTCAGAACAGCTCCAACGGATACCTCTTATTTTAGACCGCCTGCGGATTCTATCTATAAATCAGCCTAAGCCCCGCTTCCTTTTAAAACAGGATTACGCCGGGTCGAGGGAGCCTGGCGTGGCCGCGCAGTGGCCGGGTCCCGCGGATTCCCCTCCAGCTCCCGCTTGGTAGCGCCCGCTTTGTCAGCGCGCAGCGCTCGCCGGGCGCCCTGCAGGTCTCGCCAGGTCTCACAGCAGACGGTGCCGACGCAGCGGTGTTGCACCTCCCTCTCCGGCTCTGCTGCCCGGGATTTCCCCAGAACCTGCGCCGCGCGAGAAGGAGCCTGGGAGCATCCGCCCACACTGCCCGGACAGTCGGCTCGACTCGGTGCCCTCGGCCCCAGCCGGGCTCCGCTCCTCGGGCGCGCGAGGGGCCGTGGTGGCGGCGGCGCCCGGCATGTTTCATAGTCCGCGGCGGCTCTGCTCGGCCCTGCTGCAGAGGGACGCGCCCGGCCTGCGCCGCCTGCCCGCCCCAGGGCTGCGCCGCCCGTTGTCCCCGCCGGCTGCTGTTCCCAGGCCCGCATCCCCCCGGCTGCTGGCGGCGGCCTCGGCGGCCTCGGGCGCCGCGAGGTCGTGTTCCCGAACAGGTGAGTGCACCCCAGTTCCGGGCGGAGAACGCCACGGCCGCCAACGCGCGGCCGCCACCTGGAGACCGCGCGGAATGAATGAGAAGCCCGGGGCTGCCGGTCGTGGAGTCTGGCCTGAAAGTGGGTCCTTTACCGGAGCAACCTTCTGCGTTCCCTTTTTCCTCTTTCCCTGTTCCCCGACTTGCCTGGGGCTTGCATCAAAGCTAGTAAGAACTGGGAGACTGTATTCAGGTTCCCGCTTGACCCTTAGAGGCCATGCTTTCAGAATTTCTTGTTCTTGACCGTTAAATTTCCCCCTTCCGAGGCCGCGAGTTACTATGTTGGTTACATTTTTTATTGCACGACTTAACGGAAATTTTTATGGAAAAAAAAATCTAAATGATGCTTATTTGCTTATATAGCTTTCATGGTCTAGATATTAAGTTTTTTTTTTAAGTCGTGATAATAACACATTGATTCGTTTTACGTTGTTTTTTTTTTTTTTTTTTTTTTTTTTTTTTGAGATGGAGTCTCACTGTGTCACCCAGGCTGGAGTCCAGTGGCACGATATCGGCTTACCGCAACCTCCCGCTCCCGGGTTCAAGCGATTCTCCTGCCTCAGCCTCCCGAGTAGCTGGGATTACAGGCGCCAGTCACCACGCCTAGCTAACTTTTGTATATTTAGTAGAGACGGGGGTTTCACCATTTTGGCCAGGCTGGTCTTGAACTCCTGACCTCGTGATCCACCCGCCTCAGCCTCCCAGAGTGCTGGGATCACAGGCGTGAGCCACCGCGCTCGGCCATTTTACGTTTCTTTGGATTTTTTTTTTTTGGAGGCTTCCACTCTTTATAGTTAACATCATTTTTTGTCCTGTGTATCTAAGATCTTGTAAAAGTGAGGCCTTAGTTTCACCAAGAGCTGTTTTCATACATCATAATAACTACCCTGAGTTTTCCTTTTTTGCTACCTCTGTTTCTGCCTGGGCACACATTACCATGGCCACAAATTACATACAAATTAATTATACTTTAAAAATTGATAAATTTTTTCTTTCAAAACTAGGCAATACATAACTTTTTTTTTTTTTTTTTTTGAGACGGAGTTTTGCTCTTATTTCCCAGGCTGGAGTGCAATGGCGCGATCTCGGCTCACCGCAACCTCTGCCTCCCGGGTTCAAGCGATTCTCCTGCCTCAACCTCCCGAGAAGCTGGGATTACAGGCATGCGCCACCGCGCCAGGCTGATTTTTGTATTTTTAGTAGAGATGGGGTTTCTCCATGTTGGTCAGGCTGGCCTCGAACTCCCTAGCTCAGGTGAACCTCCCGCTTTGGCCTCCCAAAGTGCTGGGATTACAGGCGTGAGCCACCGCCCCCCCGGCCTATAAAATTTAAAAAAATAGGCCGGGCGCGGTGGCTCACGCCTGTAATCCAGCACTGTGGGAGGCGGAGGCGGGTAGATCACCCGAGGTCAGGAGTTCGTGACCATCCTGGCCAATGGGCTTGGGCGTGGTGGCACTCGCCTGTAATCCCAGCTACTCTGGAGGCTGAGGCAGGAGAATCACTTGAACCTGGGAGGCGGAGTGTTGCAGTGAGCCGAGATCGCACCATTGCACTCCAGCCTGGGTGACAAGAGTAAAACTCCGTCTCAAAACAAAATTAATAAAAATTTTAAAAAATGTATATATTTTAAAAATGGTCATCTGGAATGTGATTGAAGCCAAGACTTTAAACTATTCGCATTGTTGGCAGATATTTAGGTATTTCCCAATCTAGTATCAAACTCCTGGCCTCGAGTTATCCTCAGACTCTGGAGCAGTTGAGATTTGCAGGTGGAAGCCACCATGCCCAACTTAGTCATTTTAAAATTAGGATGTTGAATTGGTTGCTGGAGATTCTGAACTATATTGTTCCTTAGAGTGAACTTGACAGTTAGATTCCCCACCCCCACCCCCAATTTCGTAGGAATGTGGTACATTGTGAAATAACTGCCAGAATGAGTATATTGCCTGATAACTTTTTTCTTGCTGGAAATTTTAAGAACAACATTGTTAGAGGTTTGAGGTAGGAAAAGTAAAAGAAAACCAGGTGATGTCTTCTGTACCAGCTTATATCTTAAATTCCCTCAAAGTCTCAGAGGCAGGGTTAGTAGGTACCTCCTCATGGGAATACTGTTAGCTTGTGTAAAACATAGATGGCTGTGTTATCTGAGTAATTACTGTTATCTGAGTAATAATATCAGGTCAGATTGGAATGTTGGGCTTTTGACCCAAGAAAGTGTTTAATGAACTTCTTTTAAGAAATCCCCTGAAACCCCCTAGTTTTACAGATAAGGAAATTGAAGGACTTTATGGTACTTAAACTTTTGTAGGCAGTTACTATAAAGTCTAGACAATTTTCCTGTTCATGCATTTTTAGCTTCAGCAGCTTGTTGGAAGAAACATGCCTGCATTGATTCATTCATTGCTTGTTCACTCATTCCAGATCTTTACAGAATGTCTCACACAATGTAGGTGCTTTATTATGGGAGTTAAAAACATGAGCTTTAGTCAGTCCCTAAGGAGTTTACTGCCCAGTAAGAGATGAGATTTGCACAATGAAATGGCTGTTTAATGAAATGAAACACCTTTTATTCTCTTGACTTGGAAATGGCACAAGGGTGCAGGAAAGCAGGAAGTCCCTTTTGGGCTTCTAGAAATGGGTGGCATTTCAGCTGGCTCTTGAAGCATGGTTAGGATTGGAAGAGATTACTATAAAGCGTTTTGTTTGGAAAAAGCAGGAGTAAATGCAGAAAGGCATGAGACACACACAGATGAGGAAGGGTGAGAGAAGAGGCACTTTGCAAAAATGGACATTGTTTTCCAAAGAGCCTCAGACCCAGCACTAAGTGCTTTTTAATTTTAATTTTTATTTTTATTTTTTTTGAGACAAGGTTCTCTCGCACTGTTGCCCAGGATGGAGTGTAGTGGCGCCACCTCTGCTCACTGCAACCTCCACCTCCCAGGCTCAAGCAGTTCTCCTGTCTCAGCCTCCTGAGCAGCTGTGACTACAGGCACACGCCACTGTGCCGGGCTAATTTTTGTATTTAGTAGAGACAGGATTTCAACGTGTTGCCCGGGCTCGTCTCAAACTCCCCAGCTCTGGTGATCCACCTGCTTTGGCCTTCCAAAGTGCTGGGATTACAGGTGTGAGCCACTGCGCCCAGCCTATGAAGTGCTTTTTTAAAATGCAGATTCTTGGATCCTACTGTAGACCTATTAAGTCTGAGTCATTCATGATGGGCCCTGGATTCCACATAACCAAATGAAATGACAAAAAGAATAACTCCAGATTGTTCTTCTATGCCCTCAAATTTGGACATCTGGCACCCATATGTGAGAGAGACATTGAAGGGGCCAAAAGCTCCTCTCCACTCCTGAGCCTTGTGGTGGGGAGTAGTGAGTCCCGACAGCTGTCCACATTTGCTAATCAGTTCCTGCATAACTTATGCCCCTTGGCAATTGGTAGTTATTGGGAAGATAAGTACAGTCCCTTTGGAGTTATCAGATTCCAGGTTGTTAGAATTAAAAGGTGACCCTAGGGATGATCTCGGTGTTTGGCTTTCTTTTCTCAAGGATAGCAGCCCCCCTAAGAAGTAGCAGTTGCCACAGTTACTGTACTGGATGAAACGCAGTTGGAAGTCATCTGTGGATTTATAAATGCTATCCTCCACATCCCTCCTCCTCAGAGAATGAAGAGCTGGCTGAACTACTGTTCTCTACCATTAGAACATTTGCTTTTTTTCATGGTACAATTTATAGGCAAATGCCACCAGCTCATTTGAGAAGGCAGCTTTATTTAATATGTCCTTTAACTATGTGAGTAAACTGCTTATGAGAGAGAAGAAACGGGAAAGCTTGTCATTATCAAGCTGCTATGGAATAAATTGCTTTCCTTGTGGGAAAACTAATGTATGATTTTTCTGTTAGCATTCAATGGCAACAGTTTAAACATGGTGAACTGGGGTTCTTTGGGGTTAATAACCATGGCTCCAGATTCACATTCCACACACTTAACATTTGTAAATCATTTAACCTTGCTTGCTGTCTCAACACTAGACTTTACCTAGAACAAATGAATAAGATCAATTGATAGCAATTTATCCACAAGCTTTATTGAATAGTACATGTAAAAGGTGACATGACTAATTGCAGTGGGAGTTGAGAAGAAAGAAATCAGTGTGGCTGAATTTGTCAAGAAATGCTTTGCTTCTAATAGGTGAAAAAGGAGGGTGTTTTGGAAGGGGACAGTTTGCGGGGTGGTGGGGGCAGGCAGAGAAGACCACACACACAATGCCTGGAAGAAGGTGGCGCTCGCATGCAGGAGCTGTGGCAAGCATCTTAGGAAAAGGGGTAGAGGCAGAATCATTTGGGACAGTTGTTAAAATGCAGATTTCTGGCCTTTCAGCCCTCTGCTTGATCAGTTTCCTGTGGAGAAGCCCGGTGGAGTGCATATTTAACAAGTGCCTCAGGGGATTCTTCCAAAAAGATTAGGGAGTATTTATGAGCTCTGCCCCTCCTTTCCCCAAAGGTACTTATTCCTGGAAAGCTTGAGAAGCTCTGGAGAGGATTCTGGAAGAGCCTTAAGACCTTTGGTCTGGCCGGGCACAGTGGTTCACGCCTGTAATCCCAGCACTTTGGGAGGCCGAGGTGCGGATCACTTGAACTGAGGCATTCAAGACCAGCCTGGGCAACATGGTGAAACCCTGTCTCTACTTACATTAGAAAAAAAATAGCCAAGTGTGGTGGTGCACACCTGTACATCCCAGCTGCTTCGGAAACTGAGGCAGGAGAATCACTTGAACCCAGGAGGCGGAGGTATCAGTGAGCCGAGATTGCGCCATTGCACTCCAGCCTGGGCGACAGTAGGAGCAATACTCTGTCTCAAAAAAAAAAAAAAAAAAAGGATCTTTGAGCTTGGGGCCTAAGGCAGTTCAAGAGACCCCTGAGAAAGAACATTGACCCCCGAAAAAAGCAGCTTTAAAAAATTGTATATTTTGTCGAGACGGGTTTTGCCGTGTTGCCCAGGCTGGTCTCGAAATCCTGGGCTCAAGCAATCCTCCCGCCTCAGCCATCCAAAAGTGCTGAGATTACAGGCATGAGCCATCACGCCCCGCCAAAAGCAGCTTTTAAGAAAGGGAAGAAATTCCAGGGCCGGGCACAGTGGCTCAAGCCTGTAATCCCAGCACTTTGGGAGGCCAAGGCAGGCGGATCACCTGAGGTCGGGAGTTCGAGACCAGCCTGACCAACATGGAGAAACCCCATTTCTACTAAAAATACAAAATGAGCTGGGCGTGGTGGCACGCACCTGTAATCCCAGCTACTCTCAAAGAAAAAAAAAAGGGAAGAAATTTGCATATTAATGAAAGTTCAGTGAGAGGAAACTTGAGACTGAGGTTGTAATGGGAGTGTATCCATGTAGTCACTCTAAGTCACAACTTAGAGTAAAATGAGGTTTCTATGATGTTTACTAAAAGAAAAGTGAGGTAATTGTGTTCTGGCTTCTTGGAGTTAGGAAGGGAGATACAGCGTCTGTATTTGCTGTCAGGAGTCACTGGTGACTAATTACAGTTTTTCTGGTTTTTTTTTTTTTTAGACAGTTTTGCTCTTGTTGCCCAGGCTGGAGTGCAGTGGCGCAATCTTGGCTCACTGCAACCTGTGCCTCCCGGGTTCAAGCAATTCTCCTGCCTCAGCCTCCCAAGTAGCTGGGACTACAGGCATGCGCCACCATGCCCGGCTAATTTTTTTGTATTTAGTAGAGACAGGGTTTCACCATGTTGGTCAGGCTCCTCTCGAACTCCTGACCTCAGGTGATACACCCGCCTTGGCCTCCCAGAGTGCTGGGATTACAGGTGTGAGCCACCACGCCCGGCCACTAATTAGAGTTTATAGGGCTTTGATAGCCACTTAAGTGGTGGTTATACTTCAGTAGATAATTAGAAATTTGAAGGACAGTGTGCCTGGGCGTTTAGCCTCATAGTAAACCTGTTTGGACTTCCACGGAAAGCAGCTAAGATACTTTTTATTTATTGTTATTCTTAGAATGGGAGAAAATCAGCCTTCCCACGGAGGGAGTGAGACCTCAAGTGAAAACCTTAGCTGTCCTCTGTATCTATGTGGCCTCAAAGCAACACTTGAATCATATATTAATACTTAGCAAGAATTCAGTGTCAGGTATGTGGGCAACAGTGCCCAGGGGAAAGAAGGCTAAACAAAATTGGTACCATCCAATTTGAATGTCCTTATAACAATTTTTTTCTCCTTCCAGTATATAAAAAAATGCGTGGGTCCCATTCAGATCTTCTGGATTTTAATATCTCCAAGTGGGGCCTGAGCATCTGCTGATTCTGACATAGGCTCCGGGTAGACAACAGCCACATATTGACAACACAGGCGGACACCTGTGAGGAGGCTCGTTTTACTAAATGCTTAGAAGCCTATTCTAAGTCTCTCAGTGATGTGATTCTCCTGTCCAAAAGTTAGAGACCACTGTTGGATTGTGGAGAGTTGTGCAGAAAGGAAAATATTTATTTTATTTATTGTAGAGACAGGGTCTCACTGTGTTGCCCAGGCTGCTCTTGAGCTCTTGGCAAGTCCATGAAAATAAGTGCTTAGAAGTTACGATGCTGCCCGGGTACCGTGGCTCATGCCTGTAATCCCAGCACTTTGGGAGGCCAAGGAGGTGGGGGGAATCACTTGAGGTTAGGAGTTCGAGACCAGCCTGGGCAGCATGGCAAAAACCCCATCTTTATGAAAAATGTAAAAATTAGCCGGGTGTTGGTGGTGTGTGCCTGTAATCCCAGCTATTCGGGAGGCTGAGGCAGGAGAATTGCTTGAACCAGGGAGGTGGAGGTTGCAGCTAGCTGAGATCGTACCACTGTACTACAGCCTGGGCAACACAGCAAGACTCCATCTCAAAAAAAAAAAAGAAGTTATGATGCATCCAAAGTGACAATAAGAATTGTTCCGGAAGGATATCTGGGAAATTCCTTGGTCTTGATGCATCCTTTCTAGCTGTCTTCCTTTCCCTTTTCTATCTTTCCTCCAACTCTGAGGTTCCAGTACTTAAACAGCTCTGTTTGCCGATCTGCAAATATGCTTGTGACTGCAAATATCTTGTCTAGTACAGGGTGCAAAGTAAGTTACACTGCAGATTCTAATAATACCTGGGATATAATACTTTTCTATTTCCTCTTGTGTGTTTTGCTTTTATGGATGCTAATTATCATTGAAGGTCTGCTGAAGGAAAATGTTTATCTTTCAAATCTTGTAGGTCAAATAGACTCTCTGAGACTTAGTTCTAGAATTAGTTTAATATTTTATTTTTTTGAGATGGAGTCTTGCTCTGTTCCTCAAGCTGGAGTACGATGGCGCGATGTCAGCTCACTGCAACCTCCGTCTCCCGGGTTCAAGCGATTCTCCTGCCTCAGCCTCCCGAGTAGCTGGGGATTACAGGCCCCTGCCACCATGCCCTGCTAATTTTTTGTATTTTTAGTAGAGACGGGGTTTTGCCATGTTGGTCAGGCTGTTCTCGAACTCCTGACCTCAGGTGATACACCCGCCTCGGCCTCTCAAAGTGCTGGGATTACAGGCACCATGCCCGGCCTTGCCTCTGAACTTTTAAAGACCATTGTGAGTATTGATTATCTGTAGAAGCTTACAAGATTTCCTTATCTTTGGTATTCAAAAGATCCATCAGGTTGAATGTCTCAGCATCTGATGCGCCCATCCAATCTAAAGACATGCCTTAGCACATTAAAAGTTTGTATCGGTTGTCTACTGTATTGTCTCTTGTTCTCATGTTCTTGAACTCCTGTTAGATTGTTGGCCATATGGATCTATCCTCCGTGTCTATTCATCCTTTTTTTTTTTTTTTTTTTTTAAATTATTTTAGAGACAGAGTCTCCACTTTGTCACCCAGGCTGGAGTGCACTGGTGTGATCATAGCTCACTGTAACCTCCAACTCCTGGGCTGAAGTGATCCTCCCACTTCAGCCTCTGAAGTAGCTGGGACTATAGGTGTGCTCCACCATGCCTACCTACTTTTATTTTTTTGTAGAGACACGGGTCTCAGCTCAGACTGGTCTCAAACTCCTGGGCTCAAGCAGTCCATCTGCTTCTGCCTCCCAAAGTACTGGATTACAAGCATGAGGCACCTAGCCAGGCCTCCATTCATATTTTAGTGTTTTTATCTCTTCTCTGTTGCATGAGATTTTCTGAAAATTTTTGTTCTGCAGTCATTTTAAATTCCTAGACATTTCTAGTTGTTTAATTGCTCCTTTTTTCATAGAAACCTGTTTTGTGTCTATAATGTCTCTCGTACTTTAAATATATCAAGATGTGTGTGTGCCTGTTTCTCCTTTAGGCCTCTTTCCTGGAGAGGAAGGGAGTTTTGCATGTTGTTTTATTTGTTTGTTTGTTTTTTGAGATGGGGTCTCGCTCTGTCACTCAGGCTGGAGTGCTGTGGCGTGATCTCAGCTCACTGCAGCCTCCATCAACCTGGTTCAAGCACTCCTCCCACCTCAGCCTCCCAAGTAGCTGGGACCACAGGCATGCACCATCATGCCTGGCCCAGTAATACAACAGTTACTGTATTTTTAGTAGAGACAGGTTTTCCCCGTGTTGGCCAGGCTGGTCCCAAACTGCTGAGCTCAAGTGATCGGCCCACCCCGGCATCCCAGAATACTGGCATTACAGGTGTGAGCCACCGCGCCCAGCCAGTTTTGCATGTTCTGAGTGGGAAGGTAATCTGGAGAACGGGCAGCCAGGCTTCCTTGTTGAATGCGTGAGAGGGAGCAGGCTGGTAACTACCGCCTTTGTCAAAGAAAGGAGGGTTTCCTTCTATATTCTTCAGTCCAACCCCTTCCCCGCTTTTTAAAACCATCCTTGAGTTTCAGAGTTAGCTCCTGATCTGGTCTGCTTCTCTTTCAGGTCCATTCACCTTTGCAAGCCATTCTAAGGCTATCACCCATTTTCTTTGGGGTATTCTTTGGTTCTATGGAGCAACCAAAAGCCACCCTTCCCGGCTTTGTCTGTGAGAGAGGGGACACATGTAACTAGTGCCACCGTTCACTTTCATTCTTGAACGAATTGCCCTAACAGTTACCCCCTCAGCTTCTCCTGCCCTTTCTATTTCTTGATTCAGCTTGGAGTTTCTTCAAGGTGCTCTTGGGAAAACCACATTTACCTTTGGTAACTTGTACTGCCCTTTCCTTCTGGTTTCTCTGTTAATTCAAACTTGTTTCTGTCTTCTTGGAATTCCTCCAAATATTTGCTCCATTGATGTCATGCATCCCTTCTTGTTTTCCAATGTTATTGATGCATTCTTTAAAAAATTTTAAAGAGGCCAGGCGCGGTGGCTCACGCCTGTAATCCCAGCACTTTGGGAGGCCAAGGCGGGCAGATTGGGAGTTCCAGACCAACCTGGCCAGCATAGTGAAACCCTGTCTCTACTAAAAATACAAAAATTAGCCATGCGTGGTGGCGGGTGCCTGTAATCCCATCAGCGACTCAGAAAGCTGAGGGAGGAGAATTGCTTGAACCTGGGAGGCAGAGGTTTCAGTGAGCCGAGATGGCGCCATTGCACTCCAGACTAGGCAACAGAGCGAGACTCCGTCTCAAAAAAAAAAAAAAAATTTAAATATAGGCACTTTATTTCTTCAAGATCTTAGGAAGGAGAGAAAGTAAATGTATTTTCTACTTTGCTGTCTTGGCCTAGAACCAACCTGCCCAATGATATGCAACATATTCTTTTTTTAATATGTGCCTTAACTATTCAAGCAATGCACTGGGAATTTGTATATGAAAATTGTTTCCCCTCCTTTTTAAGTGACTAAACATCTTTTATTGGTTTTATGATATATATACAAATAGACTAGTGGTGAGCATAGCTGCCTTCCAAATGGACTATACAATTTTATTTTTTATTTATTTTTTTAGATGAGTCTTGCTCTGTCACCCAGGCTGGAGTGCAGTGGCGCAATCTCTGCTGACTGCAACCTCTGCCTCCTGGGTTCAAGTGATTCTCCTGCCTTAGCCTCCCAAGTAGCAGGGATTACAGGCATGCGCTACCACGCCCAGCTAATTTTGTGTTTTTGGTAGAGACGGGGTTTCACCATGTTAGTCAGGCTGGTCTCGAACTCCTGACCTCTGGTGATCCACCCATCCCAGCCTCCCAAAGTGCTGGGATTACAGGCATGAGCCACCGCCCCTGGCCAATTCTTTTAGGGATGGGGGTCTCTTTATATAGCCCAGGCTGAACTCAAACCCCTGGGTTTAAGGGATCTTCCTGCCTCAGCCTCCCGAGTAGCTGAGACTATAGGTATGTGTCACCATGTTTGGCTCATTATTTAAAAATTTTTCATACTTCTTTTTTTTTTTTTTGAGACAGAGTTTCACTCTTGTCACCCAGGTTGGAGTGCAGTGGCACGATCTCGGCTCACTGCAAACTCCACCTGCTGGGTTCAAGTTATTCTCCTGCCTCAGCCTCCCAAGTATCTGGGATTACAGGTGCCCACCGTCACACCCAACTAATTTTTGTATTTTTAGTAGAGATGGGGTTTTTGCCATGTTGGCCAGGCTGGTCTTGAATTCCTGACCTCAGGTGATCTGCTCGCCTCAGCCTCCCAAAGTGTTGGAATTACAGGTGTGAGCCACCATCCCTGGCCTTTTTTTTTTCTTTTTTTTTTTTTTTTTTTTTTTTTTTTTTTGAGACGGAGTCTCGCTCTGTCGCCCAGGCTGGAGTGCAGTGGCGCGATCTCGGCTCACTGCAAGCTTCGCCTCCCGGGTTCACGCCATTCTCCTGCCTCAGCCTCCCGAGTAGCTGGGACTACAGGCGCCCGCTACCACGCCCGGCTAATTTTTTGTATTTTTTTTTTAGTAGTGACGGGGTTTCACCGTGTTAGCCAGGATGGTCTCGATCTCCTGACCTCGTGATCCGCCCGCCTCGGCCTCCCAAAGTGCTGGGATTACAGGCGTGAGCCACCGCGCCCGGCCTCTTTTTTTTTTTGAGACAGGGTCTTCCTCTGTCACCCAGACTGGAGTGCAGTGGCGCAGAGCCAGCTCACTGCAGGCTCAGCCTCCTGGGCTCACGCAATCCTCCTGCCCCAGCCTCCCAAGTAGCTGGGACCACAGGTGCATGCCACCATGCCTGGCTAAAGGCTCATTTTAATATATCTAGAGCAGAGGTTGGCAAACTTTTTCCATAAAGAGCCAGCTAGTAAATATTTTAGGCTTTCTGGGCCATATATCTGTCGCAGCTACTCAACTCTGCTGTTGTAGTGTGAAAGCAGCTATAGACAATATGTAAACTTTATTTATGGACTTTTTTTTTTGAGACCGAGTCTGGCTCTGTCGCCCAGGCTGGAGTGCAGTGGCGCAATCTTGGCTCACTGCAAGCTCCGCCTCCCGGGTTCACTCCATTCTCCTGCCTCAGCCTCCCGAGTAGCTGGGACTACAGGCGCCCACCACTAAGCCCGGCTAATTTTTGTATTTTTAGTAGAGACAGCATTTCACTGTGTTAGCCAGGATGATCTCGATCTCCTGACCTCGTGATCCGCCCGCCTCGGCCTCCCAAAGTGCTGGGATTACAGGCTTGAGCCAACGCGCCTGGCCTATTTATGAACATTAAAATTTGAATTTCATATCATTTTCACATGTCATGAAATATTACTGTTCTTAAGGTTCCCCCCCTCCCCCTACCATTTAAAAATATAAAAGCCTTTCTTAGCTTGCAGGCAGCACAAAGACAGGATGCTGCCAGAGTTAGCTCATGGGTCACAGTCGGTAGATCCCTGATCTAGAGAGGACTCTGTACAGTCAGCAGAAGGCGCCTTATAGTTTCATATTTCCACTCACACTGTAAAAACACGTCATTTTTCCAAGTGTCCCAGAAATGTTAGTGATGGGAGATCACCAGATTTTTAGGTTTTGCTTTTTCACATTTTTATTTCAGAGGATTGTGCTAGAAAAGCCCAGCTTGTGGAAATGATTTGTCAGCCAATAGACAATTGAGCACCAGTCGAACATGTTAAACTAAGCATTTATCATGGAGGGGATTCCCTTCTCTTTAGAGAGCTTTTCCATATGAGTCTGTCCTGGCTGAAGGTATGGTTCAGTCTTGTCTGGATGACGCTTCAGCTTTCTTGTCTGGTCTGTGACTGCCACCTGGCAAAGAGAGGTTGTTTGGATTGTCACACTCAGTCTAGGTGCTTGTATTTTTAGACACGTTAGGTTGAGAGTTCTGACCTTCACTTGATATCTCTGGTAATGCCAAGCGGGTCGTGGCACTGCTTTGTACACTCTGTGCTGTGGCAGTGTGTGTGTGCTGTGACGACAGTGACGTCGACAGATGGAGGAGGTGCAACTCGACCTCTGTTTCTTTCTGGCCTGAAGAATGGGCTGCTGTGTGCGCCTGGGGCTAGGCAGGACAGCTGCATCGCTGTTGCCCTGAGGCAGTATCAGCACAGCTGGAGATGCTGACGAGCAGCAGTCCAAGGTGCAGGTAACTTTCTCCAGGGCCAGCCCCCTTACTAGTTGTTCAATCTAGAGAAAGCTGTGCAGATACCCACTTCACCAGATTTGGGACAGAATAATGAAAATACATGGAAGCAGTCTGGCACATTATCTCGAATGTTAATAATAGCCTTCTCTTTTTGTTTTGTTTTGTTTTGTTTTGAGACTGAGTCTTGCTCTGTCGCCCAGGCTGGAGTGCAGTGGCGTGATCTCGGCTCACTGCAACCTCCTCCCAGGTTCAAGCAATTCTCCTGTCTCAGCCTCCCGAGTAGCTGAGATTACAGGCACCCACCACCACATCCAGCTAATTTTTGTATTTTTAATAGAGACGTGGTTTCACCATGTTGGTCAGGCTGGTCTCAAACTCCTGACCTCAAGTGATCCACCCACCTTGGCCTCCCAAAGTGCTGGGATTACAGGCGTGAGCCACCACGCCCAGCTGAATAATAGCCTTCTCTTTATGCCTAGGAAAAAAGTGAGTTTTACAGAATGAAACAGAATAGCTAACATTTAGCTAATCACTTAGGATGTGCCAAGTACCTCTTGTTTAACTAAATTAATCCTCACAGTAACCAAATAAAATAGATTACACTTACCTATATGAAGAAGATAATGAAGAAGCAGAGAGGTAAATAAGTTATTCAGGATCCTATTAGTAAACAGTGGAGCCAGGATTTGGATTCAGGCAGCCTAACTTGAGTCCTTGCTTTAAGACTTTCTTGCCTCTGCGGAACCGCAGGCCGAACTTCCTGGAGAGAGCTGAGGCTTTAGCTATGAGGCTCAGTACTCGAGGCAGGCCTGTCATATTCAGTCAGTGGCACTCAATAACAGACTTGGAGACTGGTCGGTCACTAACTAAAATATTTGACTCCTGCCAGAAAGTAATACCTTCTTAACTTGGCACTTAGTTTATTTTTATTTTTATTTTAAATTTAATATAAGAGATGGGGTCTCACTACATTGCCCAGGCGGGTCTCGAGTTCCTGGGCTCAAGCGATCCTTCTGCCTAAATTGGCACTTAGAATCCAGTCTCTAGGATCTGGAAATTCATGTCATATAAGCCCACATCATGCAAAATTTGAAGGTGGCTGCATTCATTTGCCAGATGGACCTTCAGGGGACGTGTCACATTGTTTGAGTTTTGATTTTCTAGCTGATGGGTGCGCACACCACAGTTTCACAAAAATTTAGAAAGAGTTACTTTTTTTCTTTTTGAGACAATCTTGCTCTGTCACCCAGGCTGGAGTGTAGTGGTGCAATCTTGGCTCACTGCAACCTCTGCCTTCCAGGTTCAAGCGATTCTCATGCCTCAGCCTACTGAGTAGCTGGGATTACAGGGCTGCCACCACGCCCAGCTAATTTTTTTGTATTTTTAGTAGAGACAGGGTTGTTGGCCAGGCTGGTCTACTGACCTCAGGTGATCCACCTGCCTTGCCCTCTCAAAGTGCTGAGACTACAGGCGTGAGCCACCGCGCCTGGCCTAGAGTTACGTTTAATGGTGACTTAGGACCTCATTACACTTTTGAACCTTAGTGTTCTTATCTATAAAGTGGTGTAAATAATGGCCAACAGGTTCTTGAGCAGGTAACTGGTTACAGCAAGTAAAAATGCTTGGTATACCATAAAATGCTCCACCAATAAAAGGTGGTCCTCCATCAGTGTTTGACAGAATTTCTTGGTACTTTGCTGTCACTTGCCATCTTTTATTAACATTGTTTAAAGCACTGGGCTGGATCCTGGGGGAAATGGTAAATAAGGGAAACAGTCCCTGCCCTTGGGAGGCTTAAAGTCTCATGAGTAAAGGACAGAGATTGTGGTGCAAATATCCAAGGGTACCCTAAGTAGGAGAAATGGGCCAGGTATAAGAAAAGGAGAGCCATTGGTTGATCCATAGAGCTAAGCCTGGTTGCTATGAATCTTTATTGATTCCTTCAATATATATTAAATAAATATATTGTATATCCAACATCCAGGCTGCTTTATGTTGGTGGTTATCTTGTGTGAATTCTCGTTTGTATTGAAGATGGCCAGGTATTCTGGAACCTACTCTAAGAAGGCTAATGAAAATCAGCTGCTAAATTAGCTTAGTTTTTGTGAGGTGTTCAACACGCATGGCCAGTAGATGGCAGCATTGGATTGCTGTTTCAGAGATGCCTTCTTGTGCCATTGATGGCTTAGTTTTTGTGTGTTGTGTGTGCTTCTAGGTTTCCTCGGGCGGAGGTTGATCAGCTTCCATAGCTTCCCAGGTGCGTACTCAAGATAATCCTGGCTTTTGCTTGGTTTTTAATCAGCGTTTTTGCCAGGCCACCGTTTCAAGATACTAAACGCAAACTGTGAGAGAAGTAATTAGACGCTGAATGGTTTGGGCAAAGCCTAGAACAGGCAATTGGTGGGCAGCTAGAGGAAGGAAACCTGTGTGGAGCTGTGGAGAGTGGTCGGCCCTGAGTGACTGCTTTCTTTTTTTTTTTTTGAGATGGAGTCTCGCTCTGTTGCCCAAGCTGGAGTGCAGTGGCGCGATCTCAGCTTACGGCAGGCTCTGCCTCTGGGGTTCACGCCATTCTCCTGCCTCAGCCTCCTGAGTAGCTGGGACAACAGGCACCCACCACCATGCCTGGCTAATTTTTTGTATTTTTAGTAGAGACGGGGTTTCACCATGTTGGCCAGGATGGTCTCGATCTCCTGACCTCGTGATCCACCTGTCTTGGCCTCCCAAAGTGCTGGGTTTACAGGTGTGAGCCACCACGCCCGGCCTGCCCTGAGTGATTCCTTAGTGCTATTAGGAGTGCTTGGAATGGTGGGCCAAGTCAGTTTGGGTCTCGACTGTTGGGGTTGTCATCCAGCATTCTAATTATTGATGTGAAGGTGTTTCATTGCAGCCCGACCATTTTCCTTATGGTCGCATTCTTAGGAACTTGAATTGTGATCTGCCTAGATTGCTTTAGTAGTGTGTAGTAATTGGTAGTATTAAGGGTGTACATATATTCAAATATATTTGTGATTAGCCCACTTGTGGGTTTTGTTTTGTTTTGTTTTAGAGGGAGTCTCACTCTTGTTGCCCAGGCTGGAGTGCAGTGGCATGACCTCAGCTCACTGCAACCTCTGCCTTCCAGGTTCAAGAGATTCTCCTGCCTCAGCCTCCCAAGTAGCTGGGAGTACAGGCGCCCGCCACCACGCCCGGCTAATTTTTGTATTTTTAGTAGAGATAGGGTTTCACCATGTTGTTCAGGCTCGTCTCGAACTCCTAACTTCAGGTGATCCACCCACCTTGGCCTCCCAAAGTGCTGGGATTACAGGGGTGAGCTACCACGCCCAGCCTCCCACTTGTGGTTTTTAGGAAAGTAAAGGTATTGCCAAATGGGAGTTTACATACTTGCTACTGTGTTTCAGAAATCTAAATAATCTGAATTCTCTGGCAGTTCTTCAAAGGCTGTTTATAAAAGTAAGAAGAGTTATATTCTTATACAGTAAAATAGCAGTGAGGGCTTAGCAATAGTGGTACAAGGAATTAAGACATCCAGTTTTAAATGTATGTAAAAATGTGCTTATAGAATTAGTCAGTGGCAGGGGGATGGGGTGATGTTGCTAAATGGACACTAGGCAGAAGAGATAAAGCTATTTAATGTGCCTGTTAACTATATGAATTCTGTAACTTGTGTGTTGCATTGAGAGTTATGGCTGGCCCATTGCCGTGACTCATGCCCAGTCCCAACACCTAGGGAGGCTGAGGTAGAAAGATCACTGAAGGCCAGGAGTTTGAAGCCAGCCTGGGACGCTTAGTGAGATCTCGTCTCTACTTTTTTAAAAAAAAATTTAATAAAAAAATAAAATGAGAATTACTGTGTTTGTGAAAAATGAATTGTGAGCAGAAGCCAAATATGGGTGGAATCAAATCCAAAATTTCCAAACACATAAAATTAGACCTGAAGCCAATTTGAGTGCCAAATAGAGTTCAGCAGAGGTTTTGTCAAGATTTGGTACTTTTCAGTATCTTAATTGCCACATGGGTAAATTATTTGTGCTGTTTAGCCTTAGGAAATAAGCTTTGAATATTGAGCTATTGTGAAGGTTCGAAAATCTTTTTAAAGTCCTGAATAGCAACTCCTATTAAGGCATAAAACTTAAGTAGATGGTTTGAAATCCTGGAAATCAACATGTATTTATGTATGAAAGGAATTTTTTTTAATGATTGATACTCGAAAATTAAAAAGTGAATGTGAATTAGCCGAGGGTGGCGGCGTGCACCTGTAGTCCCAGCTACTTGGGAGGCTGAGGCAGGGGAATTGCTTGACCCTGGGGGGCGGAGGCTGCAGTGAGCCAACATCGCGCCACTGCACTCCAGGCTGAGGAACAGAGCGAGACTCCATCTCCAAAAAAAAAGTAAGTGTGGCCAAGTGCAGTGGCTCACACCTGTAATCCCAGTACTTTGGGAGGCCAAGGTGGGTGGATCACTTGAGGTCAGGAGTTCAAGACCAGCCTAGCCAACGTGGTAAAACCCTGTCTCTACTAAACATATAAAAATTAGACAGGTGTGGTGGTGTGTGACATAATACCAGCTACTCAGGAGGCTGAGGCAGGAGAATTGCTTGAACCCGGGGGGGCGGAGGTTGCAGTGAGCTGAGAGTGTGCCTTTGCACTCCAGCCTGGGCAACAGAGTGAGACTCCATCTCAAAAAAAAAAAAAGTTGAATGTTAGGTGGGGTATGGTGGCTAATGCCTGTAATCCCAGCACTTTGAGAGGCTGAGCTGAGAGGATTGCTTGAAGCCAGGAGTTCAAGACTAGCCTGGAAACAAAGTGAGACCCCTGTCTCTACAAAAAAAAAATTCTTTTAATTAGCCAGGGTGGTGGCATATTCCCATCATCCCAGCTGCTTAGGCTGAGGCAGGAGGATTGCCTGAGTCCAGAAGTTAGAGGATGCAGTGAGCTATGATGGCACCATTGTGCTCCAACTCCAGCCTGGGCAATGGAGTGAGACCCTGTCTCCAAAAAAAAAAAAGGGGGAATGTAAAGTTGTTTTTTAAAGTAGGTGAGAAACAATGAGACTTGTTAACTCAGTTATTCTCTCATTTTGTTTTTTTTTTGAGAGCTGGGGTGCAGTGGTGCAGTCATGGTTCACTGCAACTTCCACCTCCCAGGCTTAGGTGATCCTCCTGCCCTAGCCACAGGCACATGCCACCATGCCCAGCTAATTTTTTCTTTTTTTAATTACATCTAGATACGGATCTCTCTGTGTTGCCCAGGCTACTCTCAAACTCCTGGATTTAAATGATCCACCCACCTCAGCCTCCCAACATGCTAGGATTATAGCACGTTTGAAATTGGCATAATAAGCGTATCTGCTTCCTAGGATTGTGATGAGAACTGAAAATATAGTTAAAGTTCAGGAGGCTGGGAAGTCCAGTCAAAGGGCTGGCATCTGGTAAGGGCCTTGTTGCTGTGTCATGCCATGGCCAAAGATGGAAGGTCAAGAGAGGGCTGAACTCGCCCTTTTATAAGGAACCCACCCCTGGAACAGCACTGTGTCTCCCCACCCCCCACCTTATTGGTATTAATCCATTGATGAGAGCCATGCCCTCATGACCCAAACACCTCCCATTGCCCAACTCCCAACACTGCTGCTTTGGGGATCAAGTTTCTAATACATGAACTTTGGGGGACATGCATTCAAACCATAATAAAGTGAGAAGAGAAAGGTGCCCCTCAGTCTTCAGTCTTCTTTAGTTTACAAATTTAAATAAATAGACTTACTACATTATAGTCCCTAGGTGGTTCTTAGTAAGCCTTGGCACTGTGCTATAAGTATAAAAATAATACGTAAAGTCTATCTAGTATTTACTTTGTTATTAATTCCCTAGCCCTGGTTTGTTTGCTGTGGTGTTGTTGTGGTGGTGGTGGTGAAAGGGTCTTGCTATGTCACCCAGGCTGGAGTGCAGTGGCGTGTCTCACAGTTCACTGCAGCTTCAAACACCTGGGCTCAAGTGATCCTCCCTCCTCAGCCCCTCAAGAAGCTGGGACTACAGGCATGCGCCACCACACCCAGCTAATTTTTGTGTTTTTATGTTCATCATGTTGCTTAGGCTGATCTCAAACTCCTTGGCTCAAGTGATCTGCCCACCTCAGCCTCCCAGAGTGCTGGGATTACAGGCGTGAGCCACTGTGCCCGGCTCATGTTCTCCTACTTCTCTGGCCATGTCATTTCATGTTGTTTTTGCAGATTTCCCAGATCTCAATCTTTTGATCTCCTTTCTCTCTAACTCAATTCAGTCTTTTCTGTGCATTAACATCTCCCAATGTTTGTTTCCAGTTTGTAACTCTCTTCTGAATGTCAGTCATCTAATTGTTGAACTCCTATTTTCTGTAAACCCTGTCAAGTCTTCCTAACCACTGTAGTTGGCACCTCCATCCTTCTGGTCGCTCAGCTGGAAACTGTGGACATTTTTTTTTTAAAGAGATAGATAGGGTCTTGCTGTCACCCAGGCTGGAGTGCAGTGGCATGATCACAGCTCACTGCAGCCTCAATCTCCTGGGCTCAGGCAACCCAGTTCAGCCTCCCGAATAGCTGGGACTACCAGTGCACACCACTACACCTGGTTAATTTGTTTTTGTTCTGTTTTGTTTTGTTGTAGAGATAGGGGCTCCCAGTGTTGCCCAGGCTGGTCTCAAACTCCTGACCCTAAGCGATCCTCCTGCCTTGGCCTCCCAAAGTGTTTTGATTACAGGCATGAGCCACCACACCCAGCCTCAAGGCTCCTTTTTGACTGCTGTTTGTCACAAATCACATCCAAGTTATCAAAACTTGTTGGATCCAACTTTAGATTGATTGAGAATCCAACCACTTTCACTGCTGCCCCCCAGTTCACCCCTGCTGTCTCTTGCCTAGATTATTGTACATTTCCTCAAATGAGTTTCCTCCTGTCTGCCCTTATGTCCCTGTAGTATAGTGTAGTTTAAATATATCAGCCAGTGATATTTTCAAAATGTCAATCAGATTCTCCTCTTGAGTAGAATTCTCCAGCTGCTTCCCATCTCTGATAAAGGCCAAAGTCTAGATAGACCAGCAAGGCCCTACCCGATCTGCTCCCTCTCACTGCTTTTTCTCTGACCTCATCTCCTTTTATTCAGACTGTTCACACCACCATAATCCCCTCTGTTTATCAAGCTTGCCACGCATGTTCCTCAGGGATTTTGCACTTGCTGTTCCCTCTGCTTGGAATGTTTTATCAGTCTCCAGTGAGGCTATTTCCTTACCACCTCCCGGTCTCTGCTCAAATTCCATCTTTTGGCGAGGCCTCCTTAAGCATCGCATATCCAATAATAGCTCCCTGCCCACAAGCATTCCCTATTCTACCTTTTCCGTTTATTTTTCTCCAAAGCACTTTTCCATATATGACAGACTACACACACACATATATATGTTTGTATATAGGGTCTTGTTTGTCTCTCCCCACTAGAAAGAACAGAAGCTCCATGAGGGCAGATACTCATCTGTTTTGCTCAGTGATGTATCTCCAGGGTAGTGTCTGGTACACGGTAGGCACTAAAACCTTTTTTTTCCTAGAGAGATATTTAATTTTTTTCTCTAGAGAGACAGAGTCTTGCTATTTTGCCCAGGCTGGCCTCAAACTCCTGGCCTCAATTGAGCCTCCTGCCTCAGCCTCCTGAGTAGCTGGAATTATAAGTGTGAGCCACTGTGCCTGGCTCCAACTCAAAGATTTGACAAAAAATGAATGAACAGTCGTATGTGTCTGTGGTTTGAATGGGGCAGAAGATGAGAGTGGCTACCCATGATGGACCAAGTGGTATAGTCACAAATTAGAGCTTCATATCTAAATCCTATTTTTTCGAAGTCCTTTTCTGGTTACTCTTATCCATCCTGATTGTTTTAACCCTTATTATACCCTAGTGATTCTGCATAGTTAGCACCCAGTTTTTCTCTCATGAATTCATGAGTATTAATCTTTCCCCAAATACTTGCCAATTTTTTTAGGGGAAATATCAGCACATATTTTATTGGCATAACTCAATAAAACTACATTGGCATAACTCAGTGACTTAACAAAACTCAGAGAATAGAGAAATAAATGTAAAATTAACATACAGCAGAGAGATTATCCCAAGGACTATGGGATTGGATTAAATTAAGAAGATTAGAGTGTTGCCAGTGATGGTCCCACTGTTTAAGAGAGTAAAGTGCAAAGAAGGTGAGTAAAATTGCAGGGAGCACAGAACAGCCTGGCACAGGGGAGTCCATCAGTAAGCTGTCTAGAACGAGGGTGGATAAGTGGAAATGCCTTTCAGGACCATCTGTATCTCTGTCCTAACTTCATGCTCATTATGCAACAGACTAATGTTTCCCAGGTACTTTAGTATTAGAGGGCTTGTCCTATGTCATGTTGTGGTTAAATACTCTGGCAGTCAGTGTTGCACCAGTCCACCTTGGGGAATATCTTTGGGTTTCCTGTAAGGTCTAAGGGGACAGAGACAAGACTATAGTAAACACTTCCTAATGATTCCCCTCTACCTAGTCTCTTATTCAAAATGTAGCCCAATGATATCTTTCTCAGACGTGCTCATCTACAGTGAAACAAGTACAAAAGGGCTATGCCAATAAAACTTGAAAGGCAAATTGCAGTGTATTATTCCATACATGAGTAGTGTTATCACACCTGACAAGAATTATTCATTGTTTTTCAAATATGAGTATAGAAATTCTGAATGAAACATCCTTTTTTAATAATTACTATTTTTTTATTTTTGTAGAGACAGGGTCTCACTATGTTGCCCAGGCTGGTCTCGAACTCCTGGACTCCAGGGAACCTCCTGCCTCAGCCTCCGAAAATGCTAGGATTACAGGTGTGAGCCACCACGCCTGGCCCAAGTTTTATTAATAGGAAGATATGTGTCTCTACTGCAAACAGTAGAGCTGTTATATGAGGAACATAGATTTGAAAAGTTTCCCCCGTTCTAACCCAGATGCCTTTTCCACCTGATCTTGGAGAAATTAAGACCACGTAAGCCCTCATTTTAAAGAGAAGTAAGCAGATCTTGGCTGGTACGGTGGTGTGCACCGGTAGTCTCAGCTACTCAGGAGGCTGAGGTGGGAGGATGGCTTGATCCCAGGAGTTTGAGGCTACAGTGGGTTATGATCATACCACTGCACTCCAGCCTGGTAACAGAGTGAGGCCCTTACAAAAAACAGGCCCTTTGGGGAAAAAAAAAAAAAAGGCTGGATGTGGTGGCTCACGCCTATAATTCCCAGCACTTTGGGAGGCCAAGGTGGGTGGATCACTTGAGGTCAGGTGTTTGTGACCAGCCTGGCCAACATGGTGAAACTGTCTGTACTAAAAATACAAAAATTAGCCAGGCGTGGTAGAACAAACCTGTAGTCCCAACTCCTCGGGAGGCTGAGGAAGGAGAGTCGCTTGAGCCTGGGAGGTGGAGGTTGCAGTGAGCCGAGATCACGCCACTGCATTCCAGCCTGGTGACAGAGTGAGACTGTCTCAAATAAATAAATAAATAAATAAATAAATTTTAAAAAGTTAGGTAAGCAGGTCTAGAGAGTTGTGGCACAGCTAAATAGTCATAGAACTGGGACTAGAATTCTCTTTTGAGGCCTTAGAATTTGGTCACGCTGCAGTATATCCTGCATCTCAAAAGCTTTGTCTTCTGAGGGTGAATTTGTTGAAAACCACCAAGAGGATCTCAGGCCAAATAAGGTAGATGACCAGATTTGATAATCTGCTATTAGTCCAAAATGAACTGGCTTTAACAAGAATGTTTTCCTTGAGAATTGTAGTGAATGAATAGCCTATTAAATGCATCGCAAAAACTAGATCCCCCTAAAAGACAACAGGGAATGATAGACTATCCCATTTGATTCATCTCATATATACACAGCAGTCTCAGAGTTGCAGTGCCAGTACCACCACTACTAATTATGATCACTTAGACATAATTACTAATTATGATTGCTACTATGAAACTTATGAAAAAAGTTTAAAATTTTTAAATTGAAGATGCTTTTCTCATCCTGCCCCCTCCTTTTTTGGTGTACTACATCTTCATGTTCACTGTTGGGCCATATAGCCATTACATATTGAATTCTCCCTGAAAGTCTTCTTTAGAATTGATTTGCTAAGTAGCTCTGTGTTTAGTGCTTTGCTCCAGTTCTTACACCAGTGTTTCTGGTTGTTTTGGTCTGAAGCTTGTTCTCTAGTTCTAGATATGGCAAATTTTTTTTTGAAGAAGGCTACATATTAAATATTTAGGCTCTGTGGGCCAAAAATGGTCCTGTTAATGTATTCGTGAGTGTGTGTGTACTTAACAACACATTTTTTAAATGTAAAAGCCATTCTTAGCTTGTTGGGTGTGGTGGCTCATGCCTGTAATCCCAGCACTGAGATGGCTGAGATGGGAGGATTGCTTGAGCTCAGGAGTTTGAGACCAGCCTGGGCAACACAGTGAAGACTCCATTTCAAAAAAAAAAAAAAAAAGCCATTCTTAGCTTGAGGACTGCCAATCCTTGCTTTAGTAGATTCCTCATAAGGGGCTCATGGAGACAATATTCCAGTTTTGCTGGATATAAAATCCTTGGCTTACACTTTATGTATTTTAAATATGTTACTTCATTTTCTTCTCACATAAAACATTGCAGTTGAAGTCTGATGACAATCTGATTTTTTTTTTTACTAGACCACTTGGTGTTGGTCATTCTGGGTTGATACTCTCAAGTTTGCAATGTCTTTTTTTCAATATCTACTTTTTAAGTATTTTTTTTTAAGTTTTCTTGATTTCTTTTGTTCCCTTTCGTTGGTCTTCATCTATAAGAACTGCTATTACTCATATTTTGGGTCTTTGCTCATTTTTAGTATTTGTCACTTTCTCCCTTTTATTTTTTTTTAAAAAAAGCAATCCTTAGGTTTGACTCTGATCTTTTTCTCATTTCTTTTTAATTTTTATTGCTAATTCTTTTTGGTGTCTAATTTCTGAATTTTCTAATTCTGATTTAGGTTATTCTTTCATGTCTTGTATCTTTTTGTTTTGTTTTGTTTTGAGATGGAGTATCGCTCTATTGCCAGGCTGGAGTGGAATGGCGCCATCTCGGCTTCCTGCAACCTCCTCCTCCCGAGTTCAAGCGATTCTCCTGCCTCACCCTCGCGAGTAGCTGGGATTACAGGCGCCCAACACCATGCCTGGCTAATTTTTGCCTTTTTAGTAGAGACGGGGCTTTGCTACGTAGGCCAGGCTGATGTTGAACTCCTGACCTCAGGTGATCCGCCCGCCTCAGCCTCCCAAAGTGCTGGGATTACAGGCATGAGCCACCGCGTCCGGCCTCTTGTATCATTTTCTTTTTTTTTTTTTTTTGAGACGGAGTCTCGGTCTGTCGCCCAGGCTGGAGTGCAGTGGCGCGATCTCGGCTCACTGCAAGCTCCGCCTCCCGGGAGCCTCCTGCCTCAGCCTCCGAAGCAGCTGGGACTACAGGCGCCCGCCACCATGCCCAGCTAATTTTTTTTTTTTTGTATTTTTTAGTAGAGACGGGGTTTCACTGTGTTAGCCAAGATGGTCTCGATCTTCTGACCTCATGATGCGCCCGCCTCGGCCTCCCAAAGTGCTGGGATTACAGGCTTGAGACACCGCGCCCAGCCTTGTATCATTTTCTTAAAGACTTAGCTCACTCTGCAATAGGATGCAGTTTGATTTGCTTCCTGGGCACATTTCTGGCATGCTTTCACTGTCTGATATTGTTCTATTCTTTATTCTCTTCATGTGAAATTGATTTTTCTAAATTTTTAGAAGGAAGTGTGGTTCAGGATTGCTTTTCTGATTTCACGTACTCCTCAAACGTTTGACTCCCATTGGACATCCTTCCTTCTGCACATTCATTTTTGCATGGTAGTTTTTTCATATAACCACCCTAAAACTCAGCTTGGCAAAGATAAAATGTCATCAAAAGGAATGTAGGGCAGTCCTATTGAAACTGAGCTCTACATCAAGCCCAGAGCCTGACAGGTGTCAAACGTCACTGTTTATTTCACATTTAAAATATAAAATATACCATGGTGTCCCTGTGAGTTTGCTGTGGTTCCCTGGGACACGTTAGCTCACAATTTGGGGATCACAATCCCAGGTGATGCTGATATTGCTGATCAGGAGACCACACTTGGATGTTTGGCTGTTTTTTGTTTGTTTTCCCCAAAAAACCTACAGGAAGTAAAAAAAAAAAGTACAAGAAGAAAGACTTTCAAAACTTGTACTGCCAGCCATGAAGAAAATTTCTTCCTTTGGACCCATGTACTCATGTATTTATCAATTAAAATGAAATTATTGAAATCAGTTTGGAAACAGTTGTATATGTGTGTATTTGTGGGAGAGCATGCTTGCTTGCAGATGCACACACACCTGCTATGTTTGTTGGGAAAATTAGTATGTGTTCATTTGCTGTAGTCTAGCTTTCTTACTGGAGGGAAAAACTACTTTGAGTAGACAGGAAGGAACAAAAAAAGCATGCTTGCATCCTCATTGACCTTAATGTTCAAGGACATTTGGTGGTAAATAATTGAATTTCCTTTGTAACCTGCCACAGTGAATTTGATTGACTGCTAGTTTGAGATGTGATTGATAAGCCTGCCAAATTTTATAAAGAAAACTTTATATAATGTTTACATTTATAAAATGTTTATGTTTTATAAAGAAAACTTTGTATCTCTCAAGAGAGGGAAATCCAGATTGCCTGGTACCAGCATTTATCATACAGAGAATCTTGGATGTTACTCCCAGTAAAATGTGCCCCTAATTTATACTATAATGAAAATAAAACATAGTTGACCTCTAAAAGAGCAATCAACTGCTTTCAAGTGAACTGCCACATAATGCTAATTAGTTGAAGATTATGCTCTGTTCTCCTTAATGAATTATAAAAAGCAAAACACTAAAAATTAACTCGGGAAGACAAAGTAACTGGTGCTTCCTGCATTTTTCCTTGTTCTTTGTCTTTCTAGGATCCCAGGAAATGTGGGCAACTCATGAGAAGGTAGTGCCCTGGATGGAAGTTAGCTGAACAAAATCAGCTTACTCTAAGCCCTTCTGGCCTCAGCCCCTTTTCTGGATTTTAAGAAATCCAGCAATTGATACAAGATTATAGAGTATACCACTCAGTGAAGTTCAGAGTTCTACTACAGAAAGCCCAAGCCTTGATTTACACTTAACATCTAGGAGAAATGGGAAAGAATCTAGCCATTACTTTCCCCAACAGAGGGATCTGTATAGATGAGATGACCAGCGTAGCAAGCAGCCTGCTATTACCTAATCTCTCACCCAGGATTAACATTAACATGGGCTTTCTAACATTTCACTTTTTACAAACTAGTCTTTAAGATCTTTTTTTTTTTTTTTTTTTTGAGTCTCGCTGTGTCACCCAGGCTGGAGCTCAATAGAGTCACCTCAGCTCACTGCAACCACCATCTCCCTGGTTCAAGCAATTCGCCTGCCTCAGCCTCCTGAGTAGCTGGGATTACAGGCGCACACCACCACACCCGGCTAATTTTTTATGTTTTTGGTAGAGGCAGGGTTTCTCCATGTTGGCCAGGCTGGTCTCGAACTCCTGACCTCAAGTGATCCACCTGCCTCAGCCTCCCAAAGTACTGGGATTACAGGTGTGAGCCACCATGCCCAGCCTAGTCTTGAGGTTCTTAAGATATATAGAAAAAGGAATGTAGATTTTGTTAAGCCTTGCTCTTTTTTTAAGACTGGTTTTATAAATTACAAAGACAAATCCTAGGTTAGAAGAGGCCATCAAGATCAAAGTATTTCTTCCTTAAAAGGATGAGTTTTCATTGTTAATCAGAGGCTAGTTTTAACGGTAGTACTTAAATTAACTGTCCTAGTAGAAAGCTGGAACCTGGAAACTCCTTTATTCTGCCTCTGTAGAAATGGCTTTATACGCCGGGCGTGGTGGCTCATGCTTGTAATCCCAGCACTTTGGGAGGCCGAGGCGGGCAGATCACCTGAGGTCGGGAGTTCCAGACTAGCCTGACCAACATGGGGAAACCCCATCTCTACTGAAAATACAAAATTAGCAGCGGGTAGAGGTGCATGCCTGTAATCCCAGCTACTTGGGAGGCTGAGGCAGGAGAATTGCTTGAACCTGGGGGTGGAGGTTGCGGTGAGCCGAGATTGTGCCATTGCACTCCAGCCTGGGCAACAAGAGCGAAACTCCATCTCAAAAAAAAAAAAAAAGAAAAAAGAAATGGCTTTATACACTATTATGGCAACAATTGAGCTCCTGGTTTCGGTGGACAGTAAATGTTTATCTTACAGTTGTGCTGGGCGAGAAGTCAGGAAAAGGAGCTGAGTGTGTAACTGTGATTTCCTTTTCCGTAGTGTGTTCCATGGGAACCGGTACAAGCAGACTCTATAGTGCTCTCGCCAAGACACTGAACAGCAGCGCTGCCTCCCAGCACCCAGAGTATTTGGTGTCACCTGACCCAGAGCATCTGGAGCCCATTGATCCTAAAGAGCTTCTTGAGGAATGCAGGGCCGTCCTGCACACCCGACCTCCCCGGTTCCAGAGGGATTTTGTGGATCTGAGGACAGATTGCCCTAGTACCCACCCACCTATCAGGGTTATGCAATGGAACATCCTCGCCCAAGGTATGCTGGATGCTTTTGTGCCTCTGCAGTCAAGTTTGCTGTGACTGCCTTTCTGCTTCTGCACATCCACAGTGCACTGTTTTATGTGGAAGGAAGAGGTGTGGGCAGATGGAGGTGACTGCAGCAGCATGGAGAGCTCCTAGAAGAGGTTAAGACAGGGAATCATCTGGTTTTCACTTTTTTTTTTTTTTTAGAAAGAAAAAAGACACTTTAATTGTTCTTGGATAGTCTACAAACATGGAAGGTGTAAAGAATAAACCACGAGTTACTTGCTTTAATTGTAAAAACCAAGTCAGGTGCAGTGGCTCACACCTGTAATCCCAGCACTTTGGGAGGCCGAGGTGGGTGGATCACCTGTGGTCAGGAGTTCGAGACCAGCCTGACCAACATGGAGAAACCCCGTTTCTACTAAAAATACAAAATTAGCCGGGTGTGGTGGCGCATGCCTGTAATCCCAGCTACTCGGGAGGCTGAGGCAGGAGAATCGCTTGAACCCAGAAAGTGGTGGTTGCAGTGAGCTGAGATTGCGCCATTGCACTGCAGCCTGGGCAACAAGATCGAGGTTGCAGTGAGCTGAGATTGAGCCACTGCACTCCAGCCTGGGCAACAGAGTGAGACACTGTCTCAAAAAAATATGTATATATATATATATATATATATACACTTTGTTACAGTAGTAAGGACTTCTTTCCTGGGTCTGCCAAATTAAAAAACAGATGTGTCAATCAACTCTATGTAGCATTGCCTTTTATGTAAGCAGTTGAGATTTTAAGAAAAACAAGGGCCTGATTTTTTTTTTTCCTGGAAAATAAGGGGAGATTCCGTGACTTACCAATCTTTGATTCTTTTTCCCTAAGTAGGAAAAGCTGCCTATTTAAAATAAGTTCCATTCATTCTGAGTAGTGTCCATAATAGTCAGGGTTAAAACTAATACTTGGTGTTAAATATTTGGTGTTTAAAAAAACCAAAAAAATTTTAAAAGAAAATTGGCATTTATTTCATTTTATATAGCTTAGATCCCTGGCACTGCAAAGCAGTTTCCTTAAGTAAGATCTTAATATCCTGGAATATAGTTAACATGAAATCATTTCGAAACAAAAGATCTGTTGTTTGCTTCATCCACATAGTGAGAGGTGATTTAGTTTGGATGGGGTAATACAGTTTGGACAGAGAGCCACTCCAAGCATTTAAAGCAGAGGAAGCATTCTGAGGGTCTTGAGTGATGCCAAACCTCCTGGGTACTTTGAAGTCACGGTTTTGTAAGAGCTGACAACTGACTAGCTTTTTCTTTTCAGCTCTTGGAGAAGGCAAAGACAACTTTGTACAGTGCCCTGTTGAAGCACTCAAATGGGAAGAAAGGAAATGTCTCATCCTGGAAGAAATCCTGGCCTACCAGCCTGATATATTGTGCCTCCAAGAGGTGGACCACTATTTTGACACCTTCCAGCCACTCCTCAGTAGACTAGGCTATCAAGGCACGTTTTTCCCCAAACCCTGGTCACCTTGTCTAGATGTAGAACACAACAATGGACCAGATGGTTGTGCCTTATTTTTTCTTCAAAACCGATTCAAGCTAGTCAACAGTGCCAATATTAGGCTGACAGCCATGACATTGAAAACCAACCAGGTGGCCATTGCACAGACCCTGGAGTGCAAGGAGTCAGGCCGACAGTTCTGCATCGCTGTTACCCATCTAAAAGCACGCACTGGCTGGGAGCGGTTTCGATCAGCTCAAGGCTGTGACCTCCTTCAGAACCTGCAAAACATCACCCAAGGAGCCAAGATTCCCCTTATTGTGTGTGGGGACTTCAATGCAGAGCCAACAGAAGAGGTCTACAAACACTTTGCTTCCTCCAGCCTCAACCTGAACAGCGCCTACAAGCTGCTGAGTGCTGATGGGCAGTCAGAACCCCCATACACTACCTGGAAGATCCGGACCTCAGGGGAGTGCAGGCACACCCTGGATTACATCTGGTATTCTAAACATGCTCTAAATGTAAGGTCAGCTCTCGATCTGCTCACTGAAGAACAGATTGGACCCAACAGGTTACCTTCCTTCAATTATCCTTCAGACCACCTGTCTCTAGTGTGTGACTTCAGCTTTACTGAGGAATCTGATGGACTTTCATAAATACTTGCTTTTGTCTTTTTAATCACAGGAGTCTATTTTTTTTTTTTTTTTTTTTTTTTTGAGACAGAGTCTCGCTCTGTTGCCTAGGCTGGAGTACAGTGGCCTGATCTCGGCTCACTGCAAGATCCGCCTCCCGGGTTCATGGCATTCTCCTGCCTCAGCCTCCAGAGCAACTGGGACAACAGGCGCCCGTCACCACGCCCAGCTAATTTTTTGTATTTTTAGTAGAGACGGGGTTTCACCGTGTTAGCCAGGATGGTCTCGATCTCCTGACCTTGAATCACAAGAGTCTTAACAGGGAATGTTTCAGGAAACAAATAGGATAAGACAATGCCAGAGGAAGGATAGAAACATGGGAAGTTTCTATCATTTCATTTTCTGCGTTTCCAGCATGCCCTTGGAAAAGACTCCCTTTAGTCCCTTTTTCAATTAAAACCTATGGTGAAAAAGGCGTTTGCACTCCAATTTTGGCTTGTGTTGTTTTCTTTTCCTTAATATTACATTTTGATCATTTAAGGGCATTAAATTGGCTTGTTTTGGTCAGGTGTGGTGGCTGCTCATGCCTGTAATACCAACACATTGGGACGCCAAGGTGGGAGAATCACTTGAACCCAGGAGTTCGAGTCCAGCCTGGGCAACATGGCACGAGACCCCATCTCTATTTCTAAAATAATAATAAATTCGGTTATTTTGAAGCTTTTTCAATTTGAGGATGCTATAAAAACTTAGACTTGTTGCTTGAATCTTCCATAATAGTATGTAGGAGCAATTTCTCTAAACAGCATTTTAAGTTATTTATTTGTGGGTTTTTAAAATGTCAACAAAATGCATGGCAGTATTTATTTTTTATATCTTCATATAAAATTAAGTAAATTATAGCATTATGAACATTTTAGAACCATGCAAGAGAAGTTATAGAGAAAGTAATTTATGGTGATTTTCATAAAGCTTTAAAATATTTTCATTTGGGCTATAACAAAATGAGTACAAAGGAACTATTTAGCCTGGAGGGGCTTTTGTTATTTAAATGTCAGATTTCTTTGATACATTCTTCAAAAATAATCCTTGTCCTGCCTCTATGTTCCATTATTGTGTTTCTTTTTTTTTTTTTTGGAGACAGAGTCTCACTCTGTTGCCCAGGCTGGAGTGCAGTGGTGTAGTCTCGGCTCACTGCAAGCTCTGCCTCCCAGGTTCACACCATTCTCCTGCCTCAGCCTCCCAAGTAGCTGGGACTACAGGCGCCTGCCACCACGCCCGGCTAATTTTTTGTATTTTTAGTAGAGACGGGGTTTCACCATGTTAGTCAGGATGGTCTCAGTCTCGATCTCCTGACCTGGTGATCTGCCCGCCTTGGCCTCCCAAAGTGCTGGGATTACAGGCGTGAGCCACAGCGCCCGGCCTTATTGTGTTTCTTGAAGAGATTCCAATTAGTTTTCAATTATTTAACCAATTAGTTTTCATTATTGCTGTTATATTTAAACTTTACCATTGGAATAATATTGGTATGCGTTTGATATTAGTCACTCGATGTCATCATTATTTGTATTGGAATGTGCTATTCACAATAGGTTATTTAGAAGCTGTATGTGGCAGTGGCCAAGAGAGTCAGTAGGACCTTCTTTTCAGAGATAGGAAACTTTCTAGAAAGCCTGTTAATGGGCTTTCATTGAAATTTCCTAAGATAGCCAGATACTGTCATTCAAAATATCTAGAAAGAAGAATGTAAAAAGTTAGATAACCTGGGTCGGGTGTGGTGGCTCATGCTTGTAATCCCAGCACTTTCGGAGGCCAAGGTGGGCGGATCAACTGTGGTCAGGAGTTCGAAACCAGCCTGGCCAACATGGTGAAACCTCGTCTCTACTAAAAATACAAAAATTAGCTGGGCATGGTGGCAGGTGTCTGTAATCCCAGCTACTTGGGAGGCTGAAACAGGAGAATCGCTTGAACCTGGGAGGTAGAGGTTGCAGTGAACCCAGACTGCACCATTGCGCTCTAGCCTGGGCAACAAGAGTGAAACTCCATCTCAAAAAAACCTGGAATTCTCTTCCATCAGAAATAAAAGTAAAAATTACAGGTAAAGCCTCTTCCAAACAAAATAACTTATTGGTAATAGATATTTTAATTTGTGAGTTGTAAATACATAAGATTAATAAATGGTCTTTTAAACCTAGTGCTTTTAATGTCTTTGTAGTCCAAAAAGAATCTGGGAGTAGATTTTCTCCTTTAATACTGTTTTATCATAATGACCCACATATATCCATTCACACATGGAGCCTTCACTGTAAAAGTGAACGTACATAGATCTGTAGCTGCAACAACGTCCACTGAAATGGATCACTCATTCTTTAATAGAACCACTTTTAAAACAAATGAGGTTTTCAGAAGTAACATAGTATGCACAGAATTTTGGGGCTACTGGAAAGAATGACAAGCACGGGAACATCTACCAAATGTAGAATTGGTTCAGATTTTAGCATGACTAATTGCTAGTCATATGTTGTTGAGAACAATACTGATTAGAATACTCATTATTGCAGGTACATTGTTTACCTACCCCAAAATACTTCAACCGGAAGAGAAACCATGGCAGCCTTAAATAAATAAATCTGGATAAGAATGAAGGCCAAAATAATGTCTGAGTTTCAAGTGTTGTCTACCAACAAAATTAACAGGGTATGAGTTGAGGGTGGGCATATGGGTGCATGGGCATGCCACCAGACGAAATCAGTTTTGGAAACACCAACATATGATTGGTATGTTACTATGAGTTAAGGGGACTGGAAAAAATCCAGTGAAACTCTCGAGTTATCCTTTCTAGTTATCACTGCAGGAGATTGGATCCTTCACTGATGCATTATCAGGAACTGAAAAAGAAAATTTTTTTAAAGTCATATGTGAGCCTTCTAATAATTTTTTAGTAGTATATAAATCTTAATAGGTTGCTTTTTTCTTTTCTTTTGAGATACGGTATTGCTCTGTCACCCAGGCTGCAGTGCAGTGGTGTGATCATGGCTCACTGTAGTCTACCCCACGGGCTCCAGTGATCCTCCCACCTCAGTCTCCCGAGCTGCTGGGACCACAGGCACGTGAAACCATGCCCAGCTAAAATTTTTTACTTTTTTGTAGAGATGGGGTTTCATCACATTGCCCAGGCTGGTCCCAAACTCCTGGGTTCAAGTGATCCTCCTACCTCCACCTCCCAAAGTGCTGGGATTACAGCCATGAGCCACTGTGCCCCACCCTAAGTTGCATGTTCCTTGCATAGATCCCTTATTCCATCCATATGTACCTTTCATTCTGCTTTTCCTATTATACCCTATATACTATTGTTTCTGGTTTTTATTTTTCTATTTTCCCATACACTGTTTTGTCAGAGTCTCAGAAGGTAAATTGCAAATTTGAAGAGGGAGTAGGAATGGCATGAGTTTTGGTTTCCTTCATGCCACATTTCAGTAGATACCGTAGTACATGGTGGTAGTAACGACTGACTGGATTGTTTATTTAAATAAGGCATTATGGTGTATACATATGATGAAATTAACATTTGAGTTCCTTTGACTCCAAGAGCTTTACATACGATCTTAAAACTAAACTATAGACGGGGGCTCAAAAGGTCAAATAATTTGAGCAAAGTGATAGCAAATAAATAGTAGCTGAGTCAGGATTCAAACTCAGGTCTGTCTGGATTCCAAAGTGCTTGCTTCTTCCCCACCACCATTTCTTTGGCTTTGAGTGAACACAAACGGGGAGAATAGACATTGCAGTGTAGCAAGAGATTTGTTAAACATGGTCAAATGGTCAAACATGTAAGTCAAATACACATGAACTATCATACATACAGTGTTAGACTAGAAGCAGGATATGGTGGCTGAATACTGGAATATAATGGATTTCCAGTGGGTTTTTTTTTTTTTTTTTTTTTTTAAGATGGAGTCTCACTCTGTTGCCTGGGCTGGAGTGCAGAGGTGCGATGTCAGCTCACTGCGACCTCCGCCTCCCAGGTTCAAGTGATTCTCCTGCCTCAGCCTCCCTAGTAGCTGGAATTACAGGCGTGAGCCACCACACCCGGCCTGGATTTCCAGTTTTCTGATACAGTAAAGTCTAGTTTTGCCCAAAGTAGAACATTTGATACTGTTTGTGTACTTCAATCGTAGTTTTTAAAGGAAGCAATAAGAACAGCTACTCTAGTATTTCAAATTAAAGGAAAAAACTGATGCAAATATTCTGTATTCAAACCATTTTTTAAAACAGTCAAGATTTATAATGAAGGGAATGTTGCATATAGTTACATATATATGCATTATTTATCATGTGTGTTAGACTTGAAAGATTCCCAAGAATTAAATTCTAAAAAGAGAGAAAACTAAAACATGATTTCAGTTTTAAAAAAGGAAAGACATCCAAGAAATGAATGTGCATGCATAAGGAGCTCTAATCAACTCTTTCTTTAAAATGACATGTATAAAAATATAGGACAGGCAGACTTTTTACCTGGAGTGGATAGATATTAGCAAGAGATTTGTGAGCCATGGTCAAACACCAGAATGGCAAAGGCCTGGAACTAGGGCATGTACAATAAGGGGAGAGGAAAAAAGCAACATGTCAAAGGGCACAGGCTGTAACTGAAAAGACTTAGCTGTCACCAGTGTGACCCTGAACGAGTAGAGCCTAAGTTTTCTCATCCATAGAGTATATCTGCCCTCTCAACCTCATAGATTTGTGAGATCTGTAAAATAATATAAATTTTAAAATACATATTGTAAGTCACACAATAATAATGGCTAAGTTTCAAAACAAAAAAGGGAAGGGCCCTCTGTATTTCATGTCGTAACAACCCACTCCTAATTTTTTCACCAAAGAGAATAACCCTTCAATTTGAAAGGGCAGAACTAAGTGTTTATAGAAATTTAAGCCCAAAATAGGCAGAAGGGCTGACTGAAGGGCAAAAGATTGGTTGGTTGGTCTTTTCTACCCAGTTGTTCCTCTAGGCAGATGTGAGGTTGTGGGCTAGTGCTTAGGTTCTTCAATTTCGAGAGGTTGTCAGTTGTACTTTGATTTGTAATGTAGAAAGATCTGCCTTTGAATGACAAAACAGAATACCCACAACTCCAGCCCCTTGTTCCCATATTTCTTTGGAAAACTCAATTCTGGGAAAACATTCATGTAAGATTAGTCACACAGACAGCAAAACCTTTCTTGACAGAATGCTAGGCAAAGCTTTGCGTCTCCTAAGCATCTGGTAAACTTGGACTGTATGAATCTCAACTGGTTAATTTATCTTTATTGGCTGCCAATATATTCAAAGCCAGTATATAGCTGCATTTTAATGACTGTGTAACACTTTACAGCATATATTCTATTAGTTTTCTTTTGTTAATTTATTTAAAATTCCTTTTTTCTTCACTGAAATTTCTTGTACCTGTTTTTGTTGACTTCCATTTATTCTTTTTTTTTTTTTTTTTTTGAGACGGAGTCTCGCTCTGTCGCCCGGGCTGGACTGCAGTGGCGCGATCTTGGCTCACTGCAAGCTCCTCCTCCCGGGTTCACGCCATTCTCCTGCCTCAGCCTCCCGAGTAGCTGGGACTACAGGCGCCAGCCACCACGCCCGGCTAATTTTTTTGTATTTTTAGTAGAGACGGGGGTTTCACCGTGTTAGCCAGGATGGTCTTGATCTCCTGACCACGTGATCTGCCCGCCTCGGCCTCCCAAAGTGCTGGGATTACAGGCTTGAGCTGAGCTACCGCGCCCGGCTTTTTTTTTTTTTTTTTTTTTTTTGAGACGGAGTTTTGCTTTTGTTGCCGAGGCTGGAGTGCAATGGCGCAATTCCGGCTCACCGCAACCTCCGCCTCCCAGGTTCAAGCAATTCTCCTGCCTCAGCCTCCCGAGTAGCTGGGATTGCAGGCATGCGCCACCATGCCTGGCTAATTTTTTTTCTGTTTTTAGTAGAGACGGGGTTTCTCCATGTTGGTCAGGCTGGTCTCGAACTCCTGACCTCAAGTGATCTGCCCACCTCGGCCTCCCAAGGTGCTGGGATTACAGGCGTGAGCCACCACGCCCAGCAATTTATTCATATATGTAAACTATCTGAAACTCTTGTAGCAATAAAGCAGGATACTTATTAAATATCTTGCCACATTAAACAGGTTCAGGCTTCAAGATCCAGACAACTTGTATACAGGAATGGAAACCATACAAGTGGAAATGGGCCGGGCATGGTGGCTCACGCCTGTAATCTCAGCACTTTGGGAGGCCGAGGTGGGTGGATCACCTGAGGTCAGGAGTTCAAGACCAGCCTGGCCAATATGGCAAAACCCTGTCTCTACTAAAAACACAAAAATTAGCCAGGCATGTTGGCAGGCGCCTAATCCTAGCTATTCCAGGGGATGAGATGGGAGTATTATTGCTTGAACCTGGGAGGCACAGGTTGCAGTGAGCTGAGATCGTGCCACTACATTCCAGCCTGGATGACAGAGCTAGACTGTCTCCAAAAAAAAAAAAGGAAGATGGTGGAAGACTGCACATAAGGAACATGTATGTCTGACATCTGATTCTGGTTTCCACAGACTGGTAAACCTGCAGAGAACACCCAGCAAAATTCTGCAATATTTTAAAATTCAGTTTGTGGGAAACTTGTTTCCCTCCCTGCAACCCCCACCCCCACTTGTTTTTGGATGGGAGTGAATGGGGGTTCAGGCTAAAACTCAACTGGGAGTCAGAGGGCGAGTTCTTTGCAGTTCTGCCACTGACTATCTGAACCAACTGATGCGTCAAAAGTTTTCCTGAACCTTAGGTTCTTCATTTGTAATAAAGGAATAATCTCTAAGGTTTCTTAAAATTCTGATTTGAATTTTAAAACTCTGAGTTACTGCTGCCACTGCCCAAAAATATTTGGGAAACTTTTTGGAACTGCTTCCATATGTTTGATGAAGCTCTTAAGAAAACTTGTGTCAATCTCATAGCCACATCTCCATTTGAACCAAGTACGACATTACCTAGCTTGATTCACATCACATTAACTTCAAATGACACAGCTCTTTTTAAAACTAAAATCTTCAACAGGAAATTTGTCTCTGTTAAATATATGTAAAATTTAGATTCTCCTCTAAAAAGCCATTTAAAAGTATTTTGAATGGTAACATTATTAGAATTAGCATATAGCTTTCCAGAGTAATTTCTTTGAAGAGACAAGGCACATTAACTTGGTGTACTGTTTCATAAGACTCTTACAAAGTCATCCTAATTAAAGACATGTTAAATATAAGAAAAAGGCTTTAGAATCGATAAAATACACAGTATGTAGGTTTTAAAAAAGCTATTTGTAATACTATATCTCAAACTACCTTTTTCCATTTTTGGAACACTTGGGTTGGAACACAGAACCCTAAATGTTAACGCTTTCTTTATTGTAACTATAAGGCAGTGGTTCTAAAATGTTGCTGCACAATGAAATCACCTAGAGATATTTTAAAAATAAAGATGCCTGGCTCCCTTTCCCAAACACTGACTTAATTGGTATGGAGTAGGAGCTAAGACACAGGCTTATGAAAAGCTTCCCAGCTATTTCTAATGTGAGGCAAAGTAACCACGGGATTCAAGTGAATTAATGTCCTACAATTCAGAAATAATTTACAGATTATATAGATTAGTATTTTTCCTTTTTGGGCAGTGACAGTATCACTTACCTGAAATAGACAAGTTTCTCAAAGTTAAGACAGTGCAGGCCGGGTGTGATGGCTCACGCCTATAATGCCAGCACTTTGGGAAGCTGAGGCAGGTGGATCACCTGAGATCAGGAGTTTGAGACCAGCCTGGCCAACATGGTGAAACCCCGTCTCTACTGAAAATATAAAAAATTAGCCAGGCATGGTTGTGCATGCCTGTAATCCCAGCTACTCAGGAGGCTGAAGCAGGAGAATCATTTGAACCCAGGAGGCGGAGGTTGCAGTGAGCCAAGATGGCGCCAGTGCACTCCAGCCTGGGTGACAGAGAGAGACTCTGTCTCAAAAAATAAAGATTCTACAGTGCAATGGATGTGAACAATTATCTTGGGAGAAAGTTAACTCTGCTGTTAGTTTACAGCCTATTTATAATTCACAGCTTTGTTTTGTCTTTGATATGCAGTATTTTGCATTAAGCAATTATGGTTTTTTGGGTTTTTTTTGAGACAGAGTCTCGCTCTGTCGCCCAGGCTGGAGTGCAGTGACGCCATCTCGGCTCATTGCAACCTCTGTCTCTCAGGTTCAAGTAATTCTCCTGCCTCAGCCTCCTGAGTAGCTGGGATTATAGGCATGCGCCACCACACCCTGCTAATTTTTTGTATTTTTAGTAGAGATGGGCTTTCACTGTGTTAGCCAGGATGGTCTCAATCTCCTGAACTCATGATCCACCCGCCTTGGCCTGCCAAAGTGCTGGGATTACAGGCATGAGCCACACGCATGGCCAAGCAATGTTTTACTTGTATTATATTTTCCCTTTGGAAGCTGTGATGTATTGTTTTTTAGTCTTGAACCCAAAGCATTACTACTGAGTTGCAGTGTTCAGAAAGATAGTTATGGGTGCTCAAATAAGTCTCCCTGCTGCACGTGAGTGTTTCAAAGGTTTGGAGGTGTGACACAGATAGGAGGCAAATCAGTGCCCTTGTAAAGGGTGAGCAGTATCTTATTCTACCATTAGGGCTGGCATCACAGTGTACTGAGTTCCTACAGAGTATGTTTTAATTATGGGGGACAGTGATTGTAACAAAGGGGCTGAAGACTAGATGAATCACAACCACTGAAGACTTGCAGTACTTTGAATGGTTAAAAGCTACAATAAAAGGGAAAGTTGCTTTGATAGCTGTGGAACTAAAGGGTTACTCTTGCCTGCCAAAAATAAAGTGCTCTGTAGTACCCTCATAAAAGTAGGATAGGAGACTTAAAAGCAAAAGGATCATAAGAGACCTTATAAATAACTCCAAGGCCAAAATTTTCTTTAGTTTGTCTTAGTAATTACACATGACTTGTTAATGTGATCAGAAATGTACACTCCTGCGTGTATGCGGTGTCAGACAGGCCACTAAGTAATGTACCAAGTGCCCCATCCCTTACATTCTGGCTTCACCACCACACCTCACTGGAACTGCCCTCTCATTGTCAGTGTTAAGCTCAGTGGCTTTTTCTTTAGCCTGATTTGCTTTGCCTTTCTCCACTTAATGTTGCCACCATATCCTGAAATGTTACCTTATCTGTCCTGTTTATTCTCTATGAATAGTCCTTGACATCCGTTGCTGATTCTTTTTCTTCTCCCCCAACCTATCTTTATATACTTTACTCTTTCTACTCTTTAAGTTCTGAGCTAACTCACAGATCACTCCCCAACCTGAATGGTTTCCACACCTATTTCAGAAACTTTTATTTTGATGTCTGTCACCTCATATCTCAGTAAATAAAACTGAACTCCAATGTAGGTGAAGGAGGAACGAGTTGTCCAGAAAGAAGCCATCAATGGATGACTCATGAGGTATGAATGCCTAGAATATTTGGGAAAAAATGAAATATAGCCCAAGTAAGTCTAAAAGAGGAGTAGCAAGAGAATGAGGCTTGGGGAGACAGGAGGAGCCCAGATCAAAGGACTTTAATTGCTATGCTTAGGCATATCTTTTTAGCAAGAGATGCCATTGAAGAATCTGAAGCAATCACAAAGGTTCATGAGTGATGAAAGCTGCATTTAGAAAGCTCTCAACTGGTAGCCTGGAGAATGGATTAGAGAGAGACTTGGTGAGACAAAGACAGGGAGGATGGAAAAGAAAGTATTTAGAAGGTACTATGAGTAGAAATTTGGTTAATGATTAGAGGAGGTAAAGTATCTAGGATGGCCCCCAGGTTGCTTCTAGTATGAGTAATGGGTTGCTGGTATTATTTATTGGGCTAAGAGAAACAGATTTTGGAGGGAAGAGAGCTCAAATGGATACTCAGGAAGAAACAGCCAGTGGCAATTAGATAAACCCACCTAAGATACAGTAGTGCCTGCTTCAGCAGCACATATCCTAATACTGGAACGATACACAGATTAACACAGCCCCTGCACAAGGATGACACGCAATTTCATGAAGCATTCCAACAGAGAAAAAAAATGACAGCATAAAAGTCTAGGCTTTAACAATAGATTTGGTAGTAAAAACCATAGGCATGGGTGAGATTATCTAACAATTATGTTAGTGAAATAATAGTAAACGTCTAATAAGAGTGTTTTCTATGTGCCAGACACTAGTTACAAATCCTTAATATATTAACTCATTTAATCCTGACAACAATTCTATGAGGAAAAGAAGAAAGAAGCCCATAGGCAGAAAGAACAAAGAAAAAACAAGTTGGTTAGGCAGGAAGTAAACATGGGAAACCAAGTAAGTTTTGAGAAGTAGGCCATGAGATTAAGTGAACCAAAGTGTCCGTTTAATTTGACAGTTGGGTTACTGGAGATCTCATGGAGAACTGTTTCTAAGCAAGAATTCAGACTGCAGGCTATTTGAAGAAAAAGAAGGGACAGAAAGATAGGCTATTAATTGTTGGAGCAAGGAGACCAAGTAGGTGTGAAAGGGAGATGCTGGGCACAGGAGGAAGGGCACCTCCTTCCTGAGACAGGTGGTAAGGATGGATGTTGGAGTAACTAAATCATCTGTAACAAGGGGTCCAGGAATGGAGAGAATTCACAGCTCATGACCATGTTCTCTGTAGAGGTATACTGGTTATCTGGTGACAAGGGTGGTGAAGGCTGGAATTGATGCTGGAAAGTGGCCTAAAGAATAAATTGATAGACTACTGATCATAATTTAAAGATCTAGTGAGGCTGGAAAATGTAGTAGCATCAAGCCAAGGTTATGTGGGGTTTTTTCCCTCTAATACACTGGACACAAAAAAGCAACTATAAATTATATTGATTTATAGTTTGGAAGGGCTGAGATTAAAAGCCATAGCATTAAAAGGGCAGGAAGGATGGGGGTGAGGCACATCATTAATTTCAATCTGCAACATTCTGATCAGTATATACTGTCAACATGTATGTTTCCAAGTCTAGACTTTTTTTTTGAGACAGAATCTCGCTGTCACCCAGGCTGAAGGGAGTGCAGTGGCATCATCTTGGCTCACTGCAACCTCCACCTCCCAGATTCAAGAGATTCTTGTGCCTCAGACTCCTGAGGAGCTGGGATTACAAACATTGCACCACCACTCCCGGATAATTTTTGTATTTTTAGTAGAGACGGGGTTTCACCATGTTGGCCAGGCTGGTCTCAAACTCTTGGCCTCAAGCAATCCACCCACCTTGGCTCCCAAAGTTCTGGGATTACAGGCGTGAGCCACCGCACCTGGCTCCAAGTCTAGACTTTAGATGTGCTTATTCTCAAAGAGAAAAAAATTTCCAGTAGAGTAGCAGAGGTAGCTAGATAGCCCTGGTTTAACCCTGTTAGAACCGATTAAGAATCCAGCATAGAAGCAAAGTATTTAAGCATGTGACTTATATTCTCAGCAAATGTTCCCAAAATCAATAAATGTCTGACCTGAGTGTCTAATATGCTCAGCACTTGGGGAGAGGGGTAGGTATGGCATAAAATATAATCGTTGCTCTAAATGAGTATTATGGAAGACATGACAAACAAATGAAGTCACAGTGCAATAAACAAGATAATACAATTAAGTGCCAAAGCACTTAATATTGATTTTCAAAGCTGAAATATTTTGGAAATGTTTTAAAAGGAGACAGAATTTGAGAGTAACTCCCAAATGGGAAAATAATCAAGTGAGTTTTTCTTTGAGCTTTTGTATAAAAGTATCATCAATATATTTATGGAAAAGTTTAAAAGATTACAAAGGGAACTGTTATAAACAATTTCTGACCTAAGTAGTATGTGATCAATTAAAAGACAAAAAATATTATGTATGAGTTCATCTACATTTCTAAAACATGTAAAAATAGATAACTTTTCTTTGTAGTAGAAAGAGCATTAAGATATGGAGTGACAGACAGTAGTAAAATTACATAGTTTATGTAATCCTTCAGATACCTTAACTTCCTAATCTGTAAAAGGGCTAGAAGAGTAATTGTTCTTTTTAATCCACAAAAGGTCTGATTGTGAAACAAATGGTTTAAAGTGTTTTACAAATATAAATTCTTTAAGTGCAGCCAACTAAAATACTAAATTCATTACGTTAAGCAGAACATTATAGTTCATCATAATTAGAAAGAAACTGGCAACATGCAGATATTTGCCAAATATTAATATAATGGAAGTAGAATTTCTTCATGCAGTAGTTGGGAAGGAGAAGAGAGATGTTTTATCACTTCCTAACTAAAACACTTCTATACTGACTTTTAAATATTGTTTAAAATATCACCAGAGACCAAAACAGAAGATAAATTTCATTTCTATATTTCAGAAAACCTACTTGAATACACTTTGAAACAAGAGTACAACAAAATAGAATATACTTCAAATGTTGAATATACAAACTATTATAGTTCAAAACTGAACACTGGTATTTCCCTCATAAACTTCAACTAAAAAAAAGAAAAAAAAACAAAGAAAACTCCAGGTATTAGAGCTACCTGCCAAAAATTCATGCTGAGCCTGAACTTCCAAGTGACAGCAGAACTGAAAATGGTATGTCTGCACAAATGCCAAGGCTAAGTGAGTGACACAGGCATGTTACAGCAAAAGGCCAGAGCCAACTGTTAATTTGTCCACAATTAAGAAACTGACAGACTTAAACTACCATATAAAATGTTACATGTATATTCTATAACAATACTGTGCTAGGTACAAGATTTTTAAAATTTTTCTTTTAATAAAAAAGCTTTACACAAACAAGCCATTAGCTTATTTCAAGAAAGAAAATCGAAAATTAGTCTAAGGCCTTTGTTTTAAATCAGCTTAAGCTATATGATATATATATATGTATGTATATATATATATATATATATATAAAATCGCACTAGATCTTTTTTTGCTATCCTCTTTCTGAAGTTTTTGGGATCCATTCTTCAATTCACATTCTAAAATACCTATATTAGCAGAGTCTTCACATAGCACCAGTTAAGTGAGAACTGTGCGAACACAGTAATAATTGCTGGTATGCATATAAAATGCATCAAAAATTGCTATATGTAACAATGAGATTACCCATCCCAACCCCTCCCACTGAAAACTATATAACCTCTTACAGAATGTTAGTGTTCCAAGTCTTAGTGTAACTTGATATCGTAGTGAGCTGCTTGGTCCCTTTCGATCCTTTTTCTTATTGATGGGTTCAGTTGTTTCCTACTGTAAGAGGCAGTTTTCTGTCAGCATCTCAATATGTAGTTCATTTCCCACTGAAACATGGGATAGGTAATTTATTTCCAGTAAGTCTGATTGTTTTTGTATATGCATTAAAAATGTTTTAAAGTCTTCTTTGACTTTTCTTGATGACTTCCCTTGCAAATGTTTATGTCAGTACTGCCACTAACAGCCTGAAGTCCATGGTGGAGCTGCTATTTTATTTCTCACATGTCACTAGTCCTTCTGTTTTCATAGTTACAGGAAGGGCAATAGCTGAAGGCGCACTGACAACCACTACGTGGGTCACTGTCTTATTTCCATCTGCTGGTTTTTCTTCTACTAGCTGCAAAGTTTTCACATCATGTTCTTGCTTTTTTGCCACTGCTTCCGATTTAACCTCTGGCCCCTTTATGACTGCACTGATAACTCGAGGAGGAGTCTGGCCAGATGCCTGCTGAGTAGGCATTGATAGTCTCATTACAGGTGTACCATGGGCTATTGAAACAGGGGTAAGTGCTCTCACAGCCAATGGGGTTCCAACAATGTTAATGCTTCCTGATCCAGTCAGATTTGACTTTGTCTGCAGTTGACACTGTGCAAGCTGTGTAGCTGGGATGGTAATAATTTTGGCAGGCTGCATGGTGATTTTGTCTCCATTTTCAGTAGAAGCTGGCATCACAGTAGGGATTGTCTGAATGACTACCTTTGGAGAGGTCGCTGTTGTTGGACTAGTGCTGGTTATTAATGGTGCACCTGCATTAACTGACTGAACTGCCACAGTTGAAATTTTCTGACCCAATGATGTCATTACAACAGGTACCTGCATTGCCACACGAACTGTCCTAGTACATTAGAAAGAAAAAAGCTGATTATATTTAATGCCAACTGAGAAAATAGGTCTCCTGAGTAAAAGATTAATACAAATCCAAAATGTGTAAAATTAGTGCTCCCAAATTTTACAGAGGTACTGGCAATCCCTGATGTTTGACACAAACATACCATGATATATTTTAAAAACTAAAGCCTACATTAAGCTCCATCTATAAAACCATAAAAACCAATTCAGGTTATTTAAGACATCTACTTTTTTTTTTTTTTTGGAGATAAGGTCTCAGTCTGTCACCTAGGCTGGAGTATAGTGGTGCAATCTTAGCTCACTACAACCTCCAACTCCTAAGCTCAAGTGACTCTCCTGCCTTAGCTTCCTCAGTAGTTAGGACTACAGGTGTGTGCCACCATGCTCAGCAATTTTTTATTTTTATTTTATAGAGAGGAGGTCTCACTACGTTGCCAAAGCTTGTGTTGACCTCCTGTCCTCAAGCAATCCTCCTGTCTTGGACTCCCAAAGGGCTATGATTATAGGCGTGAACCACTGAACCCAGCAAGACATCTACTTTAACAACAATAAAAAATATAATTAAAACATCAAGCACTTTTCAAAGTCCTGACAACACTGGGTTCTTAGAACACTAATATTAAGCAAAAGGACATTTTGTTTTCACCACGGAGACTTTTTTAAAAAGTAAATACATTGTAACTAATGGTTTGCTTCACTTACCTTGGAGCTGCTGTTGCTGACACAGATGCAGTGGTAGTAGGAGACCTGGATGAAGCATCGTGCCCAGGGGAAGTGATATTCACAACTCTAGCTACACCCTTCTCTGCTCTGGAGCAGTTTATAGGGGATGAATTTTTTCCACTGCGAACAGAGGATGCTGCTTTCAGGAGACTTTCTGCAGACAGTGACACTCGTTCTAATGATTTTTCATCAGTAGTTCCTGCTAAATCTTCATTACAGGTTTCACTTTTGTCATCATCTATGACCACTATGTTTTTCGGCATATCCTTGAACTGATATACAAGCCTCTGTCCTTCAACCTTTGCAAGAATTCCCCTTTGGTAGTAGTATCTGTAAGGGGAAAATGTACCAAATGAATCAAGTATATTATTTCTTCACCCCACTCCACCCCCGCCAAAAAGACCACATACAGTGGATACTAACAGAAACATTCCCTTATCTCTAATAACAGATGAGAAAAAAACAAACTCTTACTGCCTAGATTGCTCAAAAGGTTACAAATTTAGAGTAGGAATCAAGTTGGAACCTGGGGCCAAGGTCCTACAAACTTAAGGTCTATAAACTGGCTGAAAGTTCATTCTTTTTCTTAAAAGAAATAATTTACCTTACCGTTGACTATTTTACTATACTGACAATGGTAGAAATTATTTTCTGATTTACATAGGTTGTAACAACAAACTGATATTACTGGAAAAATTACCTAAGCCACACTTACTTAGTAGAGATATGTGAATACTGTCACATAAACAATGTGTTCACTTAAAAACACCCTTAATTAGAAGAAGCCATGTACTTTACAATGAAAGAATTTTGTGGGTTTATCAAACTGATAATTTTTTTTTTTTTTTTTTTGAGAGTCTCGCTCTGTCACCCAGGCTGCAGTGCAATGGCACAATCTTGGCTCACTGCAACCTCCGCTTCCTGGGTTCAAGCGATTCTCTTACCTCAGCCTCCCGAATAGCTGGGATTACAGGCGAGCGCCACCAGACCCGGCTAATTTTTGTATTTTTAGTAGAGACAGGATTTCCCCATGTTGGCCAGGCTGGTCTTAAACTCCTGACCTCAAGTGATCCACCCAACTCAGCCTCCCACAGTTCTGGCATTATAGGCGTGAGCCACCATGCCCAGCCAAACTGATAAAACTTAAGATAAATTTTCCTATCAACATAAATCCATTTATAACAAACCCCTAAAAACTAAAAAACAAACTAACTTTAGGAACCATAATTTGTTTAGGTTTAATTTTTTTTTAAGCCTACAACTTCATAATTTCTATTAAGAAACACTCCTAAGTACAAAAGCACATTTTCTGCAAAAATGAATTTTCCAATTATGTTAAAATTATAAGCACGTAGACCAAACTCCTATCTCCCCACCTACTTCCAAATCTAAGAAGCTCCTCTAGAATATCCCCCAAAGTTAAAAGTTGTAAAGGATTTTCAGCTTCTCTTTAAACAGCTAATAGACATATAAAGAAATACATAAATTTTGTTTGAATACTAGCTCATTTGAGTTTTTACCTCAAAGCTCGTCCCATGGTTTCATAGTTCATGTCTGGTTTGTTCTTATGCTTTCCCCAAAGCTTAGAGACAGCCTTTGAATCCACCAGCTTGAATATGCCTTTTTCTCTCTGAGTCCATTTAATATACCTGGGACAAGTATTTTTATCTTGAAGTAGATCTAAAAGAAACTCCCACAAATAGGTTGTGTTTCCTTTAAAAACAATGACAGACATTGATTAAAATTCATTAACATAATTAAATACATAATTAAAAGCAAATAAAGTGTCCTTCATTGTATCATAAAAATCCTGAATATACTTGTTTCTACTTTTTTTTTTTTTGGAGACGGAGTCTTGCTCTGTCGCCCAGGCTGGAGTGCAGTGGCACAATCTTGGCTCACTGCAACCTCCACCTCCCAGGTTCAAGCAATTCTCCTGCCTCGGCCTCCCGAGTAGCTGGGATTACAGGCACATTCCACCACACCCGGCTAATTTTTGTATTTTTGGTAGAGACAGGGTTTCACCATGTTGGCCAGGCTGGTCTTGAACTCCTGACCTCAGGTGATCCGCCTGCCTCAGCCTCCCAAAATGCTGGGATTACAGGCGTGAGCCACTGTGTCCGGCCTGTTTCTACTTTTAAAAAAATGGTATCCCCTATGTATGCTTACAGTTATGATGCTAAAATACAGGTTCTGGCTTTTATACTATTACATATCACACTATCCTAGATTTTGAGTTCAGTAAAGGCAAAGGCATAATTGCTTAGGCAAAGTTAACCTGAATTAAACAGAATCAAATTTATTAGTTTATACAGATTTAAACTGAATAAATTTATTTACACCTTTATCATATGATAAGCCTAAATTCCATGATCAAAATTCACCAAAAGGGACTTAGTAATTTTATTGGATACACAAGCAAAATACAACGAAATGTGTAAAACTTTTAGGCATCAGACCTAGGGTCTTTTTGTAAGAAACTTACTTTTCTTTGATTCACCTACAGGCATGAACTCTGAGGTATATGTATTATTAAGTGCAAACTACCCTCAACCCTTTAAGGATTTTCTTATCATTTTCCTCTGTACTACCAGTCAATTAAGACTTGATAGCAAAGAACATTACTGTTGGCGGGGTGTGGTGGCTCACACCTGTAATCCCAGCACTTTGGGAGGCCAGGAGGCGGGCATATCACGTGAGGTCAGGAGTTCGAGACCAGCCTGGCCAACATGGTGAAACCCCATCTCTACTAAAAATATAAAATTTAGCTGCGCATGGTGGCGTGCACCTGTAATCCCAGTTACTTGGGAGGCTGAGGCATGAGAATCGCTTGAACCCAGGAAGCAGAGGTTACAGTGAGCTGAGATCGCACCACTGCACTCCAGCCTGGGCGACAGAGTGAAACCCTGTCACAGGAAAAAAGAAAGAAAAAAGAACATTACTGCCTCTAAAAACAGATTTAAAAAAATTTTCTAATCGCTTTCTACTGATTACACCCAATAGACGGAAGATAATGTTTAAAGGATTTCATTATATATACTTATATCTTAAATTCTGAGGTCCTAAAATGGAAAAATATGGTAATTCCTTAAAATTAGTCAAGTATTCATCAAATGTTAACTGTAACATTAGCTCTGGATCACACTACTAGTAAAATTTTAAAATGAGGAAATATTAGAATATTTCTGCAGAATAAAATGCTTATTCATCGCATACCATGCTTAAGGAGATGAATTTAAAACCTGGTCCCTGCCTCAAGGAATTTATAATTTAGTTGAGAAGGGGAAAGAAAGTAGATGACAAGTTAAACAACAATGCAAGAAATAAATAACAATTTGAAACAATATAAGATCTATCACAAAGCAATGCATAATTAATTATATTCCAAATAATCTAGAAAATATGTCTGTGGGATTCCAAGAGTGAAAATAAAGTGGACTGGGAGGCCATCATGAAGTCTTGGAAGATGGCTAGGATGTGCATAAAAGAACAAAAAGGAATCTGGGCAAGTAAAAAAAAAAAACTTAATCCCAAAAGGAAGAAAGTATCACACTTTTTTCTCCCTTATTATGGAGGAGAGAGTAGTAGGCAGCGGTCATTAGAAGACGCTTTTCAGATTGTTTTTATTTTATTCCCTTCATAACCTCTAGGTGCCAAGGTTCTTATTAATAGAAGAACAGAAGGCTGGACGAGGTGGCTCACGCCTGTAATCCCAGCATTTTGGGAGGCCAAGGTGGGTGGATCACCTGAGGTCAGGAGTTCATGACCAGCCTGGCCAACATGGTAAAACCCTATCTCTACAAAAATACAAAAATTAGCCAGGCATGATGGCGGGTGCCTGTAATCCCAGCTACTCGCAAGGCAGAGGCAGGAGAATCCCTTGAACCCAGGAGGCGGATGTTGCAGTGAGCAGAGATCACGCCACTGCACTGCACCGCACTGCCTGAGCGACAGAACGAGACTCCGTCTCAAGAAAAAAAGAACAGAAAAGAGTCCTGAGACGAAAAAGATAGGTCATCTGTAGGATTCCATGCACTATTCGTTTACTATCCTTAAATCCAGTTCTAAGATACAGGCTATGTGGGAAGCTTCCAAAACAAGCCAGCACTACCCCAACACCTTCAGTCAAAGTACTGATGTTTTGTCTCTGGCATTTCACTTTCATTGTGGCTTTCTCTGAAAATCCAGTAAATTCATTAATAACACAGAGTTCAACCCATTATGCATCTACTGACCTGAAAAAGCTGACCTTCGGCCGGGCGTGTTGGCTCATGTGTGTAATCCCAGCACTTTGGGAGGCCGTGGCGGGCGGATCACCTGAGGTCGGGAGTTTGAGACCAACCTGACCGACATGGAGAAACCCCATCTCTACTAAAAATATAAAAATTAGCCGGGCGTGGTGCCACATGTCTGTAATCCCAGCTACTCAGGAGGCTGAGGCAGGAGAATCGCTTGAACCCGGGAGGCAGAGGTTGCAGTGAACTGAGATCATGCCATTGCACTCCAGCCTGGGCAACAAGAGCGAAACTCCACCTCAAAAAACAAAACAAAACAAAACAAAACAAAAAAAATGACTTTTAACTTTACAAAGTTACATTTGTATCTCTAGGACCCTATTACACCAGCATCACTACCTAAAAACTATTAAAACAAACCATGTATAATCTTCAGTTATTTTCTTTTTTTTGCATTTTTATTTTGTTCACATAGTAGTAAATGTGAGCAAAGATTTTACTCTGGAAGAAATGTTTGTATAACATAGACAATGCCCTGTACATAAGATATCTGAATGTTTCCATGTTTTGAATTAAACTCATCAAAATCCCTCATATTATCTTTAAACACTCACTGCACCCATGTTGCCATCCCCAAGTTAAAATGAACAATTCTAAGGAGGCCAAGGCTGAAGGATCACTTGAGCCTAGGAGTATGAGAATAGCCTAGGCAACATAGGGGGACCCGTCTCTACAAAAAATTTTAAAATTAGCCAGACACGGTGGTATGTGCCTGTGGTCCCAGCTACTTGGGAGGCTGAGGCAGAAGAATACTTTAGCCTGGGAGGCTGAGGCTGCAATGAGTTATGATCCTGTCACTGTATTCCAGCCTAGGTGACAGAGTGAGACCCTGTCTCTATAGAAAAAAATTATTAAAAATTATATTTCTGGTTTTAGGGAAAACAGGATTCAGAAAGAGAAGCTTTCTTTACCAGGTAATAAGGAATTTGCCTATGACTATTATCACAATTTTACAGAAGAAAAAACACTGGCTGGACTTTGAATACAGGTTTGACTGTAACAGCTTCAATTAATTACATTATAACACACTGCCTCAAATTTAATACAAGACTGAAATTGTAATGAGATGTGATTTTAATTGGTAAAAACTGGTCACAGTTTTTCTCCAGCGTTAAGCAAAAGATATTCAAGTATAAGTGATACCACTGAGGATAAGAATTATTTAAAAAGACAACAGTAATAACTGTATATTTACAGTTTAATTTTCTAATACATACTATGTTAACTTTTAAAGTTTTCAATATAAACTAAAAGAAGAAACCTAAGATGTTAGAAGTGTACAACAACCAAAGACAAACAAGGAAATAAGAAAAGTATCCTAAGCCTCTCCCAAATTGGGTCACCAGTTCCTGAATGTGTTCAATGTCACCTTTTTTTTTTTTTTTTTTTTTTTTGACCTAATGAAATACCAAATTTCTTGGTAGGCTTACTGGAGACAATTTTTTTTAAACTAGACTTAATTTCTGTTTTAATTATTTAAAATTATTAAATCAAACCACCTGATAAGGACAGAATAAATTTAAATATATTAATGTAAAATTTATCCAACTATTGAATATTGGTCTGAAAACACTTATTCATGAAAGTGATAAATTTTCGGTTATCAGATGGGCAGACAGAACACATCTAAAACCACTACTGAAATGATACTTTATCTGTCAGAATCTGAGTGACAAGAAAATTAAAGGCCAGGTACGGTGGCTCATGTCTATAATCCCAACACTTTGGGAGGCCAAGATGGGAGGATCGCTTGAGGCGAGGGGTTTGGGACAAGCCTGGGCAAAACAGGGGCACTCTGTTTCTACAAAAGATTTTAAAATTAAAAAAAAAAGATAATAAAAATAATTTTAAAAAGAAATGTTACTTGAAATCATCTTACTCCACAAATTAGGAAAGCACAGAATGGGGGAGGTTTGGTGCTGTTTTCATTTTTAATCAGGATACACAAATTCTAAAGCAAAAATAGGCAAGGGGCAGTGGCTCACGCTTATAATCTCAGCACTCTGGGAGTGTGAGGCCGGAGGATCTCTTGAAGCTAGGAATTCGAGATCCGCCTGGGCAACAAAGCACAAGACCCCCATCTCTTAAAAAAAAAAAAAACAAATTAGCTGGGTGCGGTGGTGTGTGCGTGTAGTCCCAGCTACTTGGGAGGCTACAAGCACAGTAGCGCAAGGCTGCAGTGAGGTATGGTCATGCCACTGCATTCTAGCCCTGTCTGTAAAAATAAGTCAATAAATAAGCAAAAACATGGTTTTGTTCTGAATTGTGACTGATGTGACTGACATTTATTGATTGGAAAATTAAATTTAGCTCACCTTGAATTCTTCTAAACAGTTAAGAAGTTATGTATCAGGCTAGTTGCAGTGGCTCATGCCTATAGTCCCAGCACTTTCAGAGGCTGAGGCAGAAGGATCACTTGAGCCTAGGAGTTTAAGACCTGCCTGAATGACAGTGAGACCTCATCTATACAAAAAATTAAAAAAAAAAAAAGAAAGAAAGAAATTAGCCAGGCATGGTGGCATGTGCCTGTGGTCCCAGCAACTCAGAAGGCTGAGGCGGAAAGATTACTTAAGACCAGGAGGTCAAGGCTGCAATGTGCCATGATCACACCACCACACACCAGCCTGGGCAACAGAGCAAGACACTGTCTCACAAAAATAAGAAAAGAAAGAAATTATTAGAAACAAGGTTTAGTTGTAAACCCCTTTGAATTATGGGTAGCTATATATGAGGATGGGTGCTATTATCCTGTAAGTCAATGGTTCTTAAGGAGGATATGTATCAGACATCCTTTGGACTTTTTCCAAGTCCCTATATCCCCCATGATACAACTATGGTTACAGAATCTCTGTGGTGTAGGAACTGGGCACAGATATTTTGAAAAAGCTCCCCACGTGATGCTGATACATCCCTTATTAAGAACTATTACCAGCGACAGTATTCTCATATGTGCATGTACTAGAAATAGTTTTCTTACAAATACAAAAATGTCACCTAACTGAAAAAAAATCATCTCACTTCCAAAGCAACCCTCCCCAAATTACCTTTTCCTTCTCTTGGTTTCTTCTTTATACCTAACTCAGGAGACCCATTGGAAATTGGTGATTGCTGGGTCTTTGGTTTACGGCCAACTGAAAAAATAAGATATTGAAACCATACGTTGAAAACAAGAAAAATATGAGAGGCACGATTAGCAGACTTTCTGATTACACATTATTCATTTAAATGGATACTAATTTGTAGATGAATATACTCTATGAAAAGCTGCTTCTAAAAGGAGTATTACAAACACTTTTGTATTTTAGATTACAGCAGTTAGTAGTAATCTCTGTCATACACATTGGCAGAGCCTCGATTGCCATATACATTGGTCAGAGCCTTGATTTGCCAATCTTTTTTTTTTTTGAGACAGAGTCTTGCTCTGTCGCCCAGGCTGGAGTGCACGATCTCCGCTCACTGCAACCTCTGCCTCCCGGGTTCAAGCAATTCTCCTGTCTCAGCCTCCCAAGTAGTTGGGACTACAGGCGCCTGCTACCACACCCAGTCAATTTTTTGTATTTTTAGTAGAGACGGGGTTTCACCGTATTAGCCAGATGGTCTCGATCTCCTGACCTCGTGATCCGTCCGCCTCGGCCTCCCAAAGTGCTGGGATTACAGGCGTGAGCCACTGTACCCGGCCTTGCCAATCTTTTATATTAGTGTAGCAATAGAAACAAATCCTAGTAAAAACTTAATTTGTTTTCTGTTCTACAGGATGGTGAGAAACAGCTTTAGCAACTTATTGCAGAAGATCTGATAATTTGCAAAGCCCTTTGAACTCAAATGAGGAAAAGTAAAAAATATCAAACACTCTCTACTGCTCTGGATCAGTTAATTCACCAGAATTCAAGCATAAGTGTTTCAATTTCCCCACTTCCACATGCAGATACATCACAAGGCTAAAAAAAACTTCCAAGTGATTTCATATGTCTAATAAAGGTTTGTGTCCTTCCCTTTTGTTCCTCCTCATTTTTGCCATAAGGCTCTCTCAGACAGACTAGCATCCACAATGAATAGAAAAAGTAAGGGCTATATACTTTTCTACACGAAAGAGGATTAAGCCTGAAATTAGTTATATTCAATCCTGAGCACAAATGAACACTGGCAGGTGAGAGGCAGACTCAAGAAATAAATTGGGAATACTTAAGTATGTTGTATTTTAAAATCAAATACATATATATACACACACATAAATACATACACTTTTTTTTTTTTTAAGAGATGGAGTCTCACTCTGTCACCCAGACTGGAGCGCAGTGACGCGAACACAGCTCCCTACAGCCTGGGCTCAAGCAATCCTCCCACCTCAGCCCCCTAAGTAGCTGGGACTACAGGTGTGCACCACCACGTCCAGCTAATTTTTGTATTTTTTGTAGAGATGGGTTTTACCATGTTGCCCAGGCTGGTCTTGAACTCCTGAGATCAGGAAATCTGCCCGCCTCAGCCTCCCAAAGTGCTGGGATTACAGACACGAGCCACAGCACCCGGCCATATTTTAGGATCAAATATATTATTACTGATTTGGTGACTGTTCTACATCTGAGATTTCTGATGTCACTCTATTCTTCATTAGGAAGCATTAGATTAATTATATAAAGAGCTAATTAAAGCATCTTAACATCTGTATTTCAAAATGCACAGATATACTTTAGAATTCTGGTAATTGTAATCAGAAGTCTGTTTTAACAAAAAGTAAAACAGAAAGTTCACTGGTCTCTGTTAGAATACAGCTTAATTACTCAATGTAAATAATATTTATACATATGAATCAGACAGTAATAAAACTAACATCTTCAGCATCTCCTAAATTCTAGCACAAAAGCCCAACTTAGTAGAAAAGTTAGTGCAAAAAGGCTTAATATATTTTCTCATAAAGCGGCACGTCCAAAGTCATGTTCCTTGATAAATTTCCTCCATAGGAAAATGGGTTCTATAGTCATATTAACTTTTAGAACACCATATGCTATCTTCTCTTGGAAGACAGCAAGATCCACAATGCACATTAGTATATTAAAGGCTCTCAAAATAAAAAGAAGTACTGCTATTAAAAAAGAACCTATCTAAGTTTGTATATCCCAAATGTACTTAACCACAAAAATATAAATAACGATACTCTTATTCTTCATTGTCTCCCTTATGGTAGTAAGTACAGACAGAATGGTTACATGTATTTTTTTTTTTTCTTTGAGACAGGGTCTCACTCTGTCGCCCAGGCTGGAATGCAGTGGCACGATTATGGCTCATTGTAGCCTCCCAGGCTTAAGTGATCCTCCTGCCTCAGCCTCCCGAGTAGCTAGGACTACAGGCATGTGCCACCATACCTGGCTAATTTTTTTTTTTATTCCTCGAGATGAGGTCTCACTATGTTGGCCCAGGCTGGTCTTGAACTCCTGAGCTCAAGCAATCCTCCTGCCTCAGCCTCCCAAAGTGCTGGAATTACAGGCCTGAGCCACCACACCCAGCCTTGTAATTTTTAAATGGTCACTAAGAGCTTTCACAGAAATAAATAAAATTGTATTAAATTGGCAAAGTATTTCCTGGATTATATCATATCACATCCTGGCTCCCTACATGGCCCCTGTTTTTCATGGTGTTTTCCATCTTCTTTTAAATGTGGTGTTTTTTTTTTTGAGACAGAGTCTTACTCTGTCACCCAGGCTGGAGTACACTGGTGCAATCTCGGCTCACTACAACCTCCACCTCTCGGGTTCAAGCGATTCTCCTGCCTCAGCCTCCCGAAAAGCTGGGACTACAGGCATGCAACACCACGGCTGGCTAAGTTTTGTATTTTTAGTAGAGACAGGGTTTCATCATGTTGACCAGGCTGGTCTTGAACTCCTGACCTCAAGTGATCCACCCACCTCAGACCCCCAAAGTGCTGGGATTACAGACGTGAGCCATCATGCCTGGTATTAAATCTAAACAAACATTTCCTAAGTATTTTGTGACAGCTCTCATTGGATGCAACCAGCCAAGTGCTATAGCAGGCAGTGGGTAAATAAGGCTATTTATATGTATGCCTTTTGTTTTTAAATGCTTACATCAGGAAGTAACTCTTCCTCCTAAATTCTCTCATGTATACCTCTCTTGAGATGCATATAATCTACATGTATTACAAGTGGGAAGACACTGTCTTATTCTCATCTCCCTTACAACAATGACCACAGAATGGTACACACTGTGGCAATCTGAAACACTATATTTAATGAAGAAAAGAAAATACCATTATTTCAAACCCACCTTTATTTTTGCATTTTACTCTAAAATGTGAAGAGTTAGAGAAGAAAGGAGAATTAGATGAATACCTAATTACTTAGAATGTCATGTCTTTCCAATTTTACCTTTGATTTCAACAGAAAAAGACCCACTTACTGCCCATTTCCTCATGATGTTGAAAATGTGGTAGTGGGATGGGGGGAGCAGAAATTTCAGCAGAAGTCAAATAGTAAGTGGAAATGCTCTTTACCCACTGGTGAGTTTAGGTCAATCAGAAGTCTCTATCAGCAATCTTAGTGTTTCAAAGCAGAAGGTATAAGGTAAAAATAGCATGATATATAATAAATGTGAATATTGTATATAGTATGATATAAATGATATATATATTTAGTATGACTATATATGAATATGATATATATCATATATATATCACTGTTTATTTAGGTTTTTTGAGATAGGGTCTTGCTATGTTGCCCAGGTTGGCCTCAAACTCCTGCGCTCACGAAATCCTCTCACCTCCTGAGCAGCTGGGACTAAAGGCGTGCCTGGCTTTTTAAAAAATATCCATGAAAGCAAGGGAAGACAAGACTTTGTAAAATAAAGAATAAAATGTTGTGCGTGTGTGTGTGTGTTTTTTTAAGTAACCAAGTACCCATAAAAGGATCAACAAGGAGAAGATGGAGTAAGACAAGGTGCAGGGAATCTCTGATCTGCCTTCTGTGTGTCGAACACCTGTTAAATATCATTGTCAGGCAATTATCCTCAAGCCTTACATACTAACTCCTTTAAACAGTATGAGTACGTTAAAATACTAAATTTAAAATCTCAATGTTGATTCTTTGAGAATATCTGGTTAAGATAACATCAATCTTAAATCTACAGCATATACTACTTTCTATGTCCCTTGATGAGGAAAAAGATAAGAGAAAAATTTTCACCTGCCTTCTCAGAAATGTATAAATATACTCTACCTTTTTTCTTTTTCATTGGTTCATGGCTATCTGGTGATGTTGGAATAGGAGAGGTATCCATGGGTTCAGACTCTTCAGTTGACACCTCCACTACAGTTTCTGTAATGACATCTGGCCTCATAGCAGCATGGATGAATTCTGGAGTTGATACACAAGGAGGAACAAACACTTCCACTATAAAAAAAAGTTGAAAAATTAAAATTTCCCACCCCCATCAATGTTTCTTATGTGGACAGTTCAATATTTAGAAGAGGCGAGGTGTGTTAAGAATTAATCAAAGCAGGATAAGAGCTTAATACTGAAGAAGTTAATTTGCTGAATATTCGATATGATTTAAACTACATAAGGAAAATAAATGCATGGAAAATCAACTTAAAGGAAAAATGTTAATCCTCTGGGTAAGGCAAGGATCATGAGTAGTCACTCCACTCTTTCACACTTATACTTTCAAACTAATTGTAGAAAAATTCTAAATTATTCTAAGAGTTGTGAAAACATTTGAAAATAATAGTATAATAGTGAGTTAGTTAATAATTACTTTCCATCCACATATCCGTCATTATTTTTTAACAGGTAATATATGCATGTGGCTCAAAATGTGAAAGATTTATAAATATGTACTCAGTAAAACATAAGCACCTATAGTTCATTTTAGAATATGAAAAGGAAAACTTGCTCATTACAGACAAGAAATATTACCTTTCGGTATTTAAAGTTTTATTTAATGTAACAGTCCTGATGTTTTAGTCACTAAAACAGTAGGTACAAATTGTTATCTGGTATTCTAGTACATACAGTAATGTTGCTCTGGCTTCCTTCTAATGTGCACAAATAACCAAGATATGACATTTCTATTTCAATTAAGAGATACAATTAATACATACTATCTTAGATTAATAGACTGACCAAAAATGCTACAAATTTATTCTCATATCTCTGAGTAATACACAGGATTCTATTCAAATTAAGAAGTATGGTTGCTCTTATTGTGAATCCCAATGAGAAGGTGAGCCAGTATTTTTGTATCAAGTCAAATTAACATTTGGGCATTAAATTAAAATTAGGACAAATCAGGATTGGACAAAATGACTATCAAAGTTTTTCTTAAAGACTAAGAGGGACCACAAAAAAATAAAAACTCACACTGAAGGATGTGTGAAAAAAATGTCAAAAGCTCCCTTGTCTCTCTACCATGTGTGGTTCTCTGGAGTTACTGCCTATTTATCATTGAATAAAGGATTGAAAGTGGTCCTAACAGGCAACTGCTCCCATCTATCATACTCTGAAGGACTATGAAGGCTTATAACTTGCCCAGAGTTAAGGAAATAGACATGACAGTACAAATAGCTATTTAATAAATATTTGTCTATCTATAGTGGGTATTTTCTGTATCATTTGTTATGAAAATTAAGTATTTAAGACTTGGAGGCCTTGACAAATAAAGTTCAATTACTGCTGTCATGTATTCATGTGTAATGTACCTTTGAGAATTCCCAACAATTCCATTGGATTAAAAAAACAAAAAACTTTATTTTAGACATATGAAGTAGTATGACACGTTTAACATAAGAATGAACAGTTTACATACCAGGACTTCTTGAATCCCTCAAGCAGGTAGGAGATTCCATATGAAGCAGGGCTTCAGCAGCTTCAATTGTCTTATCTGTACAGTGTGCATTACTGCTGTGAACTGATGCTTCCACTGGAGGAAAAATAAGTTCTACTCAATTAAAAATACACTAAACACATGACTAAAACATATTACTAAGAAATAAACATATTCACTCCTGAAAGAGAAATGAAAAATAAATAAATATAAAATAACATGACTAACTCTAAGCCATTGATATCTATTCGTCTATATAAATTACAGAAATAATTTTTAAAAAGCTAATATCTACATTTTATAAAATGAATACTGATATAAAATGAATATTGATTATGAAGTAACCAATGACATTGATTAGAAATTACTGAGAAGTTGGCCAGGCATGGTGGTTCATGCCTGTAATCCCAGCACTCTGGGAGGCCAAGGAGGGTAGACCTTGGTCAGGAGTTGAAGACCAGCCTGACCAACATGGTGAAACCCCGTCTCTACCAAAAAATAGAAAAATTAGCTGAGCGTGGTGGCACATGCCTGTAATCCCAGCTACTCAAGAGGCTGAGGCTGGAGAATCGCTTGAACCCAGGAGGTAGAGGTTGCAGTGAGCTGAGATCGCACCACTGCGCTCCAGCCTGGGCGACAGAGTGAGACTCTGTCTCAAAACAACAACAACAAAAGAAATTACTGAGAAGTTTCTGAATCTTACTCAAAGGAAAACAAAGAAAGATCCTTGAAATTTGAACCCTGCATCAATTTTAGGCCAATACTAACTTGTGGGAAGGGAGGAAGGGTCAGGGAGAGGCTGGTTGTAGATTAAAAACCCTGTGAGGGCAATTATATATTTTGATGTATTGCCATTAAAGCCAGGGCACCTAACAGAACCATGCTGCGCTAATTTAATCAATTAATTCAATTCTTACAGACCCTCTTGAATGACTGAGTAGAGTAAGCCCTCCGTGTCCAAGGGTTCCGCATCAGCAGAGTCAAACAACCTCAGATTGAAAATATTGCAGGGGGGCCGGGTGTGGTGGCTCACACCTGTAAGCACTTTGAGAGGCCAAGGCGTGCGGATCACGAGGTCAAGAGATCGAGACCATCCTGACAAACATGGTGAAACTCCATCTCTATCAAAAACATAAAAATTAGCCGGGCGTGGTGGCGGGCACCTGTAGTCCCAGCTACTCAGGAGGCTGAGGCAGGAGAATCGCTTGAACCTGGGAGGCGGAGGTTGCAGTGAGCCAAGATCACACCATTGCACTCCAGCCTGGGCGACAGAGTGAGACACTGTCTCAAAAAAAAAAAACAAAAAGAAAATATTGCAGGGGAGGGGGAGGCAATAAAAAAAATACAACAATTAAAAATACAGTGTAAATACTACAGCATTTTGTATAAGGGACTTGACTGAGCATTCTAGGATTTTGGTATCTGCCAGGTGGAGGAGACATCCTGGAACCAATACCCCAGGTATACTGAGGGACAACTGTACTCTCCAGGCAGAGGTGACTAAAGATGGATAACAACATGCATTATATTTACTGCCAGAGTACTTGAGAACTTTCTTTATAATTAACCTCGCTCTCTTCAGAGCCTCAGTGGGTTTTAACCTAAGACTTTTTCTTAGAGTTTATTCTTCCCATGAGGCCTTCAAATTCTACCACGCTTTGTATCTCTCCTCTTCTAGCACTTCCTTTATGCTTTGCTGATTATGTTACTTGTAAAACAATGTGTACAGCAGTCAGTGGTTTGGGCTTTCAGGTCCAACAGCTTGGGTTCCAGTCTCTGCCACTTATTTCTGTTACCTGAGGTAAGCAACTTAATCTCTCTCATAGAGCAAGAATATGATAATTTCTTATCATTCCTGTAAGATTATAAACTTCTTGAGGTCTGGGGGGCTAGCTTAACCCATCTTTACATATGCCATGGTTCCCAACATAGACTTTTCATGGAGCAGACATGCGGATTTTTATTTTTATTTTTTTTGAGACGGAGTCTCGCTCTGTTGCCCAGGCTGGAGTGCAGTGGCATGATCTAGCTCACTGCAACCTCCACCTCTCAGGTTCAAGCGATTCTTCTGCCTCAGCCTCCTGAGTAGCTGGGATTACAGGCACATGCCACCATACCGGATTAATTTTTGTATTTTAGTAGAGACGGGGTTTCACCATGTTGGCCAGGCTGGTTTTGAACTCCTGACCTCAGGTGATACACCCGCCTCGGCCTCTCAAAGTGCTGGGATTACAGGCATGAGCCATCACGCCAGGCAGGTATTTATTTTATGTACTGAATTAAGGACAACCCACTGACCTTACAAGAAAATCAGCAATTCAAGAACAAATTTTATTATCTTAATAATATATTAATTTCACATCCTGACTTAAAATGTTGAACAGTTAACTTAGTAAGACGTTCTGAAACATGAATATTTAAGAGTCTCTAACTTGACAGATTTTTTTTAAGATGTCCCCTAAAGGAACTAAAAGTAAATGTTTATACAAATTTCATAAAGTCATATTACAAATTCATAAGCACTATACACTAACGATATGAATCTTTTAAAATTGTTTCCAGGAAACTTTTAATTGGGGGAAAAAATCCAGTTCATCTCAAAGTTCCCTAAATGCTAAAGCCTCAGTCTTAAACAACAGTCATTTGGAAAGCATTTATTTTAAAAATCCAATGACTGTTTTACCACCTGTTGCACATCATCCACAAGGTACTGGGTCTCTCCAGTTGCTCTTTCCATTTATGGAAATCTGTTCAAAGCTAAATGGTTCCAGAGAGGCAGCCAAACCTCTAAGTAAATCTATCTTTAGGTGACCCTGCTTACTCTTATCTGCAGCTTCACTGAAGCAAAGGATTCAATCAGCCTGTGTAGCTCAACTTTAAGAAAACTTAGCATTATTAAGTATAAGACATATTATCATTCTCAATTATTGTTTTCAAAGTGCCTCCCTACAATACTCACATACACTAAGAAAAAAAAAAAACCTTCAATTCTCCAGTTTTTAAAATTTATTCTAGCAAGCATTCTCTTTAAAGTCTGCTTGTGTTGCAATTTAGCTCTTGTCTTAGGTGCTATTAATAAACTATCCTGGGCAAACTAATTCCTTATGTAATTGTATTAAGACACACCCTAAAACTTTACCATATTAAAATCAGAGCTTCAAGTATTCAATAATAATACAGCAAGAGAATTTTACCAGTTTTTTTAATGTTTCAAGTTATAAACAAAATGAAATTTGCCTAACAGTTACATATTACGTGCCCTGAATTCTTACATAGTTTGAGGCACATTTTCAAAACCATGATTTTGTGTTATTAAAATTGTTATGTCAATGGAAATTACTTCTTCAAGGTGTAATTCTTGCACATATTTCTGACCTCAACTTCCCCTTCCCCCCTAAAATTCAACATATTATATCTCAGAAATATTTTATATTTACAGAGTAAAATACATACTTAGAAAATTTACTCATTCATACTTTAAATTTACGATGACAACATAAAATATGCATAAATTACCTATGAAGTTATCAGCCAGAAGATCTAATACTCTACGTACAACTGACAAATCGTTGCTGACATTTACCATGTGCCCAGACCCTGTGCTATAAACCTGACACAAGTGTGAACAGATTTCTGGCCTCATGAAGCTTATACTACTATAGGTTGGGCATGCCTTATCCAAAATGCTTAGGACCAGAAGTGTTTCAGATTTCGAATTTAAAAAAATATATATCTGCACTATATATTTCCAGTGGAACATCCCAAATCTAAAAATCCAAAATGCTTTAATGAGCACTTCGAGTGTCACATCAGTGCTCAGTTTCAGATTTTAGAACACTCAATCTACAGTTCAGAGAGCATTAAATGGAAGATATTTCAAAACTAAATAAAAATGTAAAATAAACTTACTTTGTAAGTTACAAGCATGTTAAGAGGAACACTGATTACTTTTTTACTGCTTACTAATTTTATCTCATCATTTTTATTTACTAACTAAAATAATGCAAAATACAAAAATCTAAGAGGCTGTTCTCAGATCAATTTACAATAATGTACTAATGCCAGTTTCCAAAACTTAACACATTTTGTAAAAGTGAGCACTATCTTTTTATTTTTGTTTACATAAGTCAAGTAACTTTTAACAGAAATTTAAGAAATATTTCTCCTACTTGTGTCTGTAATTAAAAAAAAAATACTATTTTGTTCAGATCAATAATTCAAATAAAATTTAAACTATAATTTTGCACATTTAAGAATAAGCATGAATTTAACAGTGTTGTGCAATCAAAGTAAGCAAGCTACAAGCAAGAGCTGAAAAGTAGAATTCCTTATCTTACTTAAAACTTGACTTACTGGTATCTTTCTACATCTATGAAATTTATAGAAGGAAAAATAAATAACTCATTTTAAAAATAGAAACAATGAAGCTAAAAGTAGTCTGACAGGTATCATTTTCTAGTTACCACTGGTAGTGGCTATTGCTGGTCAATCCCCCTTGAAATAAATTTCAAGAACTGTTTTACTTTTTATTACAGTACCAAAAATAATATTTGCTTGTACCTTCATTTAATATTGGTAAATATCTTCTTGTTCCATTTCTATCTTTCTAATCAACCGGTGTTTGTATGGTACTGAAGACTATTCCAGACTCACTCAACAGCTGTTACAAAATACCAAACTTGGTAATTAAGTCTGACAAGAGGCATACCTCTCAGCTTTGCATAAAAGAATGCTGGCAATGGATCTAGTTCATAAAAATGTTCTCAAGTCAAAAATAAAATTTAGTAGCAATTTAGTTTGAGAGCAGTGAAAAAAAATTAGAAAACACTTCATTAGGTGATAGTGGTATTCTCCTATAAGCAACACTATAAACTAATAGTACAAGGTCTTCAGTCAACTGCAGCACCCGATTTACCACTACTTATCCTCTAATGCCCCAAAGCTATACCAGTAATAGGTAAATGAAGAATACAAATGAAGGCAATAAAAAGGGGGAAAAGGTAATTAAAGGTCTGGAATACTCCATCTTCACCTTTTCCCCCTTGACCTTTTAATCAATATACTTGCATTATAAAGTATAAAAAGGAAAAAGAATGGCAATTCTTTTTTTTTTTTTTTTACACTCTCGGAGGGGGAGAGCGAACTGCCCTCTGCAAGATGAGATCAGCCAGAAATTAAGTTTAAATTAATTAAAATTAAAAATTGAGTTTCTTAGCTACATTTTAAGTACTCAGATACATGCGGCTAGTGGCTACCATACAGTACAGACCTAAACAACACTGTAATTCAGCTATCCTCCGACCTTTTTTATCTGAGGACACTTTTACACTCAAAATACTGAAGACCTCGAGATTTTATCTGTATTTATCATATTTGAAATTACAAAGAAAACTTCAAAATTATTAATTCATTTAAAATAATACACCCATTACTGCAACCATAAATAACATTTTTTATGAAAAATAACTGTTTTTTGAGACAAGGTCTCGCTTTGTTGCTCAGGTTGGAATGCAGTGGCATGATCATGGTTCACTGTAGCTTAGATCTCCTGGGGTGTGATCCTCCTACCTCAGCGTCTCAAGTAGATGAGACCACAGGCACGCATCAGCACACCCAGCTAATTTTTTGATTTTTTTTTTTAGAGACGAGGGTCTCACTATGTTGTCCAGGCTGGTCTCAAACTCCCAGACTCAAGAGATCCTCCTGCCTTGGCCTCCCAAAGTGCTGGGATTACAGGCATAAATCACCATGCCTGGCCAAAAATAACTTAAAATAAAAAACAAAAAGTAAGTAGCTTTGTTTTTTACATTTTTGCAAATCTTATTATACTTGATTCAATAGAAGGCAGCTGAATTCTCCTTCCTCTTTCAATCTATTGGAATAACCCATCTATACATAGCTCCTAACTCCTCTGTACACTTTTGAAAGTGACAAGGCAAATAATGTCCCAGTATTATTTTCAAAACAGTTTTGTCTTTACAGATCCTGTGAAAGGCTCTTGGGACTCCCAGAATCCGGGTCAGAGAGTTTGGTTTTTGAGAAGCGCAGCTGTAATTCATCAACTGTAATTAATAACAACCAAATTCTATCCCCATGCTTATATAAGTTTTAGCTTCTAAACATAAACATCAGGGTGTAGATGACAAATTATGATTCTAGCCTAGGAGCTGTGGCTCACACCTATAATCTCAGCACTTTGGGAGGCCAAGGCAGGTGGATCACCTGAGGTCAGGATTTCAAGACCAGCCTGGCCAACATGGTAAAACCCCATTTCTACTAAAAATACAAAAATTAGCCAGGAGTGGTGGCTCACGCCTGTAATCCCAGCTACTTGGGAGGCTGAAGTGGGAGAATCACTTGAACCTGGGAGGCAGAAGTGAGCCAAGATTGTGCCACTGCACTCCAGGCTGGGCGACAGAGGGAGACTCCATCTCAAAAAATAAAATAAATGTAAAAAAAATAAAAATTATGATTCTGTAAGTAAAACAGTATTTGTCTACTCACAGATAAATGGTTTTTAAAAAGCTCTTCTTAAGCATTTCTTTGCATCCTTTTGAACATTTTGCTATAGATGACACAAGGAATCATTTTAAACAATTATCAAACATGAGGAATTATTTTAAATAGTTATCAAGAACATTCTGCTGCCTGCCCTTCTCCACCAACCAAATTTGTTTCTAAAATAGTTTTATGTTGAATGATTCTGATTGGCTATTTACACACTGACTGATGTGACCATGTAACTCAGTTTTTACATGAATTTTAGTACCAATGCTGCAATGAATTGTGAAGGGTAATTTCTTAAATTCATTTTCAAATGAGCTTTTTAAAAAGAAAACTAGTGTCATTCCTTGAGTTTCATTTTAATGTATCTATTCACATACTGCTTTTAACTTCTTTTCATACTGCTAATTTTTTTTCAATTTGATCTTTTCAAGATTGAGACTACATATTCCAATTTATAGTAAATCAGAAATGAGATTTTCAATTTCATAATGAACTTTAATAAAATAGATTTGTTTTCTGTCAGTGAAAATATTTAGGCTAAATTTCCAGAAAAATTTCACCTTCATTTAATAACTGCATTGTTGACCAAAACTTCTGATTACCTTATTTCGCAAATGTAAAAATAAAATAAAATAAGAAAAGACAAATAAAGGAAAAAGTCAAGAAAGGTATACTTGAGAATAAGGCAGAAATCTTCCAGAAAATCCAGACTGTTCATACACAATACTTTAACATAAATATTAGGAAAGTAACAATGCTAGACATTTGTTTTTCCTATATTAAGCTATATACACTAGAAATGAGCCTAAATTATTAATTAGACTATATTACAGACTTAAACATATAAAGAGCCTCAAGTTCCAATTTGGCACACATTTTTATTTTCAAAGACTGGATAAAAGAAGTTAACCTACCAATTACATAACGAACTTATAGACATATTCATTCACATGGTGTAATATTAGAAAAAAAAAAAAAAACCCAAGGAGAAGCCCTACCTTTCCATTAAGTATTTCCAAGCCACTTATTTTAGAGCTTTAAAAGTCATTAGCAATCATCTAGTCAACCCTGTCTTCTTAGAGAAAAATGAAGCCCTAAAGATGTTAAGTCACTAGCTAGTTTAGTGACAGCTAGATATAGATCCTCAACTCTTCAGGGTCAAGGCTCGTTCTCATACATCATATTGTCCATGAAATTTTAAAGTACGTCGAGTCTTTACTACAAACATACTTTGTAAAATGACAGTGAGTTTTAATAAATAAGCTTATTTATTTCATCCTTTACTCAAACTCCTCTGGCAGCATAAATGTTTATAGCTAAAGGAATGCACATGTGATACTTAACACCTCAAAAGGAAGAAAAGCAAAAGTATATTCGAGCTTAACATGTACCTTAACATGTAGCGACAGTGATAATATTAAGTGTTATATACTTGCTTAGAAACATGTTATGCTGAAAATATTAACCTAAAGCTTATCTCCTCTAGAAGTTGTATAAATATCATTCTACACTAATCATCAACCCATTATAGCAATCACTGGAACTATTTTTTACATTTATACATTATATAGATTTTCACCTGTCTCCCCAGACTGTAAAATCTTTGTGAGGAAGAATTCTCTGTCACACCTGATGACCTCCCTCAAGGAGATAAAAAGGTATTCTGTCCATTACACAAATACAAACTTTAGAAACATTATCCTACCAATGCTATTGAAAATTGGCAGCAATAAAAATTTAGAATCATGATTCCTAATCTTCTGGGCCATCTTTCCTCCCTAACTTTTAACACACTGAATAAACCTTGGGTAAAAGAGCAAACCTCTCTCAAGTTTCCTTCTAAAATAAGGCTTGTAAGGGAGCTTCAGATTACATGAACATAATTGGTGACATAACTTGAAAATAACTGTATGTAAAACATATTCTTTACAGAACATTATTATCATAAACTTTAAGATTCGTATATAGTACAGAAATGCAGTAGAGCTGGAAAACAGCACTTTTTAAAACCCCTTATCAAAAGACAAAACTTTTGTCTTTTCAAACCAAAGACAGTCTTTTATATACACACATATATACTCCAAGGAGAATACCTACAGGCCATATTCAGTTTCACCGGTAATTCCAAAAGCTTACGAAAAAATAGTTTCCAATGGCAAAGTGAAGCCCTCCTACCTTTACAGTATTTTTCAAAGTTTTGATGCAAAGGCATTCTAAGGTTCTTTCCGTGTGTTCGCAGCCACTGGAAACAACATCTCTTGAACTGTACATATTCAATATTCACAGAAATATCATTGACCCAACAACTTCACGTATCGTTAGTACCAATAATATAAAGCCAAAAATTCCATCCCTTAATTCATATTGTAGTAATGGACAATATATACAAAGGAATCAAGTTCTCATTGTGCTCTCTTACTAAACTTAAGTTCTTGTTCTGACCAGAAAGCAACTGTCAAACAGATGTGTTTTAATCACTACTCAGTAAACTGCATTTTCCTTTGGAACCTCTGAAACACATATTTTTACATTTTATAGAATAAAAGACTGGTCACCACTGTGTTGTACTCAATACATACATATTATTTCAGACTTTGAACCTAGAGCGCTTCCGTTAAATTTTGATACATGTGTTCATGATTTCCCCCATCGAACTGAGTCACAGAGTTTTGCCAAGCAAACTACTAATTTCAAGTCCCTTACCTAAAAACAATGGATGGAAGACTGTTAAGATCTTTTACAGAATTACTGTTCCCTGAGTATTTCTCATCGTCCACTTCCCATCCATGGCAATATGAAATAGGAACCGGGAAGAGGAACATGTATGCTTACTATTACAGTAAGTAAACAGTATTCAAGCAGTGCTACATCGATCCAGGGCCCTCACTGCGCTGTCTGCTATTAAGCAAAGCTGCTTTTTCTATGTAACTTAAGTCCGTGCCCTTCCGCTGCAGCAGTGGCGCCGCACATCCCCCACCCCTGCGGCCACTTCCGTGTTTACACTCCTCTTCCCTCCAATTCCATGCGTACATTGTCAGCTTCACTCCCGCCCAATCTTCATTGGCCCAGCGCGGGCCCGTAGTCCCGCCCCCAGAAATCAACGTTCTAATTTGGAACACCTCAGAGAGCAGATTGGAACCAGAGGCCTGTCAATCCCGTCCGTTCTGTCCTTTCCGAGGCGCTTCCGCTGTGGTGGGAGGTTTGGGGGGGGGTAGAGGGGAAGGGGGCAATTCCGTGCTGAGACTTCCCTAGGGCCAAGACTCCCTCCCTCCCGCCTCGCTCCTTAACATTCACCCACTGTTTACAAAAATAAATGTTCTTCTCTGACGCCGCAACCCTCCAGGTCAGGGGTACAAATATATTCCGTGTTCTTCCCATTCTCCCCCTAAAAAAACAACCCACGAGGGAAGGGGCATAAACCTAGTTTCTTCGCAGCCACCCGTTAAATGAGCAAAGGGAGGCGGGCCCCTGAAACATCATCCCGGTTACTCAACATTATTAAGTGACCCTGTCCAGGACCGTTACTCCTGAGACTGCATAAGGTGGGAATGTGCGGAGGAGGGAGGGTCAGAGCATTTTTTTTTGGCGGGTATCGGTCCACCGGACATCGCCCCTGGCTGCCTGGTCCATGCGGAAGTCATGGAATTGTGGACGAAGTCTGAAGGGAGAACCGAGCGGGGGTGGCGAGCGTTCGCCGGAGAAGCCCGCCGCCCCCGAACGCGGGCAGCAGCGGCCTCTCCGGCCAGACAGCGTGGCAGGCGCAGCCGAGAGACAACAGCCTCACTCACTTCCTGGTTCCTCAGCAACTGGGGTGAAGCGCACAACTCGTCCGCCCCCGAGTGCCCAACTTAACCGCGGCTCCGTTCTCCAGCACCCGCTGCCAGCGCTCAGCCCGGCAGCTGCTGCTGCTGCTCGCCGAACCCACCCTGAAGCGACAGCGCCGGATTCGAGGCAGGTTACTCTCCAAGGTGATCACTTCCTGATTCGTCGCCTCCATTACTTCATTCACTCCCCCCTTTCCCCCAGCCGCCCCAGTGACTGTGAGGTGGACACTGTACCCCCAGCACAGACTGCTACAGGGGAGTCACCCCGCCTTCTGTGCACCCCCTCTCCTGCTGCACCGATGCACGGGAGAAAAGTTCCCCTGTCCTTACCGGCCCGGATGAGCAGATCCAGCTGGTTCGTGGGTCCCTCATGCAGAGACGTCGCCATGTTTATCCCGGGGCTGGAGCTGCTGCTTCACATTGACTTACACCGTGAGCAGCGGCGGCAGGGGAGGAGGCGGAACCCGCGGCCGGAGACACACGCCGTGCGACCGACACACACTCACGCACTCGCACACACTCCGACGCCCGGATCCTTGCGCGTCCTCCGACAGGAAGCCGAGGCCGGCCCGCCTCCCGCCGCCGGGCTGAGAAACCCCACCACCTAACGGCAGGGGCAGGGGCGGCAGGGGCAGGGGCGGCGGCGGCGGCGGCGGCGGCTGTGGCTGTGGCGGCCGCCGCAGCTGGCAACGCGATCCTTCCGCCCCGCGCCCAAACAGGAAGTCCCGGACGCTTGCTCCAGAGAGCGGCCGCAGCCTGCGGCGAGAGACACCTGAGGCTGGGAAACGGCTCCGGGAGCCGCGCGAGGACACAGCCCCTCGGCAGGAAGAGGCACATTTCACGCTCTGCGGAAGAAAAGTCTGCAATTGTCCCCCCTCTGGAAAAGAGCCATTAATCATATTTTCTTCCTGGAAGCAATCTAATACCTAGTCCTGCAGCTGTAAATAAAGGTGGCTATTTAACTTCTTTTGGCTTTTTCAAACCTTATGCAACATGTAACCAGTTCACTTGAAACATCTGCACTTTTAAGACAGGAACACCAACAAAGTCATACCTAGAACATATTCTGAAAGCATTACTTGGAAAATAAGGAGTTTCCAACTACTTTCTGAGACCAACTTCGTCCTTTTCCCTTAACAGAAGTGTCAAAGAGCACATTAAACGGGTATTTAGTAAACAGAACACACCAACCTCTGGAGATGAGACTCCCCCAATATGCTAATCATGAAATTCATGTACCCTTTCATTTCTGTTTGGCTCACTTGGAAACAAATTTATATTGTCATTTACTTCAAAAAAAAGTAATTCTTGCTGAAAACTAACCTAATTACAAATACATATTAAAATACAATGGACAAGGGAGATAAATCGCCAATTTAATGACTATAAATTTACTGAACACAGGAAATCAAACCAATATAATGACGAATAACGCTTCATTAAAATGCTTCCCTGGTTTCAGAATTTAATAATACATAAATTGTTTGAAACAAAGGGTTATGCTAAAGTTGTCTGCACACAAAACTTACATAAAGGAACAGTGCCTCCTACAGAGTAAGTGCTCAATAAGTATTTGCTGAATAAACAAAAAGATCTGGCATTACAAATTTAAAATAACAAGGTGACAATTTTTATGATCCGAATTGACTGAACTGTGTAGAGAAAAAAATGTTTTCAGTGGTAATATTAATGCGATATCATCTTATAAAAGCTTGCCCAACATGAGTGCAGCATCAGAATGGATTTACATAGCCCATGACTATTTTTTCTCATTTCTCCTAATATTCATTTATTCTCTTGGTCCTTTTACCCTACCCCTATCACCATGATCCTCACTCTCCCAAAAAAAGAACCTACATGCTATTTCCAAAGTACAACTCCTCTTTAAATAAGGATCTCTTTCTTGAATTAGGTAAACCTGCCATGTATGGGACATGGTAGCTTTTATATTTTATTGCCAATCAATTTAAAGTAAGCATCATCCTTAGCTGGGCATTGTGGTGGGCCTGTGCACCTAGCGACTCAAGTCTAAGGCAGGCCATTTTCTTGAGCCCAGGAGTTTCGGGTTGCAGTGAGCTGTGATCGCACCACTGCACTCCAGCTAGTTATTAGAGAACCACAGTTAGTCCACTCCTTCACTTTACACATTGGGAAACTGAGGCCCCAAGAAGTTACTTAACAAAGGTTACAAAGTGTCTTGTTACTTCAAGGTCAAAACTCTTACAAAACAGTCTTCTATAAAATTTAGAAGTTATAAAAAAAGTTAAATCCATTTTACTACTATTATATTTATAGTATGATAAACTGCAAAATGGTTGATTTTTTTTAATGTCAAAGGTAAAGCAATGGGAAGTTAAAAGAGAAAAATGGAAGAAAAAAGTTTTGAGAAGTGAATGAGAGAATAGGAAGAGGCCAAGCTGTCAAGTTTTTCTCATACAACTAAACAATGAAATTCAAAGTTGGTACCTTGAGCATGTTTAGGGAAAAAACAGGGTCAAGAAAACCGTAAGAAAAATATGTCTGTGAAGCACAACAAGCTGGAATCATATAGTTTAGGAGCACCAAGTAAAGCTTGGTCTGTCAACATCAGAAAATAGACAATAGTTACAGAAGTGCAGTCTACAGATGTACAAAGAAAAAAGATGAATTATTTCATATATTTTATACTACTGCTTAAATGTCTATTTGAGCTTTTTATGTTACTGATTTATTTAATAGTCAGGTTTTATAAAATATTATTAAAATGAAGATCTTCGAACCGTCATAAACTAATTCACTTATTCAACAAATTATTATCCAGTACTTACTTTAAGCAAGTTTCTGTTATAGGTGCTTATTAAGCTGGTAGCACTAAATTATATAACAAAAGGAAGAAATTAACCCTTCTCAATTCATATAGAACTCCCCACCCACCAAGGGTGAAAGTCTTAGAGACAATATGATACACAAGACTGCTTATATATGAAATTAAATAATAGGGTGTATATACAGTGGGTATAATTACCACCCAAGGATGTTAAATTATTTATAATTATAAAAGCCTTCATAAGGCATAAATTTTTAATAGGGGTTCAAAGAGGCAAATTTTTGTTAATGAAATGTTTATTTTTTCAGAGGAAAAGGACTATGGCTAATTTTAGATTCCTTTTAGGAGTTAGGAGGATCATAACTCCTAAAAGTAATTTTATTGTAAGTCCTTCTGTCATATGTACAATAGCATTCATTTTGAGGCATGAACCATGAAAATCTTCTGACAAGGGTCCAGTATTTACTGTTTTTGATACATACTTAGCTTAGGTGTGATCTGACTTAGGTTCATGTTTTTTGCATTTTAACTTATCCCTGGGCCAGGCTCTCCTTGAGACTTGTTGATTCTTCACTTTATGATTTATACTAGACAAACCATTCTGTCCAATTATTAGCAGCTACTCTTAGAAGACTGTCAGCTAAGTATTGCAGCTAGTCATTAATTAATTCAGTAATTCATTCATTTATAGAAACAGGGTCTCGCTATGTTATCAAGGCTGGTCATCAACTCCTTGCCTCAAGCAATCCTCCGTCCTTGGCATCCCAAAGTGTTGGGATTACAGGCATGATCTGCTGTGCCCAGCCCTGCAGCTAGTCTCTTCTAATGGGTGTTAGACAAACACGTTTTTTTGTTTTTGTTTTTGTTTTTGTTTTGAGACAGAGTCTCGCTCTGTTGCCCAGGCTGGAGTACAGTGGCGCGATCTCGGCTCACTGCAAGCTCCGCCTCCCGGGTTCATGCCATTCTCCTGCCTCAGCCTCCCGAGTAGCTGGGACTACAGGCGCCCGCCTCCACGCCCGGCTAATTTTTTGTATTTTTAGTAGAGATGGGGTTTGACCGTGTTAGCCAGGATGGTCTCGATATCCTGACCTCGTGATCCGCCCTCCCCGGCCTCCCAAAATGCTGGAATTACAGGCGTGAGTCACCACGCCAGGCCACAAACAACTTTTTAAAATAGCATCTATTAAGCACCCAAATGTACATGAGTTAGAATAGTTAATGATCTCTATAGTTTAAACGACATTTATGACAACTCATTTCAAGGGTTTGAGTTGTTTATTATCATCAAAGAATATGTAGTATCTTGAATACACTGGGAAAAAAAATTTGCAATTCTTGTGAAACTTTACAAGGACCCATATATAATTCTTGTTTAGCGTGTTTATGAAAAATTTTAGGCTGGTCACAGTGGCTCACGCCTGTAATCCCAGCACTTTGGGGAGCCTAGGTGGGTGGATCACCTGAGGTTGGGAATTTGAGACCAGCCTGGCCAAGGTGGTGACAGCCCGTCTCTACTAAAAATACAAAAATTAGCTGGGTGTGGTGGCGCATGCCTGTAGTCCCAGCTACTTGGGAGACTGAGGCAGGAGAATCATTTCAACCCAGGAGAGGAAGGTTGCAGTGAGCTGAGATCACGCCACTGCACTCCAGCCTGGGAGCAGAACAAGACTCTGTCTAAAAAAAAAAAAAAAAAAAAAATTACAATAAAAATTTTAACTGAAAATATACTAGTCAAATCTCATTTAATTCCAAAAGGAATATTTAGATTAACCAATTTCTTCCTTTCTTACAATACTTTCTGAACTCTACCCACTGAAAAATTCTTCAAATGTCAATACTGAGTTTTTAATTGCCAAATCCAGTGACCTCTTCTCAGTCTCCATCTTACTACTTCTCCAAATATTGTTGACTACCCCTTTATTGAAATCCTTCCCTTCGTTTGATTTTCATGATAGTAAACTGTCTGACTTTTGTTTCTTCCTATTTCTTTTCAGTTGTCTTCACCCACTTCTACACAACCGTTAAATGTGACTGTTTGCCTAAAGTATGATCCTTAGCCTCACCTTCTCTCTCCATTCTCCACTCTCTCCAGAATGGTATTATCCCCCCACTAGGGGGATAAAAGTCCCCCACCTAGGACTTTTTTTTTTTCTTTTTTCTTTTTTCTGAGACAGAGTTTCACTCTTGTTGCCCAGGCTGGAGTGCAATGGCGTGATCTTGGCTCACCGCAACCTGCGCCTCCCAGGTTCAAGCGAGTCTCCTACCTCAGCCTCCAGAGTAGCTGGGATTACAGGAATGCACCACCACACCCAGCTAATCTTGTAGATTTAGTAGAGACAGGGTTTCTCCATGTTATTCAGCTGGTCTCCAACTCCTGACCTCAGGTGATCTGCCCACCTCGGCCTCCCAAAGTGCTGGGATTACAGGCGTGAGCCGCCGTGCCTGGCCAAGGACTTTCAATACTATTTCTATACTGATTCAAAAATCAGCATATCAAGTCTTGATTTACTTTTTAAAAAATATATAGGTCCTAATTTCCAATTGTATAATAAACATCTCTACTTGAATAACCAACTGATACCTAAAGATCCTTTATCTACAGATTTCATTTATTTATCAATAACCATCATCTTACCAGGTTAGAAATCTTAGTCATCTATGTTCCTAGTTTAAGAACCCATCTCACACATTTTTAGGGGGATTTAAACCACACAGGAATTGCTAAAAATAATGTAACATAGTCATATCCCCTTCTCAACCAGAACCTGCAACTACTCATTTATGCTGTAAAATTGTTTTCCCCCAAGAAATAACATATAACAGATGAAGATAGCATTTTTGAATACAACCCCCAGAGAAACTGCTATCATGAGTTTGGTGTATATTCTTCCATTCTACTTTTTATACTTTCACATGTGTATATATTTACATACGTATGTGTTTGTGTATGTATCCCTGAATGACATACAGTATTATTTTACATGCTCTAGGTACATAAATGTCATTAAACTATATATGCCATTCTAAAATGTATTTTTTAATCATTCAAGATTTACATTCTATCCATGTCAGTATACGTAAATATAGCTATTCTTTTTAAATGCTACAAAGTATTCCAGTGTATGCATTTACCCCATTTTATTCATCACATTATCTAAGTTATTCATCACATTATCTAATAAAGTTATTCATCACATTAGCAAATAGTTTCCATTTCTCACTTTTAGAAATATTTCTGCAAAAAAAATTACATTTTCTTAAACATGTATGCTAGAGTCTTTCCACATCATATACCAACAAACAGTTTCTAGGTCATAAAGTATTTTGTCTTTTGCTTTTTGGTATGGGTCTCACTCTGTCACTGAGGCTAGAGAATAGTGGCATGACCATAATTCACTGCAGCCTTGAACTTCTGGGCTCAAGAGACCCTCCACCTCAGCCTCTTAAGTTAGCTAGGACTACAGTCATATTCCATGCCTGGCTAATTTTTTAAAATAATTTTAGAGACAAGGGTCCAGCCATCTTGCCCAAGGTAGTCTTGAACTCCTGGTCTCAAGATATCCTCCCATTTGTCTCCTGAGTAGCTAAGACTATAGGCACACACCACCACACCCAGCTTATCAGTACAATTTTAATTTGATGTAATTCTGTCCAAAGTGGCTATGCAAGTCCAGTGGTTTGGCAGAGTTACGATTTTTCTCACATGCTTGTCAATTCAAGATATAAGCTGACTTTTTAAATTTCTGCCATGTGTTGAGTAACAAAAAATTTTTCATTGTTGTATTAATATGCATGTATTTAAGTATTAAGGATAAATATTTTTTCAAATACTTACTGGCCATTAACATTTCCCCTGTGAATAGACTATTCATGTCCTTGGCCATTTTTCTATAAAGGCATTTTTTGTCTTATTGATCTATAGAATGTTAATATATTCTAAATAACAATTCAGATTTATCTTGCAAGTATCTTCTGCCAGCCTGCTGTTTGCCTTTTTTATTCTTGAGACAGGGTCTGGCTCTGTCATCCATGCGGGAGTATAGTGGTATCATCTTGGCTCAATGCAACCTCCGCCTCCCAGGCTCAAACGATTCTCGTGCCTCTGCCACCCGAGTAGCTGGGATTACAAGCACATGCCACCATACCCAGTTAATTTTTGTATTTTTAGTGGAGCTGGGATTTTGCCACGTTGGCCAGGCTGGTCTCAAACTCCCAGCCTCAAGTGATCCGCCTGCCTCCCAAAGTGCTGGGAAAAACATCCAGTTTTGATGTAGTCAAATTAATGTTTTCCCTTATAGTATATGGTTTGTTTTGTTTTGTTTTGTTTTGTTTTGTTTTGTTTTGAGATGGAGTCTCACTCTGTCGCCCAGGCTGGAGTGCAGTGGCGCAATCTGGGCTCACTGCAAGCTCCACCTTCCGGGTTCACGCCATTCTCCTGCCTCAGCCTCCCAAGTAGCTGGGACTACAGATGCCCGCCACCATGCCCGGCTAATTTTTTGTACTTCTAGTAGAGACAGGTTTTCACCATGTTAGCCAGGATGGTCTCGATCTGACCTCGTGATCCGCCTGGCTCGGCCTCCCAAAATATTGGGATTAAAGGCGTGAGCCACCTCACCCGACCTTCTTATAGTATATGTTAAAGAACCCTTGGAATAAAAAGGAAATCATAAAGAAACTAAGAAATATCTAGAAACGAATTACAATAAAAAATGCAACATGTCAAACTGTGTGATTTAATTAAAACAGTACTTAGTAAAGAAATAAAAGGTTTAAAAATAAACAAGCTCAGCATTTGATTCACAGATGGAAAAAGCAACATAGCAAACCTAAAGAAACTAGAAGGAATAAATAATAAAAAGCAAGAAAAATGAAATAGAAAATAGTAATTTTTTTTGAGACAGGGTCTCACTCTGTTGCCCAGGCTGAGTGCAGCGCTGCTATCACAACTCAGTGCAGCCTCAACCTCCTGGGCTCAAGTGAACCTCTCACTTCAGCCTCCCAAGTAGCTGGGACTCCAGGTGTGTACCATTGCACCCGGCTATTTTTTATTTTTTTGTAGAGGTGGGAGGATTACTTGCCCAGGATGGTCTCGAATTGCTGGATACAACCGATCCTCCCATCTTGGCCTCCCACAGTGTTGGGACTACAGGCATGAGCCACTGTACCTAGCCAGAAAATAATACTTTTCAAAAATACAGAAGATTCACAAAACCAGAAGATGACATTGAAAAGATTAATAAAATAAACACACTTTGGCAAAGGTTGTCAAGAAAATAGAATATACATATTATTTATATATAGAGAATATATATACACACATATATATACACATATATATACACACATATATATACATATATACACTACATATATACATATATACACTATATATATACATATATATATATAAACATGGAACAAAAAGGGGGAAATAACCACAGATACAATTGATATTTAAAAATAATAAAATAGGCCGGGTGTGGTGGCTCACCCCTGTAATCCCAGCACTTTGGGAGGGCGAGGCGGTTGGATCACCCGAGGTCAGGAGTTCAAGACCAGCCTGGCAAACATGGTGAAACCTCGTCTCTACTAAAAATACAAAAATTAGCTGGGCGTGGTGGCAGGCGACTTAATCCCAGCTATTTGGGAGGCAGAGGCAGGAGAATCTTTTGAACCCGGGAGGCAGAGGTTGAAGTAAGCCGAGATCATGCCACTGTACTCCAGCCTGGGCAACAGAGTGACACTCCATCTCAGAAATCATAACGTAACATAACATAACATAACATAACATAACATAACATAACATACATAACATAACATAACATAACATAACATAACATAACATAACATAACATAACATAACATAGGGCCGGGCGCGGTGGCTCACACCTCTAATCCCACCACTTTGAGAGGCGGAGGCGGGTGGATCAGCTGAGGTCAGGAGCTTGAGACCAGCCTGGGCAACGTGATGAAACCCCATCCTGGATCGAGACCATCCTGGCTAACAGGGTGAAACCACGTCTCTACTAAAAAATACAAAAACTTAGCCAGACATGGCGGTGGCCGCCTGTAGTCCCAGCTACTCGGGAGGCTGAGGCAGAAGAATGGCGTGAACCTGGGAGGCGGAGCTTGCAGTGAGCCCAGATCACGCCACTGCACTACAGCCTGGGCGACAGAGAGACTCCGTCTCAAAAATAAATAAATAAATAAAAATAATAATAATTAAAAAATAGTATTATGAACAATTATATGCTACTAAAGCTGACATCTGAATGAAACATATAAACTACTAGAAGTATATAAAATTCCCAGTAGGCATACGCATACACATACAAAATTGAATAGAATAGTAAATAATTTTTTTTTTTTTTTTTTGAGAAAGAGTCTCGCTCTGTCGCCCAGGTTGGAGTGCAGTGGCGCAATCTCGGCTCACTGCAAGCTCCGCCTCCCGGGTTCACGCCATCCTCCTGGCTCAGCCTTCTGAGTAGCTGGGACTACAGGCGCCTGCCACCACGCCCGGCTAATTTTTTGTATTTTTAGTAGAGACGGGGTTTCACCGTGTTAGCCAGGATGGTTTCGATCTCCTGACCTCGTGATCCGCCCACCTCGGCCTCCCAAAGTGCTGGGATTACAGGCGTGAGCCACCGCGCCCGGCCAGTAAATACTGAAGAAATTAAAACATAATACAAAACCTTCCCTCCACAAAAAACAAACAAACAAACCAACAAAAACCCAGGCTTGAATATTTTTTATGCAAATTCTAGCAAATTTCAAAATTAATTCTTAACTTATGCAAGCTGTTTGCAGAAGATAGAAGAGAAAAATCAGTGAAAGCTACCTGGATTATTTTATGAGTCTAGTGTAATCTCGATTCCAAAAGCAGATAAAGACAGGAAAGTAAAATTATGGTTCCACTTCACTTATGAATAGATTCCAAGACTCCTTAACTTAAAGCAACGCGAAGCAAAATGATGAGTAACATTTATCCTCAAACGACAAGACTTCAACATCTGAAAATCCATCAACTGACCATATTAATAGAGTAAAAGAGAAAAATGACTTATCAAATGCCAAAAAAGCACTTGATAGGACTCATAATTAACACAAAAGGAATAGAAGACAATTGCTTAACGTGGTATACATTATATACTAAAGCCTATAACAATTTCAAGTTGAAACTTCAGATACATTCCCTTCAAGATTAGGAACAAAACAGGGATGGCCATTAATATTACTACTCTTTTTAAAATATCACTTTCACATAATACTGGAGTTCTTGACTAACATCTTTTTTTTTTTTTTTTTTTTTGAGACGGAGTTTAACTCATTGCCCAGGCTGGAGTGCAATGGCGTGATCTCCGCTCACTGCAACCTCCGCCTCTCGGGTTCGAGCGATTCTTCTGCCTCAGCCTCCTGAGTAGCTGGGATTACGGGCATGTGCCACCATGCCTGGCTAATTTTTTGTATTTTTAGTAGAGACGGGGTTTCTCCATGTTGGTCAGGCTGGTCTCAACCTCCCAACCTCAGGTGATCCACCACCTCGGCCTCCCAAAGTGCTGGGATTACAGGCGTGAGCCACCACGCCCGGCAACTAACATCTTAAGAAACGAAAAAGAAATAAGATAACTGGAAAGACAAAAGGAGGGCTGAGTTGTCCTAGCTAAGGCCCTCCTAGACCAGTTAGTTCCCAGCTGATCCACAGATGACCATAGATACAGGACCAAAGCCATCACAGCAGAGCCACATAACCAGCCCGTAAGTCTGAGGGAAACAATAACTGGTTCTTGTTTCAAGTCAATAAATTTTGGAGTGGTTTGCAGCACGAGGATAAAAGTAGGAACTGAAGGTTATTTATTACTGAGTAAGTAGAAAGGTAACGTGGTGGATGTTTAAAAGGGGTACTCTGCAGCAGTTTGAGCAACAAATAAGATATATACAAAGCAACATGCAAGGATATTAGGAACAGTGCTTACTTTAAAAAAGTAGGAAACAGAGTAAGATACATAACACCATTTATATAAATTTTAATTATATACAACAGGACATACAACCTCAACAAACTAAGAAAATATACATTAATCAATTTAAATGTGATGCTTATTTCTGAGGGAGAAAGATAAGACTTGTGTAAAAAAGATTAAAGTAATGTCATTTTAAAAAATGAGTAAAATGAGGAGATATGAAATAGGCATCTAATTTTAGATTTATTTATTTATCTTTATATATCTTAGAGTTATTTTTAGGTCCCTAGTAAAGGGTGTTTTGTTTTGTTTTTGTTTTTTTACTATTATCAATGGGATCTTTTTTGTTTCATTTTCTTATTGATTATTGCTCTTGCATACGGCAAACCTGATGAAACTTCTTAACAATGTTAACAGTTTATCTGGATCATCTCTTAAATTTTATGTGTTAATTAAGTCATCTGTAAATAATAACAATTTTGTTTCTTCTCTTCTGATCTTTATGCCTTTTTTTCCCCGTCTCATTGCATTGGCTAGGACCTCCAATAATAATTCTAGTTAGTAAAGTTGATAGCTGGCATCTTCTTTCTCCATTAAGCATGATATTTGCTATAGATTTTTTTTTTTTTTTTTGAGACAGAGTCTCATTCTGTTGCCCAGGCTAGAGTGCAGTGGCACAATCTCAGCTCACTGCAACCTCCACCTCCCAGATTCAAGCAATTCTCGCACCTCAGCCTCCCAAGTAGCTGGGATTACAGGTATGCAACATCACGCCCAGCTAATTTTTGTATTTTCAATAGAGACAGAGTTTCGCCATGTTGGCCAGGCTGGTATCAAACTCCTGACCTCAACTGATCTGCCCACCTCAGCCTCCCAAAGTGCTGGGATTACAGGCATGAGCCACTGTGCCAGCCTGCTATAGATTTTTAATATATACTCTTTATCAGGTTCCAATCCAGATTAAGAGTATTTTATCCTCAGCAGATTTTAAATTTTAACAAATTTTTTTTAAATCTATACAGATGATTACATGAGTATTCTCCTTTAATCTAGTCACATGGCTACTACAATAATTAACTTTTTAATATATAGCCATCTTTGCCTTCCTATTATGAATTTAGTCATTATGTATTTTTAAATCAATGATGGATTTCATTTGCTATTCTTTATTTAGAATATTTGTAGCTATGATTGGCCAGGCACAGTGGCTCATGCCTGTAATCCCAGCACTTTGGGAGGCCAAGGCGGGTGGATCACTTGAGGTCAGGAGTTCAAGATCAGCCTGGCCAACATGGTGAAACCCCATCTCTACTGAAGTACAAAAATTAGCTGGGCACGGTGGCACACGCCTGTAGAAACAGTGAAACCCCGTCTCTACTAAAAATACAAAAATTAGCCAGGTGTGGTGGCATATGCCCGTAATCCCAGCTACTCGGGAGGCTGAGGCAGGAGAATCGCTTAAACCCGGGAGGTGGAGGTTGCAGTGAGCCGAGATCACGCCACTGCACTCCAGCCTGGGCAACAGAACAAGACTCTGTCATACATACAAAAAAAGAACATTTGTAGCTATGCGCATATATGAGTTTGACCCAAAAAAAAAATTCTGTTATTATATTGGATAAGTTTCAAGGTTAAGGTTATACTAACTTCATAAAATGAGTTGGAAAGCTTTCCCTCTTTTACTATTCTTTTGTGATAGTTTATATATGACAAGCATTATGTATCCTCTGAAATTTTAGTAATAAATCTGGGTCTGATGGACTTTTTTTTTAATACTTCCACGTTATAATGGACTTTATTTAAATGTGTATATAAGGAAGATGCATATGTAAGATTAAAGAAATTGAATGGTTATTAATTTGTCTGGGCTTTCTATTTCTTCTTGAGTCACTTATAAATTAGTTTTGTTTTTTGAGACAGGCTCTCACTCTGCCTAGGCTCTAGTGTAGTGGTGTGATCTCGACTCACTGCAACCTCCACCTCCCAGGTTCAAGCGATTCTCCTGCCTCAGCTTCCTGGGTGGCTGAGACTACAGGTGTACACCACCATACCAAGCTTTTTTTTTTTTTTTTTTTAATTCTTTGTAGCCAGGAGGTCTCACCATGTTGCAGGCTGGTCTCGAACTCCTGGACTCAAGCAATCTGCCCACCTCAGCCTCCCAAAGTGCTAGGATTACAGGTGTAAGCAACAGTGCTTGGCCTAAACTATAAAATTTTAACATTATCCTTTCACAGGTTTTTAAATTCCTTGGCAACAGGTTTTTCATAGTATTCTTTCATGGTTTTTAAACTTTTTATTCCGTTGGCCATATTTTTGTTCTTCAGAGTGCTCATTTTTCTTTAATCTGTCTTTACAGAGGTTCTTCCATTTTATTAGTTTCTGGTTTTATTAATAATCTAGTACTGTTTTATTTTCTATTTATTGACTTTCATCTTTATTTTTAACTTACCTCTACTTTACTTGGATTTATTCTGTTGGTCCTATATTAACATGTAGATTTAGGTATATGCTCATTATATCAATCTTTCTTATTTTCCAGTAAATACATTCAAAGCTATTATATTTCATAGTGAGTTCTGCTTAAGCGAAATTCCAAGTTTTTGGTTTTTTTGTTTGTTTGTAGCCTCTGTCGCAGAGGCTGGAGAGTACAGTGGCACAATCATGGCTCACTGCAGCCTTGAACTCCCGGGCTCAGGTGGTTCTCCCATCTCAGCCTCCCAAGTGGGATTACAGGTGTGCACCCACACCCAGCTACATTCCAAGTTTTAATGTGCAATATTTTCGGCCAGACGCGGTGGCACTTTGGGAGGCCAAGGCGGGCAGATCACTTGAGGTCAGGAGTTTAAGACCAGCCTGGCAAATATGGGTGAAACCCCGTCTCTACTAAAAATACAAAAATTAGCCGGGTATGGTAGCATATGCCCGTAATCCCAGCTACTCGGGAGGCTGAGGCAGGAGAATCACTTGAACCCAGAAGGCAGAGGTTTCAATGAGCCAAGATCATGCCACTGCACTCCAGCCTGGGTGACGGAGCAAGACTCTGTCTCAAAAAAAAAAAAAAAAGTAAAGAAAAAAAAATATGCAATGCTTTCAATGTTATTTAGCTATAAGTATTTTAACATTTTCATTTCTTTTTTGATCCACTAATTTTTAGTTTCCAATATTATTATTTTGATTGTCTTTTTCATTGTTTTCTAATATTCTTACATCATGACAAAATATTTTGTTTGATTTTCTTTTTAGAGAGAAGGTCTAGCTGTCACCCAGGCTGGAGTACAATGTGGCCTATAGGTGAGTGCCACCATGCCCAGCTAATTTATTTTTTGCAGAGACAGAGTCTCACTATATGGTCTTGCCTGGCTTCAAGTGATCCTCCTGCCTCAGCCTCCCAAAGCACTAGGATTACCGGCATGAGCTGCCATGCCTGGCTGAAATAACGTATTTTGTATGACACTGATTTTCTAGACATTGTTAACATTCCTCTATGGAACATGGTTAAAAACTGACATACATAACTAAAAAATGTTTAAGTTTCTATTAGGTTAGGTACAATGTCCTATATATCTCCAATTTACGAAGTTTGTTAAGCCCTTTGTAGTTGAATTCTTTGATACTATTTTTAATTTCATATATGCTTTTTTACACTTTGACAAAGATGTCCCACTATTTTGTAGATATGTCTAGTTTTCCTAAAAATTTTTGTTTTAAGTGGTATTTCAAGGCTGTGTTGCTAGATGCATGTAAGTTTATGATGATTTTGTTTTCTAGATTGTTCCTTTTAGCAGTATAAAGAGTATCTCTCTGTCCCAATGAAAAATGTTCACCCTAAATTCTATTTTATTATACCAGCTCCCTTTGATTAGTACTTTTCTGGTAAACAGATTTCTCTATTTTTAAAACTTTTTTTTTTTTTTTTTGAGACAGAGCTTCACTCTGTCACCCAGGCTGGAGTGCAGTGGCACGATCTCGGCTCACTGCAACCTCCACCCTCCAGGTTCAAATGATTCTCCTTCCTCAGCCTCCTGAGTAGCTGGGACTACAGGCGCCTGCCACCGCGCCCGGCTAATTTTTTGTATTTTTGGTAGAGATGGGGTTTCACCATCTTGGCCAGGCTGCTCTTGAACTCCTGACCTCGTGATCCACCCGCCTCGGCCTCCCAAAGTGCTGGGATTACAGGCATGAGCCACCGTGCCCGGCCGATATTTTTAAAACTTAATTTTGGTTTATCTGTTATATATTAGCTGTTTCCATTCATTTAATTTTGCTTTATGCATCTATTATAAATAACACAGGTTCTTGTCTTGTGATCACAATAGATAACTTTAATATAATTTCTGATATATTTTGTACTTACTTCTACTATCTTGATTTATTATTTCTATTCCATCATTTTATTCTCCTTTGTTGCCTTTTGTTAAATTGGTCAAGTTTAGTTTATTCCCTAACCTATCCCAAAGTTAGTATTTTGAAAGCTACGTCTTCTATGTTCTGGATGTTTAAAATAAATGTCCCTCTTTTCACTTCTCATCTTTTCCAAATAATGTTTCATACAGTTCCTCACTATTTTATTCAAGGGCCATCACAATCTGGTCCCACTGTACCTTTACCTGTCTAGCCTTATCTCTCAACCATACCTGTCTATATAGCCTAAACTCTAGTTAAACTACACTAACGAGCAGTAAACTACATTGACGGGCAGTGTCTAAATAAAATACAAAGTTCTTGGCAATCCTTTCTGGTTCATGATGTGTTCTCATTAATAAACAAATATTTTATTGAAAACCTACTGGGTTCCTGGCCCTGAGCAATTCCAGTAAGCACAATGGATACAGTCTCTGACTTTATGGAGCACAGTGTGGAAACATTAAGCAAACGAGCACAAATATAAATATAGTCAAGTAAAACTTCCTAAATACATGAATTCAGGTAAGTCAACTGATAATTGGCTCCCGTCTTCCATCCTATCCTCAAAAAGCAGTCACAGAAGTACACAACTACCACCAGGTGGCACCAAACCACAGCTGGACCTTAGACTGATTTTGGATACCTTAGTCTGAATTCTGGAACCCATTTCATACACACACCTCTTCCTCCTATACCCAGACTGACCCAGGCCATTTCATTAACCTCACATTAATGCCAGATTTTATGTGATTTGAACTTCTTGGAAGGTATTTACTACCTAATGGTGGGAACTGAATGCATGACAAGTTGTAGGTGCTAAAAACAAAACACATTAAATAATGGAGGGCTATGATAAAAAATAACAGAACAGTCCTAATTGAGATTTAAGAATATCAGCCAAGGCCTCTTTCTCTGTGAGAAAGTGACATTTAAACTATAATCTAAAGGACAACCAGGAGTTAGAAATTGAAAACTAGAAAATAATCTACTCCAGACAGAAAATGGCATGCGTGAACACCCTGTGGAGGTCAAGAGTTTGGATTAATGGAAGGATGAAAGGAGCACTGTGATTACAATAATTTGTATTGTGAGGGGAAGGGATATTATATAATGCATCAGAGTACAATGCTTGAGCTTGGGCTCTGGGTTAAATCCTTGCTTCCACCACTTAAATAGCTATCTAGCCTTGGAAAAGTTATTCGGCCTAGGGTTGAGAGTGTGAAATATGTAATGTTAATATGTAAAACCCTAAAAACAATTCCTGGCAACATAGTAAAGAAACTTTAAATGTTAGAGCTGTCTTTTTTTTTCCTTTTTGGGGGGTTGCTATTATTGTTATTGTTTCTAGATGAATGTGAGAAGCCAAATTATTCAGTGTCTTAAAGACCATATTAAAAACTCCTGCCAGGCGCAGCAGCACATGCCCGTGATCCCAACTACTTGGGAGGCTGAGGCAGAAGGATCGCCTGAGTCCAGAAATGCTGGGCTATAGTGCACTAAGTCAATTGGGTATCTGCACTAAGTTCGGCATAAACGTGAGGGACCACAAGGTTGCCTAAGGAGAGGTGAACCAGACCAGCCTGGAAACAGAGCAAGTCAAAACTCCTGTCCTGATGAGTAGTGGGACTGCACCTGTGCATAACCACTGTACTCCAGCTTGGGCATCATAACAAGACCATAACTCTTTAAAAAAAACATTTTTTTAACTGCATCCATTGAAATACAGAAAAAAAATAAAAATTAAGTGAAAACAATTTAAAAATACTCTGAATTTTATCTTAAGTGCAATTAGAATCCACTGAAAGATTTTAGGGAGGGAGTATCACTATTCCACTTACAAATTTATATTTTAAATCACTTTGGCTACTATGGTGAGCATAGATTGCTGGGGGTAGGAGGAGGAGGCAATAATGAAAACAGGCTGATTAGAAGGCCAAAGGCCATCAACATAGCTCATGTAAAAAAACTACAGAGTGAACTAGCCTAGTAGCAATGAAGATAGGAAGACTCGAGATATACTTTGGAGGCAAAATTAACATGATTTGGTAATGGACTGGGAGAAGGTAGGAAAAGGTATAAATAAATGACTTCTCAACTAGAAAATTCTTTTCTTCCCAATGAAATTTTATTTATCCTCCCAAACTCAACTAAAATGTAAACTTCCCATCAGAATAGCTAAGATCTGTCTCCTTCACTATTATAACACTAATATTATTAAACCTTAGGTTATGAAGAGTTGTTTCCTTATATATTTTCCCCACAAATGAGTGAGTTTCTTTACAGGAGGGGCCATATCTAATTTCTTGCTCTAGTTCACATAAAAAAAACACAGTGCCACACACATCACAGGTCATCTCAGGTAACCCCACTAATGGTCTCAGATCCAGGACAACTCCTTATTCTTTTGTTCTTCCTTTGATAAGCACAAGAATTCAGTCTGCTTTCTTCTCCTTTCAGCTCTTCTATTTTTTGGAGTTCTGTTTTCCCTAAGACTAGCTGCAGAATTAACTGCAGTCTCTCATTAGCCCTTCCCATTTCTTGTGGCCTCCAAAAACAAATATATGGGGATTCTTTTTGTAAAGTGCTTGGTACTAATTATTATGGAGAAACAGAGGATAACAAAATTAGACACAGGATTTATATGATCTTACAATAGTGGTCTCTGACCTATACAATACTTGACTCCTTTTGTAAGACGGTAAACTGAATGCACTGGCTTCTGATCTTTACTTTTATTCCCAAGGATAAAGGTCACTAAAGGTTCTTCCTTTTTTATGGAGGCCTCCCTTCCCAGAACATAGGCCTTCAGATGAAGCCTAGCCAAAATAATCAGTGCTTCTTGTCTCAAGTAAATAACTTGCACCTGATAGCCTCCTAAGTATGTAATATTAGCAATGGAATTAAAAACAAATGTAATTCTGCCAGCCTTGTTTTTCCAAACAAAATGAAAAAAGCTTAATGTTGTAAACCTAGATACTAACTATAGACCAATGTCCCTAAAGAAAAAGATAAAAAAAAAAAAGGGGGGGATGTCAAGTTTATTCAAGAAAGTAAATGTCTCAAAAAGAAATTACCACCTTTTAATTTCTTTCTCCTCTTGAACCAAGTTCTTGGTTTCCTCTTCAAAAGAAGTTTTTCATTCTCAGTAATTATTCTAAATCCTGCCTTTATTTTCCAACTATTACACATCAGAAAAAAGGTCATATGGGGAAAAAAATTCAGATTTTCCTGAAAGACTTGTCAAACACCATATATAAGAAGTATCAGGGCCGGGCGCAGTGGCTCACGCCTGTCATCCCAGCACTTTGGGAGGCCGAGGTGGGTGGATCACGAGGTCAAGACATCGAGACCATCCTGGCTAACACAGTGAAACCCGGTCTCTACGAAAAAAAAAAAAAAAATACAAAAAATTAGCCGGGCGTGGTGGGTGGTGGCGGGCGCCTGTAGTCCCAGCTACTCGGGAGGCTGAGGCAGGAGAATTGTTTGAACCCAGGAGGCGGAGGTTGCAGTGAGCGGAGATAGCACCACTGCACTCCAGCCTGGGAGACAGAGGGAGACTCCGTCTCAAAAAAAAAAGGAAGTATCGGCCGGGCATGCTGGCTCACGCCAGAATTCCCAGCACTTTGGGAGGCTGAGGCAAGCGGATCATCTGAGGTCAGGAGTTTTAGACCAGCCTGGCCGAGATGGTGAAACCCCATCTCTACTAAAAATAAAAAAATTAGCCAGGCGTGGTGGCGGGCACCTGTAATCCCAGCTACTCGGGAGGCTGAGGCAGCAGAATTGCTTGAACCCAGGAGGCGGAGGTTGCAGTGAGCTGAGATCATGCCACTGCACTCCAGCCTGGGCGACAGAGCAAGACTCCATCTCCAAAAAAAAGAAGTATCTTTTTGCTAACTAGATCGGAGACATAAATGTTTTTTTTTTTCCCCCCTGAGACAGGGTCTCGCTCTGTCAGAATGCAGTGTCAGGATCACAGCTCACTGCAGCCTTGACCTACCAAGTGCAAGCAATCTGCCCACCTCAGCCTCCAAGTGGCTGGGACTTCAGGCACCTGCCACTATGCCCGACTAATTTTTGTATTTTTTGTACAGATGGGGTTTTGCCATATTGCCCAGGCTAACCTTTTCTTTTTGATGTAAAACTTTCTCATGATCTTTTGCAAGTTCATCTACTGATAAGAAAATCTCCCAAGTTCTAGCTGTGATATTGTGAAATATGTGTGAAATATATATATTTAGTCTTGCTCCCCATTTCCTGGCATACAAGTCCTAAAATCCTTGGAATCTCCAAAGTAGTAAGTGTTCTTTTGTGTGCTAAAGATTGAGTAATGGCTGGCAGCCCCTAGGTATCTTCAGGATGGGGGCTAGTCACCAGAAAGACCAAGGCAGGATTATAGGGTTGGGACTTTCAGCCCCACTCCCAACCTCTGGGCCTCGGGAAACAGGGCTGAAGGTTAAGTCAACCACCAATAGCCAATGACTTAATCAATCATGCCTACTTAATCAAGCTTCCATAAAAACCCAAAACGAATGAGTTCAGAGACTTTCCTGATAGCTGAACATGTGGAGGTTCCTGGAGTGTGGCATGCCCAGCAAGGGCATGGGACCTCCATGACCCTTCCCCAATACTTCACGCCCTATGCATTTCTTCATCTGTATCCTTTAAATATCCTTTATGATAAACTGGTAAATGTGTTTCTCAGAGGATCTGATGCTATCTCCAAGTAGACAGTGTCAGAACTGAATTGAATTAGAGGACACCCAGCTGGTGTCCACTACAGAACTGACTGACTAGTTTATTGGTCGGGAGAAATCCCACACACTTCATGGTAATCAGATGTCCCAGAGGTCTTCTGTGTTAACTGTTGAGAGCATAGTGAGACAAAGAGTTTGCTTTTCTACTCACTAACAAATAATTGTTTAAAGATATTCTTAAGTCCTGAAAAATAATTGCATATTATCACCACCCAGTTTAATATAAAACATATGAAAAGTATTTTAGTTAAATAAAAAAAGTAATTGCTCATTCCCTTCAAGTAGTGTATATATTTTGGCATATTTACAAAGTGAAAAGAAATCAAACACCCAATTATGACCAAACACTGACTTTAAACCAGGAGAAAACAGCATAGGACTTCTTTCATTTAAAAACAAAAACAAACAACAACAAAAAACTGTTATTCTAATGAAAATAAAGGCTATAAAGCTACATTTGTCTCTTGATATACTCAATGAAAAAAATATACAGGAATGTTGGCTGGGCACGGTGGCTCATGCCTGTAATCCCAGCATTTTGGGAGGCCGAGGTGGGCAGATCACTTGAGGTCAGGAGTTCGAGACCACCCTGGTCAACATGGTGAAACCCTGTCTCTATTAAAAACACAAAAATTAGCCAGGCGTGGTGGTGCCCACCTGTAGTCCCAGCTACTCAGGAGGCTGAGGCAGGAGAATAACTTGAGCCCGAAAGGCGAGGTTGCCGTGAGCTGAGATCGTGCCACTGCACCCCAGCCTGGAAGACACAGTGAGACTCTGTCTCAAAAAAAAAAAAAAAAAAAGAAAAGAAAAGAAAAAATATAGGAATGTAAAAAATTTAAAAAGTCATAGTTAGTCCTACTTCACCTCCTAATTCCACTCCCAAATCATAACCAATTACTGCAAACAGGCTGAGTTCTTAGCATTGTTCCCTGATTTTTCCATCAATGAGGACAGGAAAATCTTTCTGATTTTTTATGGTATTGTTACACACATAAAAAATTAAAAATAATGAGATTTAGGAATACTTAATTCCATTTGACTTGTTCCTCTGCCTCTAACCAGAGGCCTTCACTGTCAACTCTCATGATGACATTTAAATGGGACCTACCACAATAGCAATAATGTAATCTGGAACATTTGAATTCACTACCATACTTGGCAATTCTTTCCCTCACCTTTCCCCAACCCTATCTACTCTATAATACTATTATTTGCCTGAATGCTCATTTTTCGCAACTTAGTAAGCTTCTTTGAGGCTAGAAAGCATGTGTTATTCAACAACGAATTGTTCACTTTCTAGGAGCCATGGCAGTAATATAGGTAATGTGTACATGATAAATGTTAAGATTACCAATTAACTATCTCAATTGTACCTAATAACTGTCATATGGAAAGGGAGAGGAAAAAAACTATCCACTGCTTTAACTGCTTGAAAAGAATAATTCATGAGTTTATTATTTTAGCTTAATTCCATATATTTACTTTAAAGAACAATTTCAAGTTATATAATTTGATTTGTGACAAAGTAATTTTACTGTAGTGCAAACTTACATGTTTTGTCCACTAGATTCTAAGTACCATAAATGTAGAGACTTTGCCTTTCTTGTCTACATTGTAGCCCCGTGCCTTAAAATAATGCCTTGCATTTACTAGGTGCTCAATGAATGCTTAATGATGAATAGTAATGATGTGTTACACTATTTCATACACCTGAAAGGACTTTACCATCCTTTTACTCCCCAAAACAATTTTTTATGATGGGTATAATATAGTAAGAAACTACAGAGTTAACTGAATTTTAACAATGGCAGAAACTCCCTTTCTGTGCTGTCATTTCCAACACTCTAGGGATAATGATTGTCAAAAAATGATCCTGGCCAGGCACTGTGGCTCATGCCTGTAATCTCAGCACTTTGGGAGGCCAATGTGGGAGGATCACTTGAGGCCAGGAGTTTGAGACCACCCTGGGCAACATACAGAGATTCCATCCCTACCAAAAAAGAAATGATAAAAAAATTGCTGAGTGTGGTGGCTCACACCTGTAGTCCCAGCTACTTGGGAGGCTGAGGTGGGAGGACTGCTTAATCCCAGGAGTTCAAGGTAGCAGTGAGGTATAATGACACCACTGCACTCCATCTTGGGCAACAGAGTAAAACCCTGCCTCAAAATAATAACGATCCCTGGCCAACAGCAGCCTTATCACCTAGGGACTTGTTAGAAATGCAAATTCTCCAGTTCTACCACAGATCCACTGAATCAGAAGTCCTGGGGATGGGTCCAACAATCTGTATTTTAACAAGCCCTTCTGATAATTCTTATGTATGCTTAAGTTTAAGAACCATTGGCCATGGAAATTTTTGTCATGGAGATAGAAGGGATCTTAAACCAACAAAGAGGTCATTAAAATATTTAATAAACATTTAAAGAAATATATTAAATGTTCAGCCAAAGAAATTAAATTCTCACTCCATTAACGAATATGAAAAATTACCACTACATGACTGAGAGGCTTTTTTTCCTTTAAAAAAAGAATACAGCAGGGATCATAAAACTGTACTTAAAATGTGACATATTTAAACTGGCTTTCAGATCCCTAGTATGGATTATTAGAGAAAAGAGAATGGAAGTAGGGCAGAACATAGAGGAAGAAAGGATGATGAAAAAAAAGGTAGATGACAGTTAAAATAATACATGGGTGAGACCTGGGAACAATAGTTTTTTAGCTTCTAACTAAAATTTAGCTCTTTCGTTTTAAATAAAAGCACAAACCACAGTTGTTTTAGTAGTATCTGTGACTTCATGACCAATATAAATCACAGATATTTTCATATCATATTACGGTTTTTTTTTTCTTTGAGACAGGGTCTCGCTCTATATAATTTATGGTTGTCACTACTTTGAAATTATAGCAGTAAATTATATCTGTCACTAGATCTCATTATTTAATATATTAATACAGAAACACATGCATTGATATATATCACAATTTAAAATAGTTTGATAACTATATTTCTTTTTTTTTTTTTTTTTTTTGAGATAGAGTTTCGCTCTTGTTGCCCAGGCTGGAGTGCAATGGCTTGATCTCGGCTCACTGCAACCTCCGCCTGCCAGGTACAAGTGATTCTCCTGTCTCAGCCTCCCAAGCGGCTCAGATTACAGGCATGCGCCACCATGCCTGGCTATTTTTTTTTTGTATTTAGCAGAGAAGGGGTTTCACCACGTTACTCAGGCTGGTTGCAAACTCCTGACCTCAGGTGTTTCACCTGCTTCGGCCTCCCAAAGTGCTGGGATTACAGGCGTGTGCCACCATGCCCAGCCTTGATAACTATATTTCAATATATATGGTTCCTTTTTAATCCTAGATATTTTACTTTATATTTTAAAACAATGCTCCGAGAGAAAGTTCATGGGCTTCACCCTATGGCCAAAAAGGTTCATGACACAAAAAGGTTGAAAAACCTTACAATCTAAGAACTGACCACTGAATTTAAAAAAGGAAAAAAACAAAGGAAAACCTTACAAAATTTAACAGGTAAGAGCTATTAAAAGTTCTGTTGACCCCCTCTGAGTGATAGGCCTCTTTATAAATAGACATTCACAGACAACTACCCTCTTCACCACTACTACCACCTCCTTGAAACATATTTGTGTTAAAAACCTCTTGTTAAAACAAAACAATAAATGTTTGAGGTGATGGATATCCCAATTACTCTGACTTTATCATCACACATTATATATATGTATCAAAATATCATACGTACCCCAAAATATGTACGATTATAAACCAATTTTAAAAATACAAAAAAATCAAACTAAAACACAACACCAAGGGTAATAACAATCAACAGCTAATAACTATAGTTAAAAGAGACAGAGAGGCATCTTTACCATGCAATCAGGGAATTTTCACATTTTAGGGGAATCAAAAAAAAGCACCTCTCAATAGCTAAACAGACTTCTATTAGTAACTCCCTTAATCTTCTTGTACTAAACATTTGGGTATTCTAGATTTAGAAACATGTGAATGTTGGAAAGGTAATATGATACACATACCAAATATAACATAACAACTCTCACAAGTATGGGATAGCACCACATGATAAAACTGATAAATACCGGAAAGATCAAGAAATCCTTCCTAGAGAAATGTCTGATCACAGATAAAAACAGAGGGGCTGAGTTTTTAGGCAAAGTGTAAACCTTACCAAGTTGTGGAAGCTAGAGAGCCAGGAGAAGAGAAAAAAAAAAAGGCATGGTAAGAGCTAAAACTGAAAAGGTGAGAATGTGTATCTTTAAGGCATTTGATTTTATCCAGAATGTCATGATAATTAATACAAGGGCTTTATGAAAGAAAATGACAATCAATTTGTCGATGATAGGCTGTCATTAAATTTTTTAAAAAAGAAATGACAAAGTACATTTTAGAAAACTTATACTAGCAGCAGTATGAAGAATGTATTGAGCTTTCTTCATGCCAGGCACCATGCTTAACACTGGGAATACCTTATTATTAGTTTTCAGAACAGTGAGAGATAACTACTGTATTCTTCATTTTGCAGATGAGGAAACTCGTACTAACAGAAAGTAAGTGGCTTCCTCAAGGTTATACAGATTAAATTAACGATAGAAGGGAGACACAATTCTCTTTTGATTTATGGTAGCAAAATGGAAATTCAGAACATTTTATTAATAACTATGTTATGGAAGCTTATTAAAAAACAAAAACTACAGAATCTCTCAGGCCCCAAAGCAGCACTCTAGAACAGAAACAGTCCCATCCTAGCAATCAGGAGACCAGGGTTTCTGGACCTGCTCCATTGCTAACTAGCTCTTTTGAAGAGGTGGACTAGATTACCCTAAAATCCATTCATATTCTAAAAAAAAAAAAAATTCTGTGCTTTCTAAAAATGCCACAGAATGACTAAAAAGCACACTCAAAATAGCAGACTAGGGTTGTGGGGAGGTGGTTAATGGATAAGAAGGCAACAAAACATACCCTGCTCTGAGAACAGACTTGTCTTTATTAAACAGGTAAATGTCCGTGGGTAGAAAAAAAAATAAAAGAATCGAAGAACTGGTTGTTAAGGAAGGTCACAGAAGACTCTCAAACGAGGGGAACAGAACAACCTTCAAACTCACACATCTGAACATTTTAAGATCCGGGGCCCAAATAAGTATGCTTCCTGCCCCGTGTCTAGAACTGTTAAGAGTAACTCTGATGCAATGATCGAATGAGGAGGCATCATAGCAACTCTTCTTTATTTAAAGAAAAACATCATGGAAAGTATCTTCTGCCAAAGATACTATGTTATCTCCCTGAAAAAGCCCTCATATACCTTAAGGAGAGCATAGTAAACAAGCATCATTGCCACAAATAACCTGCTGGTATAAATCTAACTTTATTTTTTTTTTCAGGAAGATGCTTCAATAATTTCAAAAAGTAAAGCTAACAACATTTTAGTTTCTTGGTCCAACAATTATTTCTGGTCACTAATGTAAGACAACTTGGGGTCTGGCCAGTACTCCTAACCCACAGTATTTAACTGTCTGATTTACAAAATTAAAAAATTAAAACCTAGTTGAGAAAAATGCACTACCACGGCATGAGACGAGCAGCATTAAGAAGCAGCAGACTTAATGAGGTAAAAGGCTAAATATAATACAGTTTATTAAATGAGAATTTTAGTCCCTTGGCTATTTATGACTGTGCCAAAGTAGTACTAACAAGCCAGGTGGTCCTGCTCTAAAGGTATAAGGCTGTTCTATAAGACATTTAGTCTTAAGAGATAATCTCTTAAAAGAGATACCTCTTCTTTAGAATCACATTTGCATATTAAAACATCTGAGAAGTCTTCCTGTAAATAAATCTGTTTAATTTTCCTTCACCCAGCATTTTCTAAACTTATTTAATGAAAAACCCATTTTTCACAGCCATAAAAAGGAATGAAATCGTGTCCTTTGTAGCAACATGGAACAGCCGGAGGCTAACGCACAGACAAAAACCCAAATATCACACTTACAAGTGGGAGCTAAATTTTGGGTTCACAAAATACATAAAGATGGGAATAACAGTCACTGGGGATTCCAAAAGGAGGGAGGGAGGAACAGAGGGAGGGAGAAAGGAGCAAGGATATTTTTAAAACTTCCCACGTGTACTGTGTTCACTATCTGGGTGATGGGATCAATAGAAGCCCAAACCTCAGCATCATGCAGTATACTCTCGTAACAAACCTGCACATGTACCCCCTGAATCTAAAATAAAAAGAAACGTTAAAAAATATTTTTGTGTTATAATTAATATTGTATATTAGAAATCGCTTTGAAAAAGAACGCTATTTTTTGATGTAAGCATCTTCTAAGTACTAGCCATATCAACTAATCAGAAAAACTTTTAAGAAATTTACACTCAAAGCTATGTCTGTGCTATTGGTGTAAAAGAAGAAAAAACTACCTAATCACAATAACAAGATTAAGACTCTTAAAGTGGCAAAATAAGATAAAGCTGCTGACCATAGCAGAGCACATGCTCTGGGGTCCTGGTCCTTCCCCCAAAACAATATGATGGGCTTACGTCACATTTTCTTGCCCAGTTCCTGTTGTGACCAAAGACAGACATCTGTAAGGCAGCTATCCAGGGACAAAATGTTTGAGAATGGCCATGGAATAAAACTAACTAAAGATAAAACCTGGGTACTAAAAAAAAACTAATCTTTGTTTCATGAAACACCTTTCTAATCCGGAGACTGAACTGACAACCATATCATAGACAATCATATTTTTTCATGCTTTTACAGAATGAAGTTATTAAAAAACAGCATCTCAGAATTGAAAATTATAAAGAAATCTGGTTTGAACACCTACCTGACACTTGAATTCTCTTTACAATATCCCTAAGTGGCATTCTAGTTCTTGCTTTAAAATCTCCAGTTGTAAAGATACTCACAACCTCTCATTCCATCTTAAACAACTGCACTGCTTAGGAGCTATGATTTGAATCTTTATCTAAATCCCTATAAAAATGAGAACTTGTCACTAATAGGCCAACCTACTCCAAAACAATTGTTGTTAAACTAAAAGATCACTTCTTTTTGGCAATTAAAAAACACACATATCCGGAATCTTCCATACTTCTATTGTAAATATTCCATTATATCATTAATAAACAGGATAGTAATTATCTTAAGGAAGAAGGAAAGGGGAAAATTAAATTCGGGAACATAAGATGTATTTAAATTAACACTGCTGCCAATATTTTATTAATTTTAGTAGTACATACTTATTAGTTGAATTTTTCAGTTTTTTAGAATATTCTAAATATTGTGTATTACATTTTTTAAAAAGAAAAAAAATCCATTATAAAGCCCTTTGATATATATTTAGTTGCAAAGGCTCAAATCATAGCTCTTCTGTATATAATTCTCTTTATGGTATCTACTATGACACCTAAGGCCTAGAACACTGTCGATGATGCCAGTGGAAATAAAAACCAGCAGTTGTTTGTATGCAGCGCTGAAAATACAGATAGAGTTTCAAGATAACTTTTACTTACAAGTTAGTCCTCAAAGACATCAAGACCAAAAGAAATATATTAACTTACGCTGTCTAGTCCAAATGATCAAAATGATATACTTTTTTTTTTTGGAGACAGGGTCTTGCTTGTTTGCCCAGGCTGGAGCAGTGGCGCCATCACAGCTCAATGCAACCTTGAACTCCTGGGACTGCAAGGAGTAGCTGGGACTACAGGTCCATGCCACCATACCAACCTTTTTTTTTTTTTTTTTGTACAGACAAGGTCTCAATATAAAATAATATTCCTATTACACAATTGACTTAAAGGCCACCAGCCTAGATAAATACCTAACAAATTCAACAAATAGGCATGGCATTCAATCAGGACTCGCTGTTTTGAGTCTCGCCCAGGTCCTGGAAAAACCCAAAAGTTTATACAAATGGGCATGGACAATGGATAAGAGACAATGATTCCTCCTCCTGAAACAACACCGTACAAAGCATCTACCTTGTTAACTCCAAAAAGAAAGGCTGGCTGAGCAACTATTTTAATCTCTACTACTTTTAACTTAGTGTAGGCAATGAGCACACCTATACCCCAAATCTGGAGAGGTAGACAACTTAGTGGAAGGTGAAAAAGAACAGTTAGCTAGATATCAGGGAGCTATGAATGAGAAACCAAGGAGTTCAGACTTTAAGTAATTCTTTGACTGTCCTATTCCTTTTTTCATTTACAGCACTTACTATTTTGAAAAAAACTAAATTTGTATTTTTCAAAACTGCTCAAAACTTTTAAAAGGCTCCTCACTGCCCTTTAGACTTATCTGATCCAAGAAACAGATACAAAGCTTTAAAAGCCCTCAGCAATAAGATTTTTTTCTATTTTGCCTCTTACACCTCATTTTAATCCCCTTTCTTTCTCATAATTCATATCTAGCCCTACTGAATCTCTTTCAGCAACTCAGATAGCCTTGTTTTTCTTCCTCCAGACTTTCAACCTTGCTATTCTCTGCCTGAATAATTACTTCAGATGTCACATCCTCAGGAAGGCATTCTCCTGCTGTTTACTCCCATAAACTTTTAATTAATCCTATCATAATTCTCATCACATTTTATCATAATAACATGTTTAATAAATTGTTCATCTTCTACACATAGCTGAAAGCCTGGTGAGGGCAAAGAGAGGGTCTTGTTTACCACAAGATATTCAGCTCTGAGGCTGGGACATTGCAGGTCCTCAGTAAGCACTGACAGATGGCTGAATGGAGGTATGGATTTGCCTAGGGATATGTGTTAAAGCATTCGTATTTGTACATCTAAGAAAATCTTAAAAACTATCTCTACTTGGCAACACTTGTAACCTTGTTTGCTACTCATTTAAAATTCTATATAATCCACAGTTAGCCTTCTCCTCAGTCTGAATTAATAAAACTGTATTATTTAGATACACTGTTGTATAGCAAAAATTTTTTTTTAATTTTTTTAGTATTTATTGATCATTCTTGGGTGTTTCTCGGAGATGTATAGCAAAATTAAAAGTTAACTAGTGTTTCTTTAAAAAGTCTCTCTGAATCACTTGAACCAGGAGGCGGAAGTTTCAGGGAGCCAGAATTGCACCACTGCACTCCAGCCTGAGTGACGGAACAAGACTCCGTATCAAAAAAGATAAATAAAAAAAATTTTTTAAGTCTCTCTGAATACAAAGGAATGAATGGCTACTAGTTTCCAAAGTCAAACAAATATCTTTTAATGATCTATCGTCTAGATATACTTTTCTTTCCTTTTACATAAAACAGATGTTTCTTGGTATACAAACATCATCTAAAATCATTCCTTTTCATCTAGGCAAGGTAGCTCATGCCTATAATCCCAGCACTGTGGGAGGCCAAGGTGGGAGAATTGCTTGAGCCCAGTAGTATGAGACCAGCCTGGGCAACATACTGAGATCTTGTCTCTGCAAATAATAAAAAAGTTAGCTGAGTGTCGTGGCATTTGCCTGTAGTCCCAGCTACTAGGGAGGCTAAGGTGGGAGGAGCACTACAGCCGGGACAGTCAAGGCTCCAGTGAGCCATGATCATACCACTGCACTCCAGCCTGGGTGACAAAGAGAGACCCTGTCTCAAAATAAAATAAAATTGGCTGAGTGCAGTGGCTCACGCCTGTAATCCCAGCACTCTGGGAGGGCGCGGTGGTGGGTGCCTGTAATCCCAACTACTAGGGAGGCTGAGACAGGAGAATCACTTGAATCTGGGAGGCAGAGTTTGCAGTGAGCCAAGATCGTGCCACTGCACTCCAGTCTTGGTGACAGAGACCCTGTCTCAAAAAAAAATTGGCCGAGCGCAATGGCTCATGCCTGTAATCCCAGTACCTTGGGAGACCAAGGAGGACAGATCGAGTCACTTGATGTCAGGAGTTTGAGACCAGCCTGGCCAACATGGTGAAAGCCCGTCTCTACTAAAAATACAAAAATCAGCCAGGCCTGGTGGTGGGCACCTGTAATCCCAGCTACTCAGGATGCTGAGGCAGGAGAATCGCTTGAACCCGGGAGGCAGAGGTTGCAGTGAGCCAAGACTGCGCCACTACACTCCAGCCTGGACAACAGAGAAAGACCATGTCTCAAAAAAAAAAAAAAATTAAAAGTAAATAAAATCATTCCTTTTCATTTCTGCTTTATTAATTGACAGAGTAGGTCTTTGCTTTTGGCCACTATTTTCTCCTTCACATAATTAATAATCTGTAAAACATATATTCAAGTGCACTAAAAATCGTGCTATTTTAACGAGCCCTTAAAGGATCCTGTTTTTAAATGACAGCTTAAAAAGCAGAAGCTTCATTTCATTTTCTTTTTAGATCTCAAAGTTATACTAATTAAGTGATATTCAATTAGGATAACACTCTATTGAAGTAAATATGTCATATTAAAATAGATTTTCTTTTTCTATATACTCCATAATTTGATACCTTATGGTTATTTTGTATAATTTTAAACAATATGGTTATATGATTTTTTTACTTAAATGTCCTCTCTTAAAAGACATCAAAGAATTTAGAGGCCGGGGCATGGTTGCTCACGCCTGTAATCCCAGCACTTTGGGAGGCCAAGGCAGGCAGATCATGAGGTCAGGAGATCGAGACCATTCTGGCCAACATGGTGAAACCCCATCTCTACTAAAAATACAAAAATTAGCCAGGTGTGGTGGTGCGCGCCTGTAATCTCAGTTACTCAGGAGGCTGAGGCAGGAGAATCGCTTGAACCCGGGAGGTTGCAGTGAGCTGAGATCGCGCCACTGCACTCCAGCCTGGCAACAGAGCGAGACTTCAGTCTCACACACACACACACACACACACACACACACACACAATTTAGGAGCATGCTCAGCACTGACATGGATTTTTTTTTTCTTTCTTTTTTTTTTTTTTTTTTGCACCAAAGGCGTATCCTAGCTTTATTAAAGGGCCCGCGCCACGGAGTCAATATAAAAACACAAAAAGTCCCATCAGTTTAATAACAATAAAAAAACCCAAAAGTGGAAAACTGAGGGGGCAGGGGAAGAGACCCCTGGGCCAGGGGCACGAGGAGCCCTGCTCATGGCACCAGGCCTGGCCGCAGGGTCCCCCGGTATTGCTGTTGCTACGAGGTTGGGGGGCAGCGATTGTCCTGTGGGAACCACCGTTCTCCTGGGTCGGGGACCCTCACTTCTTCTGGGGTGTGCTCAGCTTCTGCATGCCCCGGATCTTGTCCAGCAGACCAGAAATGAAGGCCTCTGTGGGTTTGTAACAGTCAACCAGCAGCTCCTTGACCGTGGCAGCCCGGGCATCGTCACTCTCCATGTCCAGGAGCTCATCCACGTCAATCTCCAGTTCTGGGATCTCCTCTTCCTGGCAGTCGTAGAGGCGCGTGAGCTGCTCCAGGATCCACTCCTCTAGGTTGAGGCGCTTCCGTAGCTCCTTGCGGTCATACTTGACGGTGACCTTCCCTTGGCGCCTCACTGGGCCCTCATCGTCCGCGCCGCCCGGGCCCTCTCCTGCGGTCCCGGGGGGGGCTCTGAAAGTAGACGCGTGGTCCTGGGCCGCCACTGCCCGGCCCGGGGGCCGGGGTCGCCAACGCCGCGCCCCCCGCGGTGCCGCTGTCCGCCATGGCGGCCGCCGGGGCCACGTGCGCGCATCGGGCCCCTCCCTGCGCCACCGCCTCCGGGACGCCCCCGGCTGGCTGGGGTTAGCTCGCCGCGGCGAGGGCAGCGGCGGGGGTGCCCGAGGGCAGCTGCAGCATGCGGAGCCCCCGGGCCTGGCCTGGCCGCGCCCCCTGACATGGATTTCTATACCACAACTCACCTCCATTTTTCACAGGCCTCATATTTTAATGTTTAATTCCCAGTAAATGAGAGTTTCAGGAAAGATTCATAATTGCAAATCATATTTCATTAATCCCAAGATACACATTTTTTCACATTTGACATCTCTGAAATCAGTACCTATCTTAAAGTTGATAGTCTCTTAAAAGTTTATATTTGGCAGCATTTTTTCCTTTAGTGGTATAAAAATAATGTTTCTTACCATTGATAGCATCTCAGGCTAAATGGAATAGTTTTTTGTTGTTGTTTTTGTTTTGTTTTGTTTTGTTTTTTGAGACGGAGTCTGTCTGTTGTCCAGGCTGGAGTGCAGTGGCGCCATCTCAGTTCACTGCAACCTCCACCTCCTGGGTTCAAGCGATTCTCTTGCCTCAGCCTCCCCAGTTGCTGGGATTACAGGCGTCCACCACCACGCCTGGCTAATTTCTTGTATTTTTTAGTACAGATGGGGTTTTGCCAAGTTGGCCAGGCTGGTCTTGGACTCCTGACCTCGGCTTCCCAAAGTGCTGGGATTACAGGCTTGAGCCACTATACCTGGCTGATAGTTATTAAAGTATTAAAATCTTTTATCTAATAATACTGTCTGATCTAAATCACAGTACAATTACAATTCAAACAATTCTAGAGTAAAAGCTAAATGAACTTAAGATTCACATTTTACCATTTTAGAAAACTTAGGGCTAGGCTAACCTCAAGAAAATAAATAATTGGGGGAAAAAAACACTTATTAAAAATTTAGGAAAAGATGTAGATTAGAAGCAAAACCAACAGAAATGACAAAAAAAAAAAATGACTTAAAGACGTTCAGTCAATAGTAGCTTCCAAGGAAGTAGAGGCATGAAATAGCCCCAGAGCTTTATCTATAAAAAGAAACAAATATTAAGAATATGGCAAGGGATAATTCAGCAAACTATCTTGGAGGAAAAATATTATCGTATTACTTCTCCTTCCTTAAGGAGGAATCATTGTCACCCTTTAAACAAAAATATGGTAAAGGTAGATGAAATAATTTTAATGAAATATAAAATTACAAACATTCTTAATAAATTAAAAACCAACCTACCAGCATTGTCTTCCTTCTGGCTCAATCTGTTTCACCTTCAGGTAATCCTAGGATAGGGGCTCGTTTTCAGATCCCCAGTTTTTCATGTCGATCTTCTACCTCCCTGTGGCAACAATATTTTCTAATTAAAGGAGTCCTTTTGTGCCACAGGGAGGATTTCTGATGGTATAACAAATACAAAAGTTATGACAGCTCATCATGAAGTCAAATTAGTCCTGAGATTCTTCAAGAAAGAAATTTGGCTCCTTATCTTATTTTTCATGAAGGAAATCTGGTTTTATTTTTTAAACTGCATTTTAAAAACCTAAACTTTCATTTTTATTTTTAAAAAGCACTGCTTTCTCGTTGAATTATATAAAAATTCTCATCATCATCCATCTTTTCAACTAATGTTTAAACACAATTTTGTTGATCACTAAAAATGGTTTAAGTTTTCTTGATAATTAACTAATAAGACTAAATGTTAATGTCTTGATACGTGGTTAAGGAGCAAAGTCCTGTCCCCAGTGGTCAGAAGACAGAAGTAGGAAGCTACCAACCAGACCACTTGACAGCCAATGTTTATTAAAATTAGCAAAGATTAATCAGTCTGCTTGTATTATATAATATTTTACGATTAAAATGCATTTTTTAAAAGACTAAAAGGAAATGTTTTTTTAAAAAGCAACAATCATTGTCTCCTTGTTGGTAAGATTAGGGGTGATGATTTTCAGTTTGCTTATTCTTTGCAATACTTTCCAATTTTTTCCATTAAGCATGTATTGCTTTTAAGAAAAAAATCAGGCCTGTAATCCCAGCACTTTGGGAGGCTGAGGCAGGCAGATCGCATGAGGCCAGGAGTTCGAGATCAGCCTGTACAACAAGGAGAAACCCCGTCTCTATCAAAAACACAAAAATTAGCCACATAGGTGTGGTGAGTGCCTGTAATCCCAGCTACTGAGGAGACTGAGGCACAAGAATTGCTTGAACCCAAGAGGCAGAGGTTGCAGTGCCACTGCACTCTAGCCTAGGCAAGAGAGTGAGCCGGGCACAGTGGCTCACGCCTGTAATCCCAGCACTTTGGGAGGCCGAAGCAGGCAGATCACAAGGTCAAGAGATCAAGACCATCCTGGCCAACCAACATGGTAAAACCCCGTCTCTACTAAAAATACAAAAATTAGCTGGGCATAGTGGCACACACCTGTAGTCCCAGCCACTTGGGAGGCTGAGGCAGGAGAATCACTTGAACCCGGGAGGCGGAGGTTGCAGTGAGCCGAGATCACACCACCGCACTCCAGCCTGGGTGACAGAGTGAGATTCCACCTCAAAAAAAAAAAAAGAAAAATCAAATTATTAGATATAAGCAAGAATGATGGATACCAACTGTGATTTTTAAAATGAGACTTAAGTATGACTTTACATAGATGGTTCTTGATTATACTACAATACTAACTCAGAACTCAATCTGTTTCCATTTGTATTTTCCAGCTAGTTATTATATGTTCAACAGTATATTTAACAAAAGAAAAAAGTATGGTCTCCGTCTTCAAGGTGCTTATACACTCACTGGGAAAACAATAGGAGTATATACAACAAAAATAATATAAGCAATAATAGATAAAAATAATAAAATAATACAAGAAAGTACCTATATCCAGATGGTATAACAGATCAGGTAAGGGGATGTTTATTGTAGACCACAATCATTGTGGAAATCTTCATGTAGTTGGGCCTTAAAAGATGGCTAATACCTACCTGAGCACATTATAGATAGGAGGAAACTGTCTTTGAGCAAACACTCAGAAGCATAAATAGTACAATCCATGCAAAGGTCAACAAGAAAAATAACTAGGAGAATACAGTGTTTCAGCAGATAAGGCAGCCAGATTATGAAGGATTACTTCTGGATGATTCTATGGGTCACTGAATTTGACAGAAGAGTGGCCACCGAAATCTGATAAAGAGCTTCAGTAGAATGATAAATGGAGATGCCAGAGCACAATAATCAAGGAAGGAATGACAAGGAAAAAGTATAAACTGAAGGTATAAAGCATTTGTTTTTTTTTTTTTAAGTGGAAGCAAAAGGAAGGAGAAAACAAGAGACATAAACAAAGTTAAACAAATATTCCATTCTAATGTATAAAAGTCCTGTCTATACTTGAAGTCACAGGGAAGGTGCTAATGAAGTTAAAGAAACTCTGTCACAAGCACTGTGCTTTATGTATTTATTTTATGTAATCTTCACAACCCTGAATTCCTATTTTCTGACAGTGAAACACTCTGAAAAGGTTAAATACTGCCAAGTAAGTGATAAAGGGGAAATTTGAAAATCAGAACTAACTAACCCAAGTCAATATTCTTCCCTTTCCTACTAAAGAGAGCTACTTAAAGGGCAAAAAAACAAAACAAAACAAAACTCAGAAATAGTCGCCCAGGATTTTCTATCATATTTGACTACTCTTTGATTCTTCTCCACTCTTTAAAATGTAAACATTCTCTAAGGTTAATTCCTTAATTCTATGTCCTTTGTTCTCCATCACAGAGAGACAAATATAGAATTTACGTATCTCCTTCCTTGGGAAAAATCTATGAAATACGTTTCCCCTCGGAAATTTATTTCCACGGCTTTAAATGAGGATGATTCCCAAATCAGTTTCTCCCTGACCTTTCTTTACTAAGCTTTAGTTGTACTAGATATCTTCCATTTGCCCCTCCAGATTTATTCTCCACCCTTCTTCACCTTGCTCTCTGTCCCTGGAGACTGACTTCATCAACGGGATTCCTATGGCTTCAGACTGAGTTTGGTCAATGGCGTACCTTAGCAGGATATTATTGGGAAGAGGTATTGCCCTCCAGCTAGCTGTGTCCTTTGATCAAAGGTTTCAGAATCTCCCAAGGTGACTCCCTGTTCAGGGCTCTATTCTTCAGGATTCTGGTCACCCTTCCTTCCCCTTGGCCCATGAGCCAAAGGACAGAAACAGCAATTATTGCTAGGTCTGCAGTACTGCCCTGTCTCTTACGGGTACCTTATATTTGCCTACATGTTTGTAACTAGCCCTTTATTAAAACATTCCTTAAATTATCCTAATTTTAGCATGCCATCTCTTTTGTGATGGGATCTTGACTACACATTTGTGCATCTTTTTTGTTTATCTGATTGTTTGTTTTTGAGATGGAGTTTCTGTTGCCCAGGCTGGAGTGCAGTGGCATGATCTCAGCTCACTGCAACCTCCACCTCCCGGTTCAGGCAATTCTCTTGCCTCAGCCTCCTGAGTAGCTGGGATTACAGGCGTGCACCACCACACCCAGCTAATTTTTGTATTTTTAGTAGAGATGGGGTTTCACCACATTGGGCAGGCTGCTCTCGAACTTCTGACCTTAAGTGATCCGCCTGCCTTGGCCTCCCAAAGTGCTGGGATTACAGGCATGAGCCACTGCACTCGGCCACATTTGTGCATCTTTAAATACCTAAATATTCATCTTTAAAGTTCTGCTTCAACTCAAAATCATCATGACTATTACCAAACTTATCTGCTTCATCAGTCTTGCCTTCCTCAAATCATATGTGCTACCATCACCATGAACAAGCGTCAAAAAGCAGAATATTTTACCTAACTGTGCCTCTCCCCTTATATGTCATGTAAGATAATATATAGTAATATGGTTTATACAAGCCCTTTCTGTTCCTGTTGCTACTACCTTGTTTTAATATTTCTCAAGCCATCCTTCAACTCATACTACAATAGCTAGTCTTCCTGTCTCATCTTTCCCCCTACAATTAATCCTATATCCAACTGAAATACTAATTGCATGGTACTTTCTTTTTAGAGACATGGCTCACTCTGTCACTCGGGCTGGAGCGCAGTGGTACTACAATCATAGCTCACCTGTAACCTCAAACTCTAATCTCAAAGGATTCTCTGGCCTCAGACTCTCAAGTAGCTAGGACTACAGGTGCACGCCACCATACCCAGCTAATTTTTAAATTTTTTTTTTAAGAGATGGAGTCTCACTATGTTGCCCAGGCTGGTCTTGAATTCCTGGCCTCAAGAGATCCTCCCACCTCTGCCTCTGCCTCCCAAGGTACTGGCCCCCTAGTATTTCCTACTTAAAACCTTCCAAATCTTTCTGCTTCCTTATGAGCCTAATTACTAACTCTTGAGATTTAATTCACAACCTAGTCATAGCACTTAATGAAATCTCCTGCCAATGTCTTATTTACTCAAGATCTTCTGAACAAGTATTGAATTTCAATAGTCTACCCATTTATTAATTATATTTCCCTCAGTTTACAATGCATTTCACCTACCTCCTATTTGTCCACCTAGATCCTATCATGTGTCCTTTACTTTCTCTAAAACATTCCCTAATCCTGTAAATTGAACTTCCCTCTTCAGAAAATTCCTTTGAATTTGTAAATAACGCTCATTTGGCTATTGACTGCTTTGTATTTTGAATATAACACAGATTTTTTTTTTTTTTTTTTTTTTTTTTTTTTTGAGACGGAGTCTTGCTCTGTCGCCCAGGCTGGAGTGCAGTGGCGCGATCTCGGCTCACTGCAAGCTCCGCCTCCCGGGTTCACGCCATTCTCCTGCCTCAGCCTCCCGAGTAGCTGGGACTACAGGCGCCCGCTACCACGCCCGGCTAATTTTTTGTATTTTTAGTAGAGACGGGGTTTCACCGTGTTAGCCAGGATGGTCTCGATCTCCTGACCTCGTGATTCACCCGCCTTGGCCTCCGAAAGTGCTGGGATTACAGGTGTGAACCACCATGCCCAGCCTAGTCTGGTCTTAAAAGATTTCTATCAACACTTATTTATTATTGAGTTCATTGGTATAAACGTGGTGCTTGTTAAATGGTAATTTGTAACAACCTTTTAAATTTATATTATATATAATTTTTATAATTTTTTAAAGTGAACATAAAAACTGTACTTTCAAACTCCTGTAGTGAATCCAAAAAACTCCTTCCCTCCCCTCATTCACCATACCAGTCTATCCAGCAGGCCCCTAGAACTGATGGAGTCTGCAGCCACTGGGGAAGATATGTTATACCTGCCAGAGTCAAGACCACCCTTCACCTATATTTCATCACTCTTCCTCAAAGTCTCTTTATAATTACTAATCTGCCATTGTTATCACAAGCAATTTACTATATGTTTAGATGAATATGCCTATTTTTAAAGTTTCAAAATAGAATTGGTTTCTCCTATACAATTTAAGAGAACATCAGTATTACACATAACCTCTGTGAGGGAAACGTAGACTGTTAATCTACAAAAAGGAGAAACAAACAGCTCGTAATTCCTACTAACAAAAGAGAAATTCTTTTATATGCAAAATAATAAAGATGGCTACATGCAAATCATAATATGATTTTAGTACTCCAACACAAATGACAATAGAACACTGTTTATGATATGGACACATACATATGGGTATTTAGGAATAAAAGGGTAAAAACACTCCAATGAGAACATGCAGAGAACTGTCAGAACAAGCCAATAAATATAACATCTTTTAGACTGACATAATCTAAATTATAATGTAGGAGCATTCTGTGAAGTTTTCCTAGACATACACAGGGAAGTATTCTATACAGATCTCAATTCCCCCAATTCACCAAATAAAATCTGCCATCTTATAAGCATTCCTTTTCTTCCCAGTCAGCTTCTTCTTTAAAACCTACATGTATCTGTAATCTGAGTTTCAATTTTACATTATAAGAAATGAACCTAATCCTAATTCACTACCTAAAAGGAAATATGCATACCAATCTTTATTCATTTGTATATGCCCTAGATATCAGAAGAATGAAAACTTATTCAGATTTTAACTCATTTAAAAATGCATTTGATTCTTTTTTTAGTTTTTGTTTTGTTTTGTTTTGTTTGAGACAGAGTCTCGCTATGTCCCCCAGCCTGGAGTGCAGTAGCACTATCTTGGTTCACCACAACCTCCACCTCCTGAGTTCAAGCGAGTCTCCTGCCTCAGCCTCCCAAGTATCTGGGACTACAGACGCATGCCACCACGCCCAGCTAATTTTTTGTATTTTTAGTAGAGATGGGATTTCGCCGTGTTAGCCAGGATGGTCTCGATCTCTTGACTTCGTGATCCACCCACCTCGGCCTCCCAAAGTGCTGGGATCACAGGTGTGAGCTACCACGCTCGGCCTGATTCTTAATAGAAACAATATTAAGCTCAGATTAGCTGACTTGAAAACTAATCTATGAATATTAACAATCTTTATAAAGTTACATTAAAATCCATGAGCCAGGCTGGGCACGCTGGCTTGTGCCTATAATCCCAGCACTTTGGGAGGCCGAGGCGGGCAGATCACGAAGTCAAGAAATCGAGACCATCCTGGCCAACATGGTGAAACCCTGTCTCTACTAAAAAATACAAAAATTAGCTGGGCGTGGTGGTGTGCACCTGTAGTCCCAGCTACTGGGGAGGCTGAGGCAGGAGAATCATTTGAACCCGGGAGGCAGGGGTTACAGTGAGCCGAGATTGCACCACTGCACTTCAGCCTGGCGACAGAGCGAGACTCTGTCTCAAAAAAAAAAAAAAAATCCGTGAGCCAGGATGGAACATGTACAATGAATTTTTGAGGTGCTTTTATACCATTTTAGAATGATATAAGTAATATGCTTACATTTTCTTTTTGTGTTGAAGTAAATTTTAAAATTATCAAATATTCAAAAACCACTTACAAAAAAAACAAATCACAAAAGTAACTTATTTTACCTAGACTTCCCATATCCTCCTTTTCACAATCACTAATATCTCTGCCCAGCAAATGATATCATTACCCTCAGAGTTCAAGAAGACTAAGAAAATAAAATCCCTTAAGTAGATTACATTCGCTTCCTATTCTGAATTGGTTTTACTTGAATTAATCTAAATTAATAAAACATTTACAGTCAATTATACCAATAATAAGATTCAACCAATCTGCTCTGGTATTTTAATGTGATAAACATCCTAATTTACTAACTTATGCAAATTTGGTGCTATAGTTTTTATCTTTTTTAAAGTTTCCAACTTGCTATCAAAATCATAGTTTTCCTTATTTTTTGACCAAAACACCATCCAGAAATTTCAAACAGGTTCTACTTTTTTCCATTCAACTTAAGCTACCATACTTTTTTCTTCTGCTATTAGTGTTCTGTTTAGTTATGCTCTTGTAATAAAATCAGTTACAATATATAATCCAAAACATCATCCTACAAAATACTTTTAACTGTTCTACCTATCCTTTTCCTCAAGAAGAAAATTCAACTCTGCCACTATACTTCTAGCTTCAGACTGGAAAATTCTCCAAACTCTCATAAAAAGATATGCACTATATACTGTAAATCAGATACCACTCCAGACTACAGTCACGAAGCCCATATGAAGTCCTTGGATGCCTGGTTTTTTGTTTATTTGTTTAGAAATGGGGTCTTGCTATGTTGCCCAGGCTGAACTTGAGCTCCTGACCTTGAGCGAGCCACCTGCCCCAGTCTCCCAAGTAGCTGGGAGTACAGATGCACACCACCACACCCAGCTTGGCTGCCTATTTTGATAAATGAATTTTCCATTATACCTGAGGTTTGCTAGCACTGCAATCATCAGTGCTCTGAAAAGCAAGGTAACTTTCAATCCCTTAGCTCCACAAAAAATAAAATTAGAGGAAGAACAGTTTTATGCTGGAAGAGGCTAGTAGCCCTAAGGGGTACTACTGGACCTCATAAGAAGAAATACATCACATACTCAAAATTTTAATCATGAAAGTTTCCTACATTTATAAAAATGTATCAAAATAGTAAAGAATTTTTACTAGGATTAAACAACAAGTATAATGATTCTTTTTCTCCATTAACAGCTAAAGATGATACATTTGCATGTTTATTATTATGTAAGAGTCACTACAATCCTTCTGATAAAATACTCTATTTTCTTCATAATCAATGGCAAAAACTAAAAGATTTCTCTAAGAATTATAGATACTAATCTCCAATTAAACATATAGCTATCTCACCAGAAATAGACTGAAATACTAAGATCTCTAAGACGACAAAAAGCAAAGAGGAAACTGATAGAACACTACAATGATGCTTCTGATATTAATGAAAAGAAATCTTATTGCTCCATCAATATTAACTCAAAGAAACTCATAATCAATTAGACAATGATAGAATACCATTTTTTTTAATTTAAAAAGCTGTCCTCATAATACTAGCCTATTGACTTGTATAAATAACAGCTAGGATTTATACTCTCAGAAAAAAAATAATAAAATAACTTTATCATTATGTGAAGCTGTAATTTTGTGCATAGAGTCCATGATATGAGACTGTTACACCTCATAGAATTATACAATAGAAGTTTTATATCTACACAAATTCCCTTAAACATAGATGTTTCACTGGTTTCCAAGCTATACTAAATAGCATTAAAAAGGTTTTTCAGTATATTTTTCATCTGGCAATAGTATTGTTGAAGCTTACAAAATGAGAAAGTTATAAATAATGAACATTTTATGAGATGTCTACCTGTTTCCACATTCTCGGTCTCAACTTCTTGTTCTTCTGCCACATCTTGCATCATATAAGTCTCATCATCATAAACCAGAACCTGGGCTGCATAGCCCTGCTCTAATCTGGCACTTGGAACTGGCTCCACAATCACTGCTGGATATTCAGAAACCTTTTCACTTTCCTATAAGAGCAAATTTAAAGAACAATCAACCTTTGTATTTACAAATTCTGAATTCACTTATAAATCCTTGAACTAATACAGTCTCGAGCAGTCCACATAATGAGTTTCAAATATTATAAATATGAATGTAAAAGCCAAAACAAGAGATGAAAAGGGCTAACTTTAATAATCCTTTCAAGTCTCAAGAGGTAAGACATAGATTAAACATTTTAAATAATCTGTGCTTTAGGATTAAGTTGGCAGATTAAAAACATGCATATAATTTCACTTAATTATGAAAGCTGACTAAAACAACAGTAAAAGACTCTTTTATACCTAAACCCACAAGGACAAGAGGTGAGAGCAACAAACAAGAAGAGGTAAGAACAACAAAATCCTGGAAGACTGAAAGTGTCTGGATGAGTATGGAGTGGGTTAGCAGACCCAGCAAAGCCAAATCAGTCTGGCAGCAAAAAAAAAAAAAAAAAAAAAATCTGAGAAACAACACACTGTACAGTGTAGAGAATCTACAGAAAGCAACACCAATTACATGCACTTTTGATTCCTAGACCTTCTCTCTCCTTCATGATGCTAAGCAACCAGACCTCCTCCACCTCAGCAGAAGACAGGTTACTTTCCAGAGAGGAACAACAATAGCATCTTTGAGGCATAATAGGCACAGTTGTTAGCATCATACTCTACCCAAAATGGAGTGTCCAACTAGCTTTTTAGTCCATCACTTTTAGTCATGAACAAAAAGCCAAATATTCATATTCCACACACAGAGAAGATATTATAAAGTAAGAACAGATCACAATTCAGTAAAGAACATTTTAAAATACAAGTAAAAGAATTTTTGGAAATTAAAGATACAATAGCTGAAATGAATACAGGCTTGGAAGATAAAATTGAGGCAATCTCCAGGAACCAGAGGAAAAAAGATAAAGCAATAGAAAACAGGAGAGAAAAGATGGCAATATTAGATGACCAACCAGTCCAGGAGGTCCACTATCTGAATAACAGAGTTCCAAAAAAATAAATCATAAGGAAAAAACAAGAAATAGAAAGGAAAAAAAAAAAAGGTTTGGAAAGAAATCAACAAGAAAGAAGTAAATCAATAAAATTTTCTAAGACTGAAGGATATAAGCCACCCATTTGAAAGGACCCACCAAGTGTCTAGTACAAAAAATTAAGGAACACATACATTGAGGCATATCACTGTGAAATATCATAATATTGGGAACAGAAAAGATTCTACAAGCTTCTAGAAAGAAAACACAGGTTACTACAAAGAATCAGGACACAGACTTCAGTCTTCTCAACAGTCATACTAGAAGGAAGATGACAGTTGAGCAATTTCTTCAAAATTATGAAGAAAAATTACTTCCAATCTAGGATTCTTCACCCAGTCAAATCATCTTATAGAAGTAGAATAAAGGTATCTTCTCAGACATGAAAGATCTCAAACATTTACCTTTCATGTTTCCTTTCTCAAGAAGATACTGGAGAATGTATCCCATCAATAAGAGAGAGTGAATTTTTTAAAAAAGAGAACTATTGCAAATACAGGATAGAAGAGATCAACATAGGAGAGAAACAATGGGAATCTTCAGGAAGACTGTGAAGAGAGATTCCACGATGCTAGCTATGCACCAGATTTAAAGGGCAACCAGTCCAAAATATAGCAGTGTGACTCCTGAGATAGCATGATGAACTGTCATTACTACGATAACCATTGACCTTGTTCCTAAGGACAGAATGTCCAGATCAGTCTGTTCTAGATTTTTATTGACATTTGGCTTACCTTCATGTACCTACTCACTCCACCTGCCCTGCTGCCTGGATCAGCTAAGAACACATTTCACCCCCCAGATGTGTTCTGCTTTGATCTACTATGTGTTGGAGGAAGATTACCATGGGCTTAAAATAAAAGATACAGAACAGCGTTCTTCATGTGACCATATACCTCCTGAACAAATATGCAATACCCAGCCCATACCATACTGTAGCACTGCCAGATACCAGAGCAGGATGTGCCTTACATTTCTAAAAACTCATGGCATTGCTCACTGACTACTTGAAGACAAGCTCATGACACTCAGTGAACCTGACTATTCAGCTATCTTCTCCTGGAAGCCTTCATCTATCTATGATAATATTGCCCTTTCCTAACTCAATTAGCTTGGTAAACTATTTTTTCAAAATAAAATATTGTTTAGGACTATTTTCATAGGTGGCAAAACTATAAAGAAAAGTAAAGAAATTATAATACATAAGTCAAAACAATAGCACCTCTGGAAACAGCGCCCAGCCGGGTTTTAATATTTCAGTGATTCCTTCTCTTTGACCATAAAAAAGCTAAAATCATTTTGCATTAAAAAATTCAGGGTTCATGCCTGTAATCCCAGCACTTTTGGAGGCTGAGGTGGGCAGATCACCTGAGGTCAGGTGTTCGAGACCAACCTGGCCAATACAGTAAAACCCCATCCCTACTAAAAATACGAAAATTAGCCAGGCATGGTTGCATGCGCCTGTAATCCCAGCTACTTGGGAGGCTGAGGCATGAGAATTGCTTGAACCCGGGAGGCAAAGGTTGCAGTGAGACAGGATCACACCACTGCATTCCAGCCTGGCTGACAGAATGAGACTCGGTCTCAAAAAAAAAAAAAAAAAAATTCAGACCAGGTTCAGCGGCTCACACCTGTAATCCCAAAACTTTGGGAGGCCAAGGCAGGAGGACTGCTTGAGCCCAGGAGTTCAAGACCAGCCTGGGCAACATAGGGAGACCCTATCTCTAGAAAAAATAAAAAATAAATATCAGCCGGGCGTTGTGGCTCTTGCCTATAGTCCTAGCTACTTGGGAGGCTGAGGCAAGAGGATTGCTTGAACCCAGTAGGTGAAGGCTGCAGTGAGCCATAATCATGCCTTTGCACTCCAGCCTGGCAACTGAGAACAAGTCTCAAAAATTAAAAAAAAAAAGAAAAATATTAAACTCTCATTTCTTTTAACTGAACTTTTAACTGATCTTTAACTGAAGTTAAAAGGCAACAAGTCCAATTAAAGAAGTTCTTTAACTGAACTTTAACTGATCGATCGAGACGTATACTTGTATACATTTCTCAAAAAAATAGTCTAACTCCTTGACTTATCTATATATTCCTTGTAATCTATGTTCCACCACCTCACTGAAGCTATTCTCTAAAAATATTTTTTTGCTTTTTTTTTTTTTTTGAGACAGGGTCTAGCTCTGTCGCCCAGGTTGGAGTGCAGTGGCACAATCATGGCTCACCGCAACCTCTGCCTCCCAGGCTCAAACCATCCTCCCACCTCAGCCTCCTGAGTAGCTGGGACTACAGGCATGTGCCACCACTCCCAGCTAATTTGTGTATTTTTGGTAGAGACAGGGTTTCACCATGTTGCCCAGGCTGGTCTTGAACTCCTGGACTCGAGCAATCCACTTGCCTCAGCCTCCCAAAGTGCTGGCATTACAAGCATGGGCCACCATACCCAGCCTCAAAATGTTAATAACGACCAAATTCTATTTCAGTTTTCAATCTCTACTGCCTCCCCGCAGACTCATACATTTATTATTACCCTCATTTAAAAAATTCATTCTTCCAACTTTCTCTACCACTCTACTTTCTTTTTTGAAATGGAGTTTCGCTCGTTGCCCAGGCTGGAGTGCAATGGCGCAATCTTGACACACCGCAACCTCTGCCTCCCAGGTTCAAGTGATTCTCCTGCCTCAGCCCCCTGAGTAGCTGGGATTACAGGCATGTGCCACCATGTCCAGCTAATTTTGTATTTTTAGTAGAGACAGGGTTTCTTCATGGTGGTCAGGCTAGTCTCAAACTCCTGACCTCAGGTGATCCGCCCGCCTCAGCCTCCCAAAGTGCTGGGATGACAGGCATGAGCGACTACCCCCGGCCTACCACTCTACTTTCAAGCGTCTCCTCTGACTCTTCTTTCATCTCCATAGACTCAAGTCTAGCCAACTTAGTGAGGTTCTATCCTCAGTGTCTCCTTTCTTTTTGCCCTATACTACCTTCTCAAGTAAGCCCACCCATTCTTATGGTTTCAAATAGCACCTCTATGCTGATAATGACTAAGTATTTGTCCTCTACTCTGACTCATCTTCTGAATTCCAAAACCAAATTTTAAACTACCAACTTTAACATCACTACAGGAATACTCAGTCAACACTTCAAGCTTAACATGTCTAAATGGCACAAATTATCTACATCTGTCCCTGTTTCCCCATTCTGTGTTCTTTAAATCTTGGTTTCTTCATATTTAAAAAAGAGATTTTAATATTTCTGTCCTTTAAAGTCCCATGACTTTATATGCACAAAGTTCTTAGCATAGTATAAGTACAAAGCACAGAGTAAGTTATTCAATTAGTGACAGCTGATATTATATTTTAACAATAGAAATAGTCTTCAAATCTACTATTTGCCCTCAACTTTAGAGGGCACCTTTTCACATCACAATCAGAACTGTTTGTGTTACTTCCTTGCATAAAAAGCATTAATGACTCCCCTTTGGTCTAAAAGGAAAGTTTAACAAATTAAACAATGGCTTTAACACTCTGAAATATAACCCCAACCCACCTGTCATGGGCTGAATTGTGTCCCCCAAAAAGATGAAGTTTTAACCCCTAGCTTCTGTGAATGTGACCTTATCTGGAAATAAGGTCTTTGCAGATGATCAAGTTAAGACAAGATAATTAAGATGAGCCCTCACCCAATCTGACTATGTCCTTACAAAAGGGAAATTTGGACTCTGAGACACACAAATGGGAAGGAAAACCATGGAAAGACACAGGGAGAACACCATCTACAAGCCAAGGAGTGCCTGAGGCTACCAGAAGCTAGGAGAGAGGCATTAAAGAGATTCTCCCTCCTAGCCCTCAAAAAAAAACAAACAACAATAAAAAAAAAATCTATCAACACCTTGATTCCTAAATTCTGACCTCCAGAACTGTAACACAATAAATTTCTGTTGTTTAAGCAACCTAGTTTACAGTACTTTGTTACAGCAACCCCAAGAAACTAATATACCACCTTTATATCTTATTTCCCTACATTACTTAACATAAATTGATTAGTGGCATTGCTTCTAATTCCTAAATGTGAACATTTCCAAGACTTTTGCTCATGTTATTTTGTAGCCTTCACATCTGTCCAAATCCTTTTCATCTACTGAAGGCTTTTCATCAAGTTCCAGGGAATCTTCTATAATCCTCCAATCTGAATTAATTTTTCTATCCTACGTATTTATAGAACAAGTTGTTTGCCTAATATTACCACTGTTCATTGTCCCATATTATAATTATGTGTTTACATATACAACTCCTTGACTGGTTAGTAGGATATTTGAGAGCAAGAGTTATATCGTAGTCAATTTTTATATCCTCCTTAATAACACATGCTTCATATAAACTAAAGTGGCATTTAAGTACAGATATTTGTAGCTTGGCTCAAAGAATAATAAAGTCAACAAATTTTAATATTAACAGGTATTTATAAGTTCAACATTTGCTCATCTATGGAGGCAAGTAACTTCATGAGCCTTTTTTCTGCCATATGATACAGACCAGAGGACACTGCATGCAGCTATTCAGATAATTATTGCCTTGTACTGTGTAGAAGAGTAGCTATTTTTATGGGAGAAAGGGGATGGAAGAGAAGAAACCAGGAGTCTTTGCTTAAAAATAAAATAGCAAAAAATAACACATGTACAAGGTTATTTTACTTAGCATTACTTTGCTCAAGTCACCATGGGTCTTGGCACAAGCTGTCTAATTCCCTACAAGCTAGGGTGCAAATAAAAAAATACAGGATACCCAGTTAAATTTGAATTTCAGAGAAACACTGAATAATAACTGTAAGAATGTCCCATGCAATATTTGGGACATACTTAAAGTAAAAAGTCATTTGTTGTTTATCTGAAATTCAAATTTAACTAGACATCCTGTATTTTATCTGGCAACCCTACTGTAAGTATTAACAGTGATCTCAAAAACTTCCATTTAAGGAGAGAGATTCTTAGTTTAAAGAGGCAAGACAAGTGCAATGCTGCAGTGTTTACCTAGAAAGTGCTTTTATATGCACTCAGTCATTGCTCTCCAGGTATCAGAAGTTTCCAAAGACAAGTACAATGAAATGGCTGAAAGCAGTGGTATTGTAATCCTTTTCTCAATGTACTTTAGGAATATATAGAAAGATAATAAAATTCAGGAGTATGTGAAAAGTACATAAATTTGTTCCACATTTTCTCTTTCGAGGTAGAGTAAGGTTACCTTAAAAAATCTTATCAAAACTGAAAAATGCCGTTTGGCAGGCTTTAGGGAGGACTCATCTCCCCTACCTCTCATGGTTTAACCCCAGAAACCACTCCAAATAAATACGTCACTAGAATAAATAATGGTGCACTTGCTATGCAAACCCAGTTTTAAGACAAGTCCCCTAAGCTAGATGTTCATAATGCCAAAAAAAAAAAAAAGAGATAGAAAACATACACCCATACTAACAAACATCCATACAATGAGAGACTATTCAATATCAATTAAGCAATTAAGGCAGTTAGAGCTATATACTGGCATGGAAAAATATCCATGATACAAACAAGAGGGGGTGGAAGGAGGAGGAAAATGAGCCATAGAATAGTACTGTTGTCTGATTCCATTTATATATTTATTTAGCATATACATTTAAAAGTCTGGAAAAAATACACCTCAAATTATTAACCTGGTGAAAGAGAGGTGAGCAGACAAAAGATGGATTTTCATTTTCTCAGTATGTCTGAGTTTATTGTTTTTTACAATGATCCTGGTAATTAAGAAATATCAAAATACTTTTTTCATTTAAAAATAACAATTGGTACAAAAACCAAAAAAATAAAATAAATAAAGCCAGTAACAGGTAATTTGACAACTTTAAAAAGGAATCCATTTGCAAAATATAAAACTTGTGGAAGAATATGCCTCACCAGATGAAAATCTTTTTATTTTTCTTATGAATTTTCACAAATGTAAACATCCCTGTAACTACCATCACAGTCAAGAAATAGAACATTTCCATCACCCCAGAAAGTTCCCTCATACCTAACTTTACCCGTCAATCCCCACCACATGTGCATGCACACACACACATACACGCAGACCTAGGCAACCACTGATCTATCCCTATAGATTTCTATCCCTATAGATCTGCCTTTTCTCAAATTTTACATTGAAATCAACAGTTCTCTTTTGTGTCCAACTTCTTTACTGCTGATATTTATACATATTGCTGCATGTATCAATACTTCATCTCCCTTCATTGCTGAAAATTCTATTGTAGATATGTCAATTGCTTATCCATTTGCCTGTCTTCATATGGCGGTAATGCTCCTATGAACATCCTGGTCTTTCCTCCCCTTCCTTTCCGTTCCATTACATATTTACCTAAGAGTCAAATTATCAGATCACATGGCAATTGTACATTTAATTTTGCAAGTACTCAATTTTCCAAAGTGGTTATATTACTTTACATATATATATATATATATATATATATATATATAAAATATGTAATTTTTTTTTTTGGTGGGGGTGAGGGAGAGACGAAGTCTTGCTCTGTCCCCAGGCTGGAGTGCAGTGGCGCAATCTCTGCTCACTGTAAGCTCCGCCTCCCCCAATCTCGGCTCACTGCAAGCTCAGCCTCCCGGGTTCACTCCACTCCTGCCTCACCCTCCCAAGTAGCTGGGACTACAGGCACCCGCCACCATGCCCGGCTAATTTTTTGTATTTTTAGTACAGACGGGGTTTCACTGCGATAGCCAGGATGTTCTCAATCTCCTGACCTCGTGATCCGCCCGCCTCGGCTTCCGAAAATGCTGGGATTACAGGCGTGAGCCACCACGCCCAGCCTACATTCTTATAAGCAATAAGGATAAGGAGAGGTTTAGCTGCTCCTTATCCTTTCCAACATGTGGTATCACTCTCATCAATTTTCCTCATTCTGTTTATTTAGTAGGATCGCCTTGTGGTTTTAATTTACATTTCCCTGATAGTTAATAATATTGAGCATTTTTACATGTATTTAACGTTCCATTGATCTACATGTCTGTTGGCACACCAATAACCACACTGCCTCAATTAGTGCAGCTTTATAGAAAGTCTTTAAATCAGATGTGTAAGGCCTTCAACTCTGTTCTTAACCACAGTATGTCTTCCAATCCATAAACTTGGTACATCTCTCTATTCAGGTCTTTAATGTGTCTCAACAGTATTTATAGTTCACTGTATAGAAGTCTTTTATATATTTCATTAAACTTTTCCCTACCTTTTTTTTTTTTTTTAAGATACGGGGTTCACTATGTTGCCTGAGCTGCACCTGAACTCCTGGGCTCAAGTAAGCCCCTCACCTCAGCCTTTAGTGTAGCTGGGACTATATGCACGTGCCAGTGCACCCACCTGCTTTTTGATGCTCTATTGAATAGTACTGCTTCAGTTTCCAATTGTATATTGCTAGTATATATAAATAATTGCTTTGTATACACTCACCTCATATCCTCTGGCTATTCTAAATTTATTAGTTCTAATAGTGTGGATTTCTTAGGCATTTCTAGGTACACAGTTATATCATCTAGAAATAAAGACAGTTTTACTACTTCTCAAACGTGTGAGTCTTTTATTTTTCTTGCTGCCTTGTAGTAATGTTGCCAGTGCAATGTTGAATAAAGGTGGTTAGGGCAGACAACCTTGCCTTGCTCTCAACCATTAAGTATGATGTTGGCTGTGGGTTTTTCACAGATTCACTTTACCAGGCTGAGAAAATTGCCCTTTATTGCTAGTTTAGAAAGTTTGTATAATGAATAGGTGTTAATTTTTGGCAAATGGGTTTTCTGTAACTGCTGATATAATCACCTAATTTTTCTCTTTCACTCCTGTTGATATGGTGAATCACTTGATTCATTAAACTTACCTTCCTGGGATTAAAAAAAAAATTGATTATGGCATTCTACCATTTATACACTGCTAGATTTGACTGTTAGTTTTTTGGTTTTGCTTTTTTGTGTTTTCATTGTTTTTGTTTGTTTGTCACCCAGGCTGGAGTGCAGTGGCACCATTATGGCTCACTGCAACCTCTACCTCCCAGGCTCAAGCAATCCTCCCACTTCAGCCTCCCAAGTACCTGGGACTCCAGGTGCATGCTACCATGCCTGGCTAGTATTTATTGTATTGTATTGTATTGTATTGTTTTATTTTATGTTATTTTATTTTATGTTATATTTATTTTATTTTATTTTATTTTATTTTATTTTATTTATTTTATTTTATTTTATTTTATTTTGAGACAGGGTTTTGCCATGGTGCCCAGGCTGGTCTTGAAGTCCTGAGCTCAAGAAATCCACCTGCCTTAGTCTCCCCAATATAGAAATGGGGGTCTCCTGGGTGGCTTAGGCTGGTCTTGAACTCCTGTCCTCAAGTGATCATCCTGCCTTGGCCTCCCAAAGTGTAGGGGTTACAGGTATGAGCCACCACACTAGGCCCAATACTTCTCTTAGTATTAAATTATTCCTATATATTTAAGTCATATTTGGTACTTTGAATTTTTAAATATATGACTACATTTTATATATTTATTACTATTTTGAAAAATAATTTTTGCAACTATACTCATTATAGTTTACTATTTTGGGACATCATTTTCAGAAATAGAATAATCCTAATTGTATTAAATGTATTACTTTTATAATCAGGGGAAACATTACAAAGAAAGCCTAAAAATAGTGATAATAAAACTCCAGATACCTACCACTTTTTAAATATTTATTTTTTCTTCAGGTTCTGGGACTCTGATTACAAAATTTTGACAGGTCAGTTTTCATCCCATTCTACATTTTAGAATATATATTCTATTATACATATACTACTATATATATGTGTGTGTGTGTGTGTGTGTGTGTGTGTGTGTGTGTGTGTGTATATATGAATGAAACATTCCTGAAAAACTGCTCCTAAGACAAAAATCTATCTTTCAAATACCACCATTCTCAAATCTCCCTTTGTAAAATCAAACCATGTTTCCAGTATTAGTGGCTTTTCTCTCTTCCTGCAATTCTCTTCCCCTAGATATTTATATTGCCCCACCCCTCACCTCATTTAGCTCTAAACTAAAATGTCACCACTTTGGTGAAGCCTTCCTTGGCTGCCCTAATTGAAGTACTCCCTACTAACTTCTCTATCCAGCTCCAGTCCTGAATTATTTTTCATAACATTTCTGAAATATTTATCCCCAGTGCCTAGAAAAGTACTTCATAGATAGTTAAGTGGTGAATTAATATTAGTCAAAGGAAAAAATGAATGAAAATAAGTGGCCACTTACGTAGCATAAACAAAAAACTCCCCAGAATAGTTTGCCCTACTCTGGGGCCACACTACCTGACATGCTCATTAAGGATATAGTCTTCTTCTGACTTCCTTTATAAAATGTGATCACCCTATAAGACTACCACATAAATCACTAGTCAATAATAATTTGGTAAAGTCATTTCATTTATGAGATTCTTTCTTCCACGATAATAAGTTCTCCTGGCCGTGAACACTGAAGTTCCATGTAAAGGAAGAAAAATATAAGGAGTATTCCAGAAACAAACTGTTGTCCTCATTTTCCCCATATTAATGATACCTTTTAATCCACACAAGGTAAAGATATTCTGCCTATTGTTTTTGGTGGCTCCCCTCATAAGGTTAAAACAGAGCAAAACTATATGGCAGGAGAAAGCATTTGAGGAAAAAGCAGTATTTGGTCTGGGTAATCTAGGAGGGGATGGCAGTTCCCCAATCCCTAATGTCTTCGGTGAGTCATTCCTGGAGGTGATCATACAGAAAGTGAATCTTGAGGGAAGAAATAAGACATTGACGATGGGAAGAAAGTATGTTCTGCAGCTGTGGCTTCTCTTAATGGACTTTGTACCTGTTTTGGATTTGAATACAAAAGAAACACTTAAGAGTTTTTGAGTCCACTGAGAAAAGAAAAAGAAGACCTTCACTTTATCCTATTCCCAGTGAATTTGCCCATAGCTGATCCGGATCTTAGAAAAATGAGCAGACACCAAGGAGCAAAAAAAAAAGAATCCAGACTACAGAACGCACAGACTGATGTCCTAACTTGTTTCTCAAACATGCCATTATACCGTTATACTGGTAGGAAGCACGAGTAATGCAGCATCTTTCAAAGAAAATAGAGAAAACAGATTTTTTTTTAATATAGAAAACTCTCCATTTTCCCACCTCAGCTCTGAACAAATATTGTCCATTATTATGACGGCTATTGAATTATAATTAGATCCCTTCCAATATTCACTCTTTTTTTTTTTTTTTTTTGAGACGGAGTCTCGCTCTGTCGCACAGGCTGGAGTGCAGTGGCATGATCTCGGCTCACTGCAAGCTCCGCCTCTCGGGTTCACACCATTCTCCTGCCTCAGCCTCCCGAGTAGCTGGGACTACAGGCGCCCGCCACCACGCCTGGCTAATTTTTTTGTATTTTTAGTAGAGGCAGGGTTTCGCCATGTTAGCCAGGATGGTCTCAAATGCCTGACCTGGTGATCCGCCCACCTGGGCCTCCCAAAGTGCTGGGATTACAGGCGTGAGCCACCGCGACTGGCCCCAATATTCACTCTTTACTGAATGCTAAGAACAGAAGCCAGGACCTAGAAGCCCCGGTATTTCTACTACTGTTATTTTTTTATTCTCATCTAATTCTTCAATGTTATCAATAACAAAATAACCAAATATGCTAATGATTCAAAATCCTACACGCATAAAATTTCAAAATCTGAATTCATTTTCTGACTTACTAATTATCTAAATTCGTGTTTAAATGAGATTAAAATACAATGGATCTCCACACCGATTTAGATATAAAATAATCAAGAAACAAAGATAATAAGTAAAGCACATACAAAATTCTAACTTAGAATGAATCTAATTTAGGTATTTGGGCATAGTATATACCTACAGTATAATCCAAGACAATGGGTTTTATGAGGGATTTAAATTTAACTCTCAACTAATACTATAGTGTTCTTTCCATTCCTTTCCTCCCTCCAAGTTCATTCTAATATATGTATGTTCCAACAATTCACGTAAGCCCTGCAATACCTTCCTTGACCTTCTATTACCTAAATTATATAAGGATACACGACATGTACATGTATAATTTCATGCTTTGTACATTTTTACTCTCAAATATGTTTCCTATTAATTTCAAAATTAGTTCATGCACAAATTTCTATGAAGAAAATAGAAATGTAATTCATTGAATGCCTAACCTCTTGATTTTCTACTCCATTGCTGGAAAGCTCCAAAATAGTACCTCCACTGTCAACCACTGCTGATGTCATTGTTATTCCCTGAGGAAGCTTCAAACGCTATTAATCAATGAAATTAAAGGTTCACTGATGGTTGCCAGTGTTATAGGTTTGCATTATCATGTTTTAAAAGTCAATAGAGATGGAGTGGAGTAGATATCCAGAAATCCAGTCTTCTAAAGATGATTAACCAGAAAGCCTAAAAAGAGGAAGAATTTGAAAAGTTATTTTAAAAATTACAGGAAGGACATAAATAAAGCATAACTTATTGTGCAATCTAATTTTAACACTTAACTAAGAAAAAGAAGACAGGCTTAACATCCCCGTGTCAAAAGAGGGCAGTAATGAACATTCTGCTTCTTAAGAGTTAGTAATCAAGTTCATGAACATACTGAATTAAGTTCTTAACAAGCAATTGTACATAGGTAGTATTATGATATTCATATTCTAGGAGATAAATATAACTGTGCCAGGTGCGGTGGCTCACGCCTGTATATTCCAGCACTTTGGGAGGCCGAGGCAGGCGGATCACGAGGTCAAGAGATCGAGACCACCCTGGCCAACATGGTGAAACCCCACCTTTACTAAAAATACAAAAATTAGCTGGGCATGGTGAAGCGTGCCTGTAGTCCCAGCTACTCGGGAGGCTGAGGCAGGAGAATCACTTGAACCCAGGAGGTGGAGGTTGCAGTAAGCCAAGATGGCGCCACTGCACTCCAGCCTGGCGACAGAGTGAGATTCCACCTCAAAAAAAAAAAAAAGTTATAACTTTCTCCCTTTATAAAGATGCTGTTTTATTCCTGAAATATGTTAGTTTCTATAAATGTTAAAGATCTCTTATTCATTTAATATATAAAATGTGCCAGACTGAGAAAACTTTTAAAACTATTTGCCTATTTAACAAATCAAAAGATTATTGATCCTTAAATATTTCATTCTTCTTCTTTGCCTCATCTGGTTTGTCTGAACAATCAGAACTGTCTTTTGCTTATGGCAGCAATCTCATTTTGTATTCACACTTTGAATACAGGAACTGTATGTAAGAGAGATTTATTTGAATTGCTTATATTTTCAAATAAAGTAGTTTAAAAATAAAGTAGTTACCACTTGGAATGCCTTCAATATTATTTTATCATACTTTCCTCAATTTTTTGATATTAGTTCTATCATACTTTCCTCAATTGTTTTGATATTAGTTCAAGATGCAATATAGCAAATGGTTTCAAGTAATTTCTTAACCTCTCACATTTTTTCCCCTTCCTATATGATCTGAATTTATGAATTAAATTACTCCTAAAAAATTTTTTTGATTTCATGTATACAAAAATTTTCATACAGAGGAAGTACAGAGATTTATTACTAACAGAATTTTTTCATGTCAAAAAGAATGCAGAAAAATCAAGCATATCTGAAGAGAAAGTATATAGTTCCCATAAATCATTCCATTAATATTATGCCCTTGTATTATGTTTGCCTGCTGGCAATATACAGATATGGAAATAAAATAATAAAGAATTTCCAGAAACTTCTAGAATAGAATGAAATACCTGAAAAAAAGCAGAAATTTCATCTTACTGATCAGTACTATTAGCCTCCCTTTTGATCTTATAAACATAAAATGGAACAGAAAGTCTTTGTATCTTAAGAAGAAAAAATAATAAAATTCCACAGTCCCATCATACTATCACCATATAAGGTACTATTCCCAATATATATAATAATAGCAGAAATAAATTTTACTTACAGTTTGTATGTTAAGTAGTCTAAGCATCCTTCACTATTTTCACAACTTGGGAAGAGCTAAAATCTGAACCAGTAGTTCTTTGGAACTGCCAGCGGGAGGGGAAAAAAGATAATATTAATATAATTATATTAAAAAGCACTATGCTCAAACAGATGTGATTGAGATAGTAAATACTTAATAAAACAAATCACTTCCAAAGCCATATGTCGCACATTCACATAAGGAATATAATAAATTATTTCTAGGTTTTTGAGAAATCAGAAGTTTTTATCAAACTTAAAATTTTAATTCACCACTACATAACAAATATTGAGTGAGGACAGAATCAACGTATGAAGCCTATGCTCCATATTATGGGCTGCATTTCAAACAGGTTCTTTTTTTTTTCTCCATTGGGCAAGTTCTAATAACAGGTTCTTAGTAAGTGGCTACAGGTATAACCCCTGCTCCCCAGGAGTATAAAATCAAGTTTGAAAAATAGGACTAGCCCAAAAAACTACTATAAAACAATGTTTAAGGAAAAAAAATTTTTTAGAGTTGGGGTCTCACTCTTGTCACCAAGGCTGGATCGCAGTGGTGAGATCACGGCTCACTGCAGCCTCAAATTCCTGGGCTCAAGCTATCCTTCTGCCTCAACCTCCTGAGGAGCTGGGACTATAGGCATATGCCACCATGCTCAGGTCAGTATTTCTTACTTTTTACTTTTATTTTTAAATATAAGATATTGCTATGTTACCCAGTCTGATCTGGAACTCCTGGCCTCAGGTGATTCTGCCACCTCAGCCTCCTGAGTCACTATTAGACATGTTCCTGCTATGTCACCCCACCAACTTAGCATCAGCACCCATCCAAACATCCCAAGCCCTACTTCTAACTCCCAAGCCTCCTCAAATAGTCCGCCTTCTTTCAAAGGCTAATGTATTGACTTAAGCACTTGATCGTAGGCCTTGTTCCATCAATTATTCCCTTTTTCCTTAACCTTCTCATACTACCATTGGACTTCTTTCCCTCAACATATAAGCATTTGCAAGATCCTCTCATCTTAAAAGTAGAAAAGTTGGCTGGGCAAGGTGGCTCAGGCCTGTAATCCCAACACTTTGGGAGAGGAAGGCAGAAGATCACTTGAGCCCAGGAGCTCCACACCAGCCTGGCCAACATAGGGAAACCCCTGTCTCTACAAAAAATAAAAAACTTAGCTGGGCCTGGTAGTGCAAACCTGTAGTCCCAGCTACTTGGTAGGCTGAGGTGGGAGGACCGCTTGAGCCCAGGAGGTTGAGGCCACAGTGAGCTGTGATCCTGCCACTGCACTCAAGCCTGGGTGACAGAGCAAGACCCTGTCTCAAAAAAAAAAAAAAAGGAAAAGTCCTCTTCCATTATCCTGCATACCCTTCCAGCTACTGCTCCAGTTCCTTCCTTTCTCAGGTAAGTTTCTAGATAAGAAATCTTTTATATTTTATACTCTTGTCTCCACTTTCTAATTTCTCAAGCACTCCTCCTTCTATCAAAGTTTGGCATCCATCCCCACTCAACTGAAACTTTTACTAAATTCTGCTTGTAGAATCCAATGGATACATTTCTGTCTTCATAGGACTTGCTGCCTCTGAAGCATCTGACACTGTTAATCACTCCCTTCTTGAAACTCTACCTTGAATTTATCTTTTCCCTCTCTGGCTACTCCCTTTCAATTCCCCCTTGCAGGCTCAACCCTCATTTTCAAGGGGCCTGGGACAAGAATACAAATGGAAGCCTACATACCATGTGTCTAAATATTTTTAAAAGTTCTAAATCAAGCTGTTAAATTATTATTCCATCCTTCTATCTTGACTAATAATAACCTGAAAGGCCAAGTTCTATTTTTGAGTTCTCAGGTTCCCTTCATGTTACGTAGGGACATAGGAAGGAAAATCCATACCCCTTCCCCTTGTCTGCAGCCAACTCCTTTTCTCTTCCCACTTTTAGCTCCACTTTATACGAAGGACTTCATATGCACACATATATAAAGCCTACAGGTCCAAGCTCTGGTCACATGACTGCAAACAGCTGCTCCTTGGCCATCCCTTAAACACAGGGGATCCCATATGTGTTGTACAGTCAAGAGAGGAAAGAATCAGAGAAGACAGTTGTGAAGGGACACATGGGCAGGAAATTCTAGGATCAAATATTCAAAGACTGATCTAGAAAGAGACCAGGTAGACTAGTCTAGTCACCTTGGCCCCCCACAAAGTCTTCACTCTATGGGTAGGGTTGTAGCTGCTGGAGGAAGGCCATATGAGGACCTTTAAAGCACAGGTCTTTTGTTGCCAGTTGGTGAAGTCTTAGGACAGTGCTGCTCTCTGGTCAACCCTTACAGGCGGGTGTTTCCAGGATCCCATCCCTAGTCCTTTTCTCTTCAGATTCTTTACACTCTTTCTAAGCTATGAAATCTACTCCTACAGCTTCACTCAACTCTCTCTTCCAGATTTGTCTACTAGATGTTTTATTGCCTCTACTTCATTGAAATTAGATAAGGTATACATAAATACTAAGCACTGATGCCAGGATAACCCAAGCACTCCATTCATTAATTCAATCACACAAACACTAAATGAGCACTATTATATGATAGCACAATTTTAGGTGCCCGGGTCCAGTAGTGAATAAAGGCAAAGTCCCTGTTTTTATGGATCTTACACTGCAGAGGAGAGAGAAAAAAATAAAATAGTACACCATACCTGTAGATGGTGATGAAGGCTAAGGAGTTAAATTAACCAAAGAGATAGGGATTATTTGGCAGGGAGAGCTGCCAATTCAGATTGAGTGGTCAGATAAGGACTCACTAAAAAAGTGACATATGAGTAAAAACCCAAAAGTAGAAGTGAGTTGTGGCAATGCCTGGCACAAGAGCCTTCTAGTCAAAAGAAATTCAACACCCTCAAGAGGATGTATGCCTGACTAGTTAAAGGACCGGCAAGGGGACCCAATACAGCTGAAGTGAAGTGAGCAAGAGGAAGAAAGAATAGTTGAAGAAGAGGACAGAAAGGTAAGGGAAGGGAGCCAAGTAGGTCCCCTGTAAGGACTTTGACTTCAGAGAGAAGAAAGGTTTTACACAAAAAGATGATCTGATTATTATAAGGATCATTCAGATGCTGGGTTGAGAACAGACAAGGGGACAACAGCAGAAACGGGGGTCAGTTAGCAGGCTGCAATAATATATGTTGTGCAAAAGTAATTGCAGTTTTGCCATTACTTTTAATGTAATGCAAACTACTTTTGCACAAACCCATAATGAGATGAGAAGTGATACAGGCTGGGACCAGAGTGGTAGTTCTGGAGGTAGTGAAAAAGTGATCATAGCCAAGCATGATGGCACACCCCTTTGTCCCAGCTACTCGGGACGCTGGGCAGGTTGAAGCTGCAGTGATCCAAGATCTCTCTACTGCACTCCAGTTTGGGCGACAGAGTGAGACCTTGTCTCAAAAAAAAAAAAAAGTGATCAATCTTTAGATGTATTTTGCAGATAAAAGGATGACATTTGCAAGCAAAATTGATGTGGATTGACTGCTATGAGAGAAAGAAAGAAGTCAAGAATGAATCCAGGCTGGAGGATTCTCAGATGATGGAGTAGGATGCACCAGGAATCTGTATCCCTATCTAGACAATTGCACTGGCAGAATCTACCTAATGTAACTATTTTGGAACCCTGGCTAAAGGCTTACAACCTCCAAGGGAAGGCTTGAACAATAAACTGTGGTTAATTTCGGTCATTCTAGCTCTCAGCACAGTATCAGCTACCACCCATCCCCCAACTCGAGGGTAGACAGCTGTGCATGTGTTCCTGGAACAGTCTGCATGCAACTTGTGAGGGCCATGGTAAGCAAAAAGGACTATTTTCCAAATATCAGAGATCTGTGCTCTGATCACTGATTATTGCTTCTGATCACAGAGGAGCACACAAAGAAATGAGTAGATATTATTGTTATGCCTCCCTTCACTGTTGCAAGCTTCTCCCCCTCTGGCTGAAGTCACTTCTAGGGGACTTAAAAGGCCAGCAAACCCCATTTTACTCTTTTTCCCCTTTTGAGAGCCACACATTAAAGACCAGGACATTTGGCTGGGCACAGTGGCTCACATCTGTAATCCCTGCACTTTGGGAGGCCAAGGTGGGCCAAGATCACTTGAGGTTAGGAGTTCAAGGCCAGCCTGGCCAACACAGTGAAACCCCGTCTCTACTAAAAATACAAAAAATAGCCCAGCGTGGTGGCAGGCGCCTGTAATCCCAGTTACTCGGGAGGCTGAGGCAGGAGCTCGAGCTCGGGAGGCGGAGGTTGCAGTGAGCCAAGATCGAGCCACTGCAATCCAGCCCGGGCAACAGAGCAAGACTCTGCCTCAAAATAAAAAATAAACTAAAATAAAGACTAGAACATTCAAAAACTATATATATGAAAAAATGTGGAAAGTGACCACACATGCCCAGGCTCAGAAAAGACCTGAGAAGACCTTAAATACACCTTAGCCTGATCCTTGCCACAAAATCAGCCTACAAAAATTTAAATTTTAATTAAAAAAAAAATTCCCACCCTCCTCAAGATGGCAGATTGGAGGTAGTATTGGCATGCCTCTTCCACTTGGAAAGAAAAAATAGTGGGTAAAGACTCAAACTGTGAACTTTTTTCAAAGAAGCAATGCAGGAACTTAATGGAAAAACGGAAACCACAGATCCTTTGAAAGAAGGGGCAGGCTGCAGTCTACACCATGAGCCAGGTAAAAAACTGTAAGTCCCCAGAGTGTGAGAGGGAGAGAGATTACCTCCAGAGTATACACCCCCACTATGAAAACTAGAAATCCGGCCCACAGAGGAAGGCCTTAACCCCACCCAGTGCTAAAACTAATATAGGGAGCAGTGGAGAATATACAAGAAGCACCAGGGGCGGGAAGAGCCTTGTGCGTATTCCCGGTCTCCAACGCAAACCAAGGGAAGCTATTCCTGATTCTGTGTCACAGGAGAGTTCACAAAGTTCTGCCAACCAACTGAGGCAGTGGTTGCAGGTTGAAAGAAGCTCCCAATTTGAAATTCAAAATATAATCTCAAGTGGGGATGAACTGCCTTGGCTGAACTGGGCGGATGACTGGGAAGTAAGCTGTAACCACAGACACAGAAGTTGGGTGCTCTGGCATTGCCAGTGGATGAAAAGGGGCGTGGCCTGAAAGCTGAGGTTCCTGTATGTAAACAGCTTGGAATTTAGCTAGCTGCTGCTAGTGAACACTCTGAGTGAGAGACTTGCCTTGCCAAGTGTGTAGGAGCTGGATGAGACTTACTCCCACCTGCTACTCCCCACTCCCTGCATGAACTCTTCTGTGAAGCAGAGGCAGCTAAGCTTTTTCCTGGAACATTACCCCAGTGGCCAGGGAATGGCTCCAAAAGCCCAACATGGATCTGTGCTTACACCACACATGCAGAGCCAAAGAGCAGGCCTGCCTGACCAAGCCCCCCACCTGGCTTTGACCCTCCACCTGCCCTGGTAGGTTAACACAAAAGACAGAAACTTTGGGGAGCCCTATGGCCTCACCCATCATCTGATAAACCAAAATACCTCCCATGGGTAACATAAGACAAGCACATATCCCACCACTTCAACCACAGCTGGCACTCTTTTGCAAGCACCACCTCCTGGCTGGAGGCCAACAGACACAGTTTACTACAGCAACTACAGGTAAAATAACATTGCACCCAAGAAGGAGAAAACTTATGCATGACCCAGTTATCAGCACTGTCTGCAGTACCCTGGCTAACCAGGATGTCCTGAGTCTGTCCACATGACCAGTTTATTAATACTACAACCAGCATTTAAGAAAGCCAACGCACTACGGCTATTTACAACCAAGGAATCTCACAACGTATGTCATTCCCCTGTTACCCCTATGAGAGCTGGTGCTGGTACACATTGCTGGGAGACTTGAGGACAGATAACATCACTGGATCCCTTGCAGACATTCCCCAGAATCAGCCTGGAATGTGGTAACCCCACTGGGCAGCTAGACCCAGAGGAGCAGCAGTACTCACAGTAGTCTGGCTCTCAGGGACTCCTACTCCTAGGGCAAGGGGGACAGCACCACATCAAGGAAGCAACCTGTTCTTCTTCATTCTATGAAGTCAGTATCACCCTGATACCAAAGCCAGGAAAGGATGTAACAAAAAGAAAGAAAACTACAGACCAATATCCCTGATGAACATAGATGTAAAAATCCTCAACAAAATACTAGCTAACCAAATCAAATGGCACATCAAAAAGATAATACACCATGATCAAGTGGGTTTAATCCCAGGAATGCAGGGATGGTTTAACATATGCAAGTCAACAAATGTGATATATCACATAAACAATTAAAAACAAAAACCACATGATTGTTTCAATAGATGCAGAAAAAACATTCAATAAAATCAAGTATCCCTTTATGATAAAAACACCCAAAAAACAAGGCACAGAAGGGAATTATCTCAAAATAATAAAAGTCATATACGACAAAGCATACTGAATGGGAAAAAGTTGCAAGCATTCCCCCTGAGAACTGGAATAAGACAAGGATGCTCACTTTAATCACTTCTTTTCAACATAGTACTTTAAGTCCTGGCCAGAGCAATCAGGCATGAGAAAGAAATAAAGGGCATCCAAATTGGAAAACAGGAAGTCAAACTATCGCTGTTTGCTGATGATATGATCGTATACCTACAAAATGCTGAAGATTCCTCCAAAGACTATTAGATTTGATAAGTGAATTTAGTAAAATCTTAGGTTACAAAGTCAATGAACACAAATCCAGTAGCACTGCTATACAACAACGACCAAGCTGAGAATCAAATTAAGAACTCAATCCATTTTATAACAGCTGCAAAAATATATATAAAATACCTAGGAATATACTTAACCAAGGGGGTGAAAGATCTCTACAAGAAGAACTACAAACACTGATGAAAGAAACCATAGATAACACAAACAAATGGAAACACATCCCATGCTCATGGATTGGAAGAATCAATATCATGAAAATGACCATACCATCTAAAGCAATCTACAGATTCAATACAAATCTGATCAAAACAGCAACATCCTTTTTCACAGATTTAGAGAAAGAAAATCCTAAAATTCCTATGAAACCAAAAAAGAGGCTGAATAGCCAAAGCAATCCTAAACAAAAACAACAAATCTGAAGGCATCACATTATTGGACTTCAAATTATACCAGGCTATAGTTAACAAAACAGCATGGTACTGGTATAAAAATAGACACATTGACCAATGGAACAGATTAAAGAATCCAGAAATAAAACCAAATATCCACAACCAACTCTCTTCAACAAAGCATGAAAAACATAAATTGGGGAAAGGACACCCTATTTATTTAATAAATGGTGCTGAGAAAACTGGCTAGCCACAAGTAGAAAAATGAAACTGGATCCCTGTCTCTCATCTTATACAAACATCAACTCAAGATAGATCAAAGATTTAAATATAAGACCTAAAACCATAAAAGTCCTAGAAGATAACCTAGAAAAAAATTCTTCTGGACATTGGCCTAGGCAAAGAATTCATGACTAAGACCCCAAAAGCAAATGCAACTAAAACAAAAATAAATAAATGGGACCTAATTAAACTAAAAGGCTTCTGTACAGCAAAAAATAATAATCAGCATCATCATCAGAGTAAAGAGACAACCCACAGAATGGGAGAAAATATTCGCCAACTATGCATCCAACAAAGGACCAACGTCCAGAATCCACAGGGAGCTCAAACAAATCAGCAAGAAAAAAAATAATCTCATGAAAAAGTGGGAAAATGACATGAACAAACATTTCTCAAAAGAAGATATACAACTGGCCAACACATAAATGAAAAAGTGCTCAATATCACTAATCATTCAGGGAAATGCAAATTAAAACCACAATGACACACCATCTTACTCCTGCAAGAATGGCCATTATTAAGACAAAAGACAATAGATATTGGCATGGACTTGGTGAAAAGGGAACACTTATGCACTGCTAGTGGAAATGTAAATTAGTGCAACCTCTATGCAAAACAGTATGGAGATTTTTTTTTGTTAAGACAGTGTCTCACTCTGTCGCCTAGGCTGGAGAGCAGTGGCGCGATCTCGGCTCACGGCAACCTCCTTCCCCTGGCTTCAAGCCATTCTCTTGCCTCAGCCTCCCAAGTAGCTGGGATTACAGGCACCTGCCACTGCGCCCAGCTAATTTTTTTTTGTATTTTTAGTAGAGACGGGGTTTCACCATCTTGACCAGGCTGGTCTTGAACTCCTGACCTCATGAGTTACCTGCCTCGGCCTCCCAAAGTGCTGGGATTACAGGCGTCAGCCACGGCACCCAGCCAGAGATTTTTTTTTTTTTTTTTTTTTTCCTGAGATGGAGTTTCACTCTTGTTGCCCAGGCTGGAGTGCAATGGCACGATCTCGGCTCACCGCAACCTCCGCCTCCCAGGTTCAAGCGATTCTCCTGTCTCAGCCTCCCGAGTAGCTGGGATTACAGGCATGCGCCACCAGGCCCAGCTAATTTTGTATTTTTAGTAGAGACAGGGTTTCTCCATGTTGATCAGGCTGGTCGCAAACTCTTGACTTCAGGTGATCCGCCTGCCTCAGCCTCCCAAAATGCAGGGATTACAGGCATGAGCCACCGTGCCCAGCCAAGACCCTGTACCTTAAAAAAAAAAAAAAATTAATGTACTTTCTATCTCCAGAGAGCTGTCTGTTCTGGCCATTTCATATGAATATAATTATATAATATGTGATTTTTTTGGGGGGGTGGGGAGACAAGGCTGCCCACTGCAGCCTTGACCTCCTGGGCTCAAGTGATCCTCCTACCTCAGGGCCTCTACAGTAGCTAGGACTACAGACAGGTGAAGTCATACCTGGCTAATTTTTTTTTTTTTTTTTTTTTTTTTTTTTTTGTAGAGACAGGGCTTCATTATGTTGCCCAGGCTGATCTCAAATTCCTGGGCTCAAGTGAACACCTGGGCTCCTCCTGCCTTGGCCTCCCAAAGTGCTGTGATTGCAGGCCTGAGCCATCATACCCAGCCTACTATGTGGTCTTTTGTGACTGGCTTCTTTCACTTACAATAAAGTTTTCAAGGTTCCTTTCATTTACATGTAACATCTGTTAGTATTTAATTTCTTTTTATTGCTGAGTAATATCCTATTGTATAGACATATCACATTTCTCTATTCATCCACCGATGCACATTTGAGATGTTTCTACTTTTTTTTTTTTACCATTGTGAATGCTATTCTGAAAATTCATGTACAAGACATATGTTCTATATGAATGTTTTCATTTCTTTCGCATATATAGCCAGGAGAAGAAGTGCTAGAACACAGTAACTGTATGTTTAACATTTTGAGGAAATGACAAGCTTTTCCAAAGTGGCTACACCATTTCACATTCCTACCAGCAGCATTTGAAGATACCCAGTTCTTCATATCCTCACCAACAAAATGTTTAGGTAATTTGTTATGCAGCAATAGGTAACTAATACATCATTTTGGTAGATGCGGTACAAATGTCTTCATAAAATTCAACATCCTTTTAAAATTTAAGAAAAAAATTCAACCAAGACTCAAAAACAAGATATTTTAAACTTTCTCCCAGTATTGAGAACAAACACATTTACCTACAATTACCACCTTAATTCAACACTTGTACTGACAATCCTAACCAATTCGGTAAGAAAAGCAAATAAACGGCATAGGAATTGGAAAGGAAGAAATGATGTATCACGTAAAATATACTCATAGGAAATTTAAAATAGTCTTCAGATATTAGAAGAAAAAAGAGGGTTTGCTAAGTCTCTGGACATAAATCAATAGATGAAAATCAGCTGTTTTTCTATAGGCCAGCAACAGAGTATAATTTTTTAAAAGAATATCATTTATCTCTGGGCATGGTGGCTCACGCCTGTAATCCCATCACTTTGGGATGCCGAGGCAGGTGGATTGTGAGGTCAGGAGTTTGAGACCAGCCTGGCCAACATGGTGAAACCCCACCTCCACTAAAAATACAAAAATGCTATAGCTAGGCGTGGTGGCATGAGCTTGTGGTCCCAGCTACTTGAGAGGCTGAGGCAGGCAAATCACTTGAATCCAGGAGGCAGAGGTTGCAGTGAGCCAAGATTGCACCACTGCACTCCAGCCTGGGCGACAGAGCAAGACTCCGTCTCAAAAAAATACAAATAAAAATAAAAAACTAAACAGTGTCATTTACCATAACCATAAAAACTACAAACCTAAGAATAAATCTAACCGAAAGGGTGTATATGATTTTTATAAAGAAAATCATAAAATTCCTTGAAAAAAATTCTACATGGGCAAATACCATGTTCATAGGTAGGTATACTCACTGTCTTAAGGATGTCAATTCTCACCAAATTAATCTATCAAAAAATTCAATGTATTTCCAGTTAAAAATCCCAAGAGGGTTTTAGAAAAATCTTGACAAAGATAGTAAACAATCTATGTGGGTCAGGCACAGTAGCTCACACCTCTAGTCACAGCACTTACGAAGGCCGAGGTGGGTGGATCATTTCAGGCCAGGAGCTTGAGCCCAGTCTGGGCAACATGGTGAAACCCCATCTCTATAAAAAATATAAAAATTAGCTGGGCGTGGCCAGGCACAGTGGCTCACGCCTGTAATCCCAATACTTTGGGAGGCCGAAGCAGGTGGCTCACCTGAGGTCAGGCATTCGAGACCAGCCTGGCCAACATGGCAAAACCCCTAAAAATACTAATAAAAATACAAAATGTCTCTACTAAAAATACAAAAAATTAGCCCAGCATGGTGGCAGGTGCCTGTAATCCCAGCTACTCAGGAGGCTGAGGCAAGAGAATTGCTTGAACCCGGGTGGCAGAGGTTGCAGTAAGCCGAGATCACACCACTGCATTCCAGCCTGGGCAACAACAGCAAAACTGCATCTCAAAAAAAAAAAAAATTAGCTGGGCATGGTGGTGCACACCTGTAGTCCCGGCTGAGGTGGGAGAACCACTTGAGCCCAGGAGATTGAGGCTGCAGTAAGCCGTGATCACACCAGTGTAGTCCTCCCTGGGTGACAGAGTGAGACCCTGTCTCAAAAAAAAAAAAAAAAAAAATATGTGAATGAGCAAAGGGCAAAAGTCAGCCAAGACCCTCCTCAAGAACTGCTGTAGTCTATACTAACTAGGCAATAAGGTAATGGTGTAGATATACTCAAATATACCAATGGAACACAATATAGAGGCCAGAAAAAGACCCATGCAAATTGAAAACTTAATACAGGAAAGAGGTAAATTAAAATCAATGAAAAAGAGAGCTAGCTGGGTGTGGTGGCTCATGCCTGTAATCCCAGCACTTTGGGAGGCTGAGGCGTGTGGATCACAAGGTCAGGAGATTGAGACCATCCTCGCTAACACGGTGAAACCCGTCTCTACTAAATAAAACACAAAAAAATTAGCCGGGCTTGGTGGCGGGCGCCTGTAGTCCCAGCTACTCAGGAGACTGAGGCAGGAGAATGGCGTGAACCCGGGAGGCGAGCTTGCAGTGAGCCGAGATCGCACCACTGCACTCCAGCTTAGGTGACGGAACGAGGCTCCATCTCAAAAAAAAAAAAGAAAGAAAGAAAGAAAGAAAGAAAGAAAGAAAGAAAGAAAGAAAGAAAGAAAGAAAGAAAAAGAGAGCTATTTAATAAATTGTGCTGGTACAAATGATCAGCCATACAAGATTTAAAATTTTTAATTACTGCCTCTCATCAATCACAAAATAAATTACAGATACAGAAGAGACCTAAATATATGAAATATTCCTAAAAATCAGAAGAAAATATAGAATATCTTCATGAACTCACAATTAAGAAAAAATTATTAGATGAGACACCGAAAGCAAAAAGCAAAGAATTAGTTTTGACTATATCAAAACTGTTTAAATTTTATTGTTTGGTTTATAACAACATAAACCAAAACAAGGCTGAAAATCAAGAGACTGGCAAAAGTTATTTGCCTCTCCCACCCCCAAAAAGGTGGGGATTGGGGGATTCCTACTAATTAATAAGAAACATAGGCAATGCAAATTCTGTTTTATATTAAGGCCCACATGGGTAAATCTGATGCGAGTTCTTGTCAAGGTTCTAGTTCTCACGCAGAATGATGGATTCATATGTGTTTGTTATATTATTAAAAATAGGCAACTGCCATCCTTGAGCTATTATTTGTGTCATGAATCAAGGATTTAAAAGTACCTAATTTTATATAACTAGGGTCCAAAGAGGAGGTTAAAAAGGGTACTGATTTTATTAATTTCCCACCCAATATGTGAAAACTGATCACGTGAATAGGTTCTTCAAAGTTTGTCATGAAAACTGAATAGTTTGTCATAAAAATATGAAAATTAAATACTATTTACTAACCCTTTGACAAATTCTCTTTTTATAATTTTCCAACAGGTTGTCCTTTTTTCTGATTTAACTGCTTCTTAATACAAGTCCTAATTTGTGAGCAAGCTGTATCAGCATGAGGGTCAATTATCTTACTTGCTATTACACCAATCATATCTGAAACACCTAACAGATCAGAAACAGAAAGGGTGACTCTATTTATATGACATTCAAGAAAAGATAAAATTATAGAAATAGAAAATAAATCAGTTGGAAGGATTTAATCTCAAAAGGGTACAAGGAAACTCTCTGGGGTGAAAGAAATATTGTATTATCTTCATTGTGGTGGTGACTGCAAAATAGTATAAATTTGCCACTCATAAAAATATAAGAGTGAATTTTACTACATGTAAATTAAACTTCAGTAAACTTGACTTTAAAAAGGACAATGTACAAAATTAGAATTAAGGAGACATCTGTATTCAAATATTAACAGTATTATCGTGACACTGAATGAGAAGAATTGTAATTTGTAGTCTACACCATTTTTTTTTTTTTGAAATGGGATCTCACTCTGTTGCCCAGGCTGGAATGCAATGGCTCAATCACGGCTCACTGCAGCCTTAACCTCCCAAGCTCAAGTGATCCTCCCACCTCTGCACAAGTAGCTGGGACCACAGGCATACACCACCATGCCCAGCTAATTTTTTTTATTCTATAGAGATGGGGTCTCCCTATGTTGCCCAGGTTGGTCTTGAACTCCTGGGCCCAAACAATTCTCCTGCCTCAGCCAGCCAAAGTGCTGGGATTACAGGTGTGAGCCACCAGGCAGAGCCTTGTAATTTACACTTATGTATAGTTTAATTCACAGCTGGTTCCTGCCTACAGGATCAATGAAAAAGCTCCATTACCCTTAGTCATTTAACTGATGAAATTAAATATTTTTAATAATGAAATCAATGCTTTAAGTACTTCTAATTCACATTTTAGTTGTCCTGTTTCCCTTTTGAAATTATCAAGTCCAACAGGAATTTTATATATATATATATAGTTGTAATATTAATATAAATACAGCATCAATAACAATAGTGTCATACTTTTTTTTTTTTTTTTTTTTTTGAGACAGAGTCTTGGTCTGTCGCCCAGGCTGAAGTGCAGTGGTGCAATCTCTGCTCACTGCCATTCTCCTGCCTCAAAAGTCTCATACATTTTTGTAGTTATTGAAACAAGCAGTTTTGTGCATTCTTTCCATCCTTACAACAGCCCTGTAAAATAGGCATAATTATCCCCTTTATTACATAAAGACTATTTTGACAATACTCTATATACTATGAAAGGATAATAAAATGAGAAGAAAAGGCCAGGCACAGTGGCTCACGCCTGTAATCCCAGCACTTTAGGAGGTCAAGGAAGGCAGATTGCTTGACCCCAAGAATTCAAGGCCAGCGTGGGCAACATGGGGAGACCCCATCTCTACTAAAAATACAAAAATTAGTCAGACACGGTGGCACACGTCTGTAGTCCCAGCTACTCAGGAGGCTGAGGTGGGAGGATCGCTTGAGCCTGGGAGGCAGAGGTTGCTGTGAGCTGAGATTGTGCCACTGCACTCCAGCCTGAGTAACAGAGGGAGACCCTGTCTCAAAAAATAAAAATAAATAAATAAATAAATAAATAAAGGGAAAAAAATCTTGGGACCTCCAAACTCACTATCCCAAAGGGAAAAGTTAAGCTTAGAAACTGAGTCACGCAAAACTGCCTCCCACTTTGTTCCTAAATAGATAGCTGCAAAGATAAAAGGCCAGATACCTCACCAGGGGGCCTCTTTCACAATTTGCTCACAGGTAAATGCCTTCTGGGCCCAAGATCTTTACCCTAAAACAGAATTCTGTTTAATTTCACCCTGACAATATAAATTAAAAGCTTATCTTCACAGGTACAGGACAAACACAAGACTAGAAGTCATTCCTCCACTCACCCAAAACAAAGGCATACTTGACTGATTCCTCTGTTTACTTTATCTTATGTAAAATGCAGATTCATAGAGTGCCAGAAGAATGCATAGTTGACTTTCAGTCTACCCCCTCCTTTTCACATGCAACATGTGGATTTAGTGAGCTCACAGGAATGTGACCATACTCTCCCCCTCTTTATTTTTTCTTTCCCCTTTCCCTACTGTCCCCTTTTTCCCCTTTAAAGGTTGAAGCCCTCAAAACCCTCTTTGGAAAAAGCACATGTCACAGCTGTTCTGTGATTTTTGTGTTCCTTTTGCCTGGGTACATCCTCAACCTTGGCAAAATAAACCTCTAAATTCAAACTTGCCTCAGTCATTTTCTTTGTGTTACAATACTGAAGAGCTAGTATGATTTAAGAGTTAAAAGTCTATCGGCCACTGTATCTTCAGAACACAATAGGTGCTCAATAAATATTTTTTATGTTTTGGCTTTAATGCTGAGTAATTACCTGATGTTGGGCAGTTACTTAATCTCCTTTAACTTAAATTTTCTTATCCATAAGATAGTATAAAACAACTCTGAGAAGTAGACGTATCTAGTTCTTTTCATTCTTTACATAAACTACCTGACACACTATAAGCATTAAATGAATGTCATTTGATCTGTTATTATCTTTTTAATAATACAAGACCCTAAGATATTAGTTGTGAAAGGGAAAATAAATCTCAGGACCTCCAAATCACTAAGCCAAAAGGAAAAACTAAGCTGGCAACTGTGTCAGGCAAACTTGCCTCCCATTTTATTCCCAAATAAGATAGCTACAACAATTAAAAAAAAAAAAAAGCTACATACTTCCCTCACAATTTGCCTACTAGGAAATTCCTTGTGGGCCTCAAGATCTTTACACTAAAATGGTTATGTTGAACTTTACCCTGATAATGTATTTTGATAGCTTATCTTCATGAGTGCAGGACAAAAGAGTTCTAAGTCATCCCTCTGCTAACCTGACACCAATGCACATGTGACTTTTCCTCTGATGTAAAAATGCAGATTCGCTGAGCTAGACAAGGCTTAAGTGGCTATTCCTCTACTCCCCTCTCACAGGTATATTGTGTATTCAGTGAAAGGCTGATCAAAGACTCAAAAGAATACAACTGCTTGTCTCTTATCTACCCACACCTTTTAAAAATTTCTTCCTCTTTCCCCTTCAAATATTGAAGCTCTCAAAATCATCTTCGGAGAAAGGCACAAACCTACCTCCCAGATGTGCATCCTTCATCTGGGCAAAATAAACTTTCTAAATTGATTGAGACCTGTCTCAGATACTTCTTGGTTCACATGGTATAGGGGCAGCATCAGAGCTGTATTACACTGCTAAAGCTTCAGATGAGAATATAGTACCAGATGTGGTGGCACACCCATGCAGTCTCAGCTACTACAGATACTGAGGCAGGAGGATTGCTTGAGTCCAGGAGTTCTAAGCTGTAGTTCACTACGCCAATCATATATCAACACAAAGTTCACCATCAGTATGGTGACCTCCAAGGAGAGGGGGATCACCAGGTCGCCTAAGAAGAGGTAAACCAGCTCAGGTCAGAAACTGAGCAGGTCAAAACTCTTATGCTGATCAGTAGTGGAATCATGCCTCAGAACAGCCCTTGCACTCCAGCCTGAGCAATTCAGCAAGTCCCCATCTCGGAAAACAATAATTAAGAAGGCCAGGATGGTGTATCACACCTGTAGGGCCAAGACTTTGGGGAGGCCAAGGCAAGAGGATCACTTGAGTCCAGGAGTTCGAGACTAACCTGGACAACATAGTGAGACTGCATCTCTACAAATAATAATAATAAATAATAATAATGAAAAAGATAAAAGCAATATAATCTAATTACAACTCATGAAAAATTTAGATGTCATTCTTATTTGTTAAGACAAACATTAACACAGCATTTTACAAGGATAGAAAGTAAACTAATGAATTGTTTAAAGAAAGAATTCGCTTTTGAAAATGAGAATGAGGTCGTTTTGAGGAAAACCAAGTGTAAGGACTATATAGTTTTTAACAATTTAGGCTCATAAGCCAGAACTGAAGATAAATAATTTTGGCAACAAGCACTCATATCATGAGACTTACTTTAGGAATAAATAATTAATCCAGATGTTTAAAAATGATGCTAGAAATTAACAGGATAAGAAAAGTTGCAAGAAAGCTCTTTAATCTGGAAGAGAACTTACAGCTCATTTTACAAGAAAAAATTGAAGAGGCTAATTGGAAAGTGATATAACTTGCCAATCATAAAAATAACTTTTCATTTCAAGAGTCTCATACCATAACTAACAATATCTCAAAATCCTTATTTACTCATGGCCTTGACACTGAGTTATCCAGTTAACATGTTATTAATTTTATACATATATTCTTTTTTTTTTGGCGGGGGAGTCGTCGGGGGACGGAGTCTCGCTCTGTTGCTCAGGCTGGAGTGCAGTGGCGCGATCTCAGCTCACCGCAAGCTCCGCCTCCCGGGTTCACGCCATTCTCCTGCCTCAGCCTCCCGAGTAGCTGGGACTACAGGCACCCGCCACCATGCCTGGCTAATTTTGTTTTTGTATTTTTAGTAGAGACTGGGTTTCACCGTGTTAGCCAGGATGGTCTCAATCTCCTGACCTCGTGATCCACCCACCTTGGCCTCCCAAAGTGCTGGGATTACAGGCGTTAGCCACCATGCCCGGCCAAACTTATACATATATTCTTGTGTGGTATACACATGGTCTCATACCATGACTAATAACAGCTTAAATATTCACGGCCTTGACACTGAGTAATCCAATTAACATACATGTTCATTCATAGATATATATATATATATTTGTTGTTTTGTTGTTGTTGTTGTTGTTGTTGCTGTTGTTGTTAAAGACAGAGTCTCACTCCATCACCCAGGCTGGAGTGCAGTGGTGCCATCTCAGCTCACTGCAACCTCCACCTCACGTGTTAAAGCAATTCTGCCTCAGCTTCCCAAGTAGCTGGGATTACAGGCACATACCATGCCCAGCTAATTTTTGTATTTTTAGTAGAGATGGGGTTTCACCATGTTGGCCAGGCTGGTCTCGAACTCCTGACCTCAAATGATCCACCCTCTTCAGCCTCCCAAAGCGCTGGGATTTCAGGCATGAGCCACCACACCCAGCCTTAATCTTACACATATATTCTTATGTACTATACACATACAGTGATGCATTGCTTAATGGCAGAAATATATCCTAAGAAAGGCATCCTTAGGTCCTTAGGCAATTTTGGACATAAGGATTTTGTCATTGTGCAAACCTTATAGAGCGTACTTACACAGACATAGATGGTGTAGCCTGCCTACACACCTAGGCTACACAATATGGCTTATTGCTCCCAGTCTCCAAACCTGTACAGCATGTTACTATACTGAATACTATAGACAACTCTAACACAATGGAAAGTATTTGTGTATCTAAACATATTTGAATATAGAAAAGGTACAGTAAAACTAAGGTATTATAATCTTACAGGACTACTGTTGTGTATCTGATCCATCACTGACTAAAATATCATTAATCTCTCTCTCTTATACACACACACGGAGGTAAGAAATGAACTTAGATAACTTGTGACATCATCAAAATTCTGTATAATTTTTTTTTTTTATACTGGGTCTCACTCTGTCAACCAGGCTGGAGTGCAGTGGCATCACATTACAGCTCACTGCAGCCTCAACCTCCTGGGCTCAAGCAATCCTCCTGCCTCAGGCTCCTGAGTAGCTAGGACTATAGGCACATGCCACCAAACCCAACTAAGGTTTTTTTCATTTTTTGCAGAGATAGGGTCTCATTTGTTGCCCAGGCAGGTCTGAAACTCCTGGCTTCAAGCAATCCTCCCATCTCAGCCTCCCAAAGTGCTGGAATTACAGGCATGAGCCACAGTACCCAGGGCTTTGGAGATATTTTGATGCTTCCTTTATCAGGCACGTTTTGACACTTCTAGAAATCTTCAACCAAAGAACTAGACTAGTCAGGTTCCCAGGCATAACCTAATCAACGACGATTTGTTCAACCTGTTTTATGATGGTGAAAATTGAACAGCAAAGTATCATCTAAATATACTCTGGATAAACTCGGGGCCAGTGGCGCAATGGATAACGCGTCTGACTACGGATCAGAAGATTCTAAATATACTCTGGATAGAAATACAGGTTAAAACTTTAACTCGCATCCGTGTGAAGAGACCACCAAACAGGCTTTGTGTGAGCAACAAGGCTGTTTATTTCACCTGGGTGCAGGCGGGCTGAGTCCGAAGAAAGAGTCAGAGAAGGGAGATAGGGGTGGGAACGTTTTATAGGATTTGGGTAGGTAATGGAAAATTACAGTCAAAGGCGGTAGTTCTCTGGCGGGCAGGGGTGGGGGTCACCAGGTGCTCAGTGGGGGAGCTTTTGAGCCAGGATGAGCCAGAAGAAGGAACTTCACAAGGTAATGTCATCGATTAAGGCAGGAACAGGCCATTTTCACTTCTTTTGTGATTCTTCAGTTACTTCAGGCCATCTGGATGTATACGTGCAGGTCACAGGAGATATGATGGCTTAGCTTGGACTCAGAGGCCTGACATTCCTGTCTTCTTATATTAATAAGAAAAATAACATAAAACAAAATAGTGGTAAAGTGTTGGGGCAGCGAAAATTTTTGGAGGTGGTATGGAGAGATAGTGGGCAATGTTTCTCAGGGCTGCTTCAAGCGGGATTAGGGGCGACGTGGGAACCTAGAGTGGGAGAGATTAAGCTGAAAGAAGATTTTGTGGTAAGGGGCGATATTGTGGGGTTGTTAAAGGGAACATTTGTCATATAGAATGATTGGTGATGGAAACATTTATTGTACAGAACTATTGGTGATGGCCTGGATACGGTTTTGTATGAATTGAAAAACTAAACGGAATAAGAGAAGGAAAAAAGCAGGTATTAAAGGACTAAGAATTGGGAGGACTCAGGACATCTAATTAGAGAGTTTCCAAGGGAGTCCAAGGGGGTTTAGCGTAATTACTTGCTTGGTTGGCAAGTCTTTGGGCTCTATTCTTGACAGAGTCCTTTTTTTTAAGTTGGAGGCTGAGCTTGGTGAGGTGTGTTTTTAAAAGACAATTAGTCGTTTCACCTTTCCTGAAGATTGAGGACCGTAAGAGGTACAAAAGTTTCACTGAATACCAAGAGCCTGAGAAACTGCTTGGGTGATTTGACTAATAAAGGCCGGTCCGTTATCGGACTGCAGAGAGGTGGGAAGGCCAAACCGAGGAATTATGTCTGACAGAAGGGAAGAAATGACCATGGTGGCCTTCTCAGACCCTGTGGGAAAGGTCTCTATCCATCCAGTGAAAGTGTCCACCTAGACCAAGAGGCATGTGAGTAAAGTCAATTTGCCAGTCCTGGGCAGGGGCAAACCCCCGAGCTTGATGTGTAGGGAAGGGAAGGGGCCTAAGAAATTCCTGAGGAGTAGTAGAATAGCAGATGGAACACTGAACAATGATTTCCTTGAGGATAGATTTCCACGACAGAAAGGAAATGAGACGTTTTAAGAGATGGGCTAGCAGCTTGTAACCTACATGGAAGAGGTTATGAAATGATGACAGAATAGAATGGGCCTGTGAGGCTGGAAGGAGATCCTTGGTCCAAGAACCATTTGCCTTGTGTGGGAAGAGATTGATAGGTGAAGTTTCAATGGAGGAGTAGGTGGGAGTGGCCAGATGAGAAGGAGAAAAACTGCCCTGAGGGATAGAAGTTGGAACTCTAGCTGCTTTTTTAGCTACCTTATCAGCATAAGCATTGTCCTGAGCCATGGGATCTGATGCCTTTTGATGGCTGCTTTTTTAGCTACCTTATCAGCATAAGCATTGTCCTGAAATGATGGGATCTGATGCCTTTTGATGGCTGCTTTTTTAGCTACCTTATCAGCGTAAGCCTTGACCTGAGCGATGAGATCTGATGCCTTTTGATGGCCTTTGCAGTGAATGACTCCAGCTTCCTTTGGAAATAAAGCAGCCTTGAGAAGAGTTTTTATTAAAGTGGCATTAATGAAAGAGGACCCTTGTGTAGTGAGGAATCCTCTTTCTGCCCATATAACAGCATGGTGGTGCAAGATATGGAAGGCGTATTTAGAGTCAGTATAAATATTGACGCGTGTAGTCCCTTTGCAAGAGTGAGGGCTCAAGTTAAGGCAATGACTTTGGCTTACTGAGAGGTAGTGGAGGGGGGCGGAGCGGTAGCCTCAATGATAGATGTGGAAGATACTATAGCATAGCCTGCAGGCCAGGCGCAGTGGCTCACGCCTGTAATCCCAGCACTTTGGGAGGCCAAGGCGGGCAGATCACGAGGTCAGGAGATTGAGACCATCCTGGCTAACACGGTGAAACCCTGTCTCTACTAAAAGTACAAAAAATTAGCTGGGCGTGGTGGTGGGCGCCTGTAGTCAGTTACTGGGAACACTGTGAGAGCCAAGTTCTCAGATGCCAGCCAATGGCCAATCTTGCAAGCAGACCTTTCTAAGAATAGCTATCTCAGACCTACTATGTTAACTCTTTTCTGCACAGCAAGTTATTTATCTTCTCCAGATCTCAGAGTCATGTGTAAAAAGTGAATAATAATAATAGAAACTATTTCATGGAGACCATAGTACAAGTAATATGTAATCCTGTATGATGACAAGACTTCATGACCTAAAGATCAGTCGATGGTAGTGATGAGGAAGATTACAGAAAGTTATAGACAAGGTAAAACAACTCAAAACATAAATTTCAACCCCACAGCAACTTTTAGAGGACAATAAAACCATAATTATCAGGAATGATCTTGAAAAAGGGTCAGTGGAAGAAACACTGACCCTGTCTTTCACTCACAAAATATACGGGAGATTTAAAATATTTTATCATATTGGCCAGGGGTGGTGGCTCACACCTGTAATTCTAGTATTTTGGGAGGCCGAGGCGGGTGGATCACTTGAGATCGGGAGTTTGAGACAAGCCTGGTCAACATGCTGAAACCCCGACTCTACTAAAAATACAAAAATTAGCCGGGCATAGTGGCTCACACCTGTAATCCCAGCTGCTCCAGAAGCTGAGACAGAAGAATGTCTTGAACCCGGGAGGTGGAGGTTGCAGTGAGCTGAGACAGTGCCACTGCAGTCCAGCTTCGGCAACAGAGTGAGACTCCATCTCAAAATAAATAAATAAAAGAAAAATAAAATTCTAAAATGAATGCAGTAAGATCTCTCTGTGTGTGTCTCCATGTGTGTATACACACACGTGTGCCTAGATATGTTTAGGAGTGTTTTATACCTATGTACATATATTATGTTGCGTATTGTGTATACAGCCAGAAATTCCTTGAGGAATTCTATTCAGATTGGTTTAGATAAGTGAGTGCTTACATAAATTGTTAAAATATATAGGAATCAACCCAAATGCCTTTTTAATTCACATAATTTAAGTAAATCTTTGATAAATAAGCTGGTTTTAAATTTATTGATGAAATAAAAATAGGAACATCTTCAGAACTGTTAGCATACATTTTTGCCTGGTTTTACTAGTTAGAATTTGTTTCTGCTAAATGTTTTAGGGTGTCATGATTGACACAGGTTATAAAACTATAAAACCAGCCTAAAAACAGAATAGTCTTTTATTTGTGAAGCTCTTTGATAAGACTAATTTAATAGTGTTGATTTAATGAAAACAGCTGTATCTTCTGAGTTATCAACAAAATCTCCATACATTTAACTTTAAGGTTCTTTTTTAGGTTAACATCTGATATTCTTAGGCTATGAAAAGGGCGAACAGGAAAGTAACCTGAATGACGACTAGCTTTGTCTAATATCTCAGTTCTCACAAATAGTCTACGTAAAACTGTTTAAAAAAAAAAAAAAAAAAAAAAAAAAACTCTGAGTAGGCCGGGCGCGGTGGCTCAGGCCTGTAAACCCAGCACTTTGGGAGGCTGAGACGGGCGAATCACCTGAGGTCAGGAGTTCAAGACCAGCCTGCCCAACATGGAGAAACCCCGTCTCTACTAAAAATACAAAATTAGGCCAGGCGCAGTGTAATCCCAGCACTTTGGGAGGCCAAGACGGGTGGATCACAAGGTCAGGAGATCGAGATCATCCTGGCTAACACGGTGAAACCCTAACTCTACTAAAATTACAATAAATTAGCTGGGTGTGGTGGTGGACGCCTGTAGTCCCAGCTACTCAAGAGGCTGAGGCAGGAGAATCGCTTGAACCCGGGAGGCGGAGGTTGCAGTGAGCTGAGATTGCGCCACTGCACTCTAGCTGGGGCGACAGAGCGAGACTCCGTCTCAAAAACAAAATTAGCTGGGCATGGTGGAGCATGCCTGGAATCCTGTGGTGAGCTGAGATCGTGCCATTGCACTCCAGCCTGGGCAATAAGAGCAAAACTCTGTCTCAAAAAAATAATAAAAATTAAAAAAATAACAAATTATGGGCCAGGCACGGTGGCTCACGCCTGAAATCCCAGCACTTTGGGAGGCCGAGGAGGGCAGATCACAAGGTCAGGAGTTCAAGACCAGCCAGTTTGAGACCAGCCTGGCCAACACGGTGAAACCCCGTCTCTACTAAACATACAAAAAATAGCTGGTGTGGTGATGGGTGCCTGTAATCCCAGCTACTCCGGAGGTTGAGGAAGGAGAACTGCTTGAACCCGGGAAGTGGAGGTTGCAGTGAGCCAAAATGGTGCCACTGCATTCCAGCCTGGGCAACAAAGCAAGACTCCGTCTCAGAAATAAATAAATAAATAAATAATGTAAATACAAATGGAATAAATGTTTATAAATGAACTTTTCACATAATTTGAAATATTAAAATTATGTTAAATTAAGTGATAAATACTCATTAAATGTCCAGATCGTTTCCAAATAAGGAAAAATACTGAAACACCAATTGCTGAACATAAATACATTTGTTCTTGCCTTGTTAAATCTTATAGAAAGACTGAATATATTTCAGTCTATTAATACACACAAAATTATGTTACGGAGAATGTTTGTAAAAAATATTTAAAAGTCTAGGCATAGTGGCTCACACCTGCAATCCCAGCACTTTCAAAGGCTGAAACAGGAGGATTACTTAAGGCCAGGAGTCCAAGACCAGCCTGAGCAACACGGCAAGACTCTGTCTCTACAAAAAAAATTTTACACTAGCCAGGCATGGTAGCATGCTCCTGTAATCCCAGCTACTCCAGGGGCTAAGACAGGAGGATCCCTTGACCCCAGAGTTCAAGTTATAGTACGCTATGATCATGCCACTGCACTCTAGGCTGGGCAACAGTGAGAGACCCTAACTCAAAAAATAAAAAAATATATAAAATACTGATATATGATAGTTCAAAATTTCTTGCTTCCTAGGTTTTCATTAAAAATCAAGATTACTAAGTTAGAAATTCTAACTAATGTATATAATTCTGTATATGAAGTGTAACAAAAAACATCATGTGGCTTTGATGAGAAAAATTATGAGAAAAGCATAAGAATGTATTATTCATTGAGAAAAAAGAATAACTGTAAATTCAGAGGTTATTTAAGGTTATTTTGAAAAGTAATATTTAGGAAGGAAATAATATAAAAAGGACTCAGTAAGCAGGAGAGAGAAATATAAAGAAAGTTATAAGGATGTAATTTTGGCAAAGAGGGTTAAAAGGAGAATAACTTTTCACAATGATAAGGAAAAAAGAAAGTAAACTGTGTCCTAAAGTAAAATGACAGGTTATTTAAGAAAGAGAAAGTATAGGACAAAGCTAAAGGACCAAGAATGTTGTGGAAGATCTGATTAAGCTGTGGAAAGTTTGTGAAGGATGAATTTATTAAAGAAATTTTGTGTGTGGGCCAGACACAGAGGCTCATGGCTGTAATCCCAGCACTTTGGGAGGCCGAAGCAGCCAGACCACTTGAGCCCAGGAGTTCAAGACCAGCCTGTTCAACACAATGAAACCCCGTCTCTACAAAAAATACAAAAACTAGCCAGACACACTGGCATGTGCCTGTAGTCTCAGCTACTCAGGAGGCTGAGATGGGAGGATCACTTGAGCCCGCCAAGTTAAGCCTACAGTGAGGTATGATCGCAGTGGAGACAGAATGAGTCCCTCTATCAAAAAAAAAGGAAGTAGGAAGGAAGGAGGGAGGGAGAGACAGAGGGAGGGGTGAGAAAGAGAAAAGAAAGAAAGGAAAGGAAAGGAAAGAAAGAAGGAAAGGAAAGGGGCAAGGGCAAGAGAAAGAGAAAGAGAAGGAAGGGAGGCAGGGGTGAGAGAGAAAGAGTGGGGGTGAGAGAGAAAGAGGGAGGGAGAGAGGGAGAGAGAGAAAGAGGGAGGAAGGGAGAGAGAGAAAGAGAAAGAAGAGAGAGAAAGAAAGAAAGAAGGAAAAGAAAGAAAGAAAGAGAGGGAGATGAAAAGAAAGAGAAAGCGGGGAGGAGGGAGGGAGGGAAAGAGATAGAGAAGGAAGGAAGAAAAGAAGGAAGGGAGGGAGGAAGGAAGGAAGATTTTTTCATACGATTAAGTTGGCTATAAATAAAAGAAAATTAGTTACAAGTCTTTCTAAAAGTTTAGCTTTGGTCAGGCACGGTGGCTCACGCCTGTAGTCCCAGCACTTTGGGAGGCGGAGGCGGGTGGATCACCTGAGGTCAGGAGTTCGAGACCAGCCTGGACAACATGGAGAAACACCATCTCTACTAAAAAATACAAAAATTAGGTGGGCGTGGTGGCATGCACCTGTAGTCCCAGCTACTCTGGAGGCTCAGTCAGGAGAATCACTTGAACCTGGGAAGTAGAGATTGCCGTGAGCCAAGACTATGCCACTGCACTCTAGCCTAGGTGACAGAATGAGACCCTGGCTCAAAACAACAACAAATATCTAAAATTTTGGTCCCCTGTGTTAGAACAAGCTTTTCTTGAAGTCTTGATCTGTTCTTAGTAAAAATTGCAAGAGGTTTTTATGTTTATTTCAGAAATCTGTTTCTTTAAGTTTTTAAACATCTTCTGAACTGCAGCTTTACAGTTTACAGCAGTTCTGTATTGGCTTTTACTGATGTGTCTGAATTGCTCCACTTAACCCAGAATTTCCCATGATTTTACTAAGAGCCATGTATTTCCTGCTCAAGGTACTAGTTTTCCTGTTTACATTTCTCTATAATATGGTGTACGCTCATAACCTTGGACACACACTCTTCCTGTGTCAAGTAATTTTTCATCAGGTCCAACTTCCAGATTATCTAAATGGGTTTCCCATTAGCAGAAGCAATCTCATTGCAGGAAGTTTTCTTTGCCTTTTTGTTAACTGGCCCAAGAAACAAAGACTGCATCTTATGAAGATAATCCCTGTATTTCATGCTGTCTTTATTAGGGTTTTTGGTTACTTAGGAAAACTGGGCTTTAGAAGGGTTAAGGGTTTGGGGTTTTTGTTTGTTTGTTTCCCATCCATGTAACTTTCTGTATTGCTTTTGAAATCTTTTGATTATTACTGTGGTTAAATTAATGACTATTATTTCACAATGACCTATGATTCTGTTTTGATCAGGTGTTTTAAACCTTTTGACATCTTTGGTAAACTTCCCCAGGATCAAGTTCTAAATTAAGTCTTTTGGCTTGGAGCGGTGGCTCATGCCTGTAATCCCAGCACTCTGGGAGGCCGAGGTGGATGGATCACCTGAGGTCAGAGTTCGAGACCAACCTGACCAACATGGAGAAACCCCATCTCTACTTAAAATACAAAATTAGGCCAGGCACAACGGCTCACGCCTGTAATCCCAGCTACCCGGGAGGCTGAGGCAGGAGAACCACTTGAATCCCAGAGGCAGAGGTTACAGTAAGCTGAGATCGCACCACTGCACTCCAGCCTGGGCAACAGAGCAACACTCCGTCTTAAAAAAATAAAAAATAAATAAGTCTTTCTTGACCTCAAACTAACTTTAGGATGTTCCACAAGGCACTGGACCTTCTCAAAGATTTCTGAAACAGAGACACTGAACTAAATCAGGCTTGATATGCTGAATTATATGGAAAGCACTGACAAATAAGTGATTCTAGATCTTCTTGCAGTTACATTTATTGATATGATATTAATATGAATATTCCAAAAGTATATAAAACTCTTAGAAATCTAATATGTCATCAGTCATAATTCTAGTATATATTACATGCCACAAAAATAACTGAATTTCTTTGTCAATTGCTGATTATAATAAACTTCATCAGATTTTTAACCATGGCTATTCTAAATCTTCATCATTCACAGTTTTGATTCTTCTCTAAAAACAGGCTGGGCATGGTGGCTCACGCCTGTAATCCCAGCACTTTGGAAGGCCGAGACGGGCGGATCACCTGAGGTCAGGTGTTCGAGACCAGCCTGGCCAATATGGCTACTAAAAATAAAAAATTTTAGTCTTTAGTCTCTGGTCTTTACTAATTTTAGTCTTTAGTCTCTACTAAAAATACAAAAATTAGCCAAGGTAGTAGTGTGCACCTGTAATCCCAGCTGCTTGGGAAGCTGAGACAGAAGAATCACTTGAACCCAGGAAGTGGAGGTTGCAGTAAGCCGACATCAGGCCACTGTACTCCAGCCTGGGTGACAGAGTCAAACTGTCTCAAAAAATAAATAAGTAAAATTTAAAAATAAATAAAAATAAAAATATCTGCAATCAGGTTCATGGAAAAGATTTGTACGCTTAAATATACATTTCTAATAACTTTAAGCTCAATGGACTAAAAATTTTCCAGAATTCTAATGAAGAAACTGATTAGTTAGAAAAACTGCTAATTAAGATTAAGCAACACAAAATATGAGATTAGGCCGGGCACGGTGGCTCACGCCTGTAATCCCAGTACTTTGGGAGGCCGAGGTGGGCGGATCACAAGGTCAGGAGATCGAGACCATCCTGGCTAACATAGTGAAACCCCATCTCTACTAAAAATACAAAAAATTAGCTGGGCGTGGTGGTGGGCACCTGTAATCCCAGCTACTCAGGAGGCTGAGGCAGGAGAATGGCGTGAACCCAGGAGGCAGAGCTTGCAGTGAGCCGAGATGGTGCCACTGCACTCCAGCCTGGGCGAGAGTGTGAGACTCCGTCTCAAAAAAATAAAATAAAATAAGAGATTAAATAATCAATGATGTTTTTATGACTTTTATTTGAAACACTGTTGGTTCTTTACTTAAATGTTCAGTTTTCCAGATTTAAGAAAATTTTTCTCTTAAAGTATCAATCATTTACAGTAATTTGGTAAGATAATACTTATCTCAACAAAAGTGAAAGCATTTACTTTTTCTCCCTACTTGATCCCTCTGCATTAGATATTGGTTAAGTAAAATTCAGAAACTATTCATGAGTATTCTTATTTTTATGATAATATAGGGTTGTTGGCATAAGTTCATAAAAGTTTGCTCTCTTTATAACAGGATACAATTAGAAACGTTAGTTATATTACCAAGACTTTGACTGGAATATCTTATTTAAGAATGTGCACACAATGTCTGGGTTCAGGTGTTCCCATTCCTACAGTGAGAGAATATAATCTGTCACTTCTTGGCCAGCCCAGGAACCTTAAGGCTGTAGGTGAAATCTAATGTCTCCCTTGGTTTGGCTTCCTAGTCTTGAAGGGTTTATAAATCTGAGATTTCTTTGTGGTCAACAGCTATTCTTGCTGCATTTATGTAAATAATCAGACAAAAAACTAATAAAACTATTTTATAAACAAATTTGTCTTATTCTGATTGGTAGAAACTGGGATGACTATAAAAAGTTATGCTTCTAAAGAAAAACTACTGTATCTATTATTAGACTGTAGCCCTGTACACTGTATTTGAGTTTTTATTATCTACCTGCAAACTGGCCTAGATCCTAAATTCTTCTAGGTTCCTCCAATCCAACTTTCTTCCACAGAATTATTAAAACAGAAATTGCTCTGTTCCTGAAGCCCTATAAGCTGAAACTCGATGAATTTTAAGGGACAAGTCTGGTACTCGAAGTCTGAGCCACACAGAAAAGTTCACCAAACTGCCCAATGCCTTAACCAGAGACATTCAAACTGCAAACCAGGATGAGAAGTCGATGGTTCCGCACTGTAGACAGGTTTTCCCAAGATAATTGAACAAGGGGAGACTCTTACCCCTCTTAAGGCGTAGCTTTTTCACTTGGCAAGATAATGTTGTAACTGAAATTTCACAATCAGTAGCTTCTGCTGGTAACTTGACAGAACTTGACCTAAGAGATCCTTCAGTCCACCTAGTGGGTGACTCTGGCAACATCCCTAAAAAAATTATTCACACTCTGCTTTAATTCAACCCAGTTATGGAATGCCGAATGATAACAATGCTCTGCATTAGCTATTGGTTAAGTAAAGAAATGTCTGTGCTATTACTAATACTACATGATTTACCTGGATAAATTCCTTTGAGGAAGTTGAGACTCATACGCAAAATAAGAAAACAGATCACATGGTTACAACAGGTCTCATCTAGTTCTCCATGGTCACTTGGTTTCTTCAACTGACTGCCTTTAGGTCTAGCTTCATGGCTCAAAACCATTATGTAAACTGGTATTATATTACTATTAATTTTACTTTGTATTTTCCTTTTTAAACTTTGTACATGTTATTTGTTACATTTCTGTAGTAGTACAGAATTATACTGACCCAACAGAATTATACTGGGCTGGCCCTAAACCCTGAGATGATAGCCTACATTTAAGGAACAGACAAAAACTGATCTTAATAATGGATTCCCGGCAGACTTAGCCTGAGAATCACTCCCTCCAAACTTCCCTTGTGTGCTCAAATGTGACTGAAAGGGTCCTGACACTGACTCCTAGTTTGACAAGCACTCCCTCCAACATGGGACCATACCAACAACCCAGGACAGGTCCATCCTGGCACCTAAAGATAATTAAAACCTAACTACAAGATGATTGATCAGTGATGCTTCCAAAGAAAGATCCCTTTTGTTTTATTTGTTTTTTTAGAGACAGGGTCTCACCATGTTGCCCAGGTGGGTCTCAAACTCCTGGGCTCAAGCAATCCTCCTGCCTCTGCCTCCCAAAGCGCCAGGATTACAGGCATGAGCCACTGTGCCTGGGTCCAAAGAAAGATTTTGATCAAAAGGGGGAAAAGTGAAAGTTGTTAGAATTAAAATTGAGTCATTTGTGTTAAAAGCCCTGACAAATGGAGCCAGGGAAGGCCATGAAAGGAGGGTTCTCATGCATGAATACCTGATTAAAAAAAAATAACTATTGCCCGGGCATGGTGGCTCACGCCAGTAATCCCAGCACTTTGGGAGGCCGAGACAGGCAGATCACGCTTGTAATCCCAGCACTTTGGGAGGCCAGGGCAGGCAGATCACTTGAGGTCAGGAGTTTAAGACCAACCTGGCCAAAATGGTGAAACCCCATTCCTACTAAAAATACAAAAATTAGCCAGGCATGGTGGCGCAGGCCTGTAGTCCCAGGTACGTGGAAAGTTGAGGCAGGAGAATCACTTGAACCCGGGAGGCAGAGGTTGCGGCAAGCCGAGATCGCACCACTGCACTCCAACCTGGGCTACAGAGCGGGACTACATTTAAAAAAAAAAAAAAAAAAAACTATCACAAAAAAACTCATAAAGGCCACAACCCTGCACAAAGGCAACTGCAACCTTACACAAAAAAATACTTCTGCAAGGACATCTGCCCAGTAACTTCATGTCCAACCTCAGACTGGCATCACTCTTGTCACTGATCTTTATAGCCAAACATAATTGATTTAAAACAATGATGTAATCTTCCTCATTTTTCCTTTAAAAATCTGTCTTGGCCGGGCGCGGTGGCTCATGCCTGTAATCCCAGCACTTTGGGAGGCCCAGGTGGGAGGATCACGAGGTCAGGAGATCGAGACCATCCTGGCTAACACGGTGAAACCCTGTCTCTACTAAAAATACAAAAAATTAGCTGGGCATGGTGGCGGGCGCCTATAGTCCCAGCTACTCGGGAGGCTGAGGCAGGAGAATGGCGTGAACCCGGGAGGCGGAGCTTGCCATAAACTGAGATCTCGCCACTGCACTCCAGCCTGCGCGACAGAGCGAGACTCTTGTCTTAAAAAAAAAAAAAAAAAAAGCTATGTCTTCCTTTACCTCCCTGAATATGCACATAGTTTACTACGGTATGCATATTCCCATTATAATGCCCATTCCTGAATAAATACTGCTTTCTTTCAGAGGGACTGTCTTTTACTTAGGTTGACAGAACCATCTGTATGTAAAAGATGAATTTAGAACCTTATTTCTCACCATACACAGAAATTAATTCAAAATAGATGATAAAATCTAACTGTTAGAGTTAAAACTATAAAACTTCTAGAAAGCAGAAAAATCTCAAGATCTTGGATTAGGCAGAGTTCTTACATAAGACAACAAAAGTATAATCTATAAAAGAAAAAATTTAGAAACCACACTTCATCAAAATTTAAACTAATTACACTTTAAAAGATCTTAATCGCCTTTTTTTTTTTTTTTTTTTTTTTGAGACAGAGTCTCGCTCTGTTGCCCAGGCTGGAGTGCAGTGGTGCGATCTCGGCTCACTGCAATCTCTGCCTCCCGGGTTCAAGCGATTCTCTGTCTCAGCCTCCTAAGTAGCTGGGGCTACAGGTGCACACCACCACACCCGGCTAATTTTTGTATTTTTAGTAGAGATGGGGTTTCACCATGTTGGCCAGGCTGGTCTCGAATGCCTGACCTCATGATCCACCAGCCTCAGTGTCCCAAAGTGCTGGGATTACAGGTGTGAGCCACCACGCCCAGCCACCAATTTTTTAAGCAATGAAAAGACCAGCAACAGACTGTAAAGAAATATTGGCAGATCATGTATCTACTAAAAAACTTACATCCAGAATATATTTCTAAAAAAAAAAACTTCTTATAACTCAATAAGTCAAACAACCCAATTATATTACATTACATTATATTATATTATATTATATTAATTATATTATATTATATTTTTTTGAGACAGAGCCTTGCTCTGTTGCCCAGGCTGCAGTGCAGTGTTGCAATCTCAGCTCACTGCAACCTCCGCCTCCCAGGTTTATGCAGTTCTCCTACCTCAGCCTTCTGAGTAGCTGAGATTACAGGCATGCGCCACCACCTCCGGCTAATTTTTGTATTTTTAGTAGAGACAGGGTTTTACCATGCTGACCAGGCTGGTCTCGAACTCCTGACCTCAGGTGATCCACCCACCTCAGCCTCCCAAAGTGCTGGGGTTACAGGCATGAGCCACCGCACCCAGCCCAAACAACCCAATTTTAAAAGGAGCAAAAGATCTGAATAGTGATGTCATCAAAAAAGATGGGTCAGACACGGTGGCTCATGCTTGTAATCCCAGCACTTTGGCAGGCCAACGCAGGAGGATTGCTTGAGCCCAGGGGTTCAAGAGTAGCCTGGGCAATGCAGTGAGACCCCCATCGCTACAAAAAATAAAAATAAAAAATTAACCGGGCATGGTGGTATGCACCTGCATTCCCCATTCCCAACTACTCAGGAGGCTGAGGTAGGGGGACTGCTTGAGCCCAGGAGGTCAAGGCTACAGTGAGCTCTGGTCGCACCACTGCACTCCAGCCAGCCCATTTATGCCAAGTGTTCCATTTTTGGAATGCTAAGCTTGTGGGAATTATTAATATCCTACTGCTCAAGGTCATCGCCAAGGTCTGCTTTTTCACAAAAAAAAATTGCAACTTCGGGCATAAATGGGTTAAGAAAAAAGATACATGAAAAGATGCTCAATACTATGAGTCATAAGGAAAATTAAAATTAAAATCACAATGACTCCACTAAACAGTACACAGAGAAAAAAACAAAAAAAAAAACACAACAAATTAACAAAATCAGGCCGGGCATGGTGGCTCACGCCTGTAATCCTAGCACTTTGGGAGGCCAAGGCAGGAGGACTGCCTGAGCTCAGGATTCGAGACCAGCCTGGGCAACATGGTGAAACCCCGTCTCCACTAAAAAGACAAAAAATCAGCTGGGCATAGTTGTGCTCGGCTGTAATCCCAGCTACTCGGGAGGCTGAGGCAGAAGAATTGCTTGAACCCAGGAGAGAGAGGTTGCAGTGAGCTGAGATTGCACTACTGCACTCCAGCCTGGGCGACAGAGTGACTCAAAAACAAACAAATTCATATCCATTAGAACAGCTATAATTAAAAAAGAAATACAATAATAAGTGTTGGCAAAGATGTGAAGAAAACTAGAACTCTCAAACATTGCTGTTAGCAATATAAGACGTTATGGCCACTTTGGGAAAACAGTTTGGCAGTGTCCTAAAAAGCTAAACGTATGATGCTGTAATTCTACTCCTAGATAGCTAACCAAGAGAAACAAAACCATATGTCCACATAAAGACTTGTACTCAAATGTTTGAGTATTATTTAAAGAGTCAACAACTGGAAATAATCGAAACACCTATATATACTGGTCAACAGCTAAAGTGTGTTACAGTAATCTCCCCTTACCTACAGCTTTACTTTGCAGTTTCAGTTACCCACAGTCAAACATGGTCTGAAAATGATAAATGGAAAATTTCAGAAATAATCTACGTTTTAAATTGAGTGCCATTCTGAGCAGCATGATGAAACCTCATACCATGCCCCTCTGCCTCGGCCATGAATCATCCCTTTATCCACCATATTCACGCTGTCTACACTACCTGCTCATTAGTCACTTAGTGGCCATCTCAGCTATCAGATCAACTAGTATCTTAGTGCTAGTAACCCTTATTTTACTTAACAATGGCTCAAACACTCAAGAGTAATGAGGATGACAACTGGATATGCCAAAAAGAAGCTGTAAAATACTTATTTTAAGTGAAAAAGTGAAAGTTCTCAATTTAACAAGAAAAAAACTTTATGCTGTTTGCTAACACCTACAGTAAGAAATCTTCTATGAAATTGTGAATAGCATATTGTTGTAACTATTCTATTGTATTGTTTTTAATCTCTTATTATGTCTGATTAACAAGTTAAACTTTATCCTAGGTATACAGATACAGAAAAAAATAATATATGGTTCAATACTACCTGAGATTTCAGGCATCCACTGGGGGTCTTGGAATGTATCCCACACAGATAACGGGGGGGGGGGGGGGGGGGGGGGCTATCATATACCTATACAAAGAAATACTATTCCAAAGTAAAAAGGGACAAAAAACTGATAAACGCTACAATATGAATGAATCCCAAAAACATTATGCTAAGTGAAAGAAGCCAGATACAAAAGACTACATATTGTACAATTCCACTTATACAAAATATCCAGTAAAAGCAAATGGATTAAGACAAAACCAATCAGTGATTGCCTGAGGCTGGGGGTGGGAATAAGGGTTAACTGCAAACAGGCTGGAGGGAATTTTGGAGGCAATGGAAATGTTCGAAAACTAGCTCAAGGTGATAGATAGTTTCACGATCTATATATTTACTAAAAATTATTGAATTATATACTCAAAATGGATAATTTTTTTGGTATCAGGTAAGTCAAAAGCTAATTTATTAAAAAGTGTACATACCCAAAGAAATGACAACACATCTACACAAAAACATGAATATTCATAGCAGCATAATAGCCCAAAAAAATAGAAACTTAAATGTCCATCAACTGATGCACAGATAAATAAAATGTAATATGTCCATAAATAGAATATTACTCATCAATAAAAAAAATGATTACAGGGTGGGTGCAGTGGCTCACACCTGTAATCCCAGCACTTTGGGAGGCCGAGGCAGGCGGATCATGAGGTCAGGAGATCAAGACCATCCTGGCTAACACAGTGAAATCCCATCTCTACTAAAAATACAAAAAATTAGCCGGGCGTGGTGGCACGCGCCCGTAGTCCCAGCTACTTGGGAGGCTGAGGCAAGAGAATCGCTTGAACCCGAGAGGCGGAGGTTGCAATGAGCTGAGATCGTGCCACTGCACTCCAGCCTGGGCAACACAGCGAGACTCCGTCTCAAAAAAAAAAAAAAAAAAAGACTATAAAAAATTTTTTTAATTAAAAAGGATCAGGTGCAGTGGCTCAAGCCTGAAATCCCAGCACTTTGAGAGGCCAAAGAGAGAGGATTGCTCAAGCCCAGGAGTTCAAGACTACCCTGGGTAATATGGTGAAACCCCATCTCTATAAAAAAGAAAATAGATTAGCCGGACGCGGTGGCTCACCCCTGTAATCCCAGCACTTTGGGAGGCCAAGGCGGGCGGATCACGAGGTCAGGAGATCGAGACCATCCTGGCTAACACGGTGAAACCCCATCTCTACTAAAAATACAAAAAAAAAAAAAAAATTAGCCAGGTGTTGTGGCATGCGCCTGTGGCAGGAGAATCGCTTGAACCGGGTGGCAGAGGTTGCAGTGAGCCAGATCACACCACTGCACTCCAGCCTAGGCGACAGAGCGAGACTCCATCTTAAAAAAAAAAAAAAAAGAAAGAAAGAAAATAGATTTTAAAAAAAAAAGAAATGAAGTACTGACACATATTACAACATGGATATACTTTGAAAGCATTATGCTAAACGAAAGAAGCCAGTCACAAAAGACCGCATTTATGGTTTCATTTACATAAAATGTCCACAACAGTCTAATCTATAATGATAGAAAGTCGATCAGTGGTTGCATAGGACTGGGAGTGCTGAGGGAAAATGAAAAGCGACTGTTAATGGATATGGGGCTCTTTTGGGGGATGATTAAAATGCTGTAAAATTGAGTATAGTGATGGCTGCACAACTCTGAATATACAGTCGGCCCTCCATATCCATGAGTTCTGAATACATGGATTCAATCAATGAGGTACAGAAACTACTCAAAAAAAAATTATGTCTGTAAATGAACATGTACAGACTTTTTTCTGGTCATTATTCCCTAAACAATACACAGTATAACAACTATTTACATAGCATCCACATTGTATTAGGTAGTATGAGTGATGTGGAGATGATTTAAAGCATACAAGAGAATATGCAGAGTTTATATGCAAATACTATGTCAGTTTTATTCATTTTTCCTAGGAGACAGGATTTTGCTCTGTCACCCAGGTTGGTGTCCAAACTCTGGCCTCAAGAGATCCTCCCACCTCAGCCTCCTGAATAACTGGGATTACAGGCACAAGCCACTGCACCCAGCAACTATGCCATTTTATTTTAGGGACCTGAGCATCCATAGATTCTGGTGTCTGAGGAAGGCCCTAGAACAAATCCCCAACAGATACCGATGGACAATTGTAGTAAAAACCACTGAATTGTTCACCTGCAAAATGGAGTAATTTTTTAAAAAATTAATAAACCCACCAAACTGTACACTTTAAACTGAACTGACTAGTATGTGAATTATATCATCGTGAAGCTGTTACTCCTCCAAAAATGGTATACAACATGAGCAGGTAAAGCCACTAACATTAGCAGACCCTACAGGCCACAGGTACCAATCTGTTTACTTAGGACAGAAAAATCCCAAAGTTACAAATTCTTTCCAACCATACTCAAGCTGACTATTTTGTAAATGAGTATTTATGTCTGAAATGAAAGGCAATGATAAATCCAATGAGTTAAATCACTAAACTTAAAAATAGGTTGACATAAATATTCAAACTTCAAATGCCCAGGATATTCCAATTTTCTATTTCATGTGTTTAACTACTAGATATCGTCTCAATAATATTTACATGAATGTACTCTGTAAACTGTAATGCTCTATAAAAAGTTTTATTATTCCTAAATTCCCTTAAATGTAATTTAATGGTTTCCAGTCCTATATAAGTCATTCTACCTTTTGAAGAAACTCTGAAACACAAATATCCAATCCTTTCTTAGTAAAGCATACATCCTTCCGTGATTCTGGCACCAAAGAAAGTGCATAATTTACTTCAGGATAGAGAATCACAGATAAAAAGGAAAACAAATCTGATTATCAAACACACGATTACTATTCTCTCATCACCGGATTACAATTTAAACCATTAAGCTGAAGTAAATGTTCATGAACACAAGAAAGGGGGGAATTTTTAACAGTTTTACAATGACGTGTCCCCCTCTTCCTCATTTAATGAAGTACTAAACTTAAAGGCTATTCTGCAGCGAATCTGCCTCCTAGAAAGAGTCCATCCAGGATGCTGGCAGAGGGAAAAAGATTAGAAACTGTGCGATCTGGATTATTCTTGGTGTCACGGAATATTTTTTGAGTCCTTTATGGACATGGAATAAAAATGCCCAAATGGAGCAGAAGAGAGGGCTCGGCTACCCTGATCACAAAGCTCCTGGGGTAGAGTCAGCATCCAGCCCTGGCAGAGCCCTCCCTGTCCTCCTTCCGCGCCCCTAGACCATCCCGTCGCGCGGTCCCTGAGGACCAGCTTCGCGAGGATCCAGAAGGCGGTCACTGGACGTGCCTGTTACGAGCCCGTTTTTGTTTTGCTTAAGAAACAGATTCCGATCCGAGCAAAGCCTCCCTACCTCCCGGGGAATAGGGGGAGATGGCAGCACGGTGCCGGCGTGGAGAGCGAGAATAAAAGAACTGCCGAGTACAACCTGTCGTGCAAGCTAGCAGCGCCGGGAAGGAAAGGTAAGCGGCGGCGATAAGGCACGACAGGGAAGGAAACTGGTGTCCAGCGCCCCCCCCCGCCTGCCCGCCACCCAGAGCGGCCGGAGCCTCCCAGGTCCCGCCCCGAGCTCGCCGCCCAGCCCCGGCGCCGGCCGCAGACTCCCGCCCTACACAAACCCTCCCAGGACGCGCTTCCTCCGGAGCCGGACCCCCGCCCTGGCCTCCCCGCGGGATGAGGCGGGTCAGTTCAGTCCGCTTCTCGGCAGAGGTGACTCGCGCAGAGATGTAAACACGGAGAGACCAGCTGCGCTCGGCCCATCCCCCCCGCCGGGGTCTGTAACCTCTTCCCTCAGCCCTGCCCCGCGCCCCGCGCTCCCCGCGGGCAGGCGCGCAGCGCGCCTTCCCCTTTCTCCAAGTCCCGCTCCGCGACCGTTGCCTGGGGACACTCAGCCCCCTTCCCCCAGCCCCCGGCCGGTGTCACCGCCGCAGCCGCCGGAAAACCCCTCCGCAAACCCCGAAGCAAACAACACAAGCGCGGGGCGGGGGCGCGGAGGGAGGCGGCGGCAGTCGGGACAGCCAGGCTTTATCGCCGCGCCCTTCGCGCTCCCTCTCACCAGCCTCGGCTGCCCGCGCTCTTACCTGCTCTCCGCGACGCCTGGGAAGACCGCGGCGTCCTTTTCCCTCTCAGCAGGGCCGCGGACTAGCCGCCGCCGTTGGCCGAGCGTCCGGAGGGAGCCGGGGCCTCCCCAGCAGCCCGAGCCGCTCCACAGGGAGAGAAGGAGACAAAACAGAGGCTCGCCGCCCCGCGCAGCGACCCCCGCCCGCGCCGCCCCACCGACCCCCAACCGCCTAGGCGACGGCGGCGACACAGAGCTTGGCGCTGGGAGCAATGGTTGCCCCCGCCCCGCTCCGCTCCCGGCCCCCTCCCTCCACCCCCCGCCTCGGCTCCTCCCCCTCGGCCTCCTGCCGCCTCCACCAGGACACTGGAGTCCGCCTCCCCCTCCCCGCCAGCTCAGAGTGCTCCTCCCCTCCCCACGCGGCGGGGGGGCGGGGGCGGCACCGCCAGTCACCGCAGCGCCTGTCAAACGCGGGCCGGCTATTTATACCCCGCGGGGCCCCGCCGCCCTCGGGCCCCCACCAGCCCGCCGAACCTGCTTCTTTTGCTGTCTTGAATCCCGCCCTCTTCTCCTCGCCCAACTTCTCCCAAACCCGCCTTCCCAGGTAAAGACGCTCGTCACTTGTCCGGCTCCTTGCCCAGGGCTCCCCGATCTCGCTCTCCACTCCAGCCCCGGATTGGTGCAGGGGGCTCTGCCGCACGGGGCAGGCGTGTGAGGCCGATGGGGCCGCGCGTGCACCTGCAGCGCCCGCCGGCTTTCCCCCGCCGGCCGGGACCGCACGCACACACCCTCGCCACTCAGGGCCCCCGCAGGCCCCGCCGTCACCGCATCCCCAACTCAGGACTCTCGCCCTTCTCCGGAGACGGCCCCACAGTCGGGCAGTCTGACAGTTACAGGGGGGCGAGGTTTTGCAAAAACTCCTAGCCCGGTCTTTCCAGTTCCCACTCCTCAGCCTTGGCTTAGTGAAAGGTGGGGGTTCGGGCAGGAGCGCGACGCCGGCCCCGCCCCGGCCGGTGACGCACGTGGCGCACCGCCCCGCCAGCCTCGCGCCCCTCGGCGCCGCCAGCTCCTCCTCCCCGCTAGCAAAAGCCGGGCGTAGTACACCCGCGACCCCGCCCCATTCCCAGAAATTACCACCCGCCCAACAGCCCGGCCGCGCGGCGGTTGGTGCCGGCGTTTGCTGGCTGTCGGGTGGCTGGGCCCAGCGCGCAGCTGCGGAGCGCGGCGGGCGGCCCCTTGGAGCTGCCCGGGGAGCTGCGGGCACTCGCACCTAGCCATTGTCGCTCCTTGCGCGGTCCGCAACGGAGAAGTAACTCAAGTCTGAGTGTTGTTGGTGCGAGAATGAGAGAGTGTTCTGGTGTGGGAGTATTTTGGCCCAAGTGCCTGCGAATTCGAAAACGAAAACCCAGCAGTGGCTGCACGCTTCTGGTTTCCACACTTTCACACAAAGGGGAGCCTTCGAGCGGGGCACTCTCACGCGCCTTCAAGTGCACAAAAGCCAATGACACGGTGCCGTGGGTTGCCCTGTGTAGGAGCGTCTCTTTAATGGGCTTTGTAGGCACAGTTAATGCATACAAACGCCTCAGTCTATTTCTTCACCACCACCATTCCCCGCCGCGGCGTTTTCTGTATTTGTTTCTTTAACAAAGAGCACAGCCTGTCCGGTGCGCGCGGGGCTCCTTTTGCTCCCCTCCAGGGCTCCTGCAGCCTCGCCGCGATGGACCTGGCACCTGGCGCGGTATTCACCAGCTGATTTCTGGGCTCCAGCGTTACCCTTTTTACGGCTTCACAACCAGTCTGGAGCAAAGAAGAAACACTGAGGAATATAAGTGATAGCTGTTCTCTTGAAAGGGACGTGGGAACCGTGGAAATCACCCTAGAGTAAGGCTCAAATGTCAGAAAGCTGCAGGAGGCTCCAGATTTAAATCCCTGAAGAGCCTAAGAATGTAATGATCTCTTTCTTTTGTTAATACTGCTGTTGCCTCTATTTTCTTGGGGGTGAGTCTTCTCTTCCTTTCTTAAAAAGCAACTCTGGGCCGGGCGCAGTGGCTCACGCCTGTAATCCCAGCACTTTGGGAGGCCCTGGAGGGTGGATTGCCTGAGGTCAGGAGTTCGAGACCAGCCTGCCTAACATGGTGAAACCCCGTCTCCACTAAAAATACAAAAATTAGCTGGGCGTGGTGGCACACGCCTGTAGTCCCAGCTCCTCGGGAGGCAGGAGAATCGCTTGAACCCCGGAGGTAGAGGTTGCAGTGAGCCGAGATCGCAACACTACACTCCAGCCTGGGCGACAGAGCAAGACTCCTTCTCAAAAAAAAAAAAAAAAAAAAAAAAAGGCCGGGCGCGGTGGCTCACTCCTGTAATCCCAGCACTCTAGAAGGCCGAGGCGGGCGGATCACCTGAGGTCAGAAGTTCAAGACCATCCTGGCTAACACGGTGAAACCCCGTCTCTACTAAAAATACAAAAAATTAGCCGGGTGTGGTGGTGTGTGCCTGTAATTCCAGCTACTCGGGAGGCTGAGGCAGGAGAATCGCTTGAACCCGAGAGGCGGAGGTTGCAGTGAGCCCAGATCGCACCATTGCACTCTAGCCTGGGCAACGAGAGCGAAACTCCGTCTCAAAAAAAAGCAAGTCCGAGGGCTCTTATTCTTATTTAAGAAATTTTTACTCTTGAACACAGAGGAAACCTGGAGACCGTGACTGTTAATCAAAGATCCTCTTAACTCTTGACAAAGTTTTCTGGATTCCTGAGTTCTAAATCATGGGACTGTTGACACCCTTTTGAACTAAAGAATTTGTAACAATTTGGTAACATTCAAATCTTTAATACACAATAAACAGGATTCTGCAAACAGAGCACCCTTTCTAAGGGAGTCTTTTTATCTCACTTCTTGTAAATAACTTATCACTTATGGGAACCATTGCCCAATTTGATATTTGTAAGGAATTAATTAATAATCAATAATATTGCATCTTCATAACATAACATAGCATACTAAGGAGCCGGCAAAGACAAAGACTGATTCCTGTTGTTAGGGACAGATATCACCTGCCAAGTCACATAATTTCTGTTGTCAGCCACGTTGAGAAGAAATTCTCTCCCACTGCCGATTGGCAGTAAGCTGGAAAGTCCCAGGTGGATAACAGTGGTAGATAACATTATTGTTCCCAATTTTTCACTACTCCATGCATGCATGCCATTTGAAATACGGCTTTGTAGTTCCTCTCAGTAGAGATAGGATGTTTCTCCATCCTGTTCATGTTGAGCTTAGATCAGTCCATTTGCTTTTGGTCAAAGGAAGATAGGCAGAAGTGAGTGTGACAGTTCTGAGCCTGGCCTCAAGAGGTATTTCATGTTTCTCCTTCCCTCTCTGGCACTCTTGTTTTTCACAATGTGAAGAACATACCTGGCTAGTTTGCTGGTCAAAGAAATATGAAGCAGGTCTGAAGCCAGTCCCAGCTTGGGGTCAGCAACCTAGAGAATAAAGGATTGTTGTTTCAAGCCGTGTTTTGGAGTAATAGCGTTTTGGAGTAATAGTGTTTTGGAGTAGTTGGTTCCTGGAATTAGTGTTGTGATAGCTGACTGAAACAACAGCAGAAAGAGCAATCTGCTTCCTTCATATTGGCCTGCAAGGTGCCTAACTTGGTGTGTCTCAGGCAGCTCTTTGGCTATGGTTCTTAAACACATCCCTTATGGAGGCCAGCGGAGTAAGGAACCCAGAAATTTTACAGCAAGCTTGTCCAACCCAGGGCCTGCAGGCTGCATGCGGCCCTGGACCGCTTTGAATGCAGCCCAACACAAATTTGTAAACTTTCTTAAAATACTTTTTTGCGATTTTTTTTTTAAGCTCATCAGCTATCATTAGTGTTAGTGTATTTAATGTGTGGCCCAAGATAATAATTCTTCCAGTGTGGCCCTGGAAAGCCAAAAGATTGGACACCCCTGGTTTACAGTAAAGCATTCTAGAGAACAGGGGTCAGAAGGAAAAGTCTAGTGTGACCAGTAGTCCTAGTAGCAAGCTAATGATCATGGAATAGGAAATCTCTGTTGTAACTGGATTGCTTTTGCTGTTTTTTATGTTATATAGTTTTTTATGTTATATAGTTTATTTTTTAATTATTTTTATATTTTATTTAATTATTTTTATTATAGTTTATTTTTTAATTATACAATGATTCATTAATACATTCTCATCATCAATTTTCAAATAATTCAAAATAAACTTTTTAAAACCCAAGTTCACCTTCCCTCTCCATTTCCCTTCCCACTTCTCACTTACCCTTCACACTTACGCAGCCATCCCCTACCTCTACTTTTCCACAGATAACCATAAATGAAAATTTAGCCTTTAAGCTTCTAGGCCTTTTTCTGTGCATGTATATACATATACATATATTTATATACTAAATATAAATGATTATATGCATATTAGGTATAATGCTTTTATACTTCTTTTCTCTGTGTTATTTCTCCCTTTGTTTTCTTCAATATATAGGAAAGTGATTTTTTTTAAAATTATTTCATCCTTGGCTGGGTGCTGTGGCTACATCTGTAATCCCAGCACTTTGAGAGGCCAAGGTGGGAGGATCATTGAGCCCAGAAGTTCAAGACCAGCATGGGCAGGAGGATCACATAGTTTGAGACCCCATCTCTACAAAGAAAATAAAATAAAGTTAGCCAGGTGTGGTGGTATGGATATGTAGTCCCAGCTACTGGGGAGGCTGAGGCAGAAGGATCACATGAGCCCAGGAGTTTGAGGTTGCAGCGTGCTGTGCTCTCACCACCCCACTGCAGCCTGGGTGACAGAGTGAGATCCTGTCTCAAAAATAAATAAACAAAATAAAACAAATAAAATTTCATTCTGCCTTCAGTATAATAGACTAACCAAAGGAAGAGATTTTCCTGCTTTTATATCAGAATATTAAATGGTAGGATGACACTTTAGGGCTCAGTATGGGGGTGGCAGTGACAATCAACATGAGGAACAGAAGAGAAGACAAAATTCTGAGTAGTGGCCAGTAAGTCATTTCCCTCTCCCAACCTTTCAACTTCACATTCTCAGGCAAATCCTTGGAAGTACGAGTTATGTTTGATTAAATGAGGTAATTGTCCCTTATGACATTCCAAGTCCAAGAGAATATAGTGGAAGCTATGCTGCCTTTTCTGACCTAACTTCTGGAGTCACATACCATCACTTCTGTTGTATTCTCTTGGTCACACAGATTGATCCTAATTCAGTGTGGGAGAGTACTACACAAGGACATTCATACCAGGAGATGAGGATCATTGAGGGCCATGTTGGAAGCTGGCAGCCACAAGGGCATTCACTCAGTAGTGAATTTTGAGTGACTGACCCAATCTTTAAACAGATTCCCTCGTCACAGGTCAACAGAGTCCCTGGTTGACAACTACTAGGTAGATTTTACAAGAACAGCCAGAAAAATCTCTTCTTTGCCTCTCCTTAAGGAAAGAGAAGTTCTGGACAGCTATCCAACAGCAATATTCTGTTGTTAACCTATCTTATTTGTGAACAACTATATCCAACCCACCATACAAAGATTATTCATACCTCTCCCATGCTATGGGTCTGCAAAGTAATCTAGTCCCCCAAACTCACTTTTTGTTTTAGGTATTGTTTTGCCTTTTAGAAATCAGAATCTTTTAAACATTGTATATTAAATAAGTTATAAGAGGGCTGCCTTAGAATAACCAAACCCAAAATAATTTGGAGGGCGTGGGTTAAGTTTCCAGAATCCAATGAAGTAATTTTGAGGATGAAATTTGAAGCATCCAAAAAATAAATAGAAATTTGTACCATCAAATGCAATCAGATAAATAAGCAGAAAGTATAAACTTTTGAATATAGAAGGAAGTTAAATCCTCATGAGTTGCACCTATAACTTCATCCTGTAATGTTTTCTAGTAAAATAAGTACTTAAAACCATTTCATAATTTCAGTTCTTGATATATTTTAAAAGCAACCTTCTCTTTAAAATAGTGCTTTAGTTGGAAGAATTCTATTAATTCTGTCTACAAATTAATTACTTTTAAAGAATATTTTATTGCTTTATTAAAATATTTGAAATGTTTAAGATGAATTACACTTTATTCTAGTTAGAATTTTTAATGTTTTTTATGTTAAAACCAACTTTTGTTAGCAGATTTCACTTTCATATCTTTATTATAAGTTTAAAAGTCAAAATTAAATGAACATCAAGACATTTTATTAGTGATTTAAGATCATGTTAATTTTTTTTTTCCAGACAGAGCTTTGCTCTTGTCACCCAGGCTGGAGTGCAGTGGCACAATCTCGGCTAACTGCAACCTCTGCCTCCTGAGTTCAAGCAGTTCTCCTGCCTCAGTCTCCCGAGTAGCTGGGATTAAGGTGCCTGCCTCCACGCCTGGATAATTTTTGTATTTTTAGTAGAGACGGGGTTTCACTATGTTGGCCAGGCTGGTCTCGAACTCCTGACCTCGTGATCTGCCTGCCTCGGCATCCCAAAGTGCTGGGATTACAGGCGTGAGTCACCGCGCCTGGCCAATCAGATTAATCTTTACAGTTTCTGAATAGTTTACTTAATAAAATTCAGGATAAATGCTATATTAGCTCATTAAAGCACAAATATAAATATCTTCCGTGGGAAACTACTTGAAACAAACTTTCATATTTGTGCCGCATAATTTTTAAAGGCATTTAACTGGCCGGGTGCAGTGGCTCACACCTGTAATCCCAGCACTTTGGGAGGCGGAGGCAGGCGGATCACCTGAGGTCAAGAGTTTGAGACCAGTCTGGCCAACGTGATGAAACTCCGCCTCTACTAAAAATACAAAAATTAGCCAGGCACGGTGGCGGGTGCCTGTAATCCCAGTTACTCGGGCAGCTGAGGCAAGAGAATTGCTTGAACCCGGGAGGCAGAGGTTGCAGTGAGCCAAGATCGTGCCATTGTACTTCAGCCTGGGCGACAGAGAGAAACTCGGTCTCAAAAAAAAAAAAAAATTAATAAATAAATAAAGGCATTTAACCCTGACTCTCCCATGCTTCTAAGTTAAAATGAGTTAATAGAAATGTGTCTTTCCATTCACTTTCAGATCACCCTAAAAAAAAGAAAAACCAAAAGGCTTTCCCATTATTTATTTGCTTTCTTTTCTGGGGGTTTTTCCTGTTTGTCAGCTAACTACTGTAGGTAGCATTATTTTAATAAGAGTAAATAATAATGACAGTAACACAATAATATTGACCTCTATTCATATACTGCTAGGTTTTCTGTGTTTATTCATCTTGTGAGTATTATCACCATTTCATAGTTGATGCTGAAACTAAGAGAGGTTAAGTCACTTGTTCAAAGTTATACAGTAGGTGGCAGGGTTGGATATTGAATCCATCTCCAGAACCTGTACTCTTAACCACTAATACAGCATATTATTAAAATACTGTTTTCATTTTCTTTTCTTTTTCTTTCTTTTTTTTTTTTTTTTTTTTAGATAGGGCCTATCTCTGTTGCCCATGCTGGAGTGCACTGGCTTCACCCTCCAGAGTGGCTGAGACTACAGGTCATCATGCCCAGCTAATTTGTATGTATGTATGTATTTATTTATTTTAGAGACAGGATCTTGCCACGTTGCCCAGGCTGGTAGTCAAACTCATGGCTTCAAAAAATCTTCCTGCCTCATCCTCCCAAAGTGCTGGGATTACAGGTGTGAAGTATGGCACCCAGCCTAAAGTGTTTTTTGGACACATGTAGGGCAGTCCTGTTCCAACTGTTCATGTCCAAACATAGAGAATGAAAAGCATTGCTCTCTGTTTCACCTCTTGTCCTATTCCCCCAAATTTATAGGGGGCTGCTGTCACCTCTTATTCTGACTCACCTGTTTGGCTTTTTTTTTTTTCCCTTGAGAAGGGTCTGTCTGTCACCCAGGCTGCAGTGCAGTGGTGCAATCACAGTTCACCGCACCCTCGGCTTCCCGGCCTCAGGTGATCCTCTCACCTCAGTCTCCCAAGTAGCTGGGACCACAGGTGCCTGCCACCATGCCCAACTAATTTTTGTATTTTTTGTAGAGACAGGGTTTTGCCATGTTGCCCAGGCTGATCCTGAACTCCTGGGCTCAAGTGATCTTCCCACCTTGGCCTCCCAAAGTACAGGCATGAGCCACCATGCCAGGTGTGTTTGGCCTTTATGTTCTGCCTAACATGCCAGGCACTGCCAAAGTGCTTGGGTGCTTCTGACCATGTTCCTTATATCCCACTCTCCAGACATTCCCTTCACTAGTAGATGCCAACTAATTCCCTCTACTCCAGCCTGTGGCTTCTGTATCCTGCTCTCCCTGCTTCCCTTCTTGTCTGCCACATTAAGTTTGAGTAGACTTTCCATATCTGCTGGTGACACTGACTACTTAGCAAAAGAGAGAGAGAGAGAAATTTAAAGCCAGGACAAGAAACCAATCAATATGGAGGGTAAAAGGGTCATAGAAGGACCATGATTAAAATGTGAATACCAGCCAGGCGGTGGAGGCCCACCTGTAAGCTCAGCTACTCAGGAGGCTGAGGAGTAGGATCGCTTATGCCCAGGAGTTCTGGGCTATAGTGTGCTATGCCCAAGAGGTGTCTACACTAAGTTCAGCATCAATATGGTGACCTCCCAGGAGCAGGGGACCACCAGGTTACCTAAGGAGGAGTGAACCAACCTAGGTCAGAAACAGAGCAGGTCAAAACTCCCATGCTGATCAGTAGTGGGATCACACCTGTGAATGACCAGTGCTAAAGTGCTCTCCAGTCTGGGCAACATAGTGAGACAACTCCCCATAAATAATTTTTTTTTTTTAAATTCAGACAGAGTCTTGCTCTGTCACCCAGGCTAGAGTGCAGTGGCATGATCTCAGCTCACTGCAACTTCTGCCTCTTAGATTCAAGCAATTCTCCCACCTCAGCCTCCTGAGTAGCTGGGATTACAGGCACATACCACCACGCCCAGCTTTTTTTTTTTTTTTTTTTTAGTAGAAGCGGGGTTTTGCCATGTTGGCCAGATTGGTTATGAACTCCTGACCTCAAGTGATCCGCCCACCTCAGCCTCCCAAAGTGCTGGGATTACAGGCATGAGCCACCTCACCTGGCCTCCCATAAACAAATATTTTAAAATGTGAATACCAGAAAGTAGAGGATGGAAGGCTGGGCATGGTGGCTCACGCCTATAATCTCAGTACTTTGGAAGGTTGAGGTGGGTGGATTGCTTTGCCTAGGAGTTCGAGACCAGCCTGGGCAACATGGCGAAACCCATCTCTACAAAAAATACAAAAATTAGCCAGTGTGGTGGCATGCACCTGTAGTTGCAGGTACTCAGAAGGCTGAGAAGAGAGAATCACCTGAGTCAGGAAGTGGAGGCTGCAGTGAGCCATGATCGTGCCACTGCATTCCAGCGTGGCCAACGGAGAAAGACCCTGTATCAAAAAAAATTTTCTAATTAAAATAGAAAAGAAGGCCAGGCGCAGTGGCTCACACCTGTAATACCAACACTTTGGGAAGCCAAGGCGGGTGGATCATTTGAGGTCAGGAGTTCAAGACCAGTCTGGCCAACATGGTGAAACCCTGTCTCTACTAAAAATACAAAAATTAGGCCAGGCACAGTGGCTCACGCCTGTAATCCCAGCACTTTGGGAGGCCAAGGCAGGCAGATCACGAGGTCAGGAGATGGAGATCATCCTGGCTAACATGGTGAAACCCCATCTCTACTAAAAAAATTAGCTGGGTATGGTGCAGATGCCTGTAATCCCAGCTACTTGGGAGGCTGAGGCACGAGAATCACTTGAACCCAGGAGGCAGAGGTTGCAATGAGCCGAGATCGTGCCACTGCACTCCAGCCTGGAGACAGAGTGAGACTCCATCTCAAAAAAAAAAAAAAATATATATATATATATATATACACACACATATATGTGTATATATATACACAAAAATTAGCCAGGCGGTAGTGGTACGCACCTGTAATCCCAGGTGAGGCAGGAGAATCACTTGAGCCTGGGAGGTGGAGGTTGTCATGAGCCAAGATCACGCCACTGCACTCCAGTCTGGGTGACGGAGTGAGACCCTGTCTCAAAAAGAAAAAAAAGAAAGAAAGGAAAGGGGCTGGGTGCAGTAGCACACACCTGTAATTCCAGCACTTTGGGAGGCCGAGGAAGGTGGATCACCTGAGGTCAGGAGTTCGAGATCAGCCTGGCCAACATGGTGAAAGCTCGTCTCTACTAAAAATACAAAAATTAGCCGGGCATGGTGGTGGACGCCTATAATCCCAGCTACTCGGGAGGCTGAGGCAGGAGAATTGCTTGAACCAGGAGGTGGAGGCTGCAGTGAGCAGAGATCGCACCATGCACTCCAGCCTGGGTGACAGAGCTCCATCTAAAAAAAAGAAAAGAAAGAAAGAAAGAAAAGGATGGAATAAATGGGAAGAGGAGAGGAGAGTTTAAAAATACTGTAAATCCACATACAGACTGGAAACTCCCATAATAGAAAGGAAAATGGGAAATGAAAATAGGTTTATGGTTAAAATTAATATATAAGAGCTCATGAATAGGTATAGGTTGGGCGTGGTGGCTCACACCTGTAATCCCAGCACTTTGGGAGGCCGAGTCAGGTGGATCACCTGAGGTCAGGAATTTGAGACCAGCCTGACTAACATAGTGAAACCCTGCCTCTACTAAAAATACAAAGATTAGCTGGGCGTGATGTCGCATGCCTGTAATCCCAGCTACTCGGGAGGGCGAGACAGGAGAATCGCTTGAACCCGGGAGGCGGAGGTTGCAGTGAGCCGAGAGATCACACTGTTGCACTCCAGCCTGGGCAACAAGAATGAAACTCTGTCTCAAAAAAATAAATGAAATAAAAATAAAAAATGAATAGGTATAGTAATTGATAATATCTATACTTATATGTGGTCAGAGGCCTAAATACCAATGAAATACTTTTGAAATTTAGCATCTTCTTAATAGGTGCACTTTCTTTTTTTTTTTTTTTTTTGAGACGGAGTTTTGCTCTTGTTGCCCAGGCTGAAGCGCAGTGGTGTGATCTCAGCTCACTGCAACCTCTGCCTCCCAGGTTCAAGCGATGCCCCGTCTCAGCCTCCCGAGTCACTGGGATTACAGACATGTGCCACCACGCCCGGCTAATCTGTATTTTTTAGTAGAGACGGGGTTTCTTCATGTTGGTCAGGCTGGTCTCGAACTCCCAACTTCAGGTGATCCTCCCGCCTCTGCCTCACAAAGTGCTGGGATTACAGGCGTAAGCCACCGAGTCCGGTGGTGCCCTTTCTTTTTCTTTTTTTTTTTTTTTTTTGAGACAGAGTCTCACTCTGTCACCCAGGCTGGAGTGCAGTGGCGCTATCTTGGCTCACTGAAAGCTACACCTCCCAGGTTCACGCCATTCTCCTGCCTCAGCCTCCTGAGTAGCTGGGACTACAGGCGCCCGCCTGCCACCACGCCCGGCTAATATTTTGTATTTTTAGTAGAGACAGGGTTTCACCGTGTTAGCCAGGGTGGTCTGGATCTCCTGACCTTGTGATCCACGCGCCTCAGCCTCCCAAAGTGCTGGGATTACAGGCATGAGCCACTGCGCCGGGCCATGCACTTTCTTTTAATCCTCACAATCACCCAATCAGGAAGATACTATAGTATTATCATATTTTAGATTATGAAACTGACCTGGCTGGGCATAGTGGCTCATGGCCGGGCACGGTGGCTCTTGCCTGTAATCCTAGCACTTTGGGAGGCTGAGGCAGGCAGATCACTTGAGGTCAGGAGTTCAAGACCAGCCTGGCCAACATGGTGAAACCTTGTCTTTACTAAAAATACAAAAATTAGCCGGGTGTGGTGGCACGGGCCTGTAATCCCAGCTGTTCTGTGGATCGCAGCTGGATCGCAGCACTGCACTCCAGCCTGGGCGAAAGAGCGAGACACCATCTCAAAAAAAAAGAAAGAAAAAAGAAAGAAAAAGAAACTGACTTTTCCCAGAATCACCAGTAAGTGAGCAGGGGAAACTAGCTGACTCCAGGCTGCAAGTTCTTAACAGTCTGCCCAGCCTCCTCCTCCTCCTCCTCCTCCTCCTCATTATCATCCCCAGGGTGTCAGGCCAGCCTCTCCCTATAGTGTGCTCTCCTAAGGATAGATAATACCTCTGCCTAATACAGCTGAGCAGAAATGGAATTTGAATCCAGTTTTTCTTATTTTCACAGGCTCCCTTTTTGAGGTCACTGAAGTGAGAAGTGGGAAAGAGGAAGGTCTTAGGTGATGCCCTTGAGCCTAGAGGAAGGGATTTAGCAATAACGGGCTCTCTTTAATTAACTTGCTGAGTCAGGGCAGGAGGCAAGCAAACTAGTGAAGCTGAGGGGAAGAGAGGAAGTCAAGTATAGATTGACAGAGGCAGGCTTGGATCTAGTGAGGCAGGGAGAGATTGGGGAAATTAGGAAACTAAGGAAAATAGGAAAGAGCTAAAATTCATTAGCCAACAGTGGACTTGAATGTGGACAATTATCTACTTTATAACTTGGGGGTTTTCTGGTTTGGTTTTGTTGATAGAGTCTCACTCTGCCACCCAGGCTGGAGTTCAGTGGTACGATCATGACTCACTGCAGCCTGGATCTCCTGTGCTCAAGCAATCCTCCCACCTCAGCCTCCCAAGTAGCTGGAACTGCAGGTGCATGCCACCATCCCTAGCTAATTTTTTATTTTTTATGGAGACAGGGTTCTCACTATGTTGCCCAGACTGGTCTTGAACTCCTGGACTCAAGGGATCCTCCTGCCTCGGATTCCCAAAGTGCTGGGATTACAGGCATGAGACACCACACCCAGCCTACTTTATAATTTTGACTATAGCTAGCCGTGTCTGTATGTTCAAAATTATTTTGCTTTTCAGTTTTTCCTCAGGATGTCTTGTGTATTTTTATATGGTAGTTGACATTTACTATTAACCAATTTTGGTATTTTTCTAATATTTATGTGATAGAAAATTTAATTATTTTTATATTGTGTATTAAAAATTTCAGTCTTTAATATTTTTTATTTATCATTAGCCCAAAGAGCCCTTCAATCATTAATGTAATACTTGTTAAATTAGGCAGGAACTAGATATTAGGGTGTGCCTATAACATCAGTCCCGAATATCCAGATTAGATAAACTATTTAGTGCCTCTCAGGCCCTAATATACTGAACTCCCAAATGCCAGTATGCTGAGAACAGCAACGGAAAAAGTTTTACAGAAGATGCACATGTGGTTATCAGCACCAAGTGAATAGCCCTGAGCTTTTTTTTTTTTTTTTTCTTTTTGAGACGGAGTCTTGCTCTATCCCCAGGCTGGAGTGCAGTGGCACGATCTCTGCTCACTGCAACCTCCGCCTCCCAGGTTCAAGCGATTCTCCTGCCTCAGTCTCCCGAGTAGCTGGGACTACAGGCACGCACCACCACGCCCAGCTAATTTTTGTATTTTTAGTAGAGACAGGTTTCACCATGCTGGCCAGGATGGTCTCGATTTCTTGACCTCGTGCTCCACCCACCTTGGCCTCCCAAAGTGCTGAGATTACAGGCATTGAGCCACCATGCCCGGCCAGCACTGAGCTTTTTGAGTGTAGAGTTTTCAGACGACACAGAAGGTTTTGGTCTAAATGGTCTAGATACCTTGAAATGAGATTAAGAAGTAGTATCACGGACTGTGATATAAGTGACTGAATTTGTGGAATTCTCTTCCCACTGCAACATCTTTACAGTGATCCTGTTTTCTAGAATCAGATTTTTGGGATGAAATGAATGGAGTGAAAGGATGAAAAAGTAAGACAAAAAAGCAGGACTTTTTTGTATATTCCAGGCATTCTAGCTGTTTTTATTTTTGTAGGATAAACATTTTGAAGATGTGATTAGAGGAAAAAAAGAGAAGACAGATTACAATAAACATACATATATTTACCAGGGCTTAAGGCCATTTAGTCTACCAGGTAACAAACTTTTTTTTTTTAAGCTTTAGAATTTACAAAGTTCACATCAGTCTGAAACAAACATTTTATTTTTTTAAGCTTTAGAACTTACAAAGTTAACATCAGTCTGAAATGATAGCATTAAAAGGGTAGCATATGAAAAATCTCCTTTATAACATTTTATTTATTTATTTTTTATAGAGATGTTAGGGTCTCACTATGTTGCCCAGGGTGGTCTCAAACTCGTGAGCTCAAGCCATCCTCCCATCTCAGCCTCCCAAAGTACTGGGATTACAGGCATAAACCACCATGCCAGGTCTGAAAAATCTTCTTAACCAGCTATAACGAGGTAAAACATCTCTTTAAAAATATCTTAAAAGACAATAAATGAGCTTGAAATGCTATAAGGAAATATAGCCTCACTTAATAAATATAACTCAAAGCCTCCAAGGATTAACCCAAGAAAGCAAATTTCAAGTAACTGATTTACCTACTACCACTGTGACCCTCACTTTGATTATCACTTCTACCCCCATACTGGGCCATAAAAGGGTTCTGCTCCTGTTTAACATTCTTGCTTTACTCCCCAGTCTAATCTCATCAGTTCTGAGGCTCCCTACCAATTCCTTCTGTTCTCACACGCTTTCACTCCAGCCTCATTCTCTGACCACCAGGCCCTGGCTCTGCCCCAGCAGCCATACTTCTGCCATGTGACATTGCTCTCTTTGGCTATAGCCGAATGATTGAATCAGCAAGGTGTACCTCATCTAAGCTGGGCCTATCATACCTGTTCTTTCCAGAATTTGGAACTGGGACCAACAGGCCATCTACAGTCTCTTAATGTCTCTGGAATTTTGTATGCTGGTAGTTGTGAGAGAATCACAGTCTGCCGTATGGAAACTGAGAAGCAGGAAAAGCCCTTCTGCTGTGGCTTTGCCACAAGGAGACTCAGACATTAGAGAGCAGAGAGAAGTGTGTAGGTTCCTGGCAGCTTTCCGGACCCAGATCATTCTAATGGCTGGGGGGAGTCCACCTCTTATAAGGCCTGAAACTTAATACAATTTGAGGGAGGCCCTCTTTTTTAAATAAATAGAAAATTATGGGTACAAATAGAATATTTATTTAGAATGGGAAATAAATCACCAAAAATAACACTTTTTTTTTTTTTTTTTTTTTTTTTTAGATATAGTCTTGCTCTGTACCCAGATGGGAGTGCAGTGGTGCCATGGCTCACCTCAGCCCCAACTTCCTGGGCTCAAGTGATCCTCCCACCTCAGCCTCCCAAGAAGCTAGGACTACAGGCACTCACCAGCACACCCAGCTAAATTTTTTTGTTTGTTTGTTTGTTTGTTTTTGAGACAGAGTCTCGCTCTGTCGCCCAGGCTGGAGTGCAGTGGCGCGATCTCGGCTCACTGCAAGCTCCGCCTCTCGGGTTCACGCCATTCTCCTGCCTCAGCCTCCCAAGGAGCTGGGACTACAGGCACCCGCCACCACGCCTGGCTAATTTTTTTGTATTTTTAGTAAAGACGGGGTTTCACCGAGTTAGCCAGGATAGTCTCGATTTCCTGACCTCGTGATCCGCCAGCCCCGGCCTCCCAAAGTGCTGGGATTACAGGCGTGAGCCACCGCGCCCGGCCTACTCTCCCTTTTTAGCATAGGCTACATCAAGTTGGTTTCCATTTTTTGCAAACCAAAGTGTCTCAAACAAGGCTCTGTTATATTTTTCACAGATTACTGCATTAGCCCTGTAACAGGTAGGCTTAATTCTGTGTCCAATTCCAATTTGCTTTATATATGCTGTCCAGATTAATCTTCCTAAAGCATAGATGTGATGATGTTACTACTCAGAATCTCTGAGTACAAACTCCTCATCCTGGCATTGAAGGCCTCTGTACAATAGCCCCATGTCTATCTTTCCAGGCTTACTTCCCACCACTTTTCTTGGCGGAGTCTGGGCACCAGTCACAAATGGCTACAAACGGATCATGCCTGAACTTTCCCACCCATATGCCTTTGCTCAGGATACTTCTTCTACACAAAATTCCCTCTCTTGTTCTGTCAGAGCTGCATATTCTTCAGGGTTCATCTCAAATATTATCTCCACCATGAAGCTTTTATACATCCAAATATATCTCCACCATGAAGCTTTTCCTGATTTTCTGACACACCTCCCACCCTCCAAACTAAGTTTGATTTTTGCCCTCCTTTGATTCACTATAGCTTTTGGTTCTTACTTCATCCATGACACTGTAGTTTCTCTTTTTCTTTTTTTTCTTTTTTTTAAAGAGGGCCTCCTTAAATTGTATTAGGTTTCAGGCCTTTTAAAAGTTGCATAACTGGCCGGGCGCGGTGGTTCACACCTGTAATCTCAGCACTTTGGGAGGCCAAGGCAGGCAAATCACGAGGTCAGGAGATCGAGACCATCCTGGATAACATGGTGAAACCCCGTCTCTATTAAAAATACAAAAAATTAGCCAGGCATGGTGGCAGGCGCCTATAGTCCCAGCTACTCGGGAGGCTGAGGCAGGAGAATGGCATGAACCCAGGAGACACAGCTTGCAGTGAGTGAGATCACAGCACTGCACCCCAGCTGGGCGACCGAGTAAGACTCCGTCTCAAAAAAAAAAAAAAGTTGCATAACCTTGGCCAAGTTATTTAATCACATATTTTTTTAATCTCCATTTATGCTTACAAAAAGGAACAACAATAAGGCCAAACGAATAAGCTTGTTGTAAAGATTAAATTAATCTGTAAAATAATATTCTTACCTTCTAGGTTTTTAATGAAAACTAAATGAGTTAATATTTATTTTATTTATTTATTTAGTGATTTATCTGAGATGGAGTTTCATTCTTGTTGCCCAGGCTGGAGTGCCTCAGCCTCCCGAGTAGCTGGGATTACAGGCACCCACCACCACGCCCAGCTAATTTTTTATATTTTTAGTAGAGACAGGGTTTCACCATGTTGGCCAGGCTGGTCTCAAACTCCTGATCTTAGGCGATCTGCCCACCTCAGCCTCCCAAAGTGCTGGGATTACAGGCGTGAGCCACTGTGCCTGGCCAAGTTAATATTTAAAAAGCACTTAGAATAGTGTCCTGGCTTATATGGGTGCTCTATAAATATTAGCTATTATTACTTGTCCTATGTCCTCATCTATAAAATGGGGATAATAATAGTTCCTTTTTCATATACTTGTAAAGGATTGACTGAGAATAACTTAGATCAGTTCCTATCACAAAGTAAATGCTCTATAAGGGTTGGTCATTATTATTAGGAAGGCCTCTATTGTGTCCTCTCTATTGCAACTTTCCTGAGGACAGCAGCATTACTTTTTACAACTTTGTGTCCAGCAGTGACTCAAATAATGTCTGGTACATAGGAGTAACTCAAAAATGTGTTGTAGGCCACATGGATAGCTGGCACTGGGCTGGTGGTGACAGTGGGGGCTGGAAGAGCTGCAGGTCCCTAGGGACACGAAACGGGCATGCAGGAGATTAGAAGCCAGTAGGCACCAGTGTGGCTGCCACCAAATGAACACCTGTTCCCTGGCATCCTGGGCCTCAGAGGACCAGGAGCTTCCCCTTCCATCCTGCCCTTTACACTGAGGCCAGAGAGTGGCAAGGGGAGGACAAGTGCAGGGGTTCCTCGCAAAGGTGGAAGGAACTTGGCCCGGCCTTGTCCAAGATGTTTTTCAGGGGAATCTGGTCATTTTAACTATACTGAGATGCATTAGAAGATGCAAGCTGGAAAAAGGAAGATTCCAATTTGTGTTTTGAACTCTTGGTGGTACAGCAAATGTAAATCTCTTACAGATGGATCTGGGAACCCACTTGTCCAAAGAGCTGCCCAGCGTTCCCTGCTAGAGGTTTGTGTGTCCTCTCATTCAGGTAATCCCACCATCCTCTGCGAGAGAGCCAGAAGAATCCACCTCACTTCAAAAGAGCCTCCAAATCATTGCTACTCACTACAGCCTCCTTTCAAATGTATTTTGCTTGAGAGAGGATCAATTGCATTATTTAAAAGTTTAAAAAATTTTGTAGTCGAGTGTGGTGGTTCACACCTGTAGTCCCAGATACTCAGGAGGCTGAGGTGGGAGGATAGCTTGAGCCCTGAAATTCGAGGCTGCAGTGAGCAATGATCACGCCACTGCACTCTAGCCTGGTAACAGAGCAAGACCCCGTCTAAAAAAGAAAAAAAAATTAGTAGCCAACCTATGAGGCTTGGGAACCTGTGGCTTATAGAATTATATCCAAATGCAGTCTCGCTGTTATACTTTTCTGTTATTTTGTGGAGGTATCCAGGGCTGCTTACTTATGCTTTTTTTTATTTTAATCTTTTTATTTTTCTCAGAATGTAAGCTTACATCCTTTTTTTTTTTGAGACAGAGTCTTGCTCTGTCACTCAGGCTGGAGTGCAGTGGCACGATCTTGGCTCGCTGCAACCTCCACCTCCCAGGTTCCAGCAATTCTCCTGCCTCAGCCTCCCGAGTAGCTGGGATTACAGATGCATGCCACCATGCCCGGCTAATTTTTGTATTTTTAGTAGAGACAATGTTTCACCATGTTGGCCAGGCTGGTCTCCAACTCCTGACCTCAAGTGATCCACCTGCCTCCGCCTCCCAAAGTGCTAGGATTAAAGGGTGAGCCACCACGCCCAGCCCATACTCTTTTAAATTAAAAGACTTCTTTTTGGCCAGGCATGGTGGCTCACGCCTGTAATCCCAGCACTTTGGGAGGCTGAGGCGGGTAAATCATGAGGTCAGGAGATCAAGACCATCCTGGCTAACACAGTGAAACCCCGTCTCTACTAAAAATACAAAAAATTAGCTGGGTGTGGTGGTGGGTGCCTGTAGTCCCAGCTACTCAGGAGACTGAGGCAGGAGAATGGTGTGAACCCAGGAGGCGGAGCTTGCAGTGAGCCAAGATTGCACCACTGCACTCCAGCCTGGGTGACAGAGCGAGATTCTGTCTCAAAAAAAAAAAAAAAAAAAAAGACTTCTTTTTATATTTAAAAAAAATTATTGTAAAATCACCTTTCTCCACCCAAATATTGAAATGCATTGATTTTAACTTTTACAAGTTCATAAAGAAATGAAATGTATATTCATGGATACCTGAGTGACTTTTCTATCAATTCTTTTTTTGGACACAGGATCTCCGTCTGTTCCCCAGGCTGGAGTACAGTGGTACGATCATGGCTCACTGCAGCCTTGACCTCCCGGGCCCAAGTGATCCTCCCACTTCAGCCTCCTGAGTAGTTGGGACTATGGGTGCATGCTGTCACACCTGGCTAATTTTTGTATTTTTTGTAGAAACAAGGTCTCACTATATTGCCCAGGCTGGTCTCAAACTCCTGGGCTCAAGCAATCATCTTACCTCGGCCTCCCAAAGTGCTGAGATTATAGGCATGAGCCACCATGACAGGCCCCTTGTATCCTAATGTAAACCAAAAAGTGTCTGAGACAGATCTCAATTGATTTAGAGGTTTATTCTGCCAGGGTTGAGAATGTTCCTGGGAAGAAGAAACAGAAGTTCAGTAGTACTCGTGGCCTGTGCTTTTTCCAAAGAGGGTTTTGAGAACTTCAGTATTTAATGGGGAAAAAGTGAGCAGGAGGGGAAGAAGGGAAAAAAGTGGAAAGGGCAGACAATGAGGTGACTCTTCATATTCTTGTAAGGCTTTGAATAGCGCTCACTGAATCCATGTTTTACACGTGAAAGGAGGGAGTAGAGGAACAGTCAATTATGCATTCATCTCTGCTCAGTAAATCTACATTTTACATAACATAAACAGAGTAGAGGAAGAAGCCAAATATGCATTTGTCTCAGGGTAGGCAGTGGGATGATTTCTAGTCTTGTCTTTGTGCTGTACCTATGAAGATAAGCTGTTAATTTACATTGTCAGGGTGAGACTTAACAGAGCTCTGTTTTAGGGTTAGTTTGTAGGGGAGGTACGTATTCTGAAAGATTTTGGGGCCCACAAGGAATTTCCTTGGAAGCAATTGGTGAGGGAGTCCTCCTGGGGACATATGTGACCTTCTATCTGTGGTGGGAACAAAAAGGAAGGCAGGTTTTTATGTTGTTGTTGTCGTTGTTATTGCTGTTGTTGTTTTGCATAACTAAGTTCTCAAGCTTAACATTCCTTTTGGCATAGAGAATTTGGGAGAGCCAAGATTTTATTTCCCTTTCATACTATCTAAAATTTAAGGTTGTCAAACAAAAATACAAATTTTGTCCTTTCTTATCTGGAGATATATTTTTTTAAAAAAAATAAGGTTAGTCTTTTTTCTCATTATAAAAGTAACATATGGTGATATGGTTTGGCTGTGTCCCCACCCAAATCTCATCCTGAATTCCCACGTGTTGTGAGAGAGACCCATTAGGAGGTAATTGAATCATGGGGGCAAGTCTTTCCCATGCTGTTCTCATGATAGTGAATAAGTTTCTCAAGATCTGATGGTTTTAAAAAGAGGAATTCCCCTACACAAGCTCTCTCTCTTTGCCTGCTGCCATCCATGGAAGATGTGACTTGCTCTTCCTTGCCTTCCACCATGATTGCGAGGCTTCCCCAGTCACGTGGAACTGTAAGTCCAATTAAACCTCTTTCTTTTGTAAATTGCCCAGTCTCGGGTGTGTCTTTATCAGCAATATGAAAATGGACTAATACACATGTCCATTTTGAAAAAGTTTTTAAATGCAAGAGAATGAACTATGTCTTCTTTTTTTTTTTTTTGAGACAGAGTTTCACTCTTGTTGCCCAGGCTGGAGTGCAATGGCGTGATCTTGGCTCACTGCATCCTCCGCCTCCCAGGTTCAAGCAATTCTCCTGCCTCAGCCTCCCGAGTAGCTGGGATTACAGGCATGCACCACCATGCCCAGCTAATTTTGTATTTTTAGTAGAGATGGGGTTTCTCCATGTTGGTCAGGCTGGTCTTGAACCCCTAACCTCAGGTGATCCACCTGCCTCAGCCTCCCAAAGTGCTGGGATTACAGGTGTGAGCCACTGCGCCCAGCCGAGCTATGTCTCTTAAAATCATAAAGTAGGCCAGGTGCAATGGCTCATGCCTATAATCCCAGCACTTTGGGAGGTTGAGGCAGGAGGATTGCTTGAGCCCAGGAGCTTAAGACCAGTCTGGGCAACATGGAGAGACCCGTTTCTAATAAAAAAGAAATAAACAATGAAAAATAAAATTATAAAGTAAATTAATCCCTAGCCTCCCTAATGCAGAGATCACTCACAATAGTATCCCAGTGTGAAGAGTGTATATTGAAAATTAATTAGTGATGAAGGTAATAGAACTGTGATTGCACCTTTGAAATCACCTTTGTAAAAATTATAACAGTGAAAAAGGGATGACAATGAAAGAGATCTAACCAACTCCATCTTTCCTTTAACAGCTCCAGACTGCCCTTGTTCATTCCTGAGCATAGACTGAGCTAACTGCAGGAGGAGTTTAGTTTATAGTTTAACTTTGAAACAAAGATGATAACAACCCTTTCCCATACCAAGCCCCCATCTTGTCTGGGGACCAGAACACCTTTGTAAGACTAACAAATTAGCCACAAGATTAGAAATTATGGTTTAGGAGTCATGCAGCCAGAAGCTACAAGATTCCTAACCTCTCCAGTTGCTCCTAGGGATTGCCTAACTATTGAAAGAACTAAGATTAGTGTTTGAGATATTTTTCAAAGTCTGCATCATTTAATGCACCAGCTGGTGCCACCCAGACCAGTAATCTGACTCAGCCAGTTCAGTGATCCCACCCAGGAATGGAAGACAGCAAGAACCCGCTTTGACCCCCTATGATTTCATCCCCAACCCAACCAATCAGCACTTCCCACTCCCTAACCCCCTACCCACCAAATTATTCTTTAAAAACTCAGTCTCCAAATTTTGCAGGAGACTGATCTGAGTAATAAAACTCTGGTCTCCTGTTTAGTGGGTTCTGCATACATGAAACTCTTTCTCTATTAAAACTTCCCTGTCTTCATAAATTGGCTCAGCCAGGCACAGTGGCTCATGCCTGTAATCCCAGCACTTTGGGAGGCCAAGGTGGGCAGATTATGAGGTCACGAGTTCGAGACCAGCCTGGCCAACATGGTAAAACCCAGTCTCTACTAAAAAAAAAAATTAGCTGGGCATGGTGACAGGCACCTGTAATCCCAGCTACTTGGGAGGCTGAGGCAGGAGAATTGTTTGAACCTGGGAGGCAGAGATTGCAGTGAGCCAAGATCATGGCATTGCACTCCAGCCTGGGTGACAGGGCAAGACTCCGTTTCAAAATAAATAAATAGGCTCTATCTGGGCAGCAGGCAAGGAGAACCTATTGGGCACTTACACTTTTAGGGGAAAAAAAGAAAAAAGGAGGAAGATTTTTCACTTTACCCGTTGAATTATCAGGATTCTTACTGGCATGTGACAAAAATTAGTTTGAGCCAGCTTAGTCAAAGATGTAAATTTATTGGCTCACATAACCTGACAAAGATTATTTATTTGACCAATCCTCAAACTCCTGGACCTTCTCCTAGGCTCATCTGTGTACTTCCTTATGAAATCTAGTTTTAGCAAGAACTGTGCTAAGTCTGTTAAGCAAGAACCCCCCACCCTGGATATCTGATACTTCTATATCATATTGGGTTCCTCATCTTTCAGCATCCTGCAAGGGATGTCTGATCACCCTGGTCTGTCTTCAGCAAGAATCCTGTTAGGTCAGTTTAGCCAAAATCCCCCTTGCCCTTGATGTTTCCTCTTAGTGATTTTCAACCCACTGACCCCCGCCCTTCTCCTTGGCTATAAATTTCTACTTGTCCTTGCTGTACTGGAAGTTGAATTCAATCTCTGTACCCTACTGAAAAATCGCATTGCAGTAGTCCCTACATGTAGGGTGATGGTTTGAATAAAGTCTGCCTTTAACAAGAGTCATTGAATTTTTTTTACTTTAAAGAACCAAACAGCCTGGATGCGGTGGCTCATGCCTGTAATCCCAACACTGGGAGGCCGAGGCGGGCAGATCATGAGGTCAGGAGATTGAGACCATCCTGGCTAACATGGTGAAACCCCATGTCTACTAAAAATACAAAAAATTAGCCAGGCGTGGTGGCACACGCCTGTAGTCCCAGCTACTTGGGAGGCTGAGGCACGAGAATCACTTGAACTTGGGAGGTGGAGGTTGCAGTGAGCCGAGATTGTGCCACTGCACTCCAGCCTAGGCGACAAAGCAAACTCCATCTCAAAAAAAAAAAAAAAAAAGAAAAAAAAAAGAACAGAAAAAAGAACCAAATTTGCAGTGAGCTGTTATTATGTCACTGTACTCCAGCCTGGGTGACAGAGTTGAGACCGTGTCTCTAAAAAGAAAAAAAACAAACCAAACCACGGGACAGGCAAGGACAACTGTAATAAAACCTTTCATTTTCAGGTTGCTCCCTCCGCATTGTTCTCTGCTTCTCTTGATAGCTTCAGTTTTTTTCTCTCAACCTAGCTTGCTACATAAGAGATGTTAAGCCTTGGCTGGTCCAAAGCTGGTGAGTTATTAATATCTCAACTGATTGTTCAGAGGCAGTTATAGATCGAACTTCTTGTTCTCCTCTCTCCCTCCTTCTCACTACTACACTTGACTAGTCTTGAAGTTTAAAAAGAGATGTTACAGTCCTCAGACCCACATCCTCACATGGACCTTGTGGATAGAGTGAGAGTGGATCAATTCTCAACAAAAACAGGAGTGCTGTTTCTAGAAGAAAAGAAAAATGTAGAGAGGGAAAAAAATGTTCAATAAAGTTTGTTCCTTGGCTGCACACCGCCCTCCGCCATCACCCACACTCATAGACATACGCTTTATCCCATACATACAGTTTCAAAACTTCCTTGTCTAGCCACTATGTGGCCACCCGTATTCTTGTCCCAGCTCCAGAATCTTTATGTCATGTCAATTCATGGTCAGGATGGATGAATTTCCTTACTTCATTACAACCTACAAATAAACAATAAATCTGAATATTCTCAATGCACCAACATATACAATGGTGGAGAAAAAAATAAGCATTACTTCAAAAGGAATGTCCAAAAGGGGAAAATGGAAAACTACACTGAGAGCGTAGACCACTTCTTTCTGGAGAGGGATAGCATGTATTTTGTAGACTCACTTAAACCATTCAACCTTGGAGAGAGTTTTGTAGAGGATACAATGAAGGTTCTAAATGTCTACAGATATCCTAGTTCAATGGGAAGAATCACAAATTTATAGATAGGTTACAGTTGCTGCAGTTTACGTATGGTGACTTTTTGAGCCCCAAACTTTTCAGAGACTGCTTGGACATTACTGAATCCAGTGGCATTTAAATTAAGTGGAGATTAGAAAAGCAAAGGAAAAAAGTGAAGGAAAGAAGAAAGGAAGAAAAGATGGGCCCAAAAAAAGGAAACAATGACTTGTTATCTTTTACAATGATGGGCATCTTAACTTGACTTTTTTAACAACACATTATTTTATTGTATGCAAGATTTTAGGCAGATTGAAGTACAGGGCAAATAAACTTCTATTTTATTTATTTATTTATTTATTTTTAAAATTTCCTTTGTTCAAATGGAGTCTCAGTCTGTTGCCCAGGCTGCTCTGGAACCCCTAGGCTCAAACAATCCTCAGCCTTGCGAAGTGCTGGGATTATAAGCATGAGCCACTGCATCCGGCCTAAAGAAACTTCTAAAAGAAAAATAGGAAATCCTTCTTTTTATCAAGGAAATTCCTTCGTGTTCTTTCTTTATTTTTATGAAGTAACAAATTTAAAAAATTGTTGGTCAGTATGAATATTGACCAAAAAAAAGCAAATCCATGAAATAGCTATTATCAAAAGAGCATCTTGAAAAAAAAGAGATATGTTAAGGTGGCAGCAGAGGCAAGCAGATGAACAGTACAGTCAATTATTTCTTTCTAGATTGACCCCTTTGGTTTTTAGATGTAAGTTCAATGAGTTCATTTCAAGCCAGAGCAACCAGCTGAAGGGGTGCTGGACCATATTTAACCCAGAGATTCCTGCTATTAGAGAAGTATCTGTCCAAACTAAAGGATTAGGGTGGAGGGAGGGGAATGGAAACAAGCATGTTGAGTAATTTCTTATTTAGAATGTTAGGGTCAATGGATTCATAAATCATAGCATCCTGCATAGAGCATCATGAGATGGCAAAACTTACTACATACAATTCAAAAATGTTAAAATTTTATGAAAGTTAAGTTTATACAACTCAGAAAATATGTTGTTTTTCAAATAAAGTTGACTACTACATTATTCACATATAATTCATTCAATTTGGCCAGGCACATTGGCTCACACCTGTAATCCTAGCACTGTGGGAGGCTGAGACAGGCAGATCACCTGAGGTCAGGGGTTTGAGACCAGCCTGGCCAACATGGCAAAACCCTGTCTCTACTAAAAACACAAATATTAGCTGGGTGTGGTGGTGGGCACCTGTAATCCTAGCTACTCAGGAGGCTGAGGCGGGGGAATCACTGGAACCCAGGAGGCGGCGGTAGCAGTGAGCTGAGATTGTGCACTGCACTCCAGCCTGGGTGACAGAGTGAGACTCCATCTCAAAAAATAATAATAATTCATTCAATTCTAAGCATAAAATTGTAGTTAAAATTAAAAATAGAATTGGATTTATAAAAAAAAAAAGGTCAACCGGATTATTGGTGCCAAATTTTAAAACTCTGACTATTGTAGCCTCATTTGTATTTATTTATTTAAGAAGAGAAGAATGTAACCAAATGCAAGTCGGTTGCTCACCACTTGTAAGTCAATACATGAGAAGTAAGATGTAGTGAAAGGAGGCCGGGCGAGGTGGCTCACGCCTGTAATCCCAGCACTTTGGGAGGCCAAGGTGGGCGGATCACCTGAAGTCAGGAGTTCGAGACCAGCCTCAACATGGAGAAACCCCATCTCTACTCAAAATACAAAAAAAAATTAGCCGAGCATGGTGGTGCATGCCTGTAATCCCGGCTACTTGGGAGGCTGAGGCAGGAGAATTGCTTGAACCTGGGAAGCGGAGGTTGTGGTGAGCCGAGATGGCGCCATTGCACTCCAGCCTGGGCAACAAGAGGGTAACTCAGTCTCAAAAAAAAAAAAAAAAAAAAAGATGTAGTGAAAGGAGAGCAGCTTTATTATCCAAATGCTAGTAGATGAGAAATGGCAAGGCTGATGCCTCCAAATGACCATTTCAAGTGTTAGGCTGAGGGAAGGGATTAAAAAGGCAAGCCTTTATATGGGAAACATCCGAGAGTAACACAGGATACAGATCTGCATATCTTGTTCTAACAGCTGTCCTGAGTTGTGGTCTACCTGGAGCATGCGCTGGTGCCATCTCCATGTGGCCAGACTGTAGATTACCCATTTTGAGGCAGTCTTTAAGTGGGAGCAAATTCTGCAGCTGGGCTTCCATGCTGGGTTCATTTTAAAATTAGCCCCTGGAATTTCTTAACAAGCATATAGTTAGATAAGTGTACACAGTGTAAGGGAGTGTATGCTGGCAAAAGGAGAAACATGGAACTTAAAGTACACTTAATGGATATATATATATATATATATATATATAGTTTTTTTTTTGAGACAGAGTCTTGTTCTATCACCCATGCTGGAATGCAGTGTTGTGATTTCCACTCAATACAACCTCCCCTTCCCGGGTTCAAGTGATTCTCCTGCCTCGGCCTCCTGAGTAGCTGGGATTACAGGAGTGTGCCACCATTCCTGGCTTATTTTTGTATTTTTAGTAGAGACAGGGTTTTATGTAGGCCAGGCTGGTCTTGAACTCCTGACCTCGAATGATGCTCCTGCCTTAGCCTCCCAAAGTGCTGGGATTACAGGCATGAGCCACTGCTCCTGGCTTTTTTCTTTTGTCTTTTTTGATATAGAGTCTTGCTCTGTCACCCAGGCTGCAGCGCAGTGGCGCGATCTCAGCTTACTGCAACCTCGGCCTCCCAGGCTCAAGCAATTCTCATGCCTCAGCCTCCAGAGTAGCTGGGATTACAGACGTGCACCACCACATCTGGCTAATTTTTGTATTTTTAGCAGAAACGGGTTTTCATTATGTTGGCCAGGCTGGTCTTGAAGTCCTGGCCTCAAGTGATCCACCCGACTCAGCCTCCCAAAGTGCTGGGATTGCAGGCATGAGCCACTGCGCCCAGCCTTCATGGCTATATTTTAAGACTAAGGAAAAAAAATTTCCATAGTTTTCTTCAAGGTTACATCTTGAGACTAGAGAGAAAGGAAAAAATAATTTTAAATGCATTTTGAAGCTATGCTACTAAGTTATTGGAATAGAGAAACTGTAGCAGTTAAAAGAAAAATTGCAACATTATGTTGATCTGTATGGAAAAATGTGCATAATAGCATTGTCACTATAAAATATAATTTCAATATTTACAAAAGTAATGTAAATCACTTAAAATTTTTTTCCTGTACTTCTGTTTTAAGGCTATAAAACAACTGCTATTCCTCAGACACCAGCCTCTCAGATTTTTACCCTTAGTGCTTTTGAATATTGTCTTTGCAATTACTAAAGACAGTGTGCAAATGACTTCCCTGATCCCCAGATACATATATCAAAAGTAGTTTAATGATTTTGTTGAAAATGAAAATAAAATTACTTTCACATTGAAACTTTCCTTTCTTATTCTTATATCCAAAGGTGGGTGGCTGGGGAAGGAATCTGTAAACATTTGGAGTGAAAAGGATATTCAGTAATTTTAGTAACTGTTAATAAATTATTTTAAAAGTTAACATAGAATTGGGCTTATTTAAATTAGATGGCTGTGCATTTTAGACACATTATTAAATTTGCCGCTTAACTGATTGGTTGCGTATTTTTCCATGACCAAAAAATACGTTCTGGATGTATGATGTCCACTAGCAACTTAGCCATATGTGGCTTTTGAGCACTTTTAATGTAGCTTGTCCAAATTGAGATGTGCTATAAGAGTAAAATACTCCTTATTTCAAAGACTTAGTACTAAAAAAAGAAGGTAAAATAGGTTATTAATAACTGTTCATTGATGACTTGATATCAGGTAATATTTTGAATTACTGAGTAAAGTAAAATATACTTGAAAAATTAATTTCATCTCTTTCTTTTTACTTTTTAAAAAATGTAGGCAGGGTGCGGTGGTTCATGCCTGTAATCCCAGCACTTTGGGAGGCCAAAGCAGGCTGATCACGAGGTCAGGAGTTCGAGACCAGCCTAGCCAACATAGTGAAATCCCATCTCTACTAAAAATACAAAAAATTAACTGGGCGTGGTGGCAGGCACCTGTAATCCCAGCTACTTGGGAGGCTGAGGCAGGAGAATCGCTTGAACCTGGGAAGTGGAGGTTGCAGTGAGCCGAGATTGTGCTGTTGCACTCCAGCCTCGGTGACAGTGTGAGACTCCATCTCAAAAAATAAATAAATAAATAAATAATTAAAAATGTGACTACTAAAACATTAAAAATTACCCACAGAGTTGGCACTCCATTTCTGCTGGACAGTGCTGCTCTGAACAGGCTTTCTTACAGCAGGAAGAGCTTAGCCCTTGTTCAAATGTCCTGCAGTGGGGAAGAGTGTGGGCAGTTCTCTTGGAGAAGGAAAATCTCAGATGTAAAAATCAAGAAATTATTCTTACAGTGGGATATTGAAATATTTGTTTTGAACTGTATGACCCTAAAATTTGCTCTATCATGTTATGAAGTTTTACTTTATTGATTTAACCAGGAAAAACTAAATTCCTGACCCTCCTCCCAATAATTTACCTACAATATTTGAAAAGTAATTTTCCAATGTAGAAAAAAAGCATAAACTATGATATTTTTCCTTCTAGAATAGAATTTTATAAAATTTATTGAAAGACTTTCATGTTAAAAAAATTAAAATGGAAGGAAATGTCAGTAAGACAAAAACTATTTGCTTCTTCATAGTCCAGCCTTTTTGTCCATTTCTTTAGAAAATGAAACACAGAGCTGGGCACAGTGGCTCATGCCTGTAATCCCAGCACTTTGGGGAGGCCAAGGCAGGTGGATCACTTGAGGTCAGGAGTTCCAGAGCAGCCTGGCCAACACGGTGAAACCCCGTCTCTACTAAAAAATACAAAAATTAGCCGGAGGTGGTGATGCATGCCTGTAATCCCAGCTACTCAGGAGGCTGAGGCAGGAGAATCGCTTGAACCCGGGAGGTGGAGGTTGTACTGAGCAGAGATCACACCACTGCACTCCAGCCTAGGTGACAGAGCAAGACTCCATCTCAAAAAAAAAAAAAAAAGAATAAAAGAAAAGAAACACAGAAAGGACCTTTTCAGTTACTTCTTTCCTTTGTTTACACTTGGCACTTATATTTAGTATGCAGTCTACCTCTTTCAGTCCTCTCAAGTCCACCCCTCCTTTGCAACATCATTCACAAATTCTACCTTATGCACCAAATCCCAGTTGCTTTCCAGCATGGAAAGAGAAATCACACAAATATTCACTTCCTTCCTGACTTACAGTTTTCCTTTTCAAATTGCAATTGGGTTTCATTATAAATTCTCATCCACCAATTGTCCCTCTATCCTTCTGCTTCAGTTTTCTCCCTCTCCCTCCCCTTCATGCCATCTTCTCTCTCCCTCTCCCCTCCCTCTGGTGAGCATGGTGTTTGAAGCTCTCTGACTTGGTGCCCCTCTTCTGTTTAAATCTTTCAGTACACACCTAGGCAAGTTATTCTCAAGCAGCCTGAAATAGCTTTAAACTGTTGGGAACAAACCTAGTAGAATTCAAAAGGACTTCATTTGTATTACCCTGACAACAGCATGTCTGAAAATTAGATTTGTCTCAGCCAGGCGTGGTGGCTCACGCCTGTAATCCTAGCACTTTGGGAGGCCGAGGTGGGCGGATTGCCTGAGCTCAGGAGTTCGAGACCAGCCTGGGCAACATGGTGAAACCCTGTCTCTACTAAAATACAAAAAATTAGCTGGGCATGGCAGCGTGTGCCTGTAGTCCCAGCTACATGGGAGGCTGAGGCAGGAGAATTGCTTGAACCCAGGAGGCGGAGGTTGGAGTGCGCCAAGATCGCGCCACTGCACTCCAGCCTGAGTGACAGAATGAGACTCCGTTTCAAAAAAAAAAAAAAGAAAAAGATTTGTCTCATTTTCCAATATCTTTTAAATTCCTAATATTTCTGATTTAGTGACTGTCAACAGTCTTTTATAGGTCAACAAAACCAAGTTTGCTTGCTTTCTCCTGAAACAGGGTATACTACCTATCTTGTTACACCAATGTTGAAATTTTTTAAAGTTGTTCTGACAAGAGAATGCTTGTTTAAATTTGTACCATGTCTTTTTGATGACACTCCCATTGCCTCCTCTCTTTATTTGCTGCAGTGGTGGAGGGGAACAGAGGAAAACATATTTCCTTCTAACCGGACTATAACTGGGTGGGAAGGGGTAAAAATGCTAGTTCAGAAGCATGTGGGGCAGAGACACTCATAAAATAGAGAACGGAAGTGCTGTCAAGGACACACTGTGAATGGCCACTCAGAGTTCCTTCCTCAGCATGCCTTTGACTTCACTTCTGTCCTCCATGACCCAAACTCAAATGGACAAAGCAGACTCCCAGAACTGACAATCCGCACTGTGAGAAGTGAAGGTAAATTAGTCATCACTTTACAGGTTTCAGTTTGTAAAGTGTCCTTGACACTTGACCAAATTTAACTATGTTGTCAACAGTGGAACCAAGGTGTCTTGGTTATGTCTTATACCCAAAAAGTGGTAATTCCTATAGATAATGTCAACCTAAATATATAAACAGAGAGAGGCTCTCTAAAAGAAAATATTTATTCAGGAATAGGACATTGCAGTGGGAATATGCATGCCATAGTAAACAATATGCATATTCATGGAAAGTAAAGTGTATTAGGGTTCTCCAGACGGGCAGAACCAATAGGATATATGTATGTAAAAACAGGAGTTTATTAGGGAGAATTGGCTCACACAATTAAAAGGCAAAGTCCCACAATAGGCCACAATAGGCCCTCTGTAAGCTGGGGAAAGAGAAAAGCTGGTAATGTGGCTCAGTCCAAGTCTGAAAGCCTCAAAACTAGGGAAGCCAAGAGTGCAGCTCTCAGGCTGAGGCCAAAGGCCCAAGAGCCCCTGAACGCCACTGGTGCAAGTCCCAGAGTCTAAAGGCGAAGATCCTGGAGTCTGATGTCCAAAGGCAGGAGGAAAGGAAGCAAGTATCTGGCATGCGAAAGGAGAATGAGAGAGAGAGAGAGAGAGAGAGAGCTCAGCAAGCTGAACATCCCTTCTCCCGCCTGCTTTGCTCTAGCCGCGCTGGCAGCAGATTGGATGGTGCCCACCCACATTGAGGGTGGGTGGGTGGGTGTGCATCACCCTCTCACAGTCCACTGACTCACATGTCAATCTCCTCTGAAAACACCCTTCAGAAATAATGCTTCACCAGCCATCTAGGCATCTCTCAATCCAGTCAAGTTGACACCTAATATTAACCATCACATAAAGAAAGACAAAGGTTTTTAAAGAAAACATGAGAAGGATTACATAATTGTTTTGAGATAATTATCCTTGGCTACAAAGATCAATAACAAGGGTGACGTCAATCCAAGGTTGGACAGGCAGTTGCTGAGCAGATGTCCTCACAGAACATCTGCATGATGGCCTTTGTGCAAGATTGTGGTTTTTGCAGAGTCTTTTGTAATAGTTTCTGTCATCCAGCATTTATTCATGAGAAAACACTTCCTTCACGGCCTTCCCTAGCGCTATTTGTCAGGGTTTGGTTTTTTGGGTTTTTTTTTTGTTTTTTTTTTTTTTTTTGGTTGTTGTTGTTTTCTTTCTTTCTTTTAACAAAAGTGACTCCATTTTGATTCTGACAGTTTTCACAATAGGATTCTCATGGTTAAGAGATAAGTTTGCTTTCTTTTTTTTTTTTTTTAACAGAGTCTCACTTTGTCACACAGTAGCATGATCAGGGCTCACTGCAGCTTTGCTTCCACCTTCTGGGCTCAAGCAATCCTCCATCCTCAACCTCCCAAGTAGCTGGGACTACAGGGGTGCACCATCATACTTGGTTTTTTTTTTTTTTTTTTTTTTTTTTGGTAGAGACAAGGTCCCACTATGTTGCCCAGGCTTGTCTTGAACTACTGTCCTCAAGCAATCTTCCTGCTTCATCCTCCAAAAGTGTCGGGAGCTCTACCACTGTGAAAGTAGTTAAGTATAGTACATAATGGTTAACATCATTTTAGCAATCTTAAAGTGTATATTTTGGTAAAAGCCACAATTTCATAAGAAAGCAGTCAGGCATAGTGGCTCACACCTGTAAATCCAGCACTTTGGGAGGCTGAGGCAGGAAGATCACTTGAGCCCAGTAGTTCAAGACCAGCCTGGGCAACACAGTGAGACTCTCTCTCTACAAAAAAATTTTTAAAAAATTAGCCAGGCACAGTGGCTCAAGCTTGTGGTCCCAGCTACCTGGGAGGCTGAGGTGGAAGGATTATTTGAGCCCAAGAGATCAAGGTTGCAGTGAGCCATGATCCCATCATTGCCCTCCAGCCTGGGGAACAGAGCAAGACCCAGTCTCAAAAAATAAAATAAAATAAATATAAATGTAAATAATTTAAATGTTTTAAATTGTGGTAAAAAAAAAAGATAATATAAAATTTACCATCCTAACCACTTTAAGTGTTAATCAGTTCAGTAGGGCTAAGTAGGTTCACACTGTTGTACAACAGATATTCAGAACTTATTTAACTTACGAAACTGAAACTCTATACCCATTAAACAGTAACTCCCCATTCCCTCCTCCCCCCAGCCTCTGGCAGCCACCCTCTACTTTCTGCGTCTATGAATTTTACTACTCTATATACCTCATATAAGTGGAATCATACACCAATTGTCTTTTTGTAACTGGCTTATTTTTCCTAGCATAGTGTCCTCAAGACTTATCCATGTTGTAACATGTGACATAATTTTCTCCCTTTTGAAGGCTGAATAATATTCCATTGTATATATATATACCACATTTTATTTATCCATTCATCCATTAATGCACATTGGGGTTGCTTTCACCTGGTCTATGTAAGATTTGTTTTTTGTTGTTTTGGATTTTTGTTGTTGGTTTTTGAGACAGTGTCTTGCTCTGTCACCCAGGCTCAAGTGCGGTGGCATGATCATGGCTCACTGCAGCCTCAACCTCCCAGGCTCAAATGATCCCTCTACCTCAGCCCCCCAAGTAGCTGGGACTATAGGCGTGCGCCACCACACCTGGCTAGTTTTTGTATTTTTTGCAAAGATGGAGTTTCACATGTTGCCCAGACTTGTCTCGAACTCATGAGCTCAAGCAATCTGCCCACCTCTGGCTTTCCAAAGTGCTGGGATTACAGGCGTGAGGTACCACGCCTGCCTGGCTGTAAAATTTTTTGTTATAGCAATATTATTAGTGTGTTCTGAATTAGCTAGCTTGTTTAAGATTGAAGGAACACACACATGGGTTATCATCAATGACAGAGTGTATTGCAAGGATATATAAGGATTTGGGGTTTCAAGAAAGGCAGGTAGCTCTGGAAATTGCCTCATCCAGCTGCATTATATTTCATGAGATTGTGCAAAAGGTACTACAGGAACCAGGATCTTTATTCATAACAGCAATCTTATCTAAAACTATTCATCTTCTTCTTGGTATATCTAGTATTTATATTTCCCAAAAGAGATGTTTTATTTGAGTGGACTTGTCATCATTTATTGCAGAGTATCATCCTTGGACAAGAGTGCCTGCCAGAGTGCTGCAAAGCCAGCTGGCCCTCATCATGCTTTATGCTACTGCCTTCAGCCTGTGCTTCAGTCCTTAATCCCATTTGCTGTGACTAGGAGAGTGGGGATGGTTTTTCTTTTTTTCTTTTCTTTCTTTTTTTTTTTTTTTTTGAGACATGAGTTTCACTCTGTTGCCCAGGCTGGAGTGCAATGGCATGATCTCACTCACTGCAACCTCCACCTCCCGGGTTCAAGCAATTCTCCTGCCTCAGCCTCCCAAGTAGCTGGGATTATAGGCATGTGCCACCATGCCCAGCTAATTTTTTTTTTTTTTTAATTAGAGACGGGGTTTCACCATGTTGAACAGGCTGGTCTCAAACTCCTGACCTCAAGTGATCTACCCATCTCAGCCTCCCAAAGTGTTGGGATTACAGGTGTGAGCCATCACGCCCAACCCAGGGCATGGCTTTTCTTATAGTGCATACCATAAGCCAAAGTAGCTCAGATAGGAAGCAATCATTTAGTTTCTACTTTAGGATGGAGCTCTAAATTTGTATGCCTATACCTTATAGAATATATATATACATACATACACACACACGCACACACACATAAATTTGAGTCTTGTGTTTTCCCCATTCTTCCCCTTAGCACCTAACATTTATTGATTTATTCATTTATTCACCCATTTTATTTGTACTGACATTGAACAAAAATATGTCAAGTCCTCTGGTGTTCAGTGCACTTCATTAACCTCCTCCCACCCATGCTCTCAGAGACCCTGGGAGGCAGGTAGTATTCATGTTGTGAACCTAGTCAGGATGGTTTTCCACATCAAAAATCAGAGGTTTGGCTGGGCGCAGTGGCTCACGCCTGTAATCCCAGCACTTTGAGAGGCCAAGGTGGGCAGATCACCTGAAGTCAGGAGTTCCAGACCAACCTGGCCAACATGGCAAAACCCTGTCTCTACCAAAAACACAAAAATTAGCCGGGCGTGGTGGCACATGCCTGTAATCCCAACTACTTAGGAGGCTGAGGCAGGAGAATCACTTGAACCTGGAGGTCGGAGGTTGCAGTGAACCGGAGATTGCGCCATTGCACTCCAGCCTGGGTGGCATAAGACTCCATCTCAAAAAAAAAAAAAAAAAAATTCAGAGGTTCTATGCTTCAATCCTTCAGAGTGCTGATTTCTTAATTAACTAATTAACACATTAATTAATGTGATAAAATGCGAATGTGTTAACTGGTATATTATTAATACGGTATGTTTTCCAGGTAAATTGTTTGCTCTTAAAATAAGGCCCTTCTGGACCCGGTGCGGTGGCTTACACCTGTAATCCCAGCACTTTGGGAGGCCAAGGCGGGTGGATCACCTGAGGTCAGGAGTTTCAGACCAGCCTGGCCAACATGGCGAAACTCGGTCTCTACTAAAAATAAAAAACAATTAGCCAGGTGTGGTAGCAGGCACCTGTAATCCCAGCTACTTGGGAGGCTGAGGCAGGAGAATCGCTTGAACCCGGGAGGTGGAGGTTGCAGTGAGCCAAGATCACACCATTGCACTCCAGCCTGGGTGACAAATCGAGACTCTTTCTCAAAAAAAAAAAAAAAAAAAAAAAGACCCTTCTGAAGACAATGCTTTCACCCAAAAGACTGGCTACATAATTTATGGCACCTAAGGCAAAATGAAATGCAGGGCCCCTTGTGTACTAACTCAAAAATTATTAAGAATTTTAAGATGCTGGCCGAGCACGGTGGCTCACGCCTGTAATCCCAGCACTTTGAGAGGCCGAGGCGGGCGGATCATAAGGTCAGGAGATCGAGACCATCCTGGCTAACACAGTGAAACTCCATGTCTACTAAAAATACAAAAAAAAAAAAAAAATTAGCCGGGTGTGGTGGCGGGTACCTGTAGTCCCAGCTACTCAGGAGGCAGAGGCAGGAGAATCGCTTAAACCCGGGAGGCAGAGGTTGCAGTGAGCCGAGATCATGCCACTGCACTCCATCCTGGGTGACAGAGCCAGACACTGTCTCAAAAAAAAAAAAAAAGTATTTTAAGATGGCAACAGCAGAACACTAAACCAAGTACAGGGCCCATCTAAGCATGGGGACATGTGCAGCCACACAGGTTGCACACCCATGAGGCCGGTTCTGAAGAGGAGTGATGTCAAGTTGGAATGCCATGCAACATGGCAGGTTATTACAAAAGTTGGTTTGCATGGGTAGTTCTTTTGCTATCTGTTAAATTCTATCACATAGGCAAGTCTCTGTTTAAACAACTTATAAAACTGTGTTTACCAGGGTAAAGAAAAGAGTAAAGCTCTCTGGAGATCACTACAATGTAGGGTGAAAGAAGAATCAAGCAATAATAGAACACAGAGAGCTTAACTTGCCCAAAGTTACATATACATTATTCATTATTCAATATACATATTCATTATTCATTATGTATTTGAGCTAAGACTACAGAAACCCTGTTCACTTCTCTCCACCTCCTGACTGCCTCGAGCACTACAGTGTCCACAAGCCTTGGAAATACAAGGAAAATAGTATATTTATTTTGGTTTGTTCCGATTAACATTTGGACCCATTGCTTTAAATGTAAAGGTCCTTTACCTGAAATGGTATCTGGAGGTTGAAAAAATATATTGAGAATATTATTCGAAAATGTAAATTATCTGCTGTCTAAAAATAAGTTTATCTTAGGAGTGATGATTGCACATTATGAATGTACTTAATGAACTGTTTGCCTAAAAATGGCTACAATGGCACAGTTTAGGTTATGAATATTTTACCACAATTTTTAAAATAAAATAAATTTATCCCAGATTTCCCAACTTTTTAGACACCCAGTACACGTTGGACATTGAAAGCCATCTAATATATGTTATTGAGTGAAGACCCATGTTATTCCACACTATGGATAGGCTGTATCTTTTTTTTTTTTTTTTTTTTTTAGACAGAGTTTCACTCTGTTGCCCAGGCTGGAGTGCAGTGGCGCGATCTCGGCTCACTGCAACCTCCACGCCCCGGGTTTAAGTAATTCTCCTGCCTCATCCTCCTGAGTAGCTGGGATTATAGGCACCCACCAACACGCCTGGCTAATTTTTGCATTTTTAGTAGAGACGGGGTTTCACCATGTTGGCTGGGCTGGTCTTGAACTCCTGACCTCAAGTGATCCGCCCACCTCGGCCTCCCAAATTTCGGATTACAGGCGTGAGCCACTGCACCCAGCCAGGATGTATCATTTTTATGTAAGAATACTGAAACAGAGAGTAGACAGGAGCAGACAGTCTTTTTAGTTCACATACTTTTGCATTATTCTAATTGTTTATAGGGTGCATATATACTGTTTTAAAAATCATTTTTGACAAGATATTTCTATTTGGGGGATGGAAAAAATGAAGAAACAAATACATTAGAAACAGTCCTCATAGTTAGGAATTAGAGAGAGCCTGGATCTGCAGGTGTTCGGCTGCCTCATGGGCCACTGTTGGCCACTCTGAGATCCGCTTCATTACTGTGAACACAGACCAAGGTCCTGCATTCAGAGCACGCTCTAACCAAAAAGCCGGGTTCTGGTGAAGGCTCTCTTATTGGCTCTTACACGTCTGCCTGCTTGGCGTGTCCTCATATGGCCTTGCCTCTGGGTGCATGGGAAGAAGCAGAGCTCAGGTTTCTCTTCCTCTTCTTTCAAGGACACCAGTCCCATCAGATTAGGGCCCCACCTTCTGACCTCATCTAACCTTATTTACCTCTTTGAAGGCCCTGTCTCCAAATATAGTCGCACTGGGGTTAGGGCTTCAACATATGAATTTGTGAGGGGTGGTAGGGGGACACAATTCAGTTCATAGCAATACCTTTTATCAAATTGTCTTTCAGAAAGATTATACAAATTTATACTCCCTTTAACAGTGTTTGAGAGTGGCTATCCTGTACTCTCAACAAAGATTTTAACATTTTAAAAATCTAGATTATTTTGAAAATGGATTTTGAGGACCTCCAAGGACAAATGTTCATAACTGTACAAATAGGAGGCTTGGCTAAGTGACTTGGGTCAGGATAAACATTTCAATATTAAATACTTTAGAGACTCTCAGATTCATTTCCTTGCCTGTGGGTTACATAACATTAAGAACTTTGGTTTGTCTTTGAGCCTGGGAGGTACCCATGCCTCATAACTAGGAAAAAGCTTACCTGTGCACTTACATACTTTTCTAAAACCTAATGGAAGCAGTGCCCTAGTGCAAGGTTTAGAGAAAATGAAAATGAGTTGCTGAGAAAGGAACTAAAAAGTATTCTGGTAGATGAATTGGGTGGAATGTTAAAAAAATGTGAAGGGAGAAGTCATCTTGAGTACTGGGATTGAGAAGAATTCTTTGATATTAAGTTCCATAGCCTTTGGGTACTTATTTGATCACAGCTGCTTTTCTAATCCCTAGTGGTAGCTGAGCCCTAGGGAATCTTTTTTTTACTCAAATCAACCAGGGAAATGATGACCCCTTTCTCTGTGTATCTCCTTGTCAGGCAGCAATAGACCACATCTTCCAAACTACCAGACAAGAAGAAAACAACAGATTTTTTTTGCGTATATACTAAAGTCCTACTACAGATTGCAGGAGCTCAACTGCTTACAAAAGAGGAAAAAGTACAACCATGGTCTGCTCTTTCCTTGCTTGCCCTTTGCTTCCAGGTGCAATGATTTCATAGACTTCTTTGCTAATGGATAGAGCCCAGGGGGAAATAGAAAGAACAAAAAAACCTTGAATTTTTTTAGCATTTATATTTAAGCATAGCTTTAATTTTTTTAATGAAACATGCCCATTTAAACCAATCTAAATACAGAAAAGTATAAAGTACAAAGTAAAAATCACCTGGAGTATTATTACCCGGAGACAACCATGGTCATAATTACAGATATAGTAAAATGATTTTATATAAAGAGCTCATATATGCATTCTGTAACCTATTTTACTCAATCACAAGCATGAAATTTTTCTAAGTCAATAAATATGAAGAAATATCATTATTCATGATTTCACAGAATAACTCTAAATATATGTATCATAATTCACTTAGCCAGTCCTCAATTAGGTCATTTACAATTTGTGAAGCTACTATAAGCAATGCTGAGATAAACATCTTTCTGAATATATTTTTTACCACTTTTAGAAATATTTGTATAAGCACGTCTAATGTCTTTGGGACTAACAAGACATTAAAAATTATGAAGTCACACTTAGAAACTGAAAATATCTCAGATGAAAGCATGAAATTTTTAAAAAGAAAATATGTATAGCTTCTCTATTTCTGTCTACAAAAAGTAGTTATCACTACCCCTTTTGCAGAATATAGGGCCTTGAAATTCATTAACTTGGCCACCCCTTCATCCTCCTCCTGTCTTATGTGATATTGTGTTCAGAATTTGAGGTTTATATTGTTGTCATTTTTGTTGCTGTTTTACTTTGATTTTTTTATTTGAAAATTTTCAAGCCCACAGCAAAGTCAAAGAATAGTTTAAAGAACACCTGTATACACGTCATTTAATTTTTCAATTATTATTTACAATTCAAATTGTTAATAATAGCAATTTTCTTTTTCTTTTTCTTTTTTTTTTTGAGACAGAGTTTCGCTCTTGTGGCCCAGGCTGGAGTGCAATGGTGCAATCTCGGCTCACCACAACCTCCACCTCCCGGGTTCAAGCGATTCCCCTGCCTCAGCCGCCCAAGTAGCTGGGATTACAGGCATGCGCCACCACACCCAGCTAATTTTTTGTATTTTTTTAGTAGAGGCGGGGTTTCACCACCATGTTGGCCAAGATGGTCTCTATCTCCTGACCTCGTGATCCGCCTGCCTCCGCCTCCCAAAGGGCTGGGATTACAGGCATGAGCCACCATGCCTGGCCTAATTTTGTATTTCTAAGTAGAGATGGGGTTTCTCCATGTTGGTCAGGCTAGTCTTGAACTCCTGACCTCAGGTGATCTGCCTGCCTTGGCCTCCCAAAATGCTGGGATTACAGGCATGAGCCACCGCACCCGGCCAATAATAACAATTTTCAATTATTAATGTTCTCACTCTTCTTTCTCTTGCCACCTCCTTTCCCTTACAGATATTTCTTTCTTTTGCAAAAGTTCAGCTACATATTTAAAAGAACATTTGGCTGAATGCAGTGGCGCACATCTGTAATCCCAACACTTTGGGAGGTCAAGGAGGGAGGATTGCTTGAGCCCAGGAGTTCAGGACCACCTGGGCAACATGGCAAAACCCCATCTCTACAAAAAATTTAAAAACATTAGCCAGGCATCAGCCAGGTGCGGTGGCTCATGCCTGTTAATCCCAGCCCTTTGGGAGGCCGAGGTGGGTGGATCACGAGGTCAGGAGATCAAGACCATCCTGGCTAACACGGTGAAACCCCGTCTCTACTAAAAATACAAAAAAAAAAAAAAAACATTAGCCAGGCGTGGTGGCACATGGTGGTACATGTCTGGTCCCAGCTACTCAGGAGGTTGAGGAAAGAGGATCACTTGAGCCCAGTAGATTGAGGCTGCAGTCAGCCGTGTTCACGCCACTGCACTCCAGCCTAGATGACAGAGAAAGACCTTCTCTCAAAAAACAAACAAGCAAACAAACAAACCCAAAAAACTCCACCTCATTCATTATATTTTCTAGATGTTTTATAGGAAAAAGTTTTTCAGGATATACAGTTAGTTGTACTGCCAGAAATTAGAGTCCAATTTTATCAATTTGTATTCTGCTTTTTTTTCACAGAATATTATGTATTAATGATTTTTTTCATGGTTCCTGCTATGAACTGACTTGTGTCTCCTCCCAAATTCATATGGAGAAGCCTTAATCCTTATGGGACTGTATCTGGAAATAGGGTTTTTAGGAGATAATTAAGGGTAAATGAGGTCATAACGGTAGGTTCCTAATCGGAAAAGAATGGCTTTCTAAGAGGAAGAGATCTCTCTCTTTCTCGCTCTGTGCGATGTGAAGACATAGTGAGAAGGCAGCCAACTGGAAGCCAGGAAGAAGCGCTCACCAGAGCCTGACCATCATGCTGGCATCCTGGTCTCAGACTTCCAGGCTCTAGAACTGTGAGGAAAGATTTTTTTTTTTAACTTTTTCATGAAACAGGCTCCGAAGGTAAATTTCTATTTTTATTTTTTATTTTTTTCGAGATGGAATCTTGCTCTGTCATCCAGGCTGGAGTGCAGTGGCGCGATCTCGGCTCACTGAAACTTCCGCCTCCCAGCTTCAAGCAATTCTCCTGCCTCAGCCTCCCGAGTAGCTGGGATTACAGGCACCCACCACCACACCCAGCTAATTTTTGTATTTTTAGTAGAGGCAGGGTTTCACCATGTTGGCCAGGCTGGTCTTGAACCCCTGACCTCAAGTGATCCACCCACCTCAGCCTCCCAAAGTACTGGGATTACACAAGTGAGCCAACGCACCCAGTCTCCAACTTTTTCTATGTGTGACTTGTGTGATAATATTTTCCTTCAGTATTTTAGATGCCTATTTATACTTTGTATATGTTTTAAATTTTTACTTTTTTAATTTTTTATTTTTTTGAGACAGAGTCTCGCTCTGTCGCCAGGCTGGAGTGCAGTGGAGTGATCTCGGCTTACTGCAACCTCCACCTCCCGGGTTCAAGCTATTCTCCTGCCTTGGCCTCCCAAGTAGCTGGGATTACAGGTGCATGCCACCACACCTAGCTAATTTTTTGTATTTTGGTGGAGACGGGGTTTCACCATGTTGGCCAGGATGGTCTAGATCTCCTGACCTCGTGACCTGCCTTCAGCCTCCCAAAGTGCTGGGATTACAGGCATGAGCCACTGCGCCCAGCCTAAAATTTTATTTTAATAAAAGCTCTGCCCTCTGACCTATATTTTGCTTAATTTTTTTTTCTTTTTTTTTTTTTTTAGACGGAGTCTCACACTGTCACCCCGGCTGGAGTGCAGTGGTGCAATCTCAGCTCACTTTAACCTCTGCCTCCCAGGTTCAAGCGATTCTCCTTGCCTCGGCCTCCCAAATAGCTGGGATTATAGGCACCCGCCACCACACCTGGCTAATTTTTTTGTATTTTTAGTAGAGACGGGGTTTCACTATGTTGGCCAGGCTGGTCTCGAACTCCTGACCTCATGATCTGCCTGCCTTGGCCTCCCAAAGTGCTGAGATTACAGGCATGAACCACTGCACTCAGCTATTTTGCTTAATTTTTAAAAAGAAGAATTGCATTAATTGATGGAAATTTAGACTATGTTAAATAAGGAAAAACAAGCAAACACACACCAACCTGGGTCATGCAGAATTTCTCAGACATAGAATGGATTCGAAAAAGTCCCCAGGCCGAGGCAAATGCATATACAAAACCCTGTGAAAGGGAGAAACAAGGGACGTTTTCTAGGAATAGAAGGAAGACCACTGTGTTCGATCACAGTTGAGTGAAGGGAATGAACTTAGGCTGAAGAGGGAGATGGGAGTGATCCTCAGGACCTTGAAGATGATGTCAACAGCTTAGATGTATATCTTTTTTTTGTTCGGAGTCGGAGTTTCATTCTATTGCCCAGGCTGTATCTGGGCTCACTGCAATCCCTGCTTTCCAGGTTCAAGTGATTTTTGTGCCTCAGCCTCCAGAGTAGCTGGGTCTATCTATAGGCACCTACTACCATGCCTGGCTAATTTTTGTATTTTTAGTAGAGACAGGGTTTCGCCATGTTGGCCAGGCTGGTCTCAAACTCCTGAGCTCAGGTGATCTGCCTGCCTTGGCCTCCCAAAGTGCTGGGATTACAGGTGTGAGCCACTGCGCTTGGCCTAGGTGTGTATTTTAAGAGTGATGCTGGGTTCGGCACAGTAGCTCATGCCACTTGGGAGGCCTTGGGAGGCCGAGGCAGGAAGATCACTTGAAGTCAGGAGTTCAAGACCAGCCTGGGCAATATGGAGAATCTCAGCTACTTGGGAGGCTGAGGCAGGAGACTCACTTGAACCCGGGGGGTGGGGATGGCAGTGGGCCAAGATAATGACACTGAACTCCAGCCTGTGCAACAGAGTGAAACTCTGTGTCAAGAAAGAAAGAAAGAGAAAGAGAGAGAGAGAGAGAAAGGAAGGAAGGAAGGAAGGAAGGAAGGAAGGAAGGAAGGAAGGAAGGAAGGAAGGAAGGAAGGAAGGAAGGAAGGAAGTGAGTGAGTGAGCTTATTCACCTCAGCTTTCAATTTGAGGCCATGCTTTTCATGGGCAGCCCCAGACAATAATCGTGCATGGCAAGGGTAAGTAGGACTGGTCATTTCTGCCCAAAGCTGGCCTCTTCTAACAATCTTTGCTGTGGAGCTCCCTGCTGAACTGACTGAGACTTTGTCAAATCTGCAATGTCCCAAGTCTCTCTCTGCCCCATCCTGCTTACTACCTCTTTTATCTCTCACAGACTAAATTTACCAATAAACCTCTTTCATTCCTGTCTCATTTTCTGATTTCCATAGGCCTGTTTACACACCTGGTAAATAATGAGCTTAGGAATATCTGGTCAAGGATATCTGATTGCTAATGACTGAAAGTTTGTGTCTCCCCAAAATTTGTATGTTAAAACCCTAATCCCTCATGTGATGGTATTTGGAGATGGAAACTTTGGGAAGTAATTAGGTCATAACCCTAATGAGTGGTATTAGTCCCCTTAGAGGAAGACACATGAAAACATCCTCTTTCTCTGCTCTCCACCATGTGAGTATACAATAAGATAGCCATCTGTGGGTAGGTGCTGGCTCACACCTGTAATCTCAGCATTTTGGGAGGCTAAAGTGGGAGGATCACTTGAGGTCAGGAGCTTGAGACCAGCCTGAGCAACAGGATGGTCTCAGTCTCCTGACCTCTTGATCCGTCAGCCTTGGCTGGGATTTTATGCTAGGATTACAGGCGTGAGGCACCGTGCCTGGCCAAAAAAAAAAAAAACCACTTTTTAAGAAAAATTAGCCAGGTGTGGTGGCATGTGCCTATGGTCTCAGCTACTCAGGAGGTTGAGGCAGGAGGTTGAGGCTGCAATGAGCCATGATTGCACCACTGCACTTAACCCCGGGTGAGAGAGCAAGATCCTGTCTTTGGAAAAAAAAAAAAAAAAGGCCAGGTGCGGTGGCTCACGCCTGTAATCTCAGTACTTTGGGAGGCCCAGGCAGGCAGATCACCTGAGGTTGAGAGTTCAAGACTAGCATGACCAACATGGTGAAACCCTGCCTCTACTAAAAATACAAAAATTAGACGGGTGTGGTGGTGGGCACCTGTAATCCCAGCTGCTCAGGAGGCTGAGGCAGGAGAATCACTTGAACCCAGGTGGTGGAGGTTGCAGTGAGCCGAGATCACGCCACTGCACTCCAGCCCGGGTGACAGCGAGACTGTGTCTCAAAAAATAAAAAAAACACCGAAAAAAAGAAAACATTTAGGCCTAAAGTCTTCAAGCAGAAAGAAAGGGAAAGAAAGGAACTAGACGAGGCTTGATACAGTTCCCTGTGGATTATCAAATGTTTTTTCATCCATGATGTTATTTAACACTACATAGCCCAGACTTTTGAAAAATGCACTTTCACACTGCATTGTAAGCTGAACCACAGGGGCTGGGTGTGGTGGCTCATGCCTGTAATCCCAGCACTTTAGGAGGCCAAGATGGGTAGATCACCTGAGGCCAGGAGTTCGAGACCAGCCTGGCCAACATGGTGAAACCCTGCTTCTACTAAAAATACAAAAATTAGCCAGGTGTGGTGGTGGGTGCCTGTAATCCCAGCTACTCGGGAGGCTGAGGCAGGAGAATCACTTGAACCTGAGAGGCAGGGGTTGCAGTGAGCCGAGATTGTGCTACTGCCCTCCAGCCTGGGTGACAGAGCAACACCTCGTCTCAAAAAAAGAAACAAAACAAAAAACAAACAAACAAAAAACAGACAAACAAAAAAACAAAACAACTATAGGGCCAGAATTCACACTTATATATGGCAATGAATTTTTCTCTGAAAGAAAAATATGTTCCCACTGTCACTCAATTTGGAAAGAGGTCAGTTCCAGGACAATAATTGAGGATTTGGAGAGGTGAGCTGTGGCTCAGAGGAGAGATGGTCTTCCTCCTCTCCATGGCACTCAGAATGGTCTGGCTGGTTGGGAGGGTCTAGATTCTGAGGCAGAGATGCTAGAGATTGCAATGGCAAAGTAGGTTTGCGGGGACAGCGCGAGCTGCTTCAGACTAATTATAATGGTGCAAGAGCCAGGCAGAGAGCTAACTTGGCCAGAGACTCCCAGGGAATATCTGGACTTGAGCCATAGTTACAAGTTATTTTCTGTTTTCCACTCCCTCCCTGAGCCTCCAGTGAAACCATGGTTTAAATTGTGTTATGGAGAATTAGTTAAAGGTTGTGCCCAAACGTGGCCCCATCTATGAAAGAAGTACAATATTCAAACCATATGCCCTCGTGAACCTCATCCACCTTGCATGCTAGGATTTAGAGGGCCCAATGAATGATATCCCTGTTTCATGTCCATATATGGAACCAACTGAGAGAGACGTGAAAGAGTAAGGCAACAGGAGAGCAAAAACTATCACCTCTACTGCTGTGAAAAGCAGTCGAAGGATGTTGATTAGGTGTGTTAGCCAAGTGGGCTACCTATCATCTCACCCGTGAATCGAACTTACCTGCCTCATTGCAGGCAGTAGTGGACAACCTCATGGAAAAGCAGAGCAGATTGTGTACCCTGCAGACAGGCAATACTCAAAGAGAAAAGGAGGAAGAACCTGAGCGTGCTCAGCTCCTTCTCCCAAACTCTCCATTCAAATCCTTTGCTGCTCCTTTAGGGACCAGTAAGTGAACGAGGTGGAGAAAGGCCAGGAAGATTAGACATGGAGTCAGGGGAAAGGAGATTTCTCTGTTCCCCAAATGGTATGCAACAGTCAATGTCAAGGCTAATAATTGCTGCTCAGGGCATATGAAAACATTGATTTCCTCAATACAGCCAATCCTGTTTATCTTCTTCACTCTATTATTCTTTTTTTCACAGAACCTGGACAATGAGTCCACTTGCAGTACCAGCTTTAGGCCCAGGTGAGTGGTGGCCTCTGCCCTGGGCCCTGCACTTTAGACAACCTCACATATCACAAAGGCACGTGTATTTGTTAAAGAACACACGAGTGCCTCTGGCACTTGGGATCCAGTGTTCAGTGCACTAGAACCCAGGCCCTAAATATCCATTCTTCTGACCAACAGTGTTCAGGCCCCAGGGCCCATTCTGTCCCCATTCTGCATCTCTTGTGCCATGTGCTTGAAACAACACAACTGCCTCTACATGCTGACAGATTGGCCGGGTGCGGTGGTTCACGCCTGTTATCCCAACACTTTGGGAGGCCAAGGCAGGCGGGTCACGACGTCAGGAGATCGAGACCATCCTGGCCAACATGGTGAAACCCTCTCTCTACTAAAAATACAAAAATTAGATGGGCATGGTGGTGCACGCCTGTAGTCCCAGCTACTCAGGAGGCTGAGGCAGGAGAGTCACTTGAACTCAGGAGGTGGAGGTTGCAGTGAGCCGAGATCACGCCACTGCACTCCAGCCTGGCAAGAGAAAGACTCCGTCTCAAAAAAAAAAAAAAAAAAAAAAGAATGCTGACAGATTTATGGGGTGCTGCTGCTGACATTGGAGAGAGATGATGCTCTGTGCTGTGGGGAGGATTTGAGTAACAAAAGTTCTTAAGTAAAAGAAAAGACAAATTAATTTACCTTTCAGATTTTTTTTTTCTCAACAGCATGAATGCAGTAAATTCTTTCACTAAAAAAGCATTGGTTCACAATAGAATAAAAATGTATTTGTCCTGCTTTTACTCATGTTTCAATGTGTGGCTCTGGAGCTATTCATGAATTGGTGTTTTATTTGCAGTAGTTGCAATGGCAGCTGAGAAACATTTTGCAACGAAAAAAATTCATTTTACTCTTATATATGAATATGTGTGAGTTATGTTCATTATCTAATGCTGCATGACAAAATTATCCTGTAACCTAGTGTCTTAAAACATCGATAATCATTTATCATCTCTCACCATTTCTGATCATCAGAAATTCAGGAGTCGTTTGGCTGCAATATTCTGGTTTTAGATGTCTCATGAGGTTGTAGTCAGATGTCAACTAAGTCTATAGTTATCTGAAAGTTTGACTGAGGCTGGAAAATCTACTTCCAAAATGACTCACTGTCATATCTGGCAAGTTGGTGCTGGCTGTTGGCAGGAAGCCTCAGTTCCTCTGCATGTGGGCCTCTCTTCTTGAGCTGCTTGAATGTTCTCATTTCATGCTTGCCAGCTTCCCCCAGAGCAGGCAATCCCAGATTAAGAGAGAAGCTTCAATGAATTCTATTATCTTGATTTGGAAGTCATGCAGCATCTTTTCCACCATATTCTATTGGTCATACAGAACAGCCCTGAATCAGTGTGGCAGTAGACTATACAATGGTATGAATACCAGGAGGCAAGGACAATTGGAAGCCATCTTAGAAGCTGGTGTATTAGTCAGGGTTCTCTGCAGGCACAGAACTAATAGGATAGATGTATATATGAAGGGGAGTTTATTAAGGAGTTATTATTGACTCATGATCACAAGATGAAGTCTCACAATAGGCCACCTGCAAGCTGAGCAGCAAGGAAGTCAGAGTCCCGAAACCTCAAAAGTAAGGAAGCCAACAATGCCGCCTTCAGTCTGCAGCTAAAGGCCCCTGGAAAACCACTGGTGTAAGTCCAAGAGGCCAAAAGCTGAAGAACTTGTAGTCTGATGTTCAAGGGCAGGAAGCATCCAGCGTGGGAGAAAGATGAAGGCAGGAAGCATCCAGCGTGGGAGAAAGATGAAGGCCGGAAGACTCAGCAAGTCAAGTCCTTCCAAATTTTGCCTGCTTTATCCTAGCTGTGCTGGCAGCTGATTAGATGGTGCCCACCCAGATTGAGGGAGGGTCCGCCTCTCCCAGTCCACTGACTCAATGTTAATCTCCTTTGGCAACACCCTTACAGACACACCCAGAAGCAATACTCTGCATCCTTCAATCCAATCAAGTTGACACTCAGTGTTAACCATCGTAGCCAGCTATTGCATAGGTTTAGATACAATATTAACCATGACAACAATTAAAAAAAATCTTTTTAGAGATGAGGTCTTGCTATATTGCCCAGCCTGGAATGCAGTGACTATTCACAAGTGCAATCATAATAATGCACTACAGCCTCAAATTCCTGGCCTCAAGTGATCCTCCGTCTTCAGCCTACCAAGTAGCTGAGACTATAGGTGCACGCCACCATGCCTGGCCTGACATCAATTTTTTATATGGGAAAATAGATATTGAACACAATAATACAAAATATTAGCTGGGCCTAGTGCATGGACCATAGTCTCTGGCACTCTAGAGGCTGAGGTAGGAGGATTGCTTGAGCCCTGGAGTTTGAGGGTGCAATGAGCTATGATTGTGCCACTGCACTCCAGCCTGAGTGACAGATCAAGACTCTGACTCTAAAACAACAACAATAATGATAATAAATAATTGATGATTTGCTCAAATGAACACCAGAAAACAAATATACAAAATATATGAATTATTATTATCTTTATTATATCATTCCTGGGCTCAAGTGATCATCCCGCCTCATCCTCCCAAAGTGCTGTGATTACAGGTGTGAGATTGCCTGTACCCAAATGCACTCAACCTCAAGCTGTATTTGTATATTTAATTTATAATTGTTGATTCAAATGTACTCAAATTTTGTATACTTTGAATGCAGTTACATTTTATTTTGAATCTTTTTTTTTTCTTTTTTTTAGAAACAGGGTCTTGCTCTGTCGCCCAGGGTAGAGTACAGTGGCACGATCTTGGCTCACTGCAACCTCTGCCTCTCGGGTTCAAGTGATTCTCATGCCTCAGCCTCCCGAGTAGCTGGGATTACAGGAGCCCGCCACCATGCCTGGCTTATTTTTGTATTTTTAGTAGAAATGGAGTTTCACCACATTGGCCAGGCTGGTCTCGATCTCCTGACCTCAGGTGATCCACCCGTCTCAGCCTCCCAAAGTGCTGGGATTACAGGCATGAGCCACTGTGCCCAACATTAGTTTTGAATCTTTTAGATCATGGTTATCATTAACATACAAATTTTGTTAAAATCTTGATTATAACAACATAATTGGCTGGGCACAGTGACTCATGCCTGTAATCCTAACACCTTGGAAGGCTGAGGCAGGAGGACTGCTTGAGGCCAGGAGTTCAAGACCTGTCTAGGCAACACAGAGAGACCCCATCTCTATAAAAAATACAAAATATTGGCTGGGCGTGGTGGCTCACGCCTGTAATCCCAGCACTTTGGGAGGCCGAGGCTGGTGGATCACAAGGTCAGGAGTTCGAGACCAGCCTGGCCAACATGGTGAAACCCTGTCTCTACTAAAAATATAAAAAATTAGCCGGGTGTGGTGGCACGTGCCTGTAATCTCAGCTATTCGAGATGCTGAGGCAGGAGAATCGCTTGAACTTGGGAGGTGGAGGTTGCAGTGAGCCAAGATCATGCCACTGCACTCCAGCCTGGGTGACAGAGTGAGATTCCATCTCAAAAAAAAAAAATTACCTGGGTATGTTGGCATTTGACTGTAGTCTCTGCTTCTCAGCAAGCTGAGGCAGGAGGATTGCTTGAGCACAGGAGTTTGAGGCTACAGTCAGTGAGCTATGATTGTGCCACTGCACTCCAGCTTGGGTGACAGAGCAAGACCCTGGCTCTAAATAAAATAATAAAAAATAATTGGTGATTCGCTGAAATGAACCTCATGAAATAAATTCATAAAAATTTATGAATTATTATGGTCTTCATTATATCACTTATTAATAGACTATCCAGACAATAACAATTAGATGGCAAATGTGCAATAATAACTAAATTCAGTCATCTAATAATTTGCCAATTTTGGCCAGGTGCAGTGGCTCACGCCTATAATCCCAGCACTTTGGGAGGCCAAGGCAGGCAGATCACTTGAGGTCAGGGCTTCAAGACCAGCCTGGCCAACATGGAGAAACCCCATCTCTACTAAAAATACAAAATTAGCCTGTAATCCCAGCTACTCGGGAGGCTGAGGCAGAATTGCTTGAACCCGGTAGGCAGAGTTTGCAGTGAGCTGAGATCATGCCATTGCACTCCAGCCTGGGCAACAAGAGCGAAACTCTGTCTCAAAAAAGAAAAAAAAATTTGCCAATTTCTGTTTGTATGAAAAACCACAGCTTTATATACATTTCAGTTTTATTGCTCTGAAGGTATATTTTCCATGGAAAGAGGATAGATTTTATTAAACAGTCTGTTAACTTGGTTTACATTTTACACATATATAGATAAATAGTATGTGGGCATATGTTTGAATTTTTTTTTTTTTTTTTTGAGACGGAATCTCGCTTTCACCCAGGCTGGAGTGCAGTGGCGTGATCTCAGCTCACTGCAACCTCCGCCTCCTGGGTTCAAGTGATTCTCCTGCCTCGGCCTCCCGAGTAGCTGGGACTACAGGCCCCTGCCACCATGCCCGGCTAATTTTTTTTTGTATTTTTAGTAGAGACGAGGTTTCACCATGTTGGTCAGGCTGGTCTCGAACTCCTGACCTCATGATCCACCTGCCTTGGCCTCCCAAAGTGCTGGGATTACAGGCATGAGCCACTGTACCCGGCATATTTGAATTCTTGAGCTGCTTACCTGACTTGCAGCCCTCTTGGGGTAAGGGATGGAGGATTAGAGCCTTTCCTGGTCAGTTTACCATGTGTGAACACTTATGGAGGGACAGGGCTAGGAGAGGAAATAGACCTATTATATGTTTTTGTGGCAAAATAAAATCTGCACCATGGAATTTGCCCAATCACGTATGTCTAAATTGAGGGGGCATAAGCCCCCACAATACCCAAGGAATTCTAGTCTGGCAGGCAGGGCATATCAGCAGGCGTCTCCTGGCAGGAAGATGTTATTCAGAGTTAGGTAAATGGCAGTATTGGGTGGTCTGTCTAGCTCCAATAGGACCCAGATCAATTATATGTGATGAAGACTCAGTCCAACCCCAGGGAAAGAAAAGTGGCAAAACTTAAACATATAATGAATAGCCACATCCAATAAGTTTGTAGTCAGGAAAGATTCTACTTCCTGTAGAGGATCCTGGTGCCTAAAGCAGACACTGCAGTGAAAGTCTAGGGACATACAACCTGTGCAAGCACAGAAGGTTATGAGAAGGATGAAACTTAGAGGGTGGGTACTAGGGTCCCAAAGCTAGCACAGGAATGCGGAAGTAGTGGAAGTACAGGGCTGCCAGTCCAATTAATCTCAGACACCACCTGTGGGTAAAAATAGGTTATTGCTGAGGGCTGTCTCCAGAATTGGGGAGGCAGTGGTTACAGGGCTGGCTCTGGAAAAGCAGACTGTCAAGCTTCAATAGTTGCCTAGGAAGGAGCTATTTTTGAGTAGAAAGTCTTTCAGCACCCATCACACACAGCATCTGAATAACCCACTCACACAAAACCCTAGTTTTTGTTTTTTATTTTTTGAGACAGGGTCTTGCTCTGTTGCCCAGGCTAGAGTGCAGTGGTGCCATCATGGCTCACTGCAGCCTCAAACTCCCAGGCTCAAGAAATCCTTCCACCTTAGCCTACCATGTAGCTGGGACTAACGTTGTGTGCCACCATGTCAGGTTAATTTTTTTATTTTTTGTAGTATAGTGATCTCACTGCATGTCCAGGCTGGACTTGAATTCCTGAGTTCAAGAGATTCTCCCACCTCAGCTACCCAAAGTGCTGGGATTACAAGTGTCAGCCACCACACCTGGCCAAAACATTAGTTTTAAGCAGAAACAAATTCTGGTTTGTGTTTTTAAAATACTTTTTTTTTTTTTAATACTCAGGTTGCTGAATGACAGTATGCTTCAGTGGTACTATTCTAGGAGTTCCATGTATCTTAATGTATTTAATGCTCACAACAACCCCATAAAACAGCTATTATAATCATCCTCATCTTACAAAAGAAGAAGACACTTAAGGCCGGGCGCGGTGGCTCATGCCTGTAATCCCAGCACTTTGGGAGGCTGAGGCGGGAGGATCACAAGGTCAGGACTTCGAGACCAGCCTGGCCAATATGGTGAAAGGCCATGTCTACTAAAAATACAAAAATTAGCCGGACGTGGTGGACGGCGCCTGTAGTCCCAGCTACTCAGGAGGCTGAGGCAGGAGTATTTCTTGAACCCAGGAGGCGGAGGTTGCAGTGAGCCAAGATAGTGCCACTGCACTCCAGCCTGGGCAACAGAGCAAGACTCTATCTCAAAAAAAAAAAAAGACAAAAACAAAAAACCAAAAACAAAAAGAAGAGGCATACCTGCTGAGTAAGGTCCCGTAACTAGCAAGTAATAGAATTAACATTTGAATGTGGGCAAGTTGGTACCATACCTTGAGCTCTTAACTACTATTCTTTTTTCTTTTTTTTTTTTTTTTGAGACAGAGTTTCGCTCTTGTTGCCTAGGCTGGAGTGCAATGGCACAATCTCGGCTCACTGCAACCTCCGCCTCCCAGATTCAAGCAATTCTCCTGCCTCAGCCTACCGAGTAGCTGGGATTACAGGCATGCACCACCACGCCCGGCTAATTTTGTATTTTTAGTAGAGATGGGGTTTCTCCATGTTGGTCAGGCTGGTCTCGATCTCCCGACCTCAGGTGATCTGCCCACCTCAGCCTCCCAAAGTGCTGGGATTACAGGCGTGAGCCAGCGCACCCGGGCTCTTAACCACTATTCTAAATCCCTCTTTAAGGAGAGGCTGGTGGATTCAGCAGTGGGAAGAATCACAGAGAATGATTAATTATGCCTCCCAACAAATTTGCCTTATAAAAAAAAGGCCTCCAATAAACAGAAAGGAAATATCTTTCTTATAAAAACTCCAAGTGTAAAATACCTCTCACTTAGCACTTGAGAATCTGGGATGCTTTCTAACAAACACAATATACAGTACTCTTTTTGTCCTGGCCACTAGGGGGAAGAGTGGAATGTCAAAGAATTTAAATCTCGTCCACAGATTCACGATAGTTGATAACTGGTTTTAGTTCTTTCCCTATACCAGAATATAAAAGTTCTTTTGTATTTTTTGCTTGTGAGAGATCATTTCAGATAAATTTATTAAGCATCCATAAACATTTTTCTCTAGTTTCTTTTTTAGAAATAAATGGATTATGCTGAGGGAAAGAAGGCAGACAAGAAATCTATACTGTATGATTCCATTTATATGAAATGTCCAGAAAAGACAAATCTATAAAGACAAAAAAAAGATTAGTAATTGTCTAGGGTAGAGGCTCAAGAGAACAGGGGTTCACAGTAAATGTGTATGAGGGATCTTACTGAGTGACGAAAATATTCTAAACTGACATGGTGATGGCTACACATGTAAAATAGAATAAATGTACTAAAAATTATTGAATTGTACACTTGAAACAGTGAATTATATATAATATGTAAAATAAGCCTCAACAAAGTTGTTAAAAAACAAGAAATGTGCCGGGCATGGTGGCTCACACCTGTAATCCCAGCACTTTGGGAGGCCGAGGCAGGTGGATCACCTGAGGTCAGGAGTTCGAGACCAGCCTCAACATGGAGAAATCCCGTCTCTACTAAAAATACAAAAAATTAGCTGGGCGTGGTGGCGGGCACCTGTAGTCCCAGCTACTTGGGAGGCTGAGGCAGGAGAATTGCTTGAACCCGGGAGGCAGAGGTTGCAGTGAGCCGAGATTGCACCATTGCACTACAGCCTGGGCAACAAGAGTAAAACTCCGTCTCAAAAATACACAAAAAAACAAGAAACGTATTATTTTTTGAGTCAAACAAAAACCTATTTATTCAAAAAGTTTGAAAATATGTTTAATAGACACATAAAACTGTCTAGAGGGATAACAGTGACTAACTCAGAAATGCTGCTGTGGAGGAAACTGGGAAAATTTTTATACTATATGTCTTTCTACATGATTATTTTGACGATAATGAAAAATTTAAAAATGTAATAAAAACTAATTTTTAATAGATGGGAAGTTAAGATGTGTAAAATGCAATGACATTTATAAGTATTACCTTTGGATGGTAGAATATGGCTTGTATTTTTTGTCTTTCTAGGTTTCTTTCTTTTCCAATTTTATGTATTTTTTTACTTTTAAATTTTTAAATTGACACATAATAATTACATACTTACGGGATACATAGTGATGTTGTGACACATATGTGTATAGCGATCAGATCAGCGTAGTTAGCATTTCATCTCAAACACTTAAGATTTCTTTGTGTTGGAACATTCAATACCCTCCAGCTAGCTACTTGAAACTGTATAATATATAACTATTAACTATAGTCATCCTACAGTGCTACAGGAAAATACGGAAGGCTTCACGAATTTGCATGTCATTCATGCTAATCTTCTCTGTATCATTCCGATTTTAGTGTTTGTGCTGCTGAAGTGAGTACATTTGCCAATTTAAAAATGATTATATATTACTTTTCCAACAAAAACTGAATGGGTTTAATATAAAATAAAAGGCCAGGAAACATCTGAAGGTTTTTGTTTTCTTTTTTGTTTGAAACAGTCTCGCTCTGTCGCCCAGGCTGGAGTGCAGTGGCGCAATCATGGCTCACTGCAGCCTCAACTTCCCAGGCTCAAGCAATCCTCCCACCTTAGCCTCCCCAGCAGCTGGGATTACAGGTGCCCACCACAAAGCCCAGTTAATTTTTGTATTTTTTGTACGGGTTTTCATTATGTTGCCCAGGCTGGTCTCGAACTCTTAGGCTTAAGTGATCTGCCTACCTTGACCTCCCAAAGTATTGGGATTACAGGCATGAGCTACCACACCCAGCCTTGAATTTTTTTTGAGACGGAGTCTTGCCTTGTATCATTTTTATTTATTTTTTGTTTTTTATTTTTGAGACAGAGTGTCTCTCTGTTGCCAGGCTGGAGTGCAGTGGCGCGATCTCGGCTCACTACAACCTCCGACTCCCTGGTTCAAGCGATTCTCCTGCCTCAGCCTCCTGAGTAGCTGGGATTACAGGCGCACGCCACCAGGCCCAGCTAATTTTTTTGTATTTTTAGTAGAGACAGGGTTTCACCATGTTGGCCAGGATGGTCTAGATCTCCTGACCTCGTGATCTGCCTGCCTCGGCCTCCCAAAGTGCTGGGATTACAGGCATGAGCCACCGCGCCTGGCCTGCATCATTTTTAAAAAGTCAACTTTAGCACAATATTTATGGTATTTCATAGATAACAGAACTTTTTTTTGTTTGTTTTTGAGGGGGAGTATTGATCTGTCACCCAGGCTGGAGTGCAGTGGTGAGATCTCAGCTCACTGCAACCTGCACCTCACAGGTTCAAGCGATTCTTGTGCCTCAGCCTCCAGAGTAGCTGGGACTACAGGCATGCACCACCACACATGGCTAATTTTTGTATTTTTAGTAGAAACTGGGTTTCACCATGTTGCCCAGGCTGGTCTCGAATTCCTGAGCTCAAAGGGATCCCCCAGCCTCGGCCTCACAGGTGTGAGCCACCTGCCCATCCAACAATAGGACCTTTTTTTTTTTTTTTTTTAGCTCAAGAAAGACCTGTGGTTTAGACACTTAAACAAAAAGAAGTAACATCTACTGGCCTTTAATCTTGAATGTGGTCTAGTGAAGCTGGAGGGCATTTCTTTCCTTCTTCTTTTTTTTTTTTTCTGAGACAGGATCTCACTCTGTTGCCCAAGCTGGAGTGCAGTGGTCTGATCACAGCTCACTGTAGCCTCAACCTCCCAAGCTCAAGCGATCCTCCCACCTCAGCTTCTGGAGTAGCTGGGACTACAGGTGCGTGCCAACACGCCCAGTTAAGTTTTTGCATTTCTTGTAGAGATGGGGTTTTGCCATATTGCCCAGGCTGGTCTCGAGTTCCTGGGCTCAAGTGATTCACCCACCTGGGCCTCTCAAAGTGCTGGGATTGCAGGCGTGAGCCACTGCACCCAGCCAGGTATTTCTTTTCTCATTTTCATTTGCATCTACAAATTTATATAGGATGGGAGGGAAAAAAATTCATGAGATTAGAAATTGGGATCTTTAAGATTCAAGTTCATCAGCACATATCTGATGACAAATGCGGCCGTAGAGAGCCTGGTAGGAATAAGACAGTTAAAATGATAATGGGGGTGGAGTAGGGGTGAAATACCCAACAGGAAATTTACTATAAGGGCGGAGCTATCTGAATGGATGACCCAGAGCTTTCTGCAGGACCTGAATCATTGAAGGCAGATGTTACCTTGAGGTGCAATGTGTAGTTGAACTAGAAATTTCTCCCTACTTAGATACTATACAACGTCTTGAAGAAAATGTCTGTATTTGAAGAGTTTGAAGTGCTGTACTGAGAAAGCCACTTCTGAGAGTGACACTGGAGCAAGTACCTGGAAGAAACACTGAGCCCCAGCTGCATTGGCAGAGACCTGTTTCAGTTGCCCTAGAAACAAAGAGCAGGGCACCAGTGTTAAGGAAGGAGGGTGCCCGGCACGGTGGCTCACGCCTGTAATCCCAGCACTTTGGGAGGCCGAGGCGGGCGGATCACAAGGTCAGGAGTTTGAGACCATCCTGGCTAACACAGTGAAACCCCGTCTGTACTAAAAATACAAAAAATTAGCCAGGCGTGGTGGCGGGCGCCTGTAGTCTTAGCTACTCCGGAGGCTGAGGCAGGAGGATGGCGTGAACCCGGGAGGCGGAGCTTGCAGTGAGCCGAGATTGGTCCACTGCATTCCAGCCTGGGTGACAGAGCGAGACTCCATCTCAAAAAAAAAAAAAAGTAAGAAAAAAAAGGAAGGAGATTGTCCATGTTCTTGGCATCTTGAACAAAGAACTGGGCAAAGTGCACAAAACACGGACGAAATGAAGGATTTATTGAAAATGAAAGTACACTACACAGTGTGGGAGCAGGCCCGAGCATAGGGGCTCAAGGGCCCCGTTACAGAATTTTTGGGAGTTGAAATACCCTCTACTTGGGGTACATCCTATGTAAATGGAGAGGATGAAATAAAGTTACAAAGTCTTCTACTTGGCCCACGCTCTACGGAGAGGATATTTCCTATCATAGCTGAAGTGTGAATGGGCCTTATGTTCCCTGCCTCCAGATCTTGTTTTCCTGCCTCAACTCCCCACTAAGAGATGTGATCCTCATAAATCTTTATAGGAAGCAGAGGGACCGGCGGTCTTTTTTCTGTAAGTTCTTCATGCTGACTTGGGGCATAGTCCCTACCTATTGGGGATCACAGAACTCTCGCCCTGTTCTGTCTAGTAGAGACAGGGTAGCTTCCTGATGACCAGGGGTGGTGTCTTCACCTGGAACTGGCTGGAACCTTTGTTGCATGATCATCTGGAACTTGATGGTCTCTAGGCAAGAGGAAATGAATTTGGTTAAAAGATTTAATGGGAACCTCAAGGGGTAGATACCCATGCTGTCAAGAATGTTTGTTACAGAGATTTGCAGAAGAAAAGACAAAACCTGATCTGTTCTAGGATTCATGTGTTTCCTTAAAGTCTTAGCACAACCAACTTTATTTTGGTTTGGTCTGTTGGGGCCTAGTGCATGAGCTTAGTCCAAAACGATGGCCTCCCAGAATTTTGTTTAAAAAATTCCTCCTTCTCACCTAAGTGAAGAATGTGACCAAAAGTTAAGGCCTTAGTGCCACTCTCAGTTACCATCATTTTGTGTTTCCGGTCGCAGCATGTCATTTGTAGGTTACAGTGTCCTCATGGTTGCACATTTCTTTCAGCTCCAGTTACTCCAGTTGAAAAGAGACCATATGACATCCTAGAGACAGCTGCATGCAGCATTTAAAACCTTTGAGAGAAAACAGCTCACCAGGGAGACTATTATTATGACTATTGGGAGGATAAAAGCAAGAGTTTGGAGTATGCTCCTTACCCAAGGTCCCCCAAAAACCAAACCTCCTAAAATCAAATAGATCAAAGAATGAGCTAAAGAGTTTACTCACTTAACTAGGCAGTCTCTTTGTTAATCCCCTACCACTGAATTTTTATAATCTTCATTTGATGTATTTCTCCATAGGCCAAAAGTGCCAGCAGCTGCAGATACTTCCTTGTTCAGCCAATTCTACTTTCACAAAAGAATTTAAAGTTTGTTGTGTAACTGTAGCCTTTACAGTAGAGTTTGCTATAGAGCCTATCATGAGGGATACATTTCTTTTTTTTTTCTTTTTTTTTTTTTTTGAGACAGAGTCTCACTCTACTGCCCAGGCTGGAGTGCAGTGGCACAATAATCTTGGCTCACTGCAACCTCTGCCTTCCCAGTTCAAGTGATTCTCCTGCCTCAGCCTCCCAAGTAGCTGGGATTACAGGCACCCACCACCACGCCCGGCTAATTTTTGTATTTTTAGTACAAACGGGGTTTCACCATATTGGTCAGGCTGGTCTTTAAGTCCTGACCTCAGCCTCTCAAAGTGCTGGGATCTGCACTGCCTCGGTCTCGCAAAGTGCTAGGATTACAGGCATGAGCCACCGCACCCGGCCTGAGGGATGTATTTCTAATCGTTGCTTCTTTTACTTTAAACCACAGAAAAAGGACCTAACAAATGATGCCCTTTTAGAAGAGTGAAGGCCTCCTGGCAGTGTTTTCTTTAACCCATGATATGGGTTAAGAGGAATGAATAAATGTTTTATTTTTGACTGATTATGAGGCAACGTATGTATCATTAAAGTTTCTTACCTACATTGGGCCTTCATCTTTTATCTATCAAAGTACAAGGGTATCCATGTATAAGGCTGGCTGCAAACTCCTTCACAATAAAAGTACACCACATTAATGCACATAACAGACCCCTTTTCTACTTCTATTGTTCATAGAGGCATAAGAAAAAATATTCAAAGATAAGAGTTTCATGACAGTAGAAGTCTTAATCTGTGAATTAGGGAAAAACTGTTCATATCAAGGATGCCATCTGCTTCTCGGGAAACATTTCCCTGGTCAGCTTTACCTCAAGGGTTCCAATGGATGCACAGTTCCAAAAGTGTGGAGGGACCCGGGACCCTTCTCAGTTGTGAGACCATAAACCCAAAGCCCAAGGTTCTGAAGTTTTGTTGTAGTGTGGATGACAAGGACAGTCTTTCTCTGATGTTTCCAGAAGATCCAAACCATAAAAAAGCTTTTTTTTCACCTGGTGAAAACACACTGCAGCATAATAGTCTACTGTTATAACATCAGCCCTCTTGCATGGGAAAGCTTTTATAAAACCAGAAAACATACATTGAAAATAACAATTGAATGAAATCCCTTTATAAAATGTTTAAATGGCCCACCAGGTGACCAAATGTACGTGAAACTTTATCTTCCCAGGAATATGGAACCAAGCTTTGGTTATAAAATGTTTTAAACAATTTCAGTATCAGCTGGTTTAATATGAAAATCTGACAGTATTTTCTTGGTATTTAATTAATTTTTGTTCTACTCGGGTTAGTAGCTTTATACAAGGAAATTTGGTTATTTCTGTGGTTTACAATAACAATTTAATAACCATAATTATAATTAATAGCACATACTACTTTAGAAATCCCATATAATTTTGGAACATATATTAGTAATATTCACAAAAATAAAACCTAAAGAAGACTGAACATCATTTTGGCAATCCCATGTACCTAACATGTCAGAAAATCCTGTTTACCTCTTTTCTGAATGTTTTCAGGACCCTCTTATCCATCCAAAAAGTCAGGGATTAGGAAAGACAACTTTGAAACTGAAGTTTGATTTTAGAATTCCAGATTACCAGAAATTATTTATTTTGCCAAAATGACTCAGAAATTTTAAACTAGTAAAAATCTTTTATAACCTTTTACAAAAAAAAAAAGCCACATTCAACTGTTCTTACACATCTTGCAGGTAAAACTGTTTCTTTTTTTTTGAGACGGAGTCTCGCTCTGTTGCCCAGGCTGGAGTGCAGTGGCGCGATCTCGGCTCACTGCAAGCTCCGCCTCCCGGGTCACGCTATTCTCCTGCCTCAGCCTCCTGAGTAGCTGAGACTACAGGCGCCCGCCACCACGCCCGGCTAATTTTTTTGTATTTTTAGTAGAGACGGGGTTTCACCGTGTTAGCCAGGATGGTCTCGATCTCCTGACCTCGTGATCTGCCCGCCTCGGCCTCCCAAAGTGCTGGGATTACAGGCGTGAGCCACCGCGCCCAGCCTGTAAAACTGTTTCTAGTAGTCTTAATTGCATGTTACAGTGGCAACTCTTAGCAATTTTAACTTTAATGTAAAACCTGGTAAGTTATGTTCTGGTAAGATTTGACTATTTTCAGCATAGCTAGGAGCGTGGCCAACTCCACACATCCCCAGGCCTTACCTAGCTGGAAAGCAGGCAAGTTAAACAATTTTCAAAAGCCAAAGAAGCAATTTATGAACTTAAAGCATTTAGCAAACCTAATATTTGAATATAACTTAGACCACATGTTTACATTGTGAAGATATTGTATTTTACCAATAATCTTTAAAACCATCTTTATTTCCCAAAGATTGCTAAAGTCATGTGAACTAAAAGGCATTATACTTTCTAGTTTTCTGACAAAATATTTGATTTAAGCTCTTCTTCTTATTAAACCAATTAATTTAAAACTTTACACAGGAGATAAACAGTGAATTTTACTTTATATTTAACCAGTTTGCACAGAGAGAAAGAGACCAGAGAGAGACTGACTGGTAAGAAATTCTTACCCTTTTGCCGGCATGCCAGGTTTCTGGGTTCTCTCTCCCTGAGCAGCCCAGGAGACCCTGCTTGACCGTATGCAAAGAGACACATTGCTATGAATTAAGAATATTCATAGATAGTTTACAAATTTTGGAGAAACTAAAAAAAGAGTTAAATTCTATTTGTGAGAGTATACTCAACAAACTTAAAATATCAGGAAGCCTAAAATCCAAAACTTTAGTTTAAGGATAGAAAGCTGGTGTGCTCCATTAATTCCTGCAGGCCCGACAAAGGAAGCTTGGGAATTCCAGATAAATGGAACTAATGATGACTTGCTAGAAATGCATAGGAAACAAAATAACTATTCACAGAACCAAAGGAAAGCCTTCTACTAGAAACTAAAAAGCATCATGGTTTTATATATATTGATACACAACCAGTCAGAGGTGAATAAGCAGCAAACGAATAGGCTGGGCGCGGTGGCTCATACCTGTAATCCTAGCACTTTGGGAGGCTGAGGCGGGCGGATCATGAGGTCAGGAGTTTGAGACTAGCCTGGCCAACATAATGAAACCCCATCTCTACTAAAAATACAAAAAAAAAAATTAACTGGGCATGGTGGTGGGCACCTGTAATCCTAGCTACTTGAGAGGCTGAGGCAGGAGAATCGCTTGAACCTGGGAGGCAGAGGTTGCAGTGAGGCAAGATCGCGCCACTGTACTCCAGCCAGGGTGACAGTGCGAGACTCTGTCTCAAAAAAAAAAAAAAAAGAAGAAGTAAAAACAAACAGGAAACCACCCTAAATTTTCCTACTCAATTTACCTTAGTGGTTACGGTGTTACCTAGGGCCCCAAAAAACCCACATAATGAATATTTTGCTCCTGATACACAATTCAATATCCCTATATTCACCAATATTTTATACATTCTGTGCAATCAAAAAATCCACTTTAGGCACATGACCAATAAGTATTCTAGGCACTATCCACACAAACCAGTAAACATAGTGTGAAGCAATGCAAGCATGTATGTGAAATTTGGCTTTACACTAAATCCAGTTTCATGCTTAACTATATTAAAAAAAGAATTGGCGGCCGGGCATGGTTACAGGCTCACGCCTGTAATCCCAGCACTTTGAGAGGCAGAGGCGGGCGAATCACCTGAGGTCAGGAGTTCGAGACCAGCCTGGCTAACATGGTGAAACCTTGTTTCTACTTAAAATACAAAAAATTAGCTGGGCTTGGTAGCGAGTGCCTGTAATCCTAGCTACTCGGGAGGCTGAGGCAGGGGAATCACTTGAACCTGGGAGGCAGAGGTTGCAGTGAGATCACGCCATTGCACTCCAGCTTGGGTAACAAGAGCAGAACTCCGTCTCAAATAAAAGAAAAAAAAATTGCCAAACTGCCAATGCATTTTTTACAATACTTCTTATTTTACTTTAATCAAGACTAAGAGCTTTAACTATGAAAATGTTAAATAGCCAAATGTCTCCAATTTTTTATCAGGTTTTAAAGAATATTTTATTATTTAAACTTTTTCCACATCTTTCTCCCCTACTTAATGGCTTCTTACTACACTGTTTCATAAATAACCTTTGCAAATCTGTAATTTGAACTAACTTTTAGATAACTTCTGAATTAGACAAAATTATTATTTTTCCACTAATAACTGATTCTGGCACATTTTACATACAGAATTACGTGTTAACTAGAATTTTTATCCTTATTAGCCTAAAACTTTAGTGAAACCCTAAAAAGCAAGAAATCCTGAACTATCAGATATGGACATTTACAGATAAGAACAATTCCACAATTTCAGAAACATATTCCTATATTACAACCCTTTCTTAATTGGAAATGACTCATATATTAAATAAGCATTGTTAGAAATATGAAATATGTTAGAAATAGATAATCAGTGCCACAAAGAAAAGTCAGCAGAGAGACAAAAGATCTCTCAGCAAGGCAATCTTTACTTTCTGCAGAAAGGGTACTCAGTCACAGATGGAACAATGGCGAGAGCATACATGAACAAAGGAAAAGCAGGTATATTTATCCCTTATGCATTTGGGTCGACCTTACTGCTGTGCCCTGCATCCATTGACTGGAGCGGGACCTCACACTCAAACTGATACCCGATTTGCTAATAGCTAAAACTTTTCTAAATAGGTAAGTGCAGGGAAGAACAAAGAAGTTGCTTACGAAAGGTTTAAGGAAGCAATAACATTTCCAAATAAGGAAGGGGCATAGGCTGTGAGCTGGAACGTGACTGTGAGCATGTCCAACAGTTACATAAGATAGGGCTTAACAAGAGTTATTAGCACAAAGCAACGATGCTTGAAGAAAGTTAGTCTTTAAAAGAAACTATTATTTCTAACACTTATGATTTATGCTTTAACAAGAAGGGGAACTTTGAAGAGGAAACTTTTTACTTTCCACAAGCATCAAAAATAACTTTAAGATTTTAATTTATGGGCGGGGCACGGTGGCTCACACCTGTAATCCCAGCACTTTGGGAGGCTGAGGCGGGCCGATCACGAGGTCAGGAGATCGAGACCATCCTGGCCAACATGGTGAAACCCAGTCTCTACTAAAAATACAAAAATCAGCCGGGCGTGGTGGTGTGTGCCTATAATCCCAGCTACTTAGGAGGCTGAGACAAGAGAATCGCTTGAACCAGGGAGTTGGAGGTTGCGGTGAGCCGAGAGCATGACACTGCACTCCAGCCTGGTGACAGAGTGAGACTCCATCTCAAAAAAAAGATTTTAATTCACACAAAATGTCTACCTAAAACATTTATCCCATTCACTGTACTTTATTTTTTACTGTTAACAGAGGAGACATGAGACATCAATCAACATATGTAAAATGAACATTGGTTTGGACTCTGAGGTGAGGAGGGAGCTTGGAGGCTTTCAGATCACAGGTAGGTGGGAGGCAAACAGTTGCATTCTCCTGAGTTCCTGATTAGCCCTTCCCAAGGAAGCAATCAGATATACATTTATCTCAGTGAGACTTTGAATAGAGCGGGAGGCAGGCTCGCCCCTAGCAGCTCCCAGCTTGAATTAACACTGACATTTTAAAATACCTAGCAAAGACAAACATAAAATTCAGACAAAATGTATGCTGACAATTCTGAAGGCATTTCTGTTTTTATTCCACCAATAATTTTAAAGCTAGCTTGTTTATTAAAGTTATACTTTATTTATTTATTTATTTATTTATTTATTTATTTATTTATTTATTTATTTTGAGACGGAGTCTTGCTCTGTCACCCAGGCTGGAGTGCAGTGGTGCCATCTCGGCTCACTGCCAGCTCCGCCTCTCGGGTTCACGCCATTCTCCTGCCTCAGCCTCCCCAGCAGCTCGGACACAGTTGCACGCCACCATGCCCAGCTAATTTTTTTTTGTACTTTTAGTAGAGACGGGGTTTCACCGTGTTAGCCAGGATGGTCTCGATCTCTTGACCTCGTGATCCGCCCGCCTCGGCCTCCCAAAGTGCTGGGATTACAGGCATGAACCACCGCGCCCGGCCTAAAGTTATACTTTAAATCATGTGAACTTGAAAATTGCTTAGACCTATTTACTTAATTTATAAGTGCTTTTTTACTTATAAGCCAATTTTGGTAGACACAACATATAACAATAAGTGTACATACAAATAAACACATCTAGACATGCATACACACACATAAATGAAGATCCAGTAGCTTGGAACCTTAGCCATGAGATAGCAATACCAGCTTGCCCCAATAGATAATCCAGTGAAGGCTGTGAACCAAAATTTCAGTTAAAGCAGTTTCCATGGCAGCTTGATTTTTAAAGACCAAACCTTCCCAGACTCCAAAGAGCACTGGGGCCAAACCCTACCAAAGTAGCGTGTCACACATTAACCAGGCTCCCAGCTTAGAACCGCAGCACAAAAGCCTGGATACATGCAATGCCATTCCACTTTCCCTTTAGACAGTAAACTCCAGATTCCAAACAATGTTTGGGCCAGACAGCATTGCAATTGCGAGAGAAAATTCTAAGGAGGATTTAGTACTAGACCTCAGAGCCTCTGCTAAGAGCATCCCCTTTGAGCAGGTTGAGGTCCACAGGACCCACGGAGCATCCTCCTGTGGGGTCCAATCTTAGAGTGTCAGATGTCTCTGACCTTGGGTGGGCACTGGTACCACGTGCAGGTTTTCCCCTCCAAGGCCTACCTCCTAGTATGAGTCTTATAATAGCCATGAACTCTAATGAGAACAGGATGCCAGGTGGGCTTTTTGTCTTTAGCCAGTTGAGTACGTAAGGGAAGAACTTAGCATAAGAAAAGAAAGTTTAAGTCCCCTGAAACACGCGCGAGTTTGCTCTGAGCTGCAGGGATCAGGGATCGCCTAGATCTCCTTCCCCCTTCTGGACAGTGCAATTATAAACAGCCGCTGAAAGACTGAAAAGAAAGAAAGGAAAAAAAAAAAGAAAGAAAAACACCCAGATTCCTTAAGCTAACTGTAAAAAGACCCTGTTCCCCTAAGCGAAACATGAGATGGCAGTTAGGCCATCCTCAACATGGAAACCCTTCAGTTTCACGAACCACGGCCAGAAATCTGCAGCTGTTTCCATGTTTAGACGCCGCCCACCAAGGGTCCCCAGTTGGAAAGGAAAAGAGAGAGCGCGCCCCTGTATGGAGCGGAAAGGAAAGGGAGTAAAATGAATCCCAAACTTTTCGGCTTACCTCTTCTTCCTGTCTGATTCGCCGAAATATTAATGGTGGAGAGTGTCCCGGTTCTTGGCTTCCTGAACAAAGAATTGGACAAAACGCACAAGCAAGGAAAGGAAGGAATGAAGGGTTTTATTGAAAACGAAAGTACGCTCCATGGTGTGGGAGCGGGCCTGAGCATAGAGTCTCAAAGTCCCTGTTGCAGAATATTTGGGAGTTGAAATACCCTCTACTTGGGTACGCCCTATGTAAATGGAGAGGATGAAGTACAGTTACAAAGTCATTTACTTGGCCTTCGCCCTATGGAGAGGATATTTCCTATCATAGCTCAAGTGTGAATCTGCCTTATGTTCCCTGCCTCCAGACCCTATTTTCCTGCCTTACCAGGGCTAATGGAAATGTACCTTAGAATAGAAGAAGACTGTTGAAAACGAAGATTTTAGTCTATTTTGGTGTCTGCTTATAAAAGTGCCTGACATGTAGAAGGCACTCAATAAATACTTGTGGAATGATGAATGAATGAGAGGATGAATGTATGAGTGGGAACCCAGCCAAGCCCTTGACCTGTGGTTTTCTCTGGGTTTCAGCATCCCAGCAGCTCTCCTGGCAGGGAGGCAGAGCCCCCGGGGGCCACAGGGCAGGGCAGGCAAGATCTGGAAGTCAGTGATCAATGAGACTAGAAGGAGTTACCCATAAAAGGAAAACTTTACACTAACTCATCTAGAAAGTCAAGAGTGAGGGTGTTCTGTCACCCCACTGATGACCAGGAGTGATTTCACTGATCCTCCTGCTCCATGTGTGCCAATCTAGAGCCATGACTCCTGTCCAAAAGAGCGACCTTTCCACATACAAATAGAGAGAGTTCTAGACAGACCATATGCTGAGTTTCAGAAACAGAAATAATCACTTTGTGTGGTCCAGAAACACAGCTGTAATCCTGCTTAGAGTTGCTTTTTCTCTTTGTTTGCTTGTGTTGTTTTTTGGGAGACAGGTGTCAGGAAATAGCCTTTATAATAATGACATTAAAAATTTTCTTCTCTTAGGGCCGGATGTGGTGGCTCATGCCTGTAATCCCAGCACTTTGGGAGGCCAGGGTGGGCAGATCACGAGGTCAGGTGCTCGAGACCGGCCTGGCCAACATAGTGAAACCCCATCTCTACTAAAAGTAACAACAATTAGCATGGTGACATGTGCCTGTAATCCCAGCTACTTGGGAGGCTGAGGCAGGAGAATCACTTGAACCCGGGAGGTGGAGGTAGCAGTGAGCCGAGATCGCGCCACTGCACTCCAGCCTGGCGACAGAGAGAGACTCTATCTCAAAAAAAAAAAAAAGGCAACTTTCCATGATTGAAAAGTAGTACAATGTAATCCAGATGGGTTAGCTGAGACTAAGAGCAGTCAATAAAATACTTTATTAATGGCATAAGAGTTGCCTCCAGGTACTGGTGTTCTGATTACATAATATCTACATTTAAAAAAAAATCTAGTTCATGTGAAAGCATGGACATGCTTTAGGCATTAGGCAGCAGTAACTGTAATAGGACCAATAAGGCAATGTACCAGTCCAAACATGTCCATACGCTGTGATTCATTGTTGTTATGTTCAAAAGGGTTAGAGCTCTAGATAGCACTGAAACTCAACCAGCAGAAACTCTCCAGTAACCAGAAACTCTAATTTTTTGTTTGTTTTTTTAGATATGGGTCTCACTGTCACCCAGGCTAGAGTGCAGTGACTCACTGCAGCCTCAAATTCTAGGCAATCCTCCAGGCAATACGAGCTTGCCCCAATAGATAATCCAATGAAGGCTGTGAACCAAAATTTCAGTTAAAGCAGTTTCCATGGCAGTTCCATGGCTTCTCAAATTGCTGGGATTACAGGTCTGAGCCACTGTGCTCAGCCATGAAACTCCAATTAAAATAGTAGGCAGGGCGCAGTGGCACATGCTTGTAATCCTAACACCTTGGGAGGCCAAGGCAGGAGGATTGTTTGGGCCCGGGAGTTCAAGACCGGCCTTTCAAACATCGCAAGACCCTGTCTCTACAAAAATTAAAATTAGCTGGGTGAGGTGGCACTCACCTTCAGTCTTGTGAGGCTAAGGGTAGGAGGATCGCTTGAGCACAGGAGAGCGAGGCTGCAGTGAGCTGTGATTGCGCCACAGCACTCAGCCTGGGCGACAGAGTGAGGCTTTGTCTCAAATAAAATAAAATAAAATAATTGTAGTAGTGTCCACAAGAATCACCTGCAGACCCCGAAGATCTTAGACTTCGAATATTCACCCTGACTGCTCCCTTTACCTAGAATCCCACTTATCTTAGATCAGTCTAAGTCCCCACCTCTCCATTTGGCTACCCCTGCTTATCCTTCAAAACTCAGGTAAGATTTTCTCCTTAGCCAGGAGCCCTCTTTGAGCATAATTCACTTCCCCACTTCTCCTATAAGCCCCCATAGCATCTTTCAAATTTCTGTGTAGTTAACACATTACATGGCATATTTTGTTTGTCTTTCCCTCTGCCCAGAAGGTAAGCTTCTCAGTCTATTCATGCACCTAGTAAAATGCAATTACTATAGTAGGCAGCTCAACAAATATACACTAAGAAATGTTATTCAGAGTCTTGAAAAGTAGTGAATTGGCCGGCTGTGATGGCTTATGCCTGTAACTCCAGCACTTTGGGAGGCTGAGGCGGGCGGATCACCTGAGGTCAGGAGTTCGAAACCAGCCTGACCAATATGGTGAAACTCCGTCTCTACTAAAAATACAAAATTAGCTGGGTGTGGTGGCAGGCGCCTGTAATCCCAGCTACTCGGGAGGCTGAGGCAGGAGAATCACTTGAACCCAGGAGGCGGAGGTTGCAGTGAGCCGAGATCGCGCCATTGCACTCCAGCCTGAGCAACAAGAGCGAAACTCCATCTCAAAAAGAAAAGAAAAGTAGTGAATTAATTTGATCAAATAAAAGTAGCTTAGATAGCTCTATCTGCAATAAGCTTTGATGCTACAAAATTTTCCAGTGATCTTTAAGAGGAAAAAACTGAGAAGCAGTGTTCACTTTTCTTTCAGTTTCTTCTTTCCAGGAGGATACTAAGAAGTAATGATGCCTCTTTTTTTATGCTTAGAAAAATCTCAGATGAGGACAATCATCTTTATTTCTATTTTCAGCACGGGTTCTTGCTGTGTGGCTGTGAAAATGACTGACAGAAATTATAACCAGGTACCGACTGCTCTGTACTTTTTCTTTCTCTTCCAGGTTCGGGATGGCACGTTCCTAATTCCCTCTTGACCACAAAATGTGAGGATCTAGCCTCAAATCTGCAACGCTTGCGTCTAAGAAAAAAATTGTTTTTAAATTTCCATTTAACAGAAATACAGATGCAGAGCCATATAATCATCGGTCTTTGATCACTCAGCAAATCACAGAACAAGGAACAAATCCTAGAGGGGATGACAGGCCAGTTTTTGACCCTATAGCCCAGCAACCTCAACACAGAACCGGAACCTTTCCCACATTAATCGCAAGGCAAGCAAGTGACAGATTTTTACTTTTTAGTTCAATCTTTTTAAATCAATTATAAAAGATGACAAATATACACCTCTCTTGGGATACTTTAGATAGGGCCTTATATAAGTATTATATGTCCTAAAATCAGGCAGATCTTTCTTTATCCCCGTCACATATTTTACATTTCTGAAAGTAAAACAGGAAATTACTTCAAGAAAATGCCTGGAAGAAAAGCAAATATTTTCAAACTATTCAGAAGAATGGAATTTTTCAAAAATTAAAAGTTGCCAAAGGGAGCCAGGCATGGTGGGTCACACCTGGAACCTCAGTGCTTTGAGAGGCAGAGACAGGATGATCACTTGAGGCCAGCAGTTTGAGACCAGCCTGGGTAACATAGTGAGACCCTATCTCTATAAAAAATTAAAAAATTAGCTGGGCCTGGTGGTGCATGTCTGCAGTCGTAGCCACTCCAAAGTCTGAGGTGGGAGGATCACTTGAGCCCAGCAGTTTGAGGCTGAAGTGAGCTATAATCACGCCACTGCACTCCAGCCTGGGCAAGAGAGCAAGATCATCTCTTAAAAAAAGGGAAAATAAAATAAAATAAACTTGCCAAAGGGGAAAAAAAGCAAGTAATGTCTAATTATTTAAAGCCCAAAGAGAGAAAAAACAGCTGTTATTCCACTATTATGCTATCATATTTGGCTGCCCCTTTCACTGGGTTATTACTATTGGTATCTGGGAATATACCCGGCCCTTCTCTGATCTCCTGTGTCCCAACAGTCCAAAGGAGGGGGATAGCCAGCTGCTTCTCCTTGTCTCATTGTCTGGCCATGGGGAATGCTTTGGCTGTCACTTGCAGCTCCTCTTCTGAGTCTGTAGCGACTGGGGAAGTGCCTAGCTGGTTTTATCTTTTCTAGATGCAGAGGATGCAACAGGGAACCAGAAACGCCTTCCTGAAAATGTCATTTGTTTGTATTTTCTGGGTCTCTTACAGAATCTCTGGGACTCATGCAGAGGCAGAAAAGGATACTCTCTATCTCCCTATGACTTTTATTAAATCCTAAGATTTTAAAATGTAGTAACTGGGACTCATTCTGATCTTAGTTGAATGAATTCTCATTACTGTGTTTCTTTTCCATGTTAAAGAAATATAATATTTGTGCTTCCTTAAAACTAAAATTACAACTGAAATCAGCATAGTGAGTGGTTCACTTAGAGTGGAAGGTTTAAAGCAATAGAGGAGTTTATATTTAATAAAATTACTCATGTGGCCCGGCGCAGTGGCTCATGCCTGTAATCCCAGCACTTTGGGAGGCCGAAGCAGGTGGATCACCTGAGGTCAGGAGTTCGAGACCAGCCTGGGCAACATGGTGAAACCCTGTGTCTCTACTAAAAATACAAAAAAATTAGCCGGGCCTAGTGGCAGGCGCCTGTAATCCCAGCTACTCAGGAGGCTGAGGCAGGAGAATCACTTGAACCCAGGAGGCAGAGGTTGCAGTGAGCTGAGATTGCGCCATTGCACTCCAGCCTGGGCGACAGAGCAAGACTCCTTCTCCAAAAAAAAAAAAAAAAAAAAAAATTACTCACAAATCTATAATTGCCTCCTCCTTCTACTTGGTTTTACATTTTCCTATATCCTGTGATTTATTGCAAGTTACTACCAATACCTTTTGAAGTCCATATGGGTAAATATTGTAAGTAAATAACTAATATATAACATTTTCTTTTTTTTTTTTTAGAGATAGGGTCTCTCTCTGTCACCCAGGCTGGAGTACAGTGGTGTGATTACAGCTTATGGCAGATTCAACCTCCTGGGCTCAAGCAATCTTCCTGCCTTAGGCTCCCAAGTAGCTGAGACCACAGGCACATTCCACCATGCCTGACTAATTTTTTTTTTTTTTTTTTTTGTAGAAACAGGATCTCACTATGTTGCCCAGGCTGGTCTCAAGCTCATGGGCTAAGTGATCCTCTTGCTTCAGCCTCCCAAAGTGCTGGGATTACATGCATGAGCCACCATGCCTGGCCTAAAACATTTTCTTAATCATCACTGTGTGCTTATGTGTTCTGGCACTGTTCTGTATGCTATGGAGAAAGGCTAATAAGATATTTTGGGTCCTTTATTTATTTATTTATTTGTTTATTTTTTATGCTGAACCCAATTGTTCGGAATATTTTGTGTCCTTATGTAGATTGTAACCCAGAGACTCAGATAAGGAGTGATACCTTATTTATACTATTTATCCACAAGTCAGGCATTACGTTTGAAATGTTTTTCTAGTAGTACTAATGAGCTTGTGCTGCACCAACCACTTACTCCTTAGTGGCTTCTTCTTTGACTCATGCATACATTTTATAGAAGTCTTAGAGTAGGGACTGTGGGTTTTGTTCCTGAAACAAAACAGAGATAACTAGAACACACCGGTTTCTAATTCCCAAGCCTGGCCTGATTTCTATCATCCTCTAACCTGCTAATCACATCTCCACGAAGAAGGGAGCCAAGTGCAGAGAGGAACATGTTTCCCAGTTTTAATTGCAACAATTTATGTAACAGCATGTGACACCAAGCTCTAATAAACTGGCAAAGATCAAATCAACAAATACATAGCATGATATATGATGATAAATGATAAATATATAATGCAAGTTTATTTTATTTCTCTTGGGATAATGCTGAAAGGAAGAACAGAGATAATTAAAGGGAGAAAGTAATTTGTTTGCAAATATTAGGAACATCTTCTGAAAAGGCCAAGAGGCAGAAAGGAAATGGAGACTGTGGAAATGATTTATGAAAAATAAGGAAACAAAAGTACCTGATGGACTTATAGACTGTAAATCAGCAAAGACACGATTGGTAATGAAGGCCATTAAGACAGAACTAACTGGTGGAAAGTGCTGGAGCCTGCAGTCAATATCTTTAACTTTATTTAGAAGGGTGCTATAGAATTTTTGAGGCCTAATAGACCATAGAAGTGGCATTTGAGAGAAGGATTTTAAGATCCTTAAGAAAATAAACCATTTAGAATCAGCCAGATTGATAAGTAAGTGTAATCTTCTGTTTATGGCAGAAGAGCTATGAGAAGTTCAGAGAAGAAAAACAACAATATAATTTAGTTATTAACTATAGGGGCAGGGGGCAGAAAATAAGACTCAGCATTCCTAAAAGATGAATTTCATGATCTGCCTTACTCTTTGGTAGGATTTATAGGCATTGCAGCATTACAGTTTTTACATCATAGGCAGTGTCTGCCTTCACGGCGAACATGGGTTTCCAAGTCTCCTAGCAGCTATTTAGCCTCAGAATAGGTCCGTTAATAACAGCACAAATTCTTTCTTCCATCCATTCTCACAGGTACAGTGGTAATCTCAACTTTTTAGAGTCGGAAGGAAACTCCGAAGACATTCTAGTTCAACTTTCTCATTTTACAGGTTAGAGAGGATATATGATTTGTTCAAGGCCATACAGTTAGTTTAGTGCTGAAGGAGAGTAAAACCCAGGCTTACAAGTTCTCAATAGTGTTGCCAAATGTATTTGTTTCTATTTCAAATATGCCAAATGTATGTTTATTCTATTTTGAAAGGACCAGTTAGCCAAATATTATTCTAGTTTTTGAAAAAATGATAAAGTGCCATGTTAAACAGAAAACTGTGAAGTCATACCACTTTTTTTTTAATTAAAAAAAATAGAGGTCGGGCATGGTGGCTTATGCCTGTAATCCCAGCACTTTGGGAGCCCGAGGTGGGTGAATCACTTGAAGTCAGGAGTTTGTGACCATTCTGGCCAACATGGTGAAACCCCGTCTCTACTAAAAAATACAAAAATTAGCTGGGCATGATGGTGGGCACCTGTGATCCCAGCTACTTGGGAGGCTAAGGCAGGAGAATCACTTGAACCTGGGGGACGGAGGTTGCAGTGAGCCGAGGTCACACTACTGCACTCCAGCCTGGGCAAGAGAGTGGGACTTGCCTCAGAATAAAAAAAAAAAGAGAGACGGGTCTCATTCTGTCGTCCAGGCTGCTCTTGAACTCCTGGGCTCAGGCTATCCACCTGCCTCGGCCTCCCAAAGTGCTGGGATTACAGGCGTGAGCCACTGCACTCCTGCCTTTTTCTTTTCTTTTCTTTCTTTTTCATGTTTTTTTTCTGAGACAGAGTCTCACTCCCTTGCCTAGGATGGAGTGCAGTGGCATGATTACAGTCATGAGCCATCATCCCCAGCTTTATCTCACATTTTTTTTTTTTTTTTGAGACAAAGTTTCACTCTCGTCGCCCAGGCTGGAGTGCAATGGCGTGTTCTCGGCTCACTCAACCTCCGCCTCTTGGATTCAAGCAATTCTCCTGCCTCAGCCTGCTGAGTAGCTGGGATTACAGGCACCTGCCACCATGCCCAGCTAATTTTGTATTTTTAGTAGAGACTGGGTTTCACCATGTTGGCCAGGCTGGTCTCAAACTCCTGACCTCAGGTGATCTGCCTGCCTTGGCATCCCAAAGTGCTGGGATTACAGGCATCAGCCACCGCGCCTGGCCTATCTTACTTTTATCTAACATTTTTATTTCAAAATATTTCAGACATACAGAAAAAGATATAGTATAATAAATACACATGTACATACCACCTTGCTTGAAAGTATCCTAACATTTTGCCATTTTTTTGCTTCACATCCTTCAAAACAAATAATACAATAAAAATACAGGTAAAGTTTCCTGTATTCCTCCCCATCTCATTCCCCTCTCTCCCTTCCTCCTCAGAGGTAACTGCTATCCTAAAATACATATCATCTCCCTTCATTTTTTTTTTTTTTTTTTTTTTCTGAGTCGGAGTCTTGCTCTGTCGCCCAGGCTGGAGTGCAGTGACACGATCTCGGCTCAATGCAAGCTCCGCCTCCCAGGTTCACACCATTCTCCTGCCTCAGCGTCCTGAGTAGCTGGGACTACAGGCGCCCGCCACCATGCCTGGCTAATTTTTTGTATTTTTAGTAGAGACGGGGTTTCACCGTGTTAGCCAGGATGGTCTCGATCTCCTGACCTTGTGATCCACCCGCCTCAGCCTCCTAAAGTGCTGGGATTACAGGCATGAGCCACCACGCCCAGCCCTCGCTTCATATTTTTATACTTTTATAATACATATAGGTATCTACAAACAACAGATAACATTTTTCTTATTTTTAAGTATATAGCATCATACTCTACATATCCTTTTACAATTTGTTTTTTCCATTCAACGTTATATTTTTGAGATTTATCCATGTTGATAAATGTAGTTCTTCTATTTCTTCTGTTTTCACTGATATATAGTATTCCCATTCTTTCTTTTTTTCCTACTGATTTTCTGCTTACAAAAATAAAAATATATAAACCTCCAATTTTTGGATTCATTATTGTTATAATCAGTAAGTAGAAAACTAAGTCACTCTGACATGAAGAGTCAAGTTTAAATGCTTGGGAAATAAGGAGGTGGAGGTTGCAGTGAGCCACTGCAGAGTGCCACTGCACTCCAGCCTGCATCACAGAGGGAGACTCCATCTCAAAAGAAAAGAAAAAAAATACCTGGGAAATGATTTTTCAGAAATAGTGAAGCTAAAACAAAAATGAAATTGTAGGTCCTACATTTCAATGACACAATGAAAAATGTTAAGAAGCCATTGAAATGAAATTTTTAGAGTGTCAAACACAAGATTAACAATTATCTTTTGTTTAGAAAAAGACAAGGCTGAATATTATATTTGCATACCAGTTACCACAAAATTTAAGTGAAATCTATATGGTTATTCTATCTCAGCAATAGAAAATTTCTTTTCTAAGCCTATTTATTAAAAATGGCAAAAAACAAATTCTCTGTAACCTCAAAAGTTTTATTTTAGTAGCTTCAACAAGAATAATTTTTTATTACAGGTAATTACATTTGTTATAATGATTGCTATAGAAAGTTTGTTTACTCTAAGTTTAAATTATAAACTATGTGTCAGCACTGTCCTGGGTACAAGAAGAAAAAAAAAATCATAGAAAAAAAATTATAGACTATGTTTGATCTAGGAGGTTGATTTTTCTTAGTAATGTTATAATTAAACCAAAAGTTTAGTGTAAAACATTAAACTTTTTCTTGTTAATTTAGATGTACAATTAATATATAAACCTTATGTAATATATAAGGGTATTCTTTTTAAGTAAGTTGACTTCCTAGAAAAATAAATGACTTAAACACACAAAAATCCATGTAGAATCTGACTTTTCCAGGACATAGTTGTATCAACAAACCATAAATTATTTCTCCATTTTCTATTAATATTAATTTAGGTCTTTTTTTTTTTTTTGAGACGGAGTTTCACTCTTGTTGCCCAGGCTGGAGTGCAATGGCACGATCTCGGCTCACTGCAACCCTGCCTCCCAGGTTCAAGCAGTTCTCCTGCCTCAGCCTCCCGGGTAGCTGGGATTACAGGCACGCGCCACCACGCCCGGCTAACTTTGTATTTTCAGTAGAGACAAGGTTTCTCCATGTTGGTCAGGCTGGTCTCGAACTCCCAACCTCAGGTGATCCGCCTGCCTCGGCCTCCCAAAGTGCTGGGATTACAGGTGTGCGCCACTGTGCCCAGCCTAATTTAGGTCATTTCTAATTTTTTTGCTATTACAATGTTTTTGGTACTGTTCTGGTACTTATCATCTTGAGCACATGTCAGAGTTTCTGTAGGGTACACACCTAAAAATGAAATGTTAGGTCATAGGGTATGAGTATCTTCATCTTTACTAGATATTGTCAAATTCCTTTTCAAATCAGCTCTACCAATAAGCACTATATATACAAATGCATTGCTTGGCATTGTTAGATTTTTGAAATTTTTGTAAAGATGATGGGTATAAAATGTTTACATATTACATATTACATTATTATTAATATTAAATATTGCATATTTTTTGTTTGCATTGCCCTGGTTACCAGTAAAGTTGAATATCTTTTCATATATATGTATTAGCTATTCAGATTCTTCTTCTATGAATTCTTATTCTTTGTGAATTTCTATTTAGAGTGTTTCTCTTTTTCTTGTCCATTGGTAGAAATTGTTCAAATATTCTGAATCTTAGTCCTAGTCCTTGCTAGTTTTATATCTTGCATATATCTTCTACCTATGGCTTATTTTTTCACTTTCATTATGGTGACTTTTGTTGGATAAAAGTTGTTTACCTGTAATCCCAGCACTTTGGGAGGCCAAGGCGAGCAGATCACCTGAGGTTGGGAGTTCGAGACCAGCCTGACCAACATGGAGAAACCCCGTCTCTACTAAAAATACAAAATTAGCTGGGCTTGGTGGTGCGTGCCTATAATCCCAGCTACTAGGGAGGCTGAGGCAGGAGAATTTCTTGAACCTGGGAGGCGGAGGTTGCAGTAAGCAGAGATCACACCATTGCACTCCAGCCTGGGCAACAAGAGCGAAACTCCGTCTCAAAAAAAAAAAAAAATTGTTCATATTAGCATACTCCAGTTTATCAATTGGTTCCTTCTGTTTTGTAATTTTGTGCCTTGAGATATCCCTCCTTATCTGAAGTCACAAAAGTATTTTCTTTAAAAAATTTTGGAATTTTTATTTTCATTTTTTAATTGTTAATTCATTTGCAATTTTTTCTGCTTATATTATGAGGTAAGAGGCTAACTTTATTTTATTTTTCCATATGGGTACCCAGTAGTTTCCACATCACTTACTGAAGAGCCCATCATTTCCTCTCTGGTTTGTAACCAGTCATATACTAATTTACATATATGTATAAGCATTTATCTCAGTTCCATATTCTTTTCTATTAGCTATTTTTTCTCTACCAACTATCTTAATTCTTAATAGCTTTATAAGTCTTTATATTTAGTAGGGTAAGTCACCCCCCTACACACACCCTTTCCTTCAGTTTTATTTGTTTGTTTTTTGTTTTTTTTTCTTTTGAGATGGAGTTTCGCTCTTGTGGCCCAGGCTGGAGTGCAATGGTGTGACCTCAGCTCACTGCAATCTCTGCCTCCCGGGTTCAAGTGATTCTCCTGCCTCAGCCTCTCGGGTAGCTGGCATTACAGGTGCCTGCCACCATGCCCAGCTAATTTTGTATTTTTAGTAGAGACCGGCTTTCTCCATGTTGGTCAGGCTGGTCCTGAACTCCTGACCTCAGGTGATCTGCCCACCTCGGCCTCCCAAAGTGCTGGGATTACAGGCATGAGCCACCATCCCTGGCTTCTTCAGCTTTTAATGGTATATATTTTAGCCCTATATTTATATTAGACTTTAAACTATGGGAACTTGACTAGACGAAAAATTCATTCATGCGAAGAAATTGCAGACAGTCCAGATGAAGGCCAACTGTGTGTGCTGACAAAAATATGAGAACATCTGCCTCCAATTAATACTGAGTTGTGAGGAAACAGGAAATTGAACTGTAGGGAGAAGCAGGAAATATTACTGCAAACAAATAGCCAACAGGTAAAAGGGAGTTAAGATGGTCCTGGGACCCTGCTTCATTACCGTTGTTTTCCTGAATAAGTCTTTTGAAATGAGATATGATTGGATAAGAAAATTCTTTGCAAGAACTTATATAAGCTCTCATATCAACTCTATTCATGTATTTTATTTTAATTATTTTAGAGAGAAAGTTTTATTGCAAGACAGCTGAGCAAGGAGACAGAAGATGGGCTCAAATCTGCCTCCCCTCCTCAGCTCACAAGCTCACAAGCAGTATATTTAAGGACAGTGGTTTTAGGAGCTCTCATATCAACTTTATTACACTGACTTGATTCCTGAGCAGGTTTAAAGGAATAATATAAAGATATTGAGTATTTGTCAACTTTCAGCTTAGGAGAAATTTAGTCACTCTTATATGAAGAGTCAGGTTTGAATACTTGGGAAACAATCTCTTCATGAACAGTGAAGCTAAAATAATGTGAGGTGGCACATGTAATTGCACTGGAATCTGCCTGCAGCTACAGTTCTCATGTAAACTGATTAATGAGATGATGCTTGTTCCAAAGCTCAAAAGGCTTCCCAGAGCGCTGCTGAACCCCAGTCCTACATTTGGCCTCTCTAGTTTGTTAACAAAGATTTGAAGGACAACAGTCTAGATGGAAACCTGAGCAAGATATCAATAAATAGAATGCTCCTTCCCCACCTCCCTGCCAATACCCCCAGCAAAAAAAAAAAAAAGTACAAATGGAATGAACATTCCATTCAGCATAACAATTGGACTTTGTACTGAGAAACAAACAATAGGCATATATATATACACACACACACACACACACACACACACACACACATATATCTATATATATATCTTGCTCTGTCACCCAGGCTGGAGTGCAGTGGTGTGATCCCAGCTCACTGCAACCTCTGCCTACCCAGTTCAAGCAATTCTCCCGCCTCAGCCTCCCCGGTAGCTGGGATCACAGGTACCCACCACCTTGTATTTTTAGTAGAGACGGGGCTTCACCATGTTGGCCAGGCTGGTCTCGAACTCCTGACCTCAGGTAATCCACCCACCTTGGCTTCCCAAAGTGCTAGGATTACAAGAGTGAGCCACTGCACCCGGCCAAGATTTACCTTTTGGAAAATAGTTAGGTTGAACCCTGTGAAATGGCTGTTTTGGTAGGTTAGAAATGGCCAAATACCAGCAGATTCATAGGATTCAGCTCTATAAAACAGGCCACAGTTCCACAAGTCTCACAATTTCATTCAGCAAACATTTATTGAAGGCCCTAATGTAGCTTTTGTTTTCAGGCAACTTTCATTCTAGTGAGGAATTCTAAAATATACACAAATAATTGCAAATCAGAATGAGGAATGCAATAGTAAAGGGACAGGATAGCACAAAGAAAGGTGTCATCGGGTCAGCTCAGTCAGGCAAGGAAAGACTTTACAAAGCAGGTGATGTTTAGTTGAGTAATTAGAAAGGAGTTGGGTTGGTTGAGGGATGGACAGTGTCTTTTTAGATGGAGTGAACTACCTATGTAAGGTCTTTGAGGCACAAACAGGATGGCAAGTTCAAGGAATAATGCTGTTAAATCATTTAGGATGTCTGGATCTATAGGGGAGGGAAGGTAGCTGGAGGCTGCAGGAAAATAAGAGTAAGGACAGAAAATAAGTATGGAGAGAGATTAAACAGGTATGGATTGTGGAATGAACAAGCATAGGCTGCCTTCAGTGTCATACTATAAGAATTTTGACTGTAAAGACATAACAATTTTTTTTTTTGAGACAGAGTTTTGCTCTTGTTGCCCAGGCTAGAGTGCAATGGTGCAACCTCGGCTCGCTGCAACCTCCACCTCCCAGGTTCAAGCATATTACAAGCATGAACCACCATGCCCGGCTAATTTTTGTATTTTTAGTAGAGACAGGGTTTCGCCACGTTGGCCAGGCTGGTCTCAAACTCCTGACCTCAGGTGATCTGTCTGCCTCGGCCTCCCAAAGTGCTGTGATTACAGGTGTGCCCGGCAGGATATAACAAATTAAATGTCTTCAATCAGATTATAGTAGGCTAGTGAAGTTTTAGCTGGGAGTTAACACGATCAACTTACCATTTTAGAAGGTAAGTAATTCTGTGAACTTAACAGTAGGGAGATTCGCTTAGAGTTTACAGGTATGAAGAAGTGAACTAAGGTAACAATCTGGAGATGCAGAGAATGGGAAGGAGTGAGAGATGTGGTAGAAGTAAAATTGAAAATGCTCAGCATACTTCGCTGGTCCTTTAGTTCTTTTGAAAAATGTGACATATTTTCTTTATTGAAGGTTCTATATGACTAAAATATCTGCATTGTGACTTTATAACAACTGTTATTCTGGACATCTTAATAACAATAAAATCACTGCATTGTGAATTTAATTAATTACCATCTAATCTTAAAATTAATTTTAAAACTTGGTTTAATTTTTCATTCTATTTGTTTTCTATTTGAGACATTATAGATATAACCACAATCTTCATAGAATCTTCTACTGCAAAGGAACATTCCTTTTCCTAGTTCTGAATGAAAGCATTTCTGATATGTGAAGAATTCTCATTCCTAAAGGGGAAGTAGTAATGCCCACAATCTTCTCATCGTCATGCCACTTGATAAAGGGAAAAGCTAATTTAATTCTTTTTTAATTTGTTTTTAAAAACATAGAACACTTCACGAATTTGCATGTCATCCTCCTGCAGGGACCATGCTAATCTTTGTATCATTACAATTTTAGTATATGTGCTGCCGAAGTGAGCTGCTAATATACCCTTAATCCATTTTTTCCCCTGGAAATCACTATCCATAAGAAATAATGTCAGAAAATGAGTTTTTTATTAGTTTAATTATTAAATTGAGCAATGATTATTTGAAATTATATATCCATGTGTGAAATTCAAATAATATTTAACTTTCATAATTCTTCCAACTTGTTCACTAAAATCTTACTCTAAAAGCTAAATAAAATAATTTTTTTCTAGAAATTCTTTTAGTGATTCTATTCACTGGAGAAAAACATTATACAATATGTTTTATTATACTAGACAGTGTTGTTTCTAGTCAATGAATGCTATCTGACAGGACAAATAGTTGGCACCAAAACCACTAACACATTCAGAACGTAATCTCCCCTGAATCCAGCTTGAACTCTCAAAAACTGGCTGTGGAGTATACTGTACTTTGTAATAGAAAATTCACACTTTAAAAAATGGACAAAAATAGTTATCTCAGCTCCGTTGTTAAAGACTGCTCCATATATTTTTTCACAATTAAGGTAATATTTATTTATTTATCTATTTATTTGAGACAGGATCTTGCTCTGTTGCCCAGGCCAGAGTAAAGTGGTGTGATCGACTCTCTGTAGACTTGAATCCTCAGGCTCAAGTGATCCTCCTGACTCAGCCTCCTGAGTAGCTGGGACTACAGGTGTGTGCCACCACACTCAGCAATTTTTTTTTTTTTGTAAAGATAGGATCTTTCTTTGTTGCCCAAGCTGGTCTTGAACTCCTGGCCTCAAGCAATCCTCCCACCTCAGCCTTCCAAAGCCACTTGTATTACAGGCATTAGCCACCATGCCCAGCCATTAATACATTAATATTTAAATTTTATGGTCATGTCAGTGTTTGGAAAATGTGTTAGATTTTCTAATTTAGGCTTCCTTTATATCTCTTGTCTACATCAAAGAGAAGTAACTGAATTATTTGATTCTGTGCCTGTTTTTTAAATCAATTAATTAATTTTTTATTTTTTTATTTTTTTGAGATGGAGTCTCACTCTGTTGCCTGGGCTGCCGTGCAGTGGCACAATCCCAGCTCACTGCAACCTCCGCCACCCGAGTTCAAGCAGTTCTCCTGTCTCAGCCTCCCGAGTAGCTGGGATTAGAGGCGTGCACCACCACACTGGGCTAATTTTTGAATTTTTAGTAGAGACGGGGTTTCACCATGTTGGCCAGGCTGGTCTGGAACTCCTGACCTCAAGTGATCCATCTGCCTTGGCCTCTCAAAATGCTGGGATTACAGGCGTGAGCCACCGCACCCAGGCTTCTGTGTCAATTTTTATCTTTTGCAATCATTTCATATTCTATACCTCACACTCTATCTCACTTTGACTTCTTCAATATATAGTACTTTTTTTATATTAAGATCAGTCAGGCCAGGTGCTGTGGCTCATGCCTCTAATCCCAGCACTCTGGGAGGCTGAGGCAAGAGAATCACTTAAGTCCAGGAGGCAGAAGTTGCAGTGAGCCAAGATCATGCCACTGCACTCTAATCTGGCCGACAGAGCCAGACTCCATCTCAAAAAAAAAAAATAAATAAATAAGATCAGTCAATGGTATAAGAGTAAAAATGCTTTTTATGGAATACTGTTGTTAAACCTTCATTATTCTGGTTGTTAAACTCAAAAAAGATCAATAAAACATAGGCTGCTTTTGGATTTGATAGCTGCTGTTTCAAAGCGTCATTTTATTTTATCTTATTTTATTTTGAGACAGGGTCTTGCTCTATTGCCCAGGCTGGAGTGCATTGGTGCTACCATAGGTCACTGCAGCCTCCAACTTCTGGGTTCAAGTGATTCTCCCACCTCAGCCCCCTGAGTAGCTGGAACTACAGGCGCATGCCATCATGCCTAGCTAATTTTTAAATTTTTTGTAGAGATGAGGTCTTGCTACATTGCCCAGGCTAGTCTTGAACTCCTGGCCTTGAGTGATCCTCCTGCCTCAGCATTAAAATAATACTGAATTTTAAAATGAAAAAAAAAATTCTTCTATATGCAGTCACATTTCAGCATTTAGCAGCTCTGAAAAGAATTTAGAAAAGGTACCAATTGGCCGGCCACAAGGCTAAGCCAGACAAAATCTGTTTCTGTTAGGCACAGCTAGTTCTTTCTTTATTCCCATTGAGGAATGTGAAAAGCAATGATACTAAATCTAAAAAAAAAAAAAAAAAAAAAGTGCGTCATATTCAAAATTGTTTTATTTCCTAAGCATTTTTTTCTTTTTCTTTTCTTTCTTTCTTTCTTTTTTTTTTTTTTTTTGAGACAGAATTTCTCTTTTGTCAGCCAGGCTGGAATGCTGAAATGCGATGGCATGATCTGGGCTCACTGCAACCTCCACCTCTCAGGTTCAAGTGATTCTCCTGCCTCAGCCTCCTGAGTAGCTGGGATTATAGGTGCCCACCACCACGCCCAGCTAATTTTTGTATTTTTAGTAAAGACAGGGTTTCACCATGTTGGCCAGGCTGGTCTCAAACTCTTGACCTCAGGTGATCCACCTGCCTCGGCCTCCCAAAGTGCTGGGATTACAGGCATGAGCCACTGAGCCTGCCCTATTTCCTAAGTATTTTAACTACATATTGCTACTTAACAAACTACCCCAACTTCATGGCTTAGAACACAACCATCTTATTTGCTCACAATTTAGCGGGTCATCAATTTGGTCTGTGTTCAGCTGGGTAGTTCTTTTCTGGTCTCCCCTGGGGTCATTCATATAACTGCAGTCATGTGGCATCGTGGCTGGAGCTCGATGGTCTGGGATGGCCTCACTTACACATCTGGGTTTAGTGTTAGCTGTAGATGGGGCACCTCTCTCCATATGATCTCTCTTTCTCATGAAGGGTAGCTCAGGCTTCTTCACATGGTAGTATCAGGATTTCAAAAGGGTGAGAGCTCAGAAAGTCACTTCCATAGCATTCTGTTGGTCAAAACAAAGTACAAGGCCAGCCCAAATTCAAGGGAATGAAGAAACAGTCTCTATCTTTTGATGGGAAGAGATGTAAAGCCACATTTCTTTTTTATTTTAAAAAAATTTTTTTAAGTAAAAAAAAATTCTAAGTAGAGACAGGGTCTTGCTATATTGCTCAGCTTGGTCTCAAGATCCTGGGCTCAAGTGATCCTCCTGCCTTGGCCTCCCAAAGTGCTGTAACTACAGGTGTCAGCCACTATGCCTGACCTAAAGTCACAATTAACAGGAGTGTATACAAAAAGGTGGGAAGAATTAGTGACTATTTTTTTTCAATCTACTATGTTAACAATGGCTCAAAATTCAGAAACAATACATAAAAAGATTGATCAATTTGATTACACTGAAATAAAAATATCTTATACTACAAACATACCATAAGTAAAATAAAAAGATAAATCACAAACTTGGAAGAATATTTGTAATTTATATCACAGACTAAAGTTTAATGTCCCTAGCATAGAAAGAGCTTCTAAAAAACAGAAGAAGGAAGGACTGACACACTACAGGAAAATGCACTGAGATGTAAACAGACAGATTGCAGAAAAAGAAATGCATAGAGTCCTTACCATTAAAAAAAATGTTTTTATGGTCCCTAATCATAAAAAAAAAGTCCAGGTGTGGTAGCTCATGCCTGTAATCCCAGCACTTTGGGAGGCTGAGGCGGGAGGATCTCTTGAGGCCAGCAGTTCGAGACCAGCCTAGGGAAAATAGTCACACCCTGTAGCTACAAAAAAAAAAGTATGTTAAAAAATTTTTTTTGGCCGGGCGCGGTGGCTCACACCTGTAATCCCAGCACTTTGGGAGGCTGAGGCAGGTGGATCACAAGGTCAGGAGATTGAGACCATTCTGGGTAACACAGTGAAACTCAGTCTCTACTAAAAATACAAAAAATTAGCTGACTGGCTGGGCGCGGTGGCTCACGCCTGTAATCCCAGCACTTTGGGGGCCGAGGCGGGCGGATCACGAGGTCAGGAGATCCAGACCATCCTGGCTAACATGGTGAAACCCCGTCTCTACTAAAAATACAAAAAAATTAGCCGGGCGTGGTGGCGGGCGCCTGTAGTCCCAGCTACTCGGGAGGCTGAGGCAGGGGAATGGCGTGAACCCAGGAAGCGGAGCTTGCAGTGAGCCGAGATTGAGCCACTGCACTCCAGCCTGGGAGAGAGAGCAAGACTCCGTTTCAAAAAAAAAAAAAAAAAAATTAGCCGAGTATGGTGGCAGGCGCCTGTAGTCTCAGCTACTCAGGAGGCTGAGGCAGGAGAATCCCTTGAACCTGGGGGGAGGAGGTTTCAGTGAATCAAGATCACGCCACTGCACTCCAGCCTGGGTGACAGAGCGAGACTCCATCTTAAAAAAAAAAAAAAAAAGACAATTTTTTTTAATATCCAACCTCACTTGTGTGTGTGTGTGTGTGTGTGTGTGTGTGTGTGTGAGACAAGGACTTACTCTGTCACTCAGGCTGGAGTGCAGTGGTGTAATCATGACTCACTGAAGCCTTGACCTCCCAGGCTTAAGCAATCCTCCCACCTCAGCCTCCTGAGTAGCTGGGACTACAGGCGCACACCATCATACCCTGCTAATGTTTTGTATTTTTTGTAGAGACAGGGTTTCACCATGTTGCCCAGACTGGTCTCCAACTCCTGGGCTCAAGCGATTTGCAACCTCAGCCTCCCAGAGTTCTGGGATTACAGGAGTGAGCCACGGGGTCCAGCCCTACCTCACTATTTTTTTTTTTTTTTTTTTTTTTGAGACGGAGTCTCGCTCTGTAGCCTAGGCTGGAGTGCAGTGGCGCGATCTCGGCTTACTGCAAGCTCTGCCCCCTGGGATCACGCCATTCTCCTGCCTCAGCCTCCCCAGTAACTGGGATTACAGGCGCCCGCCACCACGCCCAGCTAATTTTTTGTATTTTTTAGTAGAAATGGGATTTCACCATGTTAGCCAGGATGGTGTCGATCTCCTGACCTCGTGATCCGCCCGCCTCAGCCTCCCAAAGTGCTGCGATTACAGGCATGAGCCACCGCGCCCGGCCCCGACCTCCCTCTTAATAAGAGAAATGCAAATTTTAACTGCACTGAGGTATTTTTCGTTTGTCACATGAGCAAAAACCCAAATGTTAGGGCACTCACATACATTGCTGTTACTGCGTGTAAAACAGGAAACAGGCATTCACATACATTGTTGTTTTGGGAATGTAAAACGGTAGTTCTCCTATGAAAGGACTTTGGTAATAGCAGCAAAATTACAAATGTATTTGACCTAGTAATCCCTCTTTCAGAAATCTATCCCAATGATACAGTGGCAAAAATATATATGCATGAAGCTATACATTGCAGCACTATTTGTAATAGCAAATACTAGAAACAAGTCAAATGTTCATCAGTAGGAGACTGGTTGAATAAACAATCCATGGTACCCACACAACGTAGTTCTATGCAACCATGAAAAGCAATGAGAAATATTATTATCTATAATTTAGAGTAATCTCCAGGCATATACTTGAATGCAAAAAGCAAGGTAGAAAAATGTATGCGTATAGTAAATTACTGTTTATTTAAGAAAAATAATAATATATGTAATATATATAGTTTATATATATTATATATATAAAGGATGGGAAGAATTTGTGAGTAAATTCTTATATATATAAGAAATTCTTAAAATATATATATTCTTATATATATATATATAAGCTCTCTGTCTATATATATAGCTAAGAAAGAAGGATTTTGGCCTATCGTTCTTTCCATTTTTTCTTTGTATAAGCTATATATATGCTATATATAACATATATACTATATATGCTATATGGTATATATAAATACATATATCTAGTTTATATTAAAAAATGGAAAGAACGATAAGCCAAAATGATTCTGTATTGGAAAGTGGAAGGAACAGATGGAAAGAATATAGAGAAAGGGTATCACTATTTAACAACTCCTAATAAAATAATGAATCAATGGCTTCTAACATAATGAAGAGAAAAGCACCAAATATTATGCACCTGCTGATGGATGTATGAACATGAACTACAAATAATTCCTGCCAAAGCCAGGCACAGTGGCTCACCCCTGTAATCCCAGCACTTTGAGAGGCTGAGGTGGGAGGATCACTTGAGACCAGGAATTCAAGACCAGCCTGGGCAACATAGAGAGACCTTGTCTCTATAAAAAAATTTTAAAAATTAGCATGTGCTTGTAGTCCCAGCCACTTGGGAGGCTGAGGTTGGAGGATTGCTTGAGCCCAGGAGTTGGAGGCTGCAGCGAGCTATGATAGTGCCACTGCACTCTGGCCTGGGCAACAGAACAAGATCTTGTCCCTAAAATAAATAAATAAATAGGATTTTGATCAAATCTCTAAATCTAAATACCAATTTATAGGCAGTATGGGGGAGAGGAACATGTTAAAAGAAGACAAACACATGTGGTTGCAATAAGCGAAGTCCAGAGTGAAAAATTCTACAGATCAAATTAGTCACTTTATTGAAACCATAAATTGCAAAGAAAAGTAGAAGAGAGATGGAGGAGCAACCTGTAGAAAAAGAGACTTAAAGATGTATTTACCATTTGTGGACTTTTTTTTTTTTTTGAGATGGAGTCTCACTCTGTTGCCCAGGCTGGAGTGCAATGGCGTGATTTCGGCTCACTGCAACTTCCGCCTCCCAGGTTCAAGCAATTCTCCGGCCTCAGCCTCCCAAGTAGCTGGGATTACAGGCACCCGCCATCACGTCTGGCTAATTTTTGTATTTTTGTAGAGATGGGGTTTCTCCATGTTGGCCAGGCTGGTCTTGAACTCCTGACCTCAGGTGATCTGCCTGCCTCGGCTTCCTAAAGTATTGAGATTACAGGCGTGAGCCACAATGCCCGGCCACCTATTTGTGGACTTTAATTGGATTCTGACTTAAGAAACAAACTGAAGGGAGAGGGAAATCCTTTATGAAGCAGTTGAGGAAAATTTGATCATTGACTAGATAATTAACAATAGTAAACAATTATTATTATTTTACAGACATATATCCAGTATCATAGATTTGACTTTATAACCTTACTCACATGTCTCAAATTAGTGTTAGCTGTAGGTGGGCCCTCAGTCGTGGTGGTCAAAGGTAATGGATAGGAATATGAATACAAGATTTGCCACGAGTTGATAATTGGTAAATCTGGGTGTAGTGCACATGAGGATTCATTATACTATTCTCACTACTTGTGTTTGAAATTTTATACAATAAAACATTAGAATAAAAAAGTATGAAGTTTTTTTAAGATGAGGAAACTCTTTTTTTATTTTTTTTTTATTTTTATTTTTTGAGACGGAGTCTCGCTCTGTCGCCAGGCTGGAGTGCAGTGGCACAATCTCGGCTCACTTCAATCTCTGCCTCCTGGGTTCAAGCGATTCCCCTGCCTCAGCCTCCTGGGTAGCTGGGACTACAGGTGCGCACCACCACGCCTGGTTAATTTTTTGTATTTTACTAGAGACGGGGTTTCACCATGTTGGCCAGGATGGTCTCGATCTCCTGATCTTAGGTGATCCGCCCACCTTTGCCTCCCAAAATGCTGGGATTACAGGCGTGAGCCACCTTGCCTGGCCTGTGTTTTTTTTTTTTTTTTTTTGAAACACTCCTAGTAGACTCTGTAAAATACCTAGAATTGTGGCGATTCATCCTATGATTATGAGAAGGATAAAGCCAAAACATTCTATTTTTATTGACACAGGGTCTTGCTCTGTCGCCTAGGCTGGAGTGCAGTGGCATGAACATGACTCACTGCAGCCTCGACTTCCTGGGCTCAAGTGATCCTCCTGCCTCAGCTTCCCATGTAGCTGGGACCACAGGCAGTTGTCACCACACTTGGCTAATTTTTTAATTTTTTTGTAGAGACCAGGCTGCCCAGGCTGGTCTCAAACTCTTGGGTTCAAGTGATCCTCCTGCCTTGGCCTCTCAAAGTGCCGGGAATACAGGTGTGAGCCACTGTGCCTTGCCCAAAACATTCTTGGTAGAGCAGGACAACAGATACAACCAAGGTCTTGATGACTGAGCCACGAAATAAGCCAACCCTGGATATCTAGTTATATAATAACAATCTATCTAGTTATGTAATAATGATCTTTGTCATTTAATCCCTTTTGAGTATGTTTCTGTTATTTTTAGTAGAAAATGGAGGAAAATGCATTTGTATGTGTGGGCAAGGTCTCATTGCCCTCTAGCTGAAGAATGATAACAACTCCAGAATCCTATTCTTAGAGCCTGCTTCGTAGGATCACATGCAGTACCAATGATCTAAAGTGATATTCCTTAGAAACAGGGATTCTTTGGCCAGTCTTTTATGAGAAGAGTATTCCCCGGAGAATGGAGGGAGGAAAGCAGAAAAGGGCAGGGGGAAGAGCTAAGCAGGGAAGTCATCTCGGCTGGAGACCAGCTTCAATCTGCTCCTTGGGGTGGGCTGGAGCATGAACTATTCAATTGTACTGCAGAGTTGGTGCCATCTTTTGTAATACTATGGCAGTCAGTCATTGGTTGTGAACTGCCTATGGTGAGGGTGGGGTGTGGGGTGTAACACTCATAGCAGCTGGGGATAAATGTACCCAGTTAAGGGGTCCAATTAAGGGGATCTAGGCAGAGCATCGGCAGTGTCCACTACAATTTCCCAACTTACTCCATAGCCAAAACCTTACATGACCCTGCATGATCTAGCCCACCCTGCCTACCCACTCCCTTTCTCTCTGAGACCATCTCTGGCTACTCTCCCTCTTTTTCACTCCACTTTAGCCACACTGGCCACCTCGCAATTCCTCAAATTCCCAGCAGGATCCTGTTTTAGATCCTTTGCCCTTTTCTGTTCCCTTACCTGGCTGATTCCCCTAACTCCTACCATTAGATGGTCCCTTATATATCTTTCAGGTTTCTACGCAAAAGACACCTTCCTAGTAAGGCCTCTTTTGGCCATCCTATCTAAAATTACAACTTCCACCTCAGACTAACACTTACAATCCTTTTATTTTCGTTACTTTTATCCTTAGCACTTATCAGTACCTAACACACTATATCATTTTCTCATTTGTCTTCTTACCTGGTTCCACTCTAGAATATAAACCGGGAGCACTTAAAACAATACCTATTATGTTGTAAGTGCTCAGCTAATATTTGTTGAACACGTGAATGAATGAAAGATTCCTGGCACAAAGTGCTAATCTTCAATAAATATTGTTTGAACTGAACTGAAACAGAAAATATCTACATAGTCCCCTGTGTAAGTACTATAGATGGGAGAGGGCATACATATTGTTACATGCAGGGTTCTCCATAGATTATATGCTCTTTCTTCAATAATATTACGAAAGCCTACATTTCTCATGTGATGTTATGTACCTGTATGTTAATATGTATTATTTGTACATGCAAATATTAGTGAAAAAAGTAGAAGCACCAAAGCTTTTCTAATTTTATTTGACTCAAACTATATTTTAGACCTACATATCATACAATAAAGTAAGCTGAAAGCATAGTGAAATTAAAGTAAATACAGGTTGTATGGATAGCTCAATTTCTTTAATATAAAATGTAAATTCAGAGATGACTGGGATAAAAGAAAAGTGTCTAGAAAAAAAAACCAAAGATGAAACTATTTAAGCTCTTTACTGCAATGTCATATTCTGATCTCAGACAGTAGAAGAGTAGTAAGAAATGTACAATCTCAAGTCTCTCAGTCCTAAAATCTATCAGTGGATGCCAAAAATCTTCAAGACCCATTAACGTTTTCTAGAAAATAAGTCTTTTTTTTTTTAAACTAAGTGTACTAAAAACACAAAAGCACTTATCAGACACCCTATGGCATTTGTTGCTGAAATGTCTACCGGCTGGAGATTAGCCTTGAGCCGAAGCAGCCTCAGAGCCAACACTGGCTTCCTCCTGTAAATCATCTCCAGCAGAGGACTCTGACTCAGCTGGAGAATTTTCTTCTTCTAGTTCAGCATATTCATCAGAGGTTTCGTTCTTTGTTGTATCTTTATCATTATCGATGGTGACAGCTTCATCCAGGGCAGCATTTGTAACCTCTGGGGTTGTTTCAGGGTTTACTTCCGTGGTTTCCCTCGCCGCTGCATCTGTGACCTCTGGCCCGGTTTCAGCACTGACTGCTGTGGTCTCCGGAGCAGCCTCCACGTGACCTGGACAGGCAGATGCCTCTTTTATGACCACAACTGTAGCACTGGGACTTTCTTCAGCATCTACCACCTCAGCTTCCACTATAAGTTCTTCTGGGGCTTCTGAACTTGCTTTCTCAGTTTCCGCAACATTCTCCTTTTCACCTTTAAGAATTAGTCATTAAGCAAGGTATTAATTTAAAGATCGTGGGAAGGCAATGAAACACTGCGGTCGTTTAAACACCTAAGACAGAACTACATGCACTGATGTGTAACAGTCTTCAAGGTAGACTCTCAAGTGAAACAGCAAAAAAAGAACAATGTATACAGTCTGCTACTATTGTTAGGGCAAAATGAGGTTGGAGCAGGAGGGGGGTAAGTTGTATGCCTAGATAATTGTATTTGCAAAAACTCTCCAGGAGGATTCCAAGAAACTGGTTCTATTGGTTGCCTCTTGGAGGGAAAATGGGGGATCTGCTTTTCTGTAAACTCTTTGAACTTAAAAAAAAACACACTTGAATATATTACTTAGGCAAATATGAAGAATACAAAAATAAGTAGCTATCCTATTCACCTTTCATATGAGACAGCATGGAAGAGTAGCCAAGTTCCTAGCTGGTGACTCAGAAATCACTAATCCTCTCTCAATCTCATTTTTGTCATCTGTAAAATAGGGTATTGATAATATCTACTGCACAGGGTTATTGTAAAGATTAATTAAAATACTGTATATGAAAAGGGGATTAAAATAAAAAGTTCTATGCAAATGCTTATTAGTATTATAAACAACCGCATGATTATATTCAATAATATGTATTGATGATATTCTGTTTCTTATTATTGTCATGACAGGTTAAAACTGATTCATAAGCCCCTAATATCTCTATCCCTAAATAGTGATCATAGTAATTGATAATAATAGCTTGGAAAAAAGTATGGTTTAAAGCAAGAAGTGGCTAGGCATAGTGGCATATGCCTGTAATCCCAGCACTTTGGGAGGCTGAGGCAGGAGGGATCACATGAGGCCAGGAGATCAAGACCAGCCTGGGCAACATAGTGAGACCCTGTCTCTGCAAAACATAAAAAATAAATTTGCTGGGTGTAGCGGTGCATGCTTGTAGTCCTAGTTGCTTGAGAGGCTGTGATGGGAAGATTGCTGGAGCCCAGGAGTTCAAGGCTGCAGTAGGCTATGATTGCACCACTGCACTCCAGCCTGGTTGACAGAGGGAGAGCCCGTGGAGGGAAGGGGGAAAGGAAGGGGGAAGGAAGGGAGGGTGGGAAAAAGAAGTGTAGGAAGGAAGGAAAGAGTGAAAATATAAAGTTTCTGTTCCCATGGTCACCATTTTATCAACTGAAGGACTCATTATACACAACTGATTCTATTATGTCAAATGTACCTTGTTTGCACAAAGGCACACAGGTGGTCTTAGCCAAAACTGAAAGATAATTTGTTATATTATTATTTTTAGATAATGAGAAAAATGAAAGCTCATGCCTGCATGGGTGGATGCCTGAGCAGGGGAAAATAATATTACCACACAAAGGAGTCAAAAGTCACTGGTCAGCAATATAAATGTAAAACATTCATTTGTCAAATGCATTCATCCAAAAGGTGTAACAGTGTTCTTCAGGTTTCAGTTGAACTTTTCCTTTCTAAATGAACTTATACCTAGAGTCATTCTGGATTAAGCTAGGAAAGAAGCCAAAAGCAAATAGTGTTCATTGCTAGACTAAGTGGATGGAAATTAGTGCCTCAAAAAATAAATAAAAATAAAAAATTAAGAAATTCATTTACCTTGAAATGGATGTATCTCTGCTTTTGTTTTTTCTTTCAAATTTGTTTTATGTTCTGTGTGTTTGGCTTGGTCTGATGTGACTGTCTTGTAAGCCTGAAAGTAAATGTATGCTTAGGTTTATTTCTTGAGCTTTAAGATTTGTCACGCCACATCCAAAGGTACACTCAAGTCTCCCTGTAATCACCATTAGAAGTTTAAACCATAATCCCAGTGTAGCAAAGAAGAGAAATCAGTGCACACCACTTACTCTTTTACTTCCCTTTTGGAAATCTTTGTTATTAAATAGAATGCTTTAAAAAGGAAGAAAGGTGAGACAGGGGATGAGGAGAGAAAAACTACCTATTGGGTACCATACTTATTACCTGGGTGACAAATCAATCTATACATCAAACCCCCATGACACATAATTTACCTATTAACAAACCTGCACATGTACACCTTAACCTAAAATAAAACTTTTTAAAAAGGGAAGGAAATAGATGCACTATCTTAGCCAAAGATAACTAAAAACAAGGAAGAAAAAAATGAATTATGCTACAACCAGAATATCCTGACAGGCATATACAAATATTTTCTAGCATTTATCCTTGAGAAATGGAAATCTAGGTTCACATGAAAACCTGTACACAAATGTTCATGGTACCTTTATTTGTAATAGTCAAAAACTGGAATCAGGCCGGGTGCGGTGGCTCATGCCTGTAATCCCAGCACTTTGGGAGGCTGAGGTGGGTGGATCACCTGAAGTCAGGAGTTCGAGACCAGTCTGGCCAACATGGTGAAACCCCATCTCTACTAAAAATACAAAAACAGCCAGGCATGGTGGTGGTGCTCGCCTGTAGCCCTAGCTACTCAGAAGGCTGAGGTGGGAGAATTGCTTGAACCCAGGAGGTGGAGGTTGCAGTGAGCCGAGATCATGCCATTGCACTCCACCCTGGGCGACAGAGCAAGACTCCATCTCAAAAAAAAAAAAAAAAAGAAAAAAGAAAGAAAGAAACAGTATTGGGAAGAAAGCTATTTTAATCACAGACAAAATGTGCAGGCTTCCTTTCATTTTATATTTAAGTAGTCTTCTTTGGCCTGTATTCATATTAGAAAATGATATAAAAAATGAAAATCTCATTATTCAGTTACTATTGTTTGTATTAATTTAGCTTTTAAGAAAATGTTGGTAGTGGTTTAACTTTTAATGGTAAGATGATAGATTTCTAAAATTTATTTATATATAGTGTCTTCTAAATTTTTAACCATCAGAAACCAAGTACCTTATTTAAAAATTGTACTACTTAATTACAAACAATTTTACAGTGTAAAAATTATGCTGTGAAAATAGAATGTCTGTAATGTCGGGGCCGGGTGCAATGGTCCACACCTGTAATCCCAGCACTTTGGGAGGCTGAGGCCAGCGGATCACCTGAGGTCGGGAGTTTGAGACCAGCCTGACCAACATGAGAAATCTGGTCTCTACTAAAAATACAAAATTAGCCGGGCGTGGTGGCGCATGCCTGTAATCCCAGCTACTCGGGAGGCTGAGGCAGGAGAATCACTTGAACCCTGTAGGCAGAGGTTGCAGTGAGCCGAGATCGCACCATTGCATTCCAGCCTGGGAAAGGAGGGAAACTCCGTCTCAAAAAAAAAAAAAAAAGAAAGAAAGAAAAGAAAAGAAAATCTGGGTCAAGCCTGTAATCGCAGCACTTTGGGAGGCCGAGGCAGGCGGATCATGAGGTCAGGAGATGGAGACCATCCTGGCTAACATGGTGAAACCCCATCTCTACAAAAAGTACAAAAAATTAGCCAGGAGTGGTGGCGGGCGCCTGTAGTCCCAACTACTCGGGAGGCTGAGGCAGGAGAATGGCGTGAACCCAGGAGGTGGAGCTTGCAGTGAGCAGAGATCGTACCACTGCACTCCAGCCTGGGCGACAGAGCGAGACCGCGTCTGAAAAAAAAAAAAAAAAAAAGAAAAGAAAATCTATAATGTCGGGTAGAAGTGATGTAAAGTGACCCTTTTATAGCAAACTTCCCGGGGTTTAGTGAACTCAGACTTGAATCATTTGGCTTTGAAACATACAGAGCAAATATGATCAACGGGAATGATAATCAACATTTTCTGTATAAAAGCAAGGAATATTTTCCGAGTAGGGTGTGTGTTCCTGACACCTTGTAGGACCAATATGATAAGTCAGTATCCCCAGTTCTCAGTACACAAACCGAACCAGTACACAAGTTCACATCCCTGAAAGGATCATTCCAGGAACAACATTCCAAGGGACATTAGTCTCATTGCTCAAGGGGCTAAAACACAAGGCAAGAAAAAAGACTAACTTTAGGGAGAATTGAAGAGATACAATACTAGAATAATTCACCCTAATGTGTGGCCCAAAGAATCTAGGTTTTCCAAATCCAGCACAGTCGAGCACAGAGTAGAATAAAGGCCTATTAAAAGAGAGGGTCTCAAATTTAGACTTTGGCAGTTATTTACAAATGATATTAAGTATTTATTAAGTATAAGCATTTAAAATATACTACAATTTTTATAAGCCAGTCTGGTACTACTTTTTAAGATATACCAGACCAGGCCGGGCATGGTGGCTCACATCTGTAATCTCAGCACTTTGGGAGGCCGAGGCGGGTGGATCACCTGAGGTCAGGAGTTCGAGACCAGCCTGGCCAACATGGTGAAACCTCATCTCTACTAAAAATACAAAAATTAGCCAGGCGTGGTGGCAGGCGCCTGTAATCCCAGCTGCTCAGGGGGCCGAGGCAGGAGAATCGCTTGAACCCGGGAGGCGGAGGTTGCAGTGAGATGAGATTGCGCCATCGCACTCCAGCCTGGGGGACAAGAGATACCCAGACCCTCAAAAAAACTGGAGTGATCTGGGCCTCTTTCAGATTCCAATGACCCCTAATAGTCGAGGATTTTGATTGCAAATGGAAAACTGCTTTTGGCTACTAAGCATCTGTGGGGTCAATTCATAAAAATCTAATATAGAGATTATTTTAGTACAGGACATGAAATGGAAGGGGAGAACAAGTATACAGGTTTTGGAGTGCCTTACATTCAGCATTTCCTCCTGAAAGTAGCCTAAGATTCCTGGCAATTAAGGCTTCCAACATTTGAGATTAAAATCACATAAACTTAGAAATGGAAGGGAACAACTTCCATCCCTACTGTGAGAGAACAAGGCCAGAAAGGGTTCTCAGGGATGGCTGGTTTATAAATGTATAACCTTTTAGTTTAAGATTCCTTTTGCAACCAGTGAGTTAGCAGTCTGGCAAAGTTTGTTTTTGGCACTGGTACATATTAATATAATCAGGGGTATAGTGATGTCCAAATGAAATTCATCCTTCTAGCTTCCCAGCCTATCACATGGCCTAGTCTCAATCTCTGTTTTTTTTTTTTGGTGGCCTACACCTCAACTAGAGTGGGTTTGAGCCATGAATTCAACATTAAACAGTAGAAAGATGACAGAACAAAGGAATCTGGGCACAAGTGAAAGCTGGCAGATTAGTAGAGGACAACAATATAAGTGACAAGTTTGCAGTTTCCTGACTCCTTGAGGCTCTCAAAATTCTGAAGATTATGACTAGCCTTAAAAAAATTTCTAGGCCGGGCTTGGTGGCTTATGCCTGTAATCCCAGCACTTTGGGAGGCCGAGGCAGGAAGATCACGAGGTCAGGAGATCAAGACCATACTGGCTAACACAGTGAAACCCCGTCTCTACTAAAAATACAAAAAAAAATTAGCTGGGCGTGGTAGTGGGCACCTGTAGTCCCAGCTACTCAGGAGGCTGAGGCAGGAGAATGGCGTGAACCCGGGAGGTGGAGCTTGCAGTGAGCCGAGATTGCATCACTGCACTCCAGCCTGGACGAGAGCGAGACTCTGTCCCCTCCCAAAAAAAAAAAAAAAAAAATTCTGAGGATTAGAATATGTATTTTGGTTTGGTTTGGTTTGGCCATCTTACATAGTCCTATGAAACTGCTTCTAGTTATGACTAAACATCTCTTTATTCATATTTCTTTTTTTTTTTTTTTTTTTGAGACGGAGTCTCACTCTGTCACCCAGGCTGAGTGCAGTGGTGCAATCTTGGCTCACTGCAACCTCCGCCTCCCCGGTTCAAGCAATTCTCTGCCTCAGCCTCCAGAGTAGCTGGGATTACAGGTGCCCGCCACCACGCCCGGCTAATTTTTGTATTTTTAGTAGAAATGGGGTTTCACCATTTCTTGACCAGGCTGGTCTTGAACTCCTGAACTCGTGATCCACCCACCTTGGCCTCCCAAAGTACTGGGTTTACAGGTGTGAGCCACCGGCCCGGCTTTATTCATATTTCCGTAGGTCCAAACCAAAATATAGTGACTGTGTACTCTTAGAGTTTACAAAGAATTTCTGCTTATTCTACTTTTATTCTTTACATTTTTTGTAGAGATGGGGTCCCGCTATGTTGGCCAGGCAGGTCTCAAACTCCTGCAAGCAATTCTCCTGCCTTGGCCTCCAACGTGCTGGGATTATAGGCGTAAGCCACCACTACAGGCTCTACTTTTATTCTTTTTTATTTATTATTATTTTTTTTGAGACAGGGTCTTGTTCTGTTGACCAGGCTTGAGTGCAGTGGTGCAATCTCAGCTCACTGCAGCCTTAACTTCCCAGGCTCAAGCGATCCTCCCATCAAAGCCTCCCAAGTACCTAGGACCACAGGCACACACCACCACGCTGGGCTAATTTTTTTATTTTTTATTGTAGAAATGAGGTCTCACTGTGTTCCCCAGACTGGTCTCAAACTCCCGGACTCAAGCCTCCCAAAGTGCTGGGATTACAGGCATGAGCCACCGCATTACTTTTATTCTTTTTTTTTTTTTTTTTTTTTTGAGACAGAGTCTGGCTCTCTCACCCAGCCTGGAGTGCAGTGGCACAATCTCAGCTCACTGCGACCTCCACCTCCTGGGTTCAAGTGATTCTCCTGCCTCAGCCTCCTGAGTAGCTATGATTACAGGCACCTGCCACCATGCCTGGCTCATTTTTGTATTTTAGCACAGATGAGGCTTCACCATGTTGGCCAGGCTGGTCTTGAACTCCTGACCTCAGGTGATCTGCCCACCTTGACCTCCCAAAGTGCTGAGATTACAGGCGTGAGCCACCATGACTGGCCTACTTTTATTCTTAATAAAGATTATATTTTGATTTAGAAAGTTTATGACAAAATGGTGAATGACTCAAGTCTTAACTTACTTAACTAAAAAATGTCTGTCATTTTAGTCCCAAAATCTCACTATTAAAACCTTTGTCTTACAGGGTTTACCTGGAGGGAATGGACATGGGGACTGGGAAGGAAAATATGCTTTTCACTTTATATATGTCTATGTTGCATTTTTTAGAAACTTATGAACAAATATGAATTTTTCAAATAATAAAACTGTGTGAAAATTTAAAACTAACAAAAATTATGGAGACAGTAAAAAGATTGGGAGGAGAGAGGGAGAAATGAGTAGGTGGAGTAGAGGGATTTTTAGGGTGATGAAACGACTCTGTATGATACTATAATTTATTCTGGATGATATTGTAATATATTTGTAAAAACAGAACATACAACGCAAAGAGTGGATCCTAATGTAAACCCTGGACTTTAGTTAATAATAATATATCAATATTGGCTTGTCAGTTTTAACAAATGTTCCACATCAGTGCAAGATTTTAATAGGGGAAAGGAGGAGGGGGTGTGAGGGGTTATATGGAAGTTTCTGTACTTTCTGCTCATTATTTTGTAAACCTAAAACTGCTCTAAAAAAAGATCTATTAATTTTTTTAATAGTTATATTAATTTTTTTAAATTTTTTTTGGAAACAGAGTCTCACTCTGTTGCCCACACTGGAGTGCCATGATGTGATCTTGGCTCACTGCAACCTCAGCCTCCTAGGTTCAAGAGATTCTCTTGCTTCAGCCTCCCAAGTAGCTGGGATTACAGGCACACACCACCATGCTGGCTAATTTCTGCATTTTTAGTAGAGATGGGGTTTCCTCATGTTGGCCAGGCAGGCCTCGAACTCCTGACCTTAGGTGATCCACCTGCCTCAGCCTCCCAAAGTGCTGGGATTACAGGCGTGAGCCACTGCACCCAGCTCCTATATTAATTTTTAAGTTAATCTTTCAAAATAATTCTTTTAAAATGTTAATAATAGTGCCTACCTTGTAGACTTGTTGTAATTATTAAATGATCCAGGAGTCTGGCATATGATAAACACTCAAGTATCAGCTATCACTATTAGCATTTATAATAAAATTATTTTTACTGAAAATCATCCATATTAATGGTATTAAGAAATGCTGACTTTACAAATACAAAAATCTTCATAATTTAGAAAGCTGAGGTTCGAATGAAATAAAACTTAAAAATAAACTAAAAAAGAAAAACCTTCATAATAGTCTAGCTAATATATTCTTATGAAAACCCTGTATTTCTAATGATTGCCACCTATTTTTCAGATGTGTATGCTTAATGACACTTAAATCTATTGCTATGTTGTATATTTAATTAATCTCATGTCCTGATCTTGACGTTGCTTTGAGCTTTACCATGAGTTGTAAAATACATGAATTCTTGAGCACTGTGGTTATATAATCACTTACATAATATCCACCAGCACTGACTGTGACGCCTACAACCAGATAATAAATCATATTTGATCCAGATGATCCAGGGAATCTGTTAGATGACATCCGGCGCAGAGATGCTAGGAAAAAAATGTTTAAACACAGTTAGCTTCACTAGTTGAGCAAAACTATTTTAAATAATTACATCTTTCAAAATTTTTCTACTCAGTGAACCTAGAATCTATTAACATCAAGTGATTTTAGCTTAAGGGAATACAGTATTACGAGGCTGGGTAATAATTCCACTTGACAGTCTCCCAATCTAATTTGATAAACACTCATGAAACCTGTCATCTTGATGCTGAGCATCATGCCTTCTTGGAAGGGGTGCAGGTGTGGGTAAGGAGAAATGACAAAAGCACTAAAAAATTTTAACAGCCAAATGAAGTGCACATTAGCAAGAGAAAGCCATGTACTATATGTACTCCACTACAGGATTCAGTGAAAATATTATTTTTTAAAAAATGAATTCAGTATGTTTATACCTAAAATGTAATACAATTTGTATTTATATGTTAAATCAAGCATTTATGTTGAAATCCATCATATTTCTATAAATCTATAATACACATGTAGGTATAGAAAGAAATCTCAATTTTTCTCTTATAAAGCAAATATGGGCAGATAAAACGTTTTTAAGCCAAATGTTGCAGAAAGGTTGTATCTGAAATAGAAGTACAATTCTGTATAAACTAATAGAAACAGATAAAGGTACTATATTATTATATTTAAACATTTATTTTGTAGTACTAACATTTGCATATCCTATAATGCCCTGGAATTGAAATTTTTACAATAAACTTAAAGTCGGAAGGAGCTTAAAGTATATACAACTCAAATTCTTTATTTTAAAAATAAAGACATAAACACATTTATGTATTCTTTCAACTAACACAGCTGAGCATCTACTACGTATTTGGAATTGTTAGAAGCATTAAGAATATAACCGTGAACAAGACAGATAAGGTCCCTAGTCTCAAGCCATTCACAGTCTAGAAGGAGGGTATGAACATACAAATAATTGTGATACAGTATGACAAATGTAATAAGTGTTAAGCCAAGCTACAGGCAGAGTAAAACTCAACTAGCTGGCCAAGGTAGTTGTCATAATAGAAGAGACCTGAGTTTTGAAGGAAAATAAGGGAAAGAGGAATGGCACTGGAGGCAGAAGGTGTAACGTATAAAAGCATGAGAGATTCGTGACCCAGAAGGTACAAAGTACAGGATGAATATCCCTTATCTAAAATGCTAGCAGTGGGTGCAGTAGCTTATGCCTGTAATCCCAACATTTTGGGAGGCAGAGGTGGGAGGATCACTTGAGCCCAGGATTTCAAGACCAGCCTGGGCAATGTGGTGAACCCCATCTCTACAAAAAAATTTTATAATATTAGCTGAGAGTGGTGGTATGTGCCTGTAGTCCCAGCTACTTTGGGAGGCTGAGGCAGGAGGATCACTTGAGTCCTGCAGTGAGCTGTGATTGTACCACTGCTCTCCAGCCTGGGCAACAGAGAAAGGTTCTGTTCCAAAAAAATAATTAAAATAAAATAAAATGCTTGGGACCAGAAGTGTTTTGGGTTTTGGATATTCTTTATTTTGGAATATATGCATACACATAATGAGATATCTTGGGGATGGGACTGAAGTCTAAACAAAAAATTCATTTATGTTTCGTATACACCTTACACACATAGCCTGAAGGTAATTTCATACAATATTTTGAATAATTTTGTGCTTGAAACAAAGTTTGTGTTAAGTACTTACATGTGAAATTTTCTACTTGTGGCATCATGTCAGTGCTCAGAAAGTTTCTAATTTTGGAACATTTTGTGTTTTAGATTTTTGGATTAAGCATGTCCAACCTGCAATTTGATGTGGCCTAACATAAAGTATAGGGGTGCAGGGACTAGTGGAAAGCTATGATTTGCACAGGGCGAATCTTAAGGCATGCTTACAAACCTTCATAGTAGCAAAATCACAACGATTTCCTGTTTATGTTCTTAGTTTGGATATAAATGGCCGTTTCTTGGAAAAAAATTTTTTTCCTTCTAATGTGCCCCAAAGGCTATGAGAAGAGGTTATCGCTTTGACTTGTGGTGGGACTTCTGATGGCTTAAAAGTACATCTGTGATCAAATAGGGAATATATAGCCTTCATATTTCTCAAACAGACAAAAATATCAGAAATATTTTTTAAATAGAACTAAAATTACCAGAGATTTAAGTAGACTTAAATACAAATACAATGATGGACAAGTTACTTAAAAAGACAATGAAATGAGAAATTTTTCAATAAGGATTAATTAGACAAATTTTAGCACATTCATACAATGTGAAACAAATAGACATAACTTTTGCAGAACAATATTTACTTACATGAGAAAATATTTACAATGTATTAGGTGAAAAGTCATAGCAAAATACTCTGGGACTATCCAAGATTTGTGGAAATAATGTGCACAAGGAAGGAATGAGGGGAAAAAAAAGGTCTGGAAAACTAAATATACTAAAACGTAATTAGTTGTGTTCACTGAGTGGTAGGATTACAGGTGAATTCCATTTTTTATTTTACCTGTTTTTCCCCAATTATCTATTATAAATCTAAATTATTTATTCATTAAAAAGTTACCCTTTTAAGGCTGGGCTCGGTGGCTCACACCTGTAATCCCAGCACTTTGGGAGGCCGAGGTAGGTGGATCACCTTAGGTTGGGAGTTCAAGACCAGCCTGACCAACATGGAGAAACCCCATCTCTACTAAAAATGCAAAATTAGCTGGGTGTGGTGGCCCGTGCCTGTAATCCCAGCTACTCCGGAGGCTGAGGCAGGAGAATCACTTGGATCCGGGAGGCGGAGGTTGTGGTGAGCCGAGATCACGCCATTGCACTCCAGCCTGAGCAACAAGAGTGAAACTCTGTCTCAAAAAAATAAAATTACCCTTTTAAAAGCAAAAAGGAGAGAACAAAATGTGATGAGACACAGTTAAAAATTTTTCCTTCAATAAAACTGAAAAAAATTATTTTTCATCAAAGTAGAAAGTATGAACAAAAGGTTAAGTAATGTCCACGACTGAAGACAAATTTGTTTCCAATCAATAATAGTTCTTAAATACATTTTAAGTGCTGCAAAAATAGTTAGATGAAAATCAGAGAAAGACCAGTACCTTTACAAGCAGCATTGCTAGATACGTATTTAAAATTTTTAAACTACTTCTATTTTGCCGCAAATTGGGAAGAAAATTATTTGGAATTTCTGCAGCTACAAAAAAAAGGTGCGCGTGTGTGTGTGTGTGTTTGTGTGTGCGTGCACGCGCGCATGATGTCGGTGGGGAACGCAGACAGATAAAACGAAAGGCCACGGTCAGAGGACTAATCTTTCTCCCCGTTCTCAACAGAACAGTCCCGTTATCTTCCGAAGTTTAAAATAAATGGCTTCTCCCTACTTCATCAGTGTATATATATATTTAAAAGCTCTATATCATTTGGTATAAAGATCTAGAAAAATAAAGGCAATAAAGATCTAGGAAAACGAAGATGTCTTATTTCTGATACTTGAGGGATAACTTCCTTCCACCAGCATTTTACAAGAAAAATAAAGCGAGTTAGTTAGACCTCCGTCCTTCCCTCCCACCACCACCAACAGAGGCCTAATCAACGTGAAAAAAAAATCGGCCCATGGAATTCTCCGCGCACATCTTTCTCTCCTGCTGGAATCCACCCTCTGGGGTAAAATTATCTCGGAAGGCTCAGAAAGTGAGGCTAAGTGAAGAGAGCATTAAGAACCCTTCACGATATTGTCTAAGAGCCGTCCCCCAGTCGTGAGTGGAAGAGAGAGGGGTGACGGATGGGGACTAGGGAAAAGCGGCTGGGGCAGAACCGCCCTGGAGCGCAAGCCTGGTCCCAGAAGAAAAACAATCTTCCTTGCTCACACCTATTAAGCACCTACTATGTTCCCAGCACTATACGAAGCGCTTTCCTATATGTCCGTTTTTATTTAATAAGCCTCCAGTTCACACTGCAACTCCCCCTTTAGTTAATTGCTGAGTATTCTGCTTTTTCTCGCGTATCCTCAGAACCAAAGGTGTCGATATTTGGACTACAGAGCCAAGCAGTTGCAGGACGACGTGCAACCTCAAAGGAAAGTGTCCCGAAGGCCGCTTCCTTTTTGGGGGTTGTGGATCTCAGAGCCAGGCGCTCGCGGGGTTCAGGCTGCTGAGACCCTGCCAAGGGTTAGGTTTATTTACCCCACGAACATTCGCCCAGCGTCCACTGAGCGGGCCCTGCCTCACTGCCTCCCAGCGCTTGCCGGGCCCGCTCGCTGATCGGCGTCCACCTTCCCACCGTTCCTCTGCTTCCTCAGGAGATTGGAGAGCGAATGGTGCCTCTAACAATAAAAGTGGTAAGCTGCGACTTTGTCAGCCAGGCACGTTTTTAAGTGCTTTTAACCATACATTAACTCATTAAAAAGGAAAACCATCATCGCCCTCATTTTATAGATGAGGAAACAGGTTAAGCCATTTGTCCAAGATCAGGATGCGAACCCAGATAATCTGGACTCTGAGGCACCCTGGAAAAGTTCCCTACTTCCAAAGTCTGCAGGAGCTTCGGGACGTCTTCCCGGGAGTCTCCCCCAGTCTCCTCGACCTCCAATCCAGGCTTCTGCTGCTCTGGGTCGGGTTTGGCCAACTGGGTGCCGGCCGGTTCCCTGGCGCGGGCGAAATCTGCACCCGAGGCGCCCGTCCTCCTCTCCGGGCTAGACCTCCTTACTCACCGTCCTTTCCGAGCGGCGCGGGGTTGGGGGGCGCCCTCAGCGGCAGCGCCAGAGTCTTGGAGACCGCCCTGCGGAGATACATCGCGCCCGCTGTCCGCCGCGCAGCAGCCTCGGTACCCAGGCGCAGGCTGCCCTTCCACAGAGAGGCTGAGAGCCTGGCAGCGCCCCGCCCGGAGGAGGCACGTCGACCTTCATCCAGCCCCGCCTCCGCGGCCCCCGGGAGGTGGGGAGACCTTTGTAGTCCTCACCATCCTCCCCTAACCCATCTCCAGCTCTGTTGCTATCCCTGAGGTCTCTAGAGCTGACCGCGGCATCTCAGAAAAGGGATGGGGAACCTACAAGTCGCCGTCGCCTGCCTGGCTCATTCTGTACCACTGAATGTAACTCCTCACAGCAAGCTGGAAATGTTTTGGGAATTGGACGAGATTAAGACAAGGACACAGTTTATCACGCTGGATGTAATCTGAAACCATTTTATCTCCTGCATTCCGTTAGCTTTCCTAGGAGAGGGAAGGATAGCTGGAAGTTTCTTAAAAATGAGAAGAGCGAAGGGGTAGCCTCAGCCTTCCATTAGCGCACTGGGTGATGCTCAGAATCGTAAGAAAATCTGCAGACAATGGTTGAATTTCTAGACAGCTCACTGTTAAAACGACTTTAAAATATCAAAAACACTGTATATTCCTCTATGGGATGTGAAATTAATATTTCCACATCAGCGGCCGGGCACAGTGGCTCACGTTTATAATCCCAGCACTTTGGGAGGCCGAGGCAGGCGGATCACTTGAGGTCAGGAGTTGGAGAGCAGCCTGGGCAACATGGTGAAACCCCGTTTCTACTAAAAATACAAAAAATTAGCCGGGAGTGGTGGCGCGGGCCTGTAATCCCAGCTACTCGGGACGCTAAGGCAGGAGAATCGCTTGAACCCGGGAGGCGGAGGTCGCAGTGAGCCGAGATCATGCCACTACATTCAAGCCTGGGTGACAGAGCAAGACCCTGTCTCAAAAGCAAAACAAAACAAAACAAAAACCCCAAAAACAAAACAAAACAAACAAAACAAAAAAACACATCAACTAAAAATACTAAATTATTAGTTTTCCGTCTCATCGTGGCTACAAGAACTTGTCATGGTTTGAATATGGAAACCAATAATTTATTACGTTTATAACATTGTCTAAATGATTACTCTTTGGAAGACACCATTTCCTACTATAATAATCCCTTATGTGTGTTTGGCACTTGAAAGATTATAAAGCACTTTCACATCTATTATCTCTTTTAATTTTCACTGCAACCCTCTGAGGGAGGTGGCAATTATTCCCTTTAGCAAATGCCACCACCAGGTGGTGGGTGGGAATGTCCAGGGATTTACTGGTGGTCATGAATTAAAAAACAAAAAGGACATGAACATAATACTTCTAGCTTAAAGTTCTATTGGCATGTAACAGGCACAATATTTGTTCATTTGCTATGTAAATAGACGTTTCTCAGAAGTTATAGTCCTGAACCTAATTATAATTATATTTAACATATTCTCATAAGAAGAGTACAAGCCAATGATCAGATTGGTTTTTTGATACTCAGAAAGAGAGTTAACTAGTTTAATCACTAGGGTGACAGAGCGAGACTCAGTCTCAAAAAAAAAAAAAGTTTACAACATAGATGGGTGTGGTGGTACATGCCTGCAGTCCCAGCTACTCCAGAGGCTGAGGTGGGAGAACTGATTGAGCTCAGGAGGTCAAGACTGCAGTGAGCTGAGATCTTGCCACTGCACTCCAGCCTGGGTGACAGAGTGAGACCCTGTCTCAAAAAAAAAAAAAAAAAAAAAAAAAATCACACACAGTGGCTCACAGCACTTTGGGAGGTGGAGGCAGAAGGATTGCTCGTGCTAGGGAGTTCAAGTCCAGCCTGGCAAATATGGCAAAACCTCATCTGTTTCTTTTTCAGAAAGAAAAAAAAAAGGCACATTAGATATGAAATGTAAAAAATAAAGTAAAAAAAATAAAGGATATAAAATGTGCTCAGCTAGTTGGAGGAGGCAGTGCTAGATTCTGACTTCCAGCCTAAGGTGAAGCTCAAGGCTCTCCTGCTACACTCTGCTGCCTTTCAGTGTGGCACATGGCCGGATTCATTATATCCCACCATCTCTTATTAGATGGTACGGTCCAGTGGGAGGTTATCATGCTCTCTAGGTTGAATATGGCCATACCAGCTGGGATATAAAAGAACTGTGAGATAAATAGTTCCATTTCTCCAGATTATTTTCCTTAGTTAAAAGCTCATGCCTTTCAAGTTGAAGGGAATTTCTATCTACTCAGCTGCTCCTGTGGCTTTCCGTTTTGATGGCAAATTCTTTTCAAATCTTGATGAAACATTTTCCAAGAGAGGACATGCCCTCGAGTTGTCAAATTCACTCCAGAGCAGACTGTTTCTTCCAAACCCCAGATAAATTTAACACATCTTTGCTATGGAAGACTCTGTAAGGCTCAGCCAATAGTTTCCTAACTATTAATCATACTGTTCGTAATGCTGCCCTTGAGCACATCCTTGAAATTTTTCTTCGTTTGGTTGGAAAAACAAGAATTTAGGGTCAGAGATAACTCGGCTTACCTTAGATGACCTCCATCTAACTGTGATTATTGACAAGGATTATATTAGTCTTGAAAACATTATTATAAAGGTCCTCTACTGGCAACATTAATTATACTTTCAAGGCTTAACAGCTATATAAATAAAAGAAATTTTCAAAGTCTGAGTGGTTTCCTGGATTTCACAGAAATATCAGCTAAGTTTTTCTGAGCACTCAATTCTTAGGCTATTGCCTATATGTTTTGAGAGATAAATACTGACACACACTTAAACAATTTAGAGGAGCAACTAGGAGGATAAATTGGCAAGCAGTTAAGAAAGTCCTGATAAGCATATTTTTCATGGTTTAAACTACTTAAAGTGAAGGAGAAAAGATAATCAAGATGGTCAATTCTCAACTTTTTTTTTTTTTTTTTTGAGATGGAGTCTTGCTCTGTCGCCCAGGCTGGAGTGCAGTGGTGCGATCTCGGCTCACTGCAACCTCTGCCTCCTGGTTCAAGCGATGTTCCTGCCTCGGCATACCTAGTAACTGGGACTACAGGTGTGTGCCACCACAACTGGCTAATTTTTGTATTTTTAGTAGAGACGGGGTTTCACCACATTGGCCAGATTGGTCTCAAACTCCTGACCTTGTGATCTGCCCACCTCAGCCTCCCAAAGTGCTGGGATTACAGGCGTGAGCCACTGTGCCCAGACTGACTATTCTTGAAAGTCATTCAGTACTATCTCCATCTATTAACTATCTCTTCTGTGACAAAATAAACATCAGATTTCCTAACACTTCTGTATTATTTTCCTAAGGATACAAACTTGGATGTTATTTAAAACAATTTATTCTCTAACAGTTTTCTGGAGGATAGAAGTCTCAAATGAAGATGTTGGCAGGGCCATTTCCTCTCTGAAACCTATAGGGGATGTAAACTAAAAATAAAATCCTGAGCTCCCTGCCAACTGAATAGACCTCCTCTTGGCCAAGGGGACCCCAGAAAAATCTTAAAAACTGAGTTCCTGGCCATGATGGGATGGGAGGTCAGACAACTCTTGTTACACCCGCTCCCTTTTGCACTTTAGATACAATAACTGGCCAGCATAAATGTTAAAATAGAGATCCTAAAACTGACAGAATAGACTTTGTGGCAATAAGATACCAAATTATAAATGGAAGTTTAAGGCCATGCTAGGCAAGGGTTAAGTCACTCACTCCTACACTTAAAGAATAAACTATTTCTAACTGCCACAGGTTTTTCTTTTTCTCTAGCAGCTAAACAAGCACTGGCCTCCAGATAAGGAATATTAAAACAATTGTCGCTCATCACTAGACACTAACTGACCCCGTTCCACAAGCTATAGCTACAGCTTTGATTGGACGAGAGACTGATTTCAGTAACTTTCTCCTGATAAGACCACTGGGCTGGTGTGGTGGCTCATGCCTGTAATCCCAGCACTTTGGGAGGCCAAGGCAGGAGGATCACTTGAGCCCAAGAGTTCAAGCCCAGCCTGGGCAAGATGTTGAGATTCCATCTCTACTAAAAACAAAAAAAGAAAAGAAAATGGCTGGGTGTGGTAGCACCCACCTGTATCACTTGAGCCCAGGAGTTCAAGGATGCAATGACCTGATTGTGCCACTGCACTGCAAGGCCATGTTTCTTTGGGGAGGAAAAAAAAAAAGACCACCTACCAGGAACTGGCTCTGGCCTGTTTACAGATGCTGAACACTTGAGTCCTTCATATCCTAAAAAGATTTTTGACATATAGGGCCTAATTATAATACATTTAAATGTTAAGTCTCCACTCCAAAGCGAACATAAGTTGTATGTTACATGCATGTTTGGTCAATACACATGCATCAGGACTAATATCATTTGGCTCTGTGTTCCCACCCAAATCTCATGTTGAATTGTAATTTCCAATGTTGGGGAAGGGACCTGGTGGGAGGTGATTGGATCATGGGGGTGGGTTCCCCCCTTGCTGTTCTCATGATAGTGAGTTCTCACAAGATCTGGATGTTTGAAAGTGTGTAGAACTTTTCCCTTCGCTCACCCTCTCTCCTGCTGGCCATGTGAAGAAGTGCTTGCTTCCCCTTTGCCTTCCACCATAATTGTTAAGTTTCCTGAGTCGTCTCTGAAGCAGAAGTCTGTATAGCCTTCAAAACCATGAGCAGATTAAACCTCTTTTCTTTATAAATCACCCAGTCACAGGTAGCTCTTTTTTTTTTTTTTAAGACGGAATTTCACTCGTTTCCCAGGCTGAAGTGCAATGGCGTGATCTCAGCTCAATGTAACCCCCGCCTCCCAGGTTCAAGTGATTCTCCTGCCTCAGCCTCCCAAGTACTTGGGATTACAGGCGTGCTTCACCATGTCCGGCTAATTCTGTATTTTTAGTAGAAACAGGGTTTCTCCATGTTGGTCAGGCTGGTCTTGAACTCCCAACCTCAGGTGATCCACCTGCCTCGGCCTCCCAAAGTGCTGGGATTATAGGTGTGAGTCACCATGCCTGACCAACACGTAGCTCTTTATAGCAATGTGAGAACAGGCTAAAACAAGGACCTTTGTGAATATTCATAGCTCCTCCTGTAACCTGTTGAATATGAATGCTTAGCCAACTGTTCAGCATAAAGCTCCTACCCCAATCCCTTCTCCTCCAAAGTGCCTGTCTCTGGGCTCTGCTGGAGGCTATATTTTCCAGTCTGTAGGATGGCCACCTTGTAGGCTGTAACCCTTTACAAGAAATAAAGTTTCCATTTCCAAACTTGTAGATCTTGTGATTTTTAAGTTAATGGAGAATCCTTCTTTGCCTTTTCTAGCTTCTATTGTTTGCTGGCAATCCCTGGCTGTAGATTCAGCCAGTCTCTGCCTCTGTCATCACATGGCCATCTTCTCCTATGTGTCTCTTCTCTTAAATATACTAGTCATACTGGATTAAGGGTTCACTCTACTCCAGTATGTAATGCAAATTACATCTGCAATTACCCTATTTTCAATTAAGTCCACTTTTTGAGGTACTACGAGTTGGGATCTTAACATATCCTTTTTGGGGAAACAATTCAACCCACAACTTCTTATATCAGAAACTTAGATTATACAGCCTGTTTTTCCAAGGCAACTTAATAATTTCAAGTGTGACTACCTAAATCTTGAAGAAAGGTCTACCTGATTTTGATTATTAAACTATTTGACTATACTCGACATATGATTTTGTCTGCATCTTCCTTTATATGGGAACTTTTTTTTTGAGATGGAGTCTTGCTATGTTGCCCAGGCTGGAGTGCAGTGGTATAATCTTGGCTCACTGCAACCTCCGCCTCCTGGGTTCAAGCAATTCTTCTGCCTCAGCCTCCTGAATAGCTGGGATTACAGGTGAGTACCACCACGCCTGGCTAAATTTTTGTATTTTTAGTATAGACCGTGTATTTTTAGTATTCTTAGTATTCATATACAATATTTTTAGTCTTCACCGTGTTAGCCAGGATGGTCTTGATCTTCTGACCTCGTGATCCACCTGTCTCGGCCTCCCAAAGTGCTGGGATTACTGGTGTGAGCCACTGCGCCTGGCCTGGAAACTCTTTCATTACTGAAAGAATCATCCCTTGACCACAGGCAACTCTAAATTCCTTTGGGGAAGAATCAGAATGATTCTTGCTCAGTCCAGCTACTCTCTTGAATTGAGAAGTAACTCAGGAACCATTTGCTGTGGATTTCTCTTTACAATGTGGATTGAGGAAGAGAAGGTCCATGTGCCAAGAAGATAAGGCAGACTCACAGATAGCTGAGTCAAGAGCAAGAATCTTAATGACATTTGGGTCCCAGGCTTCAATTGTTCCTGGGCTCAGGTCCACTCCTATTCTTGGGGTCTGTGAGTCACTCTATCCTCATATATTTTTTTTTTGAGACGTAGTCTCGCTCTGTCGCCCAGGGTGGAGTGCAATGGCTTGATCTCGGCTCACTGCAACCTCCACCTCCCAGGTTCAAGCTATTTTCATGTCTCAGCCTCCCAAATAGCTGGCATTACAGGTGCTGGCCACCACGCCCGGCTTATTTTCGTATTTTTAGTAGAGACGGGGTTTTGTCATGGTGGTCAGGTTGGCCTCAAACTCCTGACCTCAGGTAATCCACCCACTTCAGTTTCCCAAAGTGCTGGGATTACAGGTGTAAGCCACTGCGCCCGGCCTATCTTCACAATTTTTTTAAAAAAATCATAGTTTGAGTTAGGTTTCAATTATTTAATTTAGGAAGCATTTTTACCAGCGCCACTATGTGGCACAATTCTAAATAGTGCTGTTCAGTACAGCAGCCACCAGCCCCATCTAGCTAGTTAAATTAATTAAAGTTAGGCTGGAGCGGTGGTTCAGGTTTGTTCATCCCAGCACTTTCAGAGGCCGTGGCAGGAGGACTGCTTGAGTCCAGGAGTGTGAGAACCAGCCTGGGCAGGATAGTGAGACCTTGTCTCTACAAAACATTTTTTCTTAAATGTATTAACAAATATATATTTAAAATTAATTAAGGCCAGGCACGGTGGTTCACGCCTGTAATCCCAGCACTTTGGGAGGCTGAGGCAGGCAGATCACCTGAGGTCAGGAGTTTGAGACTAGCCTGGCCAACGTGGTGGAACCCCCTCTCTATTACAAATGCAAAAATTAGCTGGGCATGGTGGTGGGTGCCTGTAATCCTAGCTACTCGGGAGGCTGAGGTAGAATTCCTTGAACCCAGGAGATGGAGGTTGCAGTGAGCTGAGATCACGCCACTGCACTCTAGCCTGGGTGACAGAGCAAGACTCTGTCTCCAGGAAAAAAAAATTAATTAAAATTAAATAATACTAAACAGTTAGTCACACTAATCACATTCCAAATGCTTATTAGCCACAAGAGGCTAGTGGCTACTGTACTAGACAGCACAGACAGAACATTCCCATCGTTGGAAAGTTCTTTTGGACAGCCCTGGTCCTCCATGAATGGCTCCCTGGAGTTAAAGGGGCATAATCAAGAGGAAGGTCCATCATCAGTTGTGCGAAGACAAGGAAAAGAGAAAAAAAAAAGGCCGGGCACGGTGGCTAACGCCTGTAATCCCAGCACTTTGGGAGGCCGAGGTGGGTGGATCATGAGGTCAGGAAATTGTGACCATCCTGGCTAACACGGTGAAACCCCGTCTCTACTAAAAATACAAAAAATTAGCCGGGCGTGGTGGCAGGTGCCTGTAGTCCCAGCTACTCGGGAGGCTGAGGCAGGAGAATGGCGTGAACCTGGGAGGCAGAGGTTGCAGTGAACCGAGACTGCGCCACTGCACTCCGGCCTGGGCGACAGAACGAGACACTGTCTCAAAAAAAAAAAAGAAAAAAAATTAGAGGAAGGTCCACACAACACAAAGTAGCTATATTCTCAAAGCCCAATGTACACTAAGTTCTGTTTATTAAAGGTGTACTTTATTTCCACCTACTGAGGCTGTAAGTTTCCAAAATTTCAAGTGTCTTAGTTTTCTGTTCCCTTTAGAGATGTGAATTTTTAAGTGTTTTAGTGAAAAGTGCCCTGAATTGGTAGTTGATACTTGAACTCTTACTCTGTTACTATGTGACAAATCATATTAGCTTCATATTGTTGCTATAACAAACCTATCTATTGTAACAACACAAATGTATTATCTTAACAGTTTTGTAGGTGAGAAATCTGACAAAGGTGGGCTAAAATCAAGCAGGGCTGTGTTCCACTTTGCAGGCTCTAGGGGGGGATTCGTTTTCTTGATGTACTTTGGCTGTTAGCTTCATCTTCAAAGAAGCAATGGCAAAGAAGACTCTTTGTCACTCACATCACATCACTCTGACACATTTTTGTGCCTCCCTCTCCCACTTATAGGGACCTTGTGATTACATTGGGCCCAACTACATAATTCGAGATAAATGTTTAAATTACAAATTAATGAAGTGGCAACTGAAACAAGTTTTAAGTGATTCACAAGAAAGGGCTTTGCCGGAATGGTGGCTCACACCTATAACCCCAGAACTCTGGGAGGCAGAGGCAGGCAGATTGCTTGAGCCCAGGAGTTTGAGACCAGCCTGGGCATCATAGCAAGACCCCACATGTACAAAAACTTTAAAAAATTGCCAGGCACAGCAGCTCACTCCTGTAATCCCCGCACTTTGGGAGGCTGAGGCGGGCAGATCACGAGGTCAGGAGTTCGAGACCAGCCTGACCAACACGGTAAAACCTCGTCTCTACTAAAAATAAAAAAAATTAGACGGGTGTGGTGGCACACACCTGTAATCCCAGCTACTCATGAGGTCAGGAGATTGAGACCATGGTGAAACCCCGTCTCTACTAAAAATACAAAAAATTAGCAGGGCGTGGTGGTGGGCGCCTGTAGTCCCAGCTACTCGGAGAGGCTAAGGCAGGAGAATGGCATGAACCCGGGAGGCGGAGCTTGCAGTGAGCTGAGATCACGCCACTGCACTCCAGCCTGGGCGACAGAGCAAGACTCCGTCTCAAAAAAAAAAAAAAAAAAAAAAAAAAAAAAGAGCTAGAGTTTGCTAAATCATAGACTTAAAGTCATATTAGCAAAAAAAAAAAGACAACAAATTTTGTGTTGCCATAACAGTGTGTAAAAGTAGTCGCCCAAATGAAAATCATTCAAATTAAAGGAGTCAGAAAACACTCTGGTAACAGGATTCATCCTTCCTTTCTAACTTACCAAAATGACTCCTCTAGAGAAAACAATCTTTGTGATCCTATGTTTTCTGAGTAACAAGGTAGTTCTGCCTTCCTGATATACTAAATAAATGTTCTGATCAGAAATTAAGAGGTGATAACAAGAGTAAATCCTTCAGCCCTGATTTTCTTTTTTTTTAACACAGAGTTTCACTCTTGTTGCCCAGGCTGGAGCGCAATGGCACGATATCGGCTCACCACAACCTCTGCCTCCCAGGTTCAAGTGATTCTCCTGCCTCAGCCTCCTGAGTAGCTGGGATTACAGGCATGTGCCACCATGCCCGGCTAATTTTTTTATTTTTAGTAGAGATGGGGTTTCTCCATGTTGGTCAGGCTGGTCTTGAACTCCCAACCTCAGGTGATCTGCCTGCCTCGGCCTCCCAAAGTGCTGGGATTACAGGCGTTGAGCCACCGCGCCCAGCCAGCCCTGATTTTTGAATCTATGTTCACAACAACTTTTCTTACCAAAGTGTCCTTAATTACCACTGACCTTGTTATCAGGTGGTACCTTCCATATTGAAATACTTCTATTAATGTACCTTAGAATTAACATTTTCTACAAGTTGTCACAATATGCTTTATCTGAAGAATACAGAAGTATTTTTATTTCTTTTTATTTAATGATGCAAAATACAAATGCTGGCTTGATATATATTCACATATAACTTTTTCTCTCACATTTACAACTCAACAGATGGTGAATCCAGAGGAACAGCTACAATCACTATACGGAGCATACCTATAATGAAGAAAAAAAAAACTGTAGCATTAACCAGCAGAAATAATATTAAAATTAAACTACTCTGAATTCACCTTAGAACATCAGAAAAAGTCTAGAAAAGACCCACAAAGAGTACCAATACCTTATTTTATTTAATTTTAACAAAAAATATTTTGCCTTAACTATGAAAGAACAGCAAAAGCCATCTGGTTTGTATTTCAATGCCTATTTCATTTTTACCTCTTTTTTTTTTTTTTTTTTTTGGTAGAGACAAAGTCACTATGTTGCCCAAACTCCTGGGCATATGCTATCCCGCTGCCTAGGCCTCCCAAAGTACTGAGATTACAGGCATGAGCCACCAAGCCCAGACTCATTTTATCTCTTGATTGGCTGATTAGAGTAGTGAAATGGGCAGGGTGCTAATAGAAAAAAGGCAAAAGATTTGGATAATCAACAGTAAAGAGCTCAGTTTCAGAGTTATAAAATATGGAAAAAAAGGATAGTCTGTGATCGCTATGTTTATTATACAGCAGATATAAGTTACTTAATCAACCCAATTATGAAAGCTGAGATTTTTAAGTGACTGTTCACTTATAAAAGGATTAATATAGGATTTTTAAAAAAGGTTTTCAGAAATACACCATATATATATATATATATGTACACTGTATATGGTATACTTATATATATTTGATACATATCTATAGATGAATATATTATTTATTCATTCATTTATTTTTGAGACAGAGTCTTGTTCTGTTGCCCAGGCTGGCTGGAGTGCAGTAGCCCAATATTGGCTCAATGCAACCTCCCAGCCTCTGCCTCTTGGGTTAAAGCAATTATCGTGCCTCAGCCTCCCAAAGTAGCTGGGACTACGGGCGCGCACCACCATGCCTAGCTATTTTTTGTGTATTTTTAGTACTGATGGGGTTTCGCCACGTTGGCCAGGCTGGTCTCTAACTCCTTGCCTTAAGTGATCCACTCGCCTCAGCCTCTCAAAGTGTTAGGATTACAGGCGTGAGCCACTGCGCCCAGCCAGATGTATATATTTTATATATATATATATAATAAACTTTCTCTTTTAAATCACAGACCATGCAGAATAAACTATCTTGTTCATAACTAGGTTTTTTACCAGGAACTGTCCAACTGGGTATTAGTTGAGTTGACAATCATAATGAAATAGTCATGCAGAAAAAAATTTAAAAATTGATTGCTCTGGCCAGGCGCAGTGGCTCACGCCTGTAATCCCAGCACTTTGGGAGGCCGAGGCGGGCAGATCACGAGGTCAAGAGATGGAGACCATCCTGGCCAACATGGGAAAAGCCCGTCTCTATCAAAAATACAAAAATTAGCTGGGCGTGGTAGCGCGCACCTGTAGTCCCAGCTACTCGAGAGGCTGAGGCAGGAGAATTGCTTGAACCTGGGAGGCGGAGGTTGCAGTGAGCCAAGATTGTGCCACTGCACTCCAGCCTGGTGGCTCCGTCTCAAAAAATAAAATAAAATAAAAAGAATCGATTGCCGTTATACATTCATCACTTCTACAAATATTAAACTCCTAAATGGACCAGATGAGCAAGTTGCTGAATAAAGGATAATTAATAAAATAGGTTTCTGTTCTCATGGAATTCACACTCAAGTGTACAAGATACCAAACAGACATTAAGAAATACACACACGAAGAATAATAATTTGTCATAAGTGCTATGAAAGCAAAGTGTAAAGCACTATCAGATTTAAGAAAATAATATGATTTTGGGTTCATTCTTTTTTTTTTTTTGAGAAGGAGTCTCACTCTGTCACCCAGGCTGGAGTGCAGTGGCACGATCTTGGCTCACTGCAAACTCTGCCTCCCGGGTTCACGCCATTCTCCTGCCTCAGCCTCGCGAGTAGCTGAGACTACAGGCGCCCGCCACAACACCTGGCTAATTTTTTTGTATTTTTGGTAGAGACGGTGTTTCACTGTGTTAGCCAGGATGGTCTTGATCTCCTGACCTTGTGATCCACCCGCCTCGGCCTCCCAAAGTGCTGGGATTACAGGCGTGAGCCACCGCGCCTGGCAGATTTTGGTTTCATTCTTAAACATACCTTTCTTTGAACAGAGTCAAAGACTAATGATTAAAAATGATTACGCTAAAAGATTCTTGAGGCTAGCAAAGTGGCTCATACCTATAATTCCAACATTTTCAGAAGCTGAGGCAAGGAGTGAGACCAGCCTGGCCAACAGGTCTACAAACAAACAAACAACAAACAAAAAAAACCCCATCCCCCCCAAAACAAAACCAACTGCTTGAGGCAAGGTATTACAAATTTATAAATTTGTCACAGACAGAAATATGGGTGCTAAAATGTATAAACCTAATACAAAACAAACAACAAGCTTGTTTTTCAGTATTTAAAAAAGAGGTCAAGTTAATTTGCATAATCTATTCATCCAATAAGCTTGTATACTTACTACATTAGTGTTTCAAAAGTTTATTCCAGCCCATTTCTTCTTTTGTACTCTAAAATATCTTCATTGTGTTGTTTGATGAGCTACAAAGAGTTAAACAGTTAAAATTAGAAATGTAATCTTCCTGGATACTTATATTTTGTAAAGGAATAAGGATAGAAAAAATAAACAACTATTCTAGTTAGAAATAAAAGGCTAAGAGATCCAAAAGTTCAAAAACCAGGAATGGTATAAACTTGCTCACCACAATGTGACATCCTAAATTTGAGAAGGGAGCCCTTAAATATATATATATATATTTATTTATTTATTTAGAGACGGAGTTTTGCTCCACCCCAGGCTGGAGTGGAATGGCGTGATCTTGGCTCACTGCAACCTCCTTCTTCTGGGTTCAAGCGATTCTCCTGCCTCAACCTCCTGAATAGCTGGGATTACAGGCGCCTGCCACCACGCCTGGCTAATTTTTGTATCTTTAGTAGAGATGGGGTTTCACCATGTTGGCCAGGCTGGTCTCGAACTCTGAGCTCAGGTGATCCACCCGCCTCGGCCTCCCAAAGTGTTGGGATTACAGGCATGAGCCACCGCACCTGGCCAAAAATTTAAATTAAACTACTGCCAAAAATTTTACCTCATTTGGTGGGTAATAAACGTAATGAAATGGCTTATCATGAAGGGGTAAATCAATATGATACAGCACAACTTGGTTATTAAATGGGATCCAGGCTGGTTGGTGGGTGCGTGTTATGCTTCTAATCTTAGAAGTAGGATACCTTGATTGAATGACCAACCCCATCACGAAACTGTATGTGTATTAATTAGATGTCATGGAGGACAGTCACATTTTTAGGACCACTGTCTGACAGAATATGCAACTGGAAAAATGGCTTATATACGATGACATTCATGGCAATCAAAGATCCAAGTTCAATCACTAGTGCTCTCAGCAGTAATTAAGCTTCTTGTTAGAGAAAACCTTAAATTAAGAATGTATAAAATTCATTATAAGCAACATTATTCAAAAAGATGAGTTACTATTAAGTTGTAAGTGACTCAAAATCTCTCACCCCTTTCCAAGTCAAAAATCTGAACCACTTCAACAAGAAAATTTAAAATATCTTAGAGCTGGGGGACAGTGGAGGAAGTCCCAAACCCATTAGATAAAAAACAAAATTTTAAATATTAATATAGCAGATACTTTAACTTTAAAAAGAAATTTTATCCCAACAGAGGCAGTGTTTCACAGTCTTTTCTAGGATAGTGTGGCCTCTGAAGTCAGGAGAACTGGGTTCAGCAAACTAGTTTCTCCAAGTGTTTCTTATCTGTAACGGGTCAACAATAGTAGGTGCCACGTAGTGTTGTTGAAATGATTAAACGCAAGTTTATGTGTAAAGCATGTGGTGTGAATTTTTTTTTTTTTTTTTTTTTTTTTTTTTGAGACAGAGTCTCGCTGTATCTCCCAGGCTGGAGTGCGGTAGCACGATCTCGGCTCACTGCAAGCTCCACCTCCCGGGTTCACACCATTCTGCTGTCTCAGCCTCCTGAACAGCTGGGACTACAGGCGCCCTTCGCTACACCTGGCTAATTTTTTTTGTATTTTTGGTAGAGACGAGGTTTCACTGTGTTAGCCAGGATGGTCTGGATCTCTTGACCTCGTGATCCGCCCACCTTGGCCTCCCAAAGTGCTGGGATTACAGGTGTGAGCCACCACGTCCGGCCTGAAAATTTTTTTAAAAAGGTCGCTACACACTATGTACAATTTCCAACAATGTATTTATACAAACATTGATTAAAACCTAATGGAAGTCTACTGGGATTCAATTTGTACAACTTGCACACTGCTGGTTTGTCCTTACAGCATCTGAAAAAGGTACCTTCATAAAACTCCAATTAGCCTCAATTCTCATTAAGAAATAAAGTATAATTACTATTGCCGGGCGTGGTGGCTCACGCCTGTAATCAGAACACTTTGGGAGGCCGAGGCGGGCGGATCAATAGGTCAGGAGATCGAGACCATCCTGGCTAATACGGTGAAACCCCGTCTCTACCAACAATACAAAAATTAGCCGGGCGTGGTGGCGGGCGCCTGTAGTCCTAGCTACTTGGGAGGCTGAGGCAGGAGAATGGCGTGAACCCGCGAGGCAGAGCTTTCAGTGAGCCGAGATCACGCCACTGCACTCCAGCCTGGGAGACAGAGTGAGACTCCATCTCAAAAAAAAAAAAAAAAAGTATAATTACTATTTAGTAAAACTGCCATTCCTTACAAAACCATGTTAAGGAACAATAACAGAAATTTTAGTCCCATCATACTTTTTCAATGTTGCTGAAATCTTAATTTCTTTTTAGTCCTTGGGATTTCTCTTATGGAAAAATACGTATCAGCGATTATATAAATATCCTACTGTTATGAGAGTTTCACTGCCATACAACATATAACAGCACCATTCAATCTCGCAATGTTATGTCATTCCCTTACCACGCTGGTGTAGTCTCACGACATCCGGGAGTAAAGTACTTACATAGATCCACAAGAAGACAGTGGTGCCCAAGGTGAACCCAACTTTCAGCCAGTCAGGTTTGGCATTCGGCGGCTCTCGCACGTAGAACTTTGATCGCACTGAAGCTGAAAGGGGAAGAGGGTCTGTAAATTTGTAACTTACTGCCTTGTAGGGAAAAAACCCTAACATTTACGTGCGTATTATCGCATTTAATTCTCCCTTCAACTCCCCCATCTCCCACTTAAACAGCCAAGGAAATAGAGGTTCAAAGAGATCAAGTACCTCGCCCAGGGCCACTGGCGAGTTAGACAGGACGCACCTGTCCTGTCCGAGGCTTTCAAAGCCTCGTTTAAGGGCTTGCGGACCCTCAGACGACTCGGGAGTGGTCATGTAAGGGGCGCCCCGGGGAGGGTGTCTCCTCTCCCGGTTTACGGGACCTAACGTACAGAGGTGGGGAAGGCAAGGACCCAAAGTCCATTTACAAAGGCCAAGAGTGGTCAGGTTGAACTTGGATAAGTGCTAGAGGCGGGTGATGGGGAGCAGAGAGCCCTGCGTAGGGGACAGGCGTGGGCTGGGCCTTGGGTCGTCTGCCGGCGAAGGTCACTGCAGGACGAACCCGGGCCGCTGCCGCCTCCTGCACCCGTGGGCTGGGTCCGCCTTAGGAGGGGTAATCTGAGGGTCGAGTCGGCCTGCACGAGGAGGATACTCACGGCCGCTCGGGAGCCTGGCGGGGGCCAGCAGCCGGGAAAGGGGACGCAGCAAGGCGGACGGCGCCATCTTGCGTGGCCCAGCTCAGTCTCTCCGAGTTGGCAACAGAACCAGCGCCACCTGGCGGCCGGAAGTGCGGGACTCGAGGGCTCTGCAGCAGAGCTCCGTGGGGGCGTCAACGTGAATTCCAGCACGGCAAGGTTCTCTAGCACCCCGGCCTCAGCCTTCTGTCTATACAGTGGAATTAGGAAGAAAATAATTAAAAGAAAAAAGAGTTTACCTATTCTCTGTCCTCTGGGGGTTTTTCACCCCATCTCTACGGCTATTCATCAAGAGGTTTATTAAAATTTTCCTACATGAGCCAGAAGAAAGAAAAGTGTCGTGCTGAATAATAACTAGCATTTGGATTGAATTCTGTGGTCCAGGCACGGTGCATTAATGTATCATATGGTTTACATTCATTGTCTTATTTCATCTTCAAAACGAGCACATATCATGCCGTGGTTATAAGCCTCAATTTACAGATGAAGCTTAAAGAAGACAGCTACTCATCCAAGGTGACATATTATATTTTACAGTTGAAAAGATCTCTTAACACTTACCACTTACACTCACGATCATACTGAAGCCTCACAAACCTGTGAAGTAGAATTAGTGCCTTAGGTAGGCTTAAGATCACACAGATGGCAGAGGTGGGATACAGTTTGAGGTCTTCTGACTCCAGATCTAGTGATCCTCATTAGCCCACCTAACAGACTTGGACCACCCTAGACCATAAGCTGTAGAATCAGCGTTCAAAGCCATTCTGCTCACCACTTTTTAGCTCTATGATTTCTAGGCAAATTACTTAACCTCTCTATACCTAAGTTTTACATCTGTAACATAAAACCTATAGGGTTGCTGAGAAGCTTAAACAAGTGTCTGGTAGTAGTAAACAATTTATTTGGTTTTGCCTATTAAAGACATCGTTCTGAGGAATAGGTTTTATCTTGCACAGTTGAGCCAGATCTTTGTACATTCAATTCAGTTCAATCTGATGTCTAAAGACCAGTAAAAATATTTATAGGTAACAGACAATACATTTTGACCCTTTAAAACTAATCCTTTAAACTTTATGTCATTAATTTTAAAACCAAAATAAATGTTAGCAAATCTCCTATATTCTCTTTAGCAATGTTATTTTAAGATCTTTTTTAACCAAAAATTATTGACCAAAAAGTCAATTAATTGCACTGTGTTTTCTGGCTCATTTTAACATGCAAATGGTGGCTAAATGGATTGCTAAATTGTGAGTCACTTTAGTTTGTAACCTAGTTTGAGCCTCCTGGACTCATGCTCAAGTAAGTAAACTACCCAATGAATGTGCTGAGCCAGTTGTTGGTTCGCCACTTATTGTCCACTCAGCAACCTGTCAGTTGTATATCCTTTCTACACCATCCGTTGGAAGCTTGTCCTGATGAAGCTTTTGCTAGTATCCAACAAGTTGAAACAGATGCTATCTTTAGTCAGAGTATTCAGAACCAGTAAGCAAATTACTAATTTCAGTACTGCTATTGAGAAAGACTGCTTTGTTCTTTTTCAGAGCTTTGGCCCTTGTATCCTTTTACTAGTGTGTATTTTGGGAAAGTGATGAAGTATAAGCACATTTTTCTCACCATATTAGAGCTGATGGGAACTGTACACTTGGAGTACCCAGCTGTATGTGAAACTGCATCTAGAAAAGAATCCTGATTAAGTAATTCCAGCTAGGAACTAATATCTATAATATTTTGTTAGAAGTTGCTTCATAACATTCATGTAAGCATCTTCAGAATTTGAACACTAAAATCTTATTTATGATCCAGGTGAAAAGAGAGAGGATTTGAGTTAGCAGCTAGAAAAGCAAAGTTTCAGTCCAAGATTTTTCCACTGGGAAAAAATCACATCTCCCAAGGAAGGTAAAAAAAGAGCAAGAATTGAAAAACAGTATAAAATGCAAAAAACAAAACAAAAAATCCCTATTTTTATTGATACAGCATGCATGAGAATACTATGAATCAAACTTAGGACTTGGGCCAGTCACAGTGGCTCAGGCCTCTAATCCTAGCACTTTGTGAGAACAAGGTAAATGGATTGCCTGAGTCCAGGAGGTCAAGACTGGCCTGTGCAACATAGGTAGATAACTATCTCTACAAAATGATTTTTTAAAAAATTAGCTGGGTGTGGTGGTGCATGTCTGTGGTTCCAGCTACTCGGGAGGCTGAGGTTGGAAGATCGCTTGGACCTGGGAGGTGAGGCTACAGTAAGCCAAGACTCTGCCACTGTACTCCAGCCTCGGTGACACAGTGAGACCCTGTCACAAAAACAAAACAAAAGAAAAAAACCAACAACCTCCCACCTCCCCACACACCAAGATGTATCTATAAGTTTTTATTTTTTAAGACTCAGCAGCTGGGCGCCCTGGCTCACGCCTGTAATCCCAGCACTTTGGGAGGCCGAGGCGGGCGGATCACCTGAGGTCGGGAGTTCAAGACCAGCCTGACCAACATGGAGAAACCCTGTCTCTACTAAAAATACAAAATTAGCCGGGCATGGTGGTGCATGCCTGTAATTCCAGCTACTCGGGAGGCTGAGGCAGGAAAATCGCTTGAACCCAGGAGGCAGAGTTGCGGTGAGCTGAGATCGCACCATTGCACTCTAGCCTGGGCGACAAGAGCGAAACTCTGTCTCAAAAAAAAAAAAAAAAAAAAAGATTCAGCAGCAGGCCGGGCGTTGGGGCTCACATCTATAATCCCAGCACTTTGGGAGGCTGCGGTGGGTGGATTGCTTAAGCCCAGGAGTTCAAGAGTAGCCTGGGCAACATTGAGAAATCCTGTCTATACACACACACAAAAAAAACCCAGAAGCAATAGCAAATTGTTAACATTTGTTAAATCTAGGTGACAAATACATGAATTTCTTTTATATTCTTTTTTTTTTTTTGGAACAAGGTCTCAGCTCTGTTGCCCAGGCCGGAGAGCAGAGGTGTCATCACAGCTCACTGCAGTCTCGACCTCTGGGGCCGAAGGAATCTTCCCACCCAAGCCCACAAAGTAGCTGGGACTACAGGCTCACAGCACCACACCTGGCAAATTTTAAAATTTTTTTGTAGAGACAGGGTCTCACTATGTTGCCCAGGTTGGTCTCAAACTTCTGGGCTCAAGCGATCTTCCTGCCTCAGCCTCCCAGTGTCGGGATTATAGGTATGAGGCATTATGCCTGGCCTATGTTTTTTTTTTTGAGATGTAGTCTCACTCTGTTGTCCAGGCTGGAGTGCAGTGGTGCGATCTTGGCTCACTGCAACCTCCACCTCCCAGGTTCAAGCGATTGTCTTGCCTCAGCCTCCTGGATAGCTGGGGTTACAGGCACGCACCACCACACCCGGCTAATTTTTGTATTTTTAGTAGAGACGGGGTTTCACCATGTTGGTCAGGCTGGTCTTGAACTCCTGACCTTGTGATCCGCCCGCCTCAGCCTCCCAAAGTGCTGGGATTACAGGTGTGAGCCACCAAGCCCAGCCTTTTTTTTTTTTTTAAATAAGATCCAAGTACTTAATAAGATGTAACAGTCTCAATAGAGAACATCTTACATATATGGAGAAATTTCACTCAACATATCCCTTTTGTAGAATTAAAGTTTGCAAGGTAAATGATTTTATTTCTTTCTTTTTGGTTAATATTTTTTAGAGTTAGCATTTGGAACATAGTGACATGCAAGCACATGGGGTAAGATGAATTAACTATCATCAGCAGCAGCAGCGGCAGCATATAGCCTTGGATATGTTAACTTTCTGAAAGCATGGCTGTTACTTACAGTATAACTCAAATGGGATCTCTATTTGTGAAATTGTGGTGATCAGAGTAAATATATATTTTTTTATTCAATTCAGGCTACTGTGTGGTCAGACTGTTATCTGTAGGTGCATTTTAACTAGCAAATGAATCAGTTAAATGTTGAATCAGACTAGTATTTGCCGAGCCTTTAAAATTGCCATTTCTTTGTCATCACCCAAAAAGAATGTAACATTTGCCAAACTCTATTTCTGGCTCATCTAATCAGGTACTCAGGTTCTGGTGGAAGCTACTGATTGTTTCAAAGACCAGAAATTTTCTTCCTCTGAAGGAAAATAGAATATTCTTTACAGGAGAAATTTAGAGAACTATAGCAAATAGTATTGCTGTAGGGATTTTTGGATATGAAGCCAGAAATTTGGATATGAAGCCAGAGATTTGGAAATCCAAGCTAAAACTATCAACTGCATTTAGACTATTTTTTCTGTCTTTCAATAGTTCAGACAGTTGAAAGATCTCTTGGGGCAGTGAATTTTGCAGGTTATTACTAAGTAACAGCTTAAAAATGAATTATAAGCTTGTTCTTAGTTTTATAAAGTTAAGGTTAAAATACTGGCCATATTTCAAACTGAAACATAGTTTCCTGTATATATGATTTTTCTCAAACTTTTGAAGAGAGATCACAGAATTTAAGGAAACTCCAGGATTTGACTGTTAAAAACCTTATTTATGACCCCGGTGAAGGGCGAGGACAATCAATATAGCAGCTACAAAACCCAAGTTTATATTGGGAAACATGTATCTCAACTCACACCTTTCAGGGACAGTTAAGAGAAGTTTGAAAATTAAAATATCTTTGCAAATAAATTTAAAACAGTAAAAAACACGCACATATTGTTTAATAATTCATGATGCAAAGAATGCTACAGAGTGAAATCAGGATTTGGAAAGAGGTAATCAAAAACCAAAGGTTAAAAGTGGCTCATATAACTTGAAAATTTTTAGATCAATGGAATGCCACTTTGAAAAAGTTTTACGGTCAGCTGTTAATGAAATGACTTACATTTTTGGAAGGACTCCTATTCGGTATGTAGTCTGACCTCGCCTACTCGAGTAGTTCCCTCTAGTATCCTTGCCAGTCTTTGGCTTCTAAGATCTGAGAATTTCTGGGGATGGGGAGTTCGAGTCACAATATTAAGAACTAGTTTGAAGCCAGCTCCAGGGTAGTCTGTCTTTAAGTCTCCACTACTCCGCTCCAAGGTGACTCATAAGGTCGGTCCGTCAACTCTGCATTATATGGCCTCAACAACGAAATTAAAACACATACTTTAACCTCCAGAGCCTCCTTTGGCAGTGCAAATATGTCACTTCGGATCTGACTAACTACCTTTCCAGGCTGATCTTAAGCAACATTCACCAAATTACCGATACGACAGCCAGGCCCATTTCATCGGTCAAGCTCTTTCACGATTTCCAGACTCTGTTAAGCCCCTTTCTCCCCAGGGCTGTTAACAAGTCTCCACTGCGGTGAAGCTTTTTTCATTTTCCACTCCGCCTCTGCTCCTTAAATTAGGCATTTCGTCCATAATCAACTACAGCGCTTCTCAAACACCTACACCTGTATTTTAGCACTTTGGGCTCAAACGATGATCACACAGTGTGCGAGACTCTTTCCAAGGAATGAAAGGTCGATCTAGCAGGAAGGCGCCAGAGAGGCTGTTTTTGATGAGGAGGCGGTCTGAACCGTACTTGCCTAGCCTCCCGTAGCTCCGCGGGCGCTTCGAGGGTACCACGCACTGAAATGATGGGCGGGGCCTGCCCCGACCCTCCCGGCCTCCACAGGCAGGCCAGCCTCCAGGTTTCCCGGCAAGCTCCGAAACCCAGAGGAGGTGGGGAAAGGAGGTCACCGCGCCTGCGTGTTAGGAAGCGTGACCCGGGTGGGAAAACCCTCCGCGTCCGCCATTTTGGCTGCCTCTGTCGGTCTGTTCAGTTACCACGTGAACCGCCGACGGAGACCCGTAGTGGGGGAGGCGGCGGCAGCGTTAAGTGAGAAAGGAAAAAAGACAACGAGGAAAAAGGAGGTGTCCGGGTAGGGCAACGCGGCGACACCCGAGGCCTGGTGGTGGCGGCGGATCGAGATATTCAAGGCTGAAGCAGCTACGGAACGGCAGCGGCGGCGGTCGGACAAACTGACTGACCGAGCCGGGTGGTGGCGGGAGCAGCGGGAGCAGCCGGAACGATGCCGGCCGTGAGCCTCCCGCCCAAGGAGAATGCGCTCTTCAAGCGGATCTTGGTAAGTGTGAGGCTCCGGGCAAGCGGTGGGGAGGATTTAGCCGGTAACCGGGCCTGTCACCCCTAACCTCGGCCCGGCGGGCACTGAGCCACTCCCGCCCGGGACCCCGCCTTCATAGCTCTCGTCAGGCCGAATGCATTGCTTTGCTCCCTCTCTGTGGTTCCTACTATGGCCCGCGCGCCAGGGACCACAGGCTTCTTCATTCCATCCCCACGCTTGAGGCCCTGGTTCCGGACTAGGCCCCGACCTCCCGGCTTCTAGACTGCCGGTTCTCATTCTCCCCGATCTGGGGGAGAAGAGGCCCGGCCTTTGGCGGGCAAGTGGGCGACACCGGCAGGAGTCGCGGCCCGGTTGGTGTGGGAACCCTGCTGGCAGGTCGGGGTGGCACCCTTGGAAGGAACAGGTGGTGCGGATGCAGCAGGCTCATTCATTGCCTAAACGCGGTTCTCCCTCCATCATCTGTCCCTCCCTCTTCCTCCTCTCTTGGGATTCACCTGTCTCCGCCCGGCCCGGGGTCACCCAATGACCTGAGAGGAGGGAAAGAAGGAGTTCAGAGAAGGAAAGAAAGCTTTTCAAACGACTACCTCCTTGTAGTCAGTTGCATACTGGAGTCTTCAGCTCCTCTGCCTCCGTTGTTCTCGTTTCTGGAGTAGGGATGAGGCATTTATTTCTTAGTTTCCGAGCGGGAAACAGCCCCACCCCGTCACTCTTCTCGGGAGGTGGGGCCCATTGCGAGGGGGCGGTTCGGTAGGAAGTAAAAAGTTGAGTCTTTAGTTGAAACGTTGCAGACCTAGACTTTTCTTATACACTGAAGTATATTAACACATGCAAAAACTTACCAGAGAAATGAGAATATAAGAACTTTTGAGATGGATTTTGTTGACGCTAGCTCAGACTTATTCCCTACGGTTCAAATGTGTGCAGTTTGTATTTTTTTAAACCATAAATGCATTGATGTTTGCAGGGACTGTTTACATTGTAAAATATGTCCTGTAGCCTTGGAGCTATAATTAACACATTGTAGCACATTTTTTGTTTGGCATTTAGTATGTGGGTTCCCCCTTTCACGCAAACGTTTCCTTATGATAGAATTAACTGTATTTGCCAAATTTAAGACTTTTAAAATTTGGGATGTGTGTGTGAAAGTGTTAGCCTTTTCCCCCGCAGTTATAATTTATTTCACCTGTTTGAAAAGTAGAACAACTCTGGGGATTCAGTTTTTCTAGAAATGAATAATCATCCATTTGAACTAACTTTGATTTTACAAAAGTGTCCATATGCCCTACAGATTTAGTGAATTCATTTTGAAAAACATTAGAAAGTCACATGCAGTGTCGCAAAACTGTTACCTTGAAATTCTTACTGGAATTTTGTTTTGTTTTAAGACTAAGAGTGTAGGTGGAGCTGTAAAATAGTTTTAGGAAAAAAGTTACTTTTAAACCCTTAAAAAGACTAATTGGTGTGCAGGTAGAACTGTAACATAAGTTTAGAATAGCAATTTATCTTTAATCTCTTTTTCACAATTCTTTATTTTGAAAAAAATGAAACTGAAAAGTTGAGAGAACAAGGAACACTCATAAACCTTTACTTATATTTATTTGCCATATATGCTTTCTCTCTCCCTATGTATATGTATATATACATTTGTATAAAAGTAAGTTGTAGATGTAAAATTTATCTCTAGGCTGGGCACGGTGTCTCATGCCTGTAATCCCAGCACTTTGGGAGGCTGAGGCAGATGGATCACTTGAGGTCAGGAGTTCGAGACCAGGCTGGCCAACGTAGTGAAATCCTGTCTCTACTGAAAATACAAAAATTAGTCAGGCATGGTGGTGTTCGCCTGTAGTCCCAGCTACTAGGGTGGCTGAGGCACAAGAATCGCTTGAACCCGGGAGGTGGAGGTTGCAGTTCCAGCCTTGGCAACAGAGGAAGACTGTCTCAAAACAAAAACAAAAAACTTCATCTCTAAATACTTAAGCAAGCATCTCCTAAGAATAAGGACATCGTCTTGTATACTTATAACAATCATTCTCTAATATTGTCTAATATCTGGTTCATATGGAGATTTTCTCAAGTGTTAGCACTTTTTTTTGTTTGTTTGTTTGAGACGGAGTCTCGCTCTGTCGCCCAGGCTGGAATGCAGTGGCGCGATCTCGGCTCACTGCAAGCTCCGCCTCCTGGGTTGACGCCATTCTCCTGCCTTAGCCTCCCAAGTAGCTGGGACTACAGGTGCCCGCCACCACGCCTGGCTAATTTTTTGTATTTTTTAGTAGAGACGGGGTTTCACCATGTTAGCCAGGATGGTCTCAATCTCCTGACCTAGTGATCCGCCCGCCTCGGCCTTCCGAAGTGCTGCTATTACAGGCGTCAGCCACCGCACCCGGCCAAGTGTTAGCACTTTTTAAATAAATCAAACTTTTAATTTTGAGAAGACTGTAATAATCACGTAGTTTAAGGAATAATACAGTGCACTTTACTCAGTTTTCCCAACACTAATACCTTGCAAAACCATGGTTCATTATTATAACATTGATACAATCCACCAGTCTTATTCAGATTTCCCCACTTTACTTGTACACGCGTGTGAGTGCTCGCGCACGCGGGTGCAGTCATCCCTTGGTATCTGTCGGGGGTTGATTTCAGGATCCCGCGAGATTCCAAAATTTGCAGGTGTTTGAGTCCCTTATGTAAAGTGGTGTAGTATTTGCATATAACCTATGCGAATGTATACTTTAAATATCTCTAGATTACTTATAATACCTAATGCAATATTACTGTTATATAGTTATACTGTATTTTAAAAATTTGTATTTTTTATTGTATTTTTAAAAATAGTTTTTACCTATGGATGCAGACACCAAGGATAATGAGAGCTGACTGTATTTACTTCTATGCAGCGTTATCCCATGTATAGATTGCACCACTACAATTAGGCTACAGAACAAGTTCCTTCAGTCCAAAGTACCCCCCTCTGTTGCCCTTTTAGAACCACATCCATTATCTCTCCCACCGCCCTCCCATCCCCTCTCGCTGCAGGCTCCAGCAACCGGTACATGTCCTCTATTTGTATAATTTTGCCATTCTTTTGGGTTTAGAGATAGAGTCTTCCTCTGTTGCCCAGGCTGGAGTGTAGTGGCTATTTATAGGCTCTATCAAAAGGGCACTGTAACCTCAAACTACTGGACTCAAGCAGTCCTCCCGCTTCAGCCTCCGGAGTAGGGGGGATCACTACAGGGCTACTACATCCAGCTAATAGTTTATTCCTTTTTATTGCCAAGTAGTATTCCATGATATGGATGTACCACAGTGTGTTTAACCATCCATATAATAGCAATTTTTGATTAAACATCTTAATTTTTTTGTGGTAGTGTTAGTGGGGCAAAAACCTGTAAGTTTATTGCCAAAATCACAGTGCTGAAGATCTATTGATAAGTTATATGTGAGAGAAATGTGGAAGTCACTAAATGAAGGAAGAGTAAAGGAGCTAAAATGTCCTTATTGTTCTCATACATTAGGAATGAAGAAAGTGTTACTGACCAAAAGGATAGTATTGATTTTTTGAAATTGCTTCTGTTTCTTGAGATTTGATAGTAAGTTAGTGCTTTTAAGATTTTTTTTTTTTTTGCCCGGTCTGATAAAGGAAATGTTGGACATAATGTGATGTGTGTGCTCTATGTAATCAAGTGTTGCTAGGTTGGTAACTTGTTGTTTTTTTTTTTTTTTGAGACGGAGTTTCGCTTTTGTTGCCCAGGCTGGAGGGCAATGGCATGATCTCGGCTCACCGAAACCTCTGTCTCCCGGGTTCAAGCAGTTCTGCTTCAGCGTCCTGAGTAGCTGGGATTACAGGCGTGTGCCACCACACCTAGCTAATTTTGTATTGTTAGTAGAGATGGGGTTTCTCCATGTTGTTCAGGCTCGTCTCAAACTCCCAGCCTCAAGTGATCCACCCGCCTTGGCCTCCCAGAATGCTGGGATTACAGGCCTGAGCCACTGCTCCTGGCTGCTTGGTAACTTGTTAAATCATTCCTGCAGCATTCAACTTTTGAGCTGCTACTTTGTTAGTTGTACTGTACTTGTTATGATAAACTTAAGTAGGAAATACAGTTAGTTTGTATTTCAAAATAAACATTTTTTTCCTTAAATTTTTAATGGAAACCTGCTTTACACATAAGTTTGCAAAAATTTTAGAGTTTCTGCAGTGGATTTGCCTGGCTTGATCTAGTCTAGTTGATCTCTAAAATTCAGTTTTGTTGTATATTTTTCTCTTTTTTCCAATATTACTCTTCTGTTTTCTGACTAAAGCATTGTCCTAAGTTAGTCAAAATGCTTGCATAATGTTTCTTGCTGATAATTTGTCTAGAAAAAGGATGGGATGAATTTAATGTGACATATACTATGTAAGAGTTTATTTTATTTTGTTTGTTTTTTGAGACAGTTTTGCTCTGTCACCCAGGCTGGAGTGCAGTGGTGTGATCTTGGCTCACTGCAACCTCCACCTCCTGGGTTCATGCCTCAGCCTCCCAAGTAGCTGGGATTACAGGCGCCTGCCACCACACTCGGCTAATTTTTTTTTTTGTATTTTTAGTAGAGATGGTGTTTCACCATGTTGGCCAGGCTGGTCTTGAACTAGTGACCTCAAGTGTTCTGCCTGCCTCGGCCTCCCAAAGTGCTGGGATTACAGGCATGAGCCACTGCACCTGGTCCTATGTAAGAGTTTAAGGAAGACTTGTGTTTGCCAGAAGCTGGTTTTTTTTTTTTTGGTCTGGTTTTTTTTTTGTTTTGTTTTGTTTTGTTTTGTTTGTAATTACAAACTTTTAACTTATTTGGAAAATTAAGTCATTAGAAAATTGTGGCCTTTGCCTACTGTTGATGCTATTTGTTTATCTAAAAGTTTGAGGAGGTTACCAGATATTTATACCACTTTGTTAGGATCTAGGTTAAGGGTAGGAAAAATGAGGTTGCCAGAGTAGAACAAAATCCACACCTTAGATTTTAACCTGCTTGGAAAAGATGGACATATCCTAATGCCTTTCAATCAAGTATTGGTAGGTTGGTTGCTGTTGCTGCTGCTTCCTTCTCTCTTTTTTGCTCTTCAAATGTTAATGTCAGTTATAAGAAAAATCTAAGTTGGGAATAGTTAAAATATTGTACATCAATAAATGTAGTTTTGGACTTTAGCCTGAATGATTTAAATTGTTAGTTGTAAGTGTTAAAGGACAGAATTTTTCTTTCCTAGAAAAGTGGTGAGAGAAGTTAAAATAGCATGATGATTATGTTTGTGATTTGTCACTATTTGCCAGGTAAAATGAGAAATCTACCATTTGCCAGGCTCTGCTCTAGGTGCTTTAGAATAGCACTGCACAGTAGAATTTTCTGTGATGATGGAAATATTTGTTATCTGCTCTAATATGATAGCCATTGGCCATGTGTAGGTTTGTTTTTTGTTGTTTTTGTTAAGACAGGGTCTAACTCTATCACACAGTCTGGAGTGCAGTGGTTTGATCACGGCTCACTGCAGCCTCCACCTCCCGGGCTCAAGCTATCCTCCTAGCTCAGTCTCCCGAGTAGCTGCGACTACAGGCGTGCCACCACGCCTGGCTAATTTTTGTATTTTTGGTAGAGACGGGGTTTCGCCATGTTGGCCAGGCTAGTCTTGAACTCCTGGGATCAAGCAGTCCTCCTGCCTTGGCTTCCCAAAGTGCTGGGATTACAGATGTGAGCTACTGTGCCTGGCCTGGCCACATGTAATTATTGCACACTTGAAATATGGCTAGTGCAACTGAGGAAATGAATTTTTAATTAATCTTAATTTAAATTCAAATAGTCACATGTGGTGAATGGTTACCGTTTTGGACACAGCATGCTTTATTTAGAGTCCTTTCTTAATTCTCAAAACTTTTCAAGGTGGGGACATTTTTATTAAGCAAACAGACTGAGATTAAGGTCAACAGCTAGTGTTAGTTACAGTCTGGAATAAAACTTTTTTTCTTTTCAGGGCACTTAACATCACACCTGCCTAGTGTTTAACTATTTAGGGGAGGGGTGTAGGAGGAGGGTGAGGGAATTGTTAGGCAAAGGAGTAGTAATACTTATTAGGTGGCTGTATACATTGTATAATAAGTAAATTATTATTATTATTATTATTTTTTTGAGACGGAGTCTCACTGTTGCCCAGGCTGGAGTGTAGTGGTGCAATCTCGGCTCATTGCATGCTCTGCCTCCCGGGTTCACGCCATTCTCCTGCCTCAGCCTCCTGAGTAGCTGAGACTACAGGCACCTGCCACCACACCCAGCTAATTTTTTGTATTTTTAGTAGAGACGGGGTTTCACCGTGTTAGCCAGGATGGTCTCGATCTCCTGACCTCCTGATCTGCCCGCCTTGGCCTCCCTAAGTGCTAGGATTACAGGCATGAACCACCGCGCCCGGCCCATTGTATAATAGGTAAATTATTTTATGTGATTTATTTTCTTTGGGAAAGTTAATGTTTCTGCTAGTTAATGATACTTAGTTTAGCTTCAGTTGCTGATGAAATTTAGATTAGGAATTGTTAGCAAGTAGGTGTCCATATGCACATGAAAGTTTAACTGATTAATTTCTTTGTGACAGAATTCCAGTTTTGCAACTAAGAGTGGACAGTAACTTTGAAATTGGTTTTAATATACTTTTGCTTGTACTTCATATATTTAGAATATAACAAAAAATCAAAAAATGGAAACAAAGTTTGGTCTGTTCTGAAATCCCATTCAGCTCTTAGTAGTTAATCATAAGTTTATTTATTTTTTTGAGATGGAGTCTCACTTTTGTCGTCCAGGCTGGAGTACAGTGGCGTGATCTCAGCTCACTGCACTCTCCGACTCACTGCAACCTCCACCTCCCAGGTTCAAGTGATTCTCCTGCCTCAGCCTCCCCAGTAGCTGGGATTACAGGTGTCCACCACCACACCCAGCTAAGTTTTATATTTTTAGTACAGACAGGGTTTCGCCATGTTGGCGAGGCTGGTCTCAGACTGCTTACCTCGGGTGATCCACCCACCTCAGCCTCTCCCAAGTGCTGGGATTACAGGCGTGAGCCACCGCACCCTGCCGGTAATCGTAAATTTAAACTCGGATAAATTATCCCTTAAAAGTATACCAGAAAACAAAATGCAGTTTTGCTATTTTATATATGTGTATATAATGTGTATATAATTATTATAAAAATTACAAAATGATTTTTCTGTAAAAATCGAGTGAGGGCCGGGCACAGTGGCTCACGCCTGTAATCCCAGCACTTTGGGAGGCTGAGGCGGGTGGATCACCTGAGGTCAGGAGTTAGAGACCAGCCTGGCCAACATGGTGAAACCCCGTCTTTACTAAAAATACGAAACTTAGCTGGGCGTGGTTGCAGGCACCTGTAATCCCAGCTACTTGGGAGGCTGAGGCGGGAGAATTATTTGAACCCAGGAGGTGGAGGTTGCAGTGAGCCGAGATCGCGCCATTGCTCTCCAGCCTGGGGGACAAGAGTGAAACTTCGTCTCAAAAAAAAAAAAAAAAATCTAGTGAGAAGTGAAAATCTTTTAATAATGTGGTAAATTTATTCTTTGCTTGCTTTTTAAGTGTGTGTGTGTGTGTGTGTGTGTGTGTGTGTGTGTGTGTGTGTCCAGGATTTCACTGTGTTGCCCAGGCTAGTCCTGAGCTCAGGTGATCCTCCTGCTTCAGCCTGCCAAGTAGCTGAGATTATGGTACATGCTACTGCGCCTGGCCTGTTTGCTTACTTTTTAATTTTTGTCTTTCTGGAGTGAGATGCAGTATGAATGAACAAATATATGTTTTTGTTTTAAACTGACAGCATATATTTTTAAAATTCTGTATTGTGTTAGAAACCTGAAATGTTTTAAAAAATATTTTTTAAAAATTCTTTTGCGTCAATAGAGTGGGTTAAAAATACTTGTTTGTGCAGAGTGACCACAGTTCAGTTTTCAATAGTAGTAGATGGACAACACTATATTTTCAGAAAAGCAGACTAAAGCTTAAAAGGGAACTGAATTTAATGTTCCATTTTTTAGATGTGTCAAAGTCTTGCAGTCCTGGGTCATTATTGGGGCTCAAACTAGTTATTTGATGATAATAGAATTGCCATCCAAACTATTGGAGCGCTGGTTAATGAACAGTTTCCAGAGGGGCGGGCATGGTGCTCGGTGTGATTGGGGGACTGGAGAGATACTGTCCAGCTGGCCTCAACTGAAGGGATCCCTCTCCTTAGTGTGCAGTCTTATATCTTTTAATATTTCTGCTTCTGACAATGAAGTTCTGACAGAGCATTGATTCAAATATATCTTCTTTCTTCATAAAAACATTTTTGGGCCGGGCGCGGTGGCTCACGCCTGTAATCCCAGCACTTTGGGAGGCCGAGGCGGGCGGATCACGAGGTCAGGAGATCGAGACCATCCTGGCTAAAACGGTGAAACCCTGTCTCTACTAAAAATACAAAAAATTAGCCGGGCGTAGTGGCGGGCGCCTGTAGTCCCAGCTACTTGGGAGGCTGAGGCAGGAGAATGGCGTGAACCCAGGAGGCGGAGCTTGCAGTGAGCCGAGATCCCGCCACTGCACTCCAGCCTGGGCGACAGAGCGAGACTCCGTCTCAAAAAAAAAAAAAAAACATTTTTGGACATAAAAAGCTATGTCGTATAAAGGATCATATGCAAAGGACTGTTCAGAATTTTCTCCCCCAGATACCTGTGTGACTCATTTTTCTTATTTGTTTTAGGACTTCTGCTCAGATGTCCTTTATTTTTAATTTTAAATTTATTTTTATTATTATTTTTTGAGACAGGGTTTTGCTCTGTCACTCAGCCTAGCATGCAGTGGCACAATTTTAGTTTACTTCAGCCTCTGCCTCCTGGGTTCAAGTGATTCTCCTGCCTCAGCTTCCTGAGTAGCTGGGATTCCAGGTGCCTCCTACCACACCTGGCTAATTTTTGTATTTTTAGTACAGGCGGGGTTTCACCATGTTGGCCAGGCTGGTCTTGAACTCCAGGCCTCAGGTGATCCACCTGCCTCGGCCTCCCAAAATGCTGGAATTACAGGTGTGAGCCATTATGCCTGGCCTAATTTAAAAAATTTTGAGACAGAGTCTTACTCTGTTGCCCAGGCTGGAGGGCTGGAGTGCAGTAGTGTGATCTCGGCTCACTGCAACCTCTGTCTCCTGGGTTCAAGCGATTCTCCCACCTTAGTCTTCTGGGTAGCTGGGACTACAGGCACATGCCACCATGCCTGGCTAAACAGGTGTCCTTTAAATGTTATTTAGAGACCTTCCTTGGCTAGCAGTCAGTCCTTCTCACCTTATTTTCTTATTTCTTACTTTATTCTCATTTATCAGCTTCTGACATACATTTACTTTTATGTTTATCACGTTTTCCACAATTAAAATGTAGGGTTTATGAAGATAAGGACGTCTGTTAATGGCTCTATTCACATTGGTTAAAATGATGTACCATAGTAGATGTTTAATAAATATTTGTTATGTGAAGTGAGTGTGAAAATAGTGATTACAGGGCAAGAGAGAAAAAGATCTTTGGATTGTGTGCTTGCATAAATTTTTGGAGAAGGGAGTTAAGCTGGGCTTTGGCATTACAGAGTACATTAGTGTATGAAATAATTGTAGGATATTGGGCAGAGCCTATATTATGGTAAGACTTTGAAGTTTAATTTATAAATGAATTATAGTATTTGTTTATATAGCCTTTCATCACAAAAGCATAATAAGAGGAAAATTTTGTTATTGTTTCTTTGGTTTTGGCATTGGAGGAGAAATGGTATCAGGATTAAATGAGTTTGTTGTGAGGAGCCTGCTGCTGTATTAGAATCTTCAGATAGTAGGGCTCAGCCATACGTCATTTCATAAAGCTTTACAACCGATTCTGACACGAAGTCAGGGTTGATGACCACTATATATGATATTAAGAAATAGACCTGTTATAAAATTTAAAATATAAAATGTTAGAAGAGCTGGGCGCAGGGGTGCATGCCAGTTACTCAGGAGTCTGAGGCAGCAAGATTGGTTGAGCTCAGGAGTTGAAGGCTATAGTTTGTGATTATTGCGCCTGTGAATTGCTACTGCACTCCAGCCTGGGCACCATAGCGAGACTCTATCTCTTTAAAAAAAAAATTTGAGGGAAAGTAATCGTAGTGTTAGAGTTGCTTTGTGTTTTTCAGAAAATTTAAAAATCAAGTTTAATTCTTGGTATGCTGGGAAGCTGATGTGGAAGAGAGAACAAGTCACATAACAGTGAGCTTAGCCAGCAATCAGCATTCATATCTAAATACAATTTTGCTCTCTATTTACAGGCAATATCCTGTTGAGGAGACAAACTTAAGATTCTTAGTGAGAAATAGTTCTGAAAAGAATGTCAGTTGCCAATTCTGATAGTAAGAAGGGTGAGTGAAGAGGCTTAAATTCAGTAATAGTTCTCAGTGTAAATGTTAGGGTGTGGAAGGAATTTTATGCTGTGGTTGTATTCTTGACTTTTGGAAATTTCCCTGAAATGCCAGCTGTAGGCTTAAACATCTAAGTTGTTTTATGATACATGCTGTACAAACTTGTATTAAAGTTGTAACTTTAAGAACACTAGTCTAACTTGTTGCCTGTGGTTTTTTTCCTCCTAGGTAAGATAGGAAATTATATTGTTCACTACTTAATATGGCATTAAAATAATCCCTTACACTTTTAACTAAAGCAATCTTTTCTTTCCTTGTTATTTAGAAGTAAAATAGCTTGTAATCCCATCGCTTTGGGAGGCCAATGTGGAAAATCTCTTGAAGTCGGGAGTTTGAGACCAGCCTGGGCAACATAGCAAGGCTCTGTCTCTGTAAAAAATGAAAAAGTTACTTGGATGTGGTGGTGGTGCAAACCTGTAGTCCTAGCTACTTGGGAGGCTGAGGTGGAGGACCGCTTGAGCCTAGGAGTTCAAGACTGCAGTGAGCTATCATCATGCCACTGCACTCCAGCCTGGGTGACAGAATGAGACCTTGTCTGGGGGGGAAAAAAAAAGTAAAATAAAAATTGCAGTGTAAGAATTAAATGATGGACAGGTTGATGTTTTTGTTATCTGATGGGCTCTACTGCACTTTCTTTGGTTAGTATAATATGAACAAATCTTCAGTTGAAATAATGTGAAATTTCTACTGAAACACCTTGGGGAAATAATATTATTTGAAGCCAGTATTATTTTTAATTTTAAAGATTCCATTTGATTTTATTACAGAGGAGATTATGTAAACATTCCTGAGTGGCATCTGTAAGAGTTGTTTTATCTGATTACATAAAAGGAGAAGTGAAAGTTTGCTTTTAAAAACAGTAGACCTAGGGAAAAAAAGCCTGGCCTTGGTTGGTTGTCTCCTTTTACACATGGTTGCTGTTCAAATTCAAAAACTTTTTTTTCCTCTCACAATAAAATGGCTAAAATGGCTTACACTTAAAATGTTACTCTATTTTTCAAAGAGAACTTGTTGGGTAGTACAAGATTACCTTTAATTATCAATGTTTGAGGACCAAGTTAGAATTTTTAAGAAGGGGAACATTAAGCAAAGCAGTATTTATTTAGTATCTATTTTGAGCCAGATTTTATGCTAGACTTTTTACATGTTAGCTGATATAAACTTTGTGACACTCCCTTAAGGAAATTGTAAGTATAGCCAATACTTAATGACTACATTGTTACAGTATATTTCTTTCTTTTTTTTTTTTTTGAGACGGAGTTTCGCTTTTGTTGCCGAAGCTGGAGTGTAGTGGCCGCGTGATCTTGGCTCACTGCAACCTCCGCCTCCCTGGTTCAAGTGATTCTCCTGCCTCAGCCTCCCGAGTAGCTGGGGTTACAGGCATGTGCCTCCATGCCCGGCTAATTTTGTAATTTTAGTAGAGACAGGGTTTCTCCATTGGCTGGCCTCTAACTCCTGACCTCAGGTGATCTGCCCGCCTCGGCCTACCAAAGTGCTGGCATTACAGGTGTGAGCCACCGCGCCCGGCCTGTTACAGTATATTTCTAAATGCTTTATATACAGGTAATTCCACTGTATCGGGACATGGAGATTCCTAAAAGTCGCTGCGCTTTGCAAAATCACGCAATAAAAACCACAGGGCTTATGGGGAAAATGAGTTTGACCACAACATTAAAAAACATTATTAGTGACAGATTAAAAACAAAGATAAGAACTTAAAATGGTAGTACTGTTTTACATATGTTAAATGGTTAACAAATACATAATACTATGATGTAAATATTGCACTTTACCTTGAAAAAGACAGTGCTTGCTTGCAGAAGTGGGCATCTGAAGGATTACAGTTTGTAAATTATTGTGAAGTGGAGAAAGTCAGGTTATCTGAAATCTGATGGTAAGTTGTAACATCAGATGTAGATGGGTGTGGTTCATTGTGGCTCACAACATACAAGGGGATCTGAGGTAGTTGTTTGAGGTGTGTGTCTGGGTGCTGCTGTGCATGCCTATGAGACTTGTTTTGGCTAGGTGCTGTTTTCTGTGTTCATCTAGAGTTTCTAATAGATGAAATTCATAGAAGCAAACATGAAATTTAAAATGTTAAAAATGCTCCCCATGAATTGTGTTGGAGCCAATGTGTGTTTTCAAAACAAGCAATGTAACAGAATTTACCTGTACATGATTTAACTTAGAGTTGTAGAGATCATATATCCTGTGTTTGAGTAGTTCTTAACTCTGAAGTATGGCTGTTTACTAAGAGCCCTAGTCTTGCATCTAATACCTGAGATAGTGCCACATTCTTTGCCGTCTTAGGTTGCCACTGCCACTAAATGAAAACCAAGGAGACTTAAGCATCTTCCAACTGTTTCTTTGTTAGGGAAGCTTTTTTGTTGAGATGGAGTCTCGCTCTGTTACCAGGCTGGAGTGCAGTCGCATGATCTTGGCTTACCTCAACCTCTGCCTCCCGGGTTCAAACAATTCTCCTGCCTCAGCCTCCTGAATAGCTGGGATTACAGGCGTGTGCCACCATGCCCAGCAAATTTTTGTATTTTTAGTAGAAACGGGATTTCACCATGTTGGCCACGATGGTCTCAATCTCTTGACATTGTGATCCGCCTGCCTCGGCCTCCCAAAGTGCTGGGAATACAGGCATGAGCAACCACACCCGGCCTAGAGAAGCGTTCAGTTCAGTTCAGTTTAGTTTAGGTTAGGTTAGGTTAGGTTAGGTTAGGTTAGGTTAGGTTAGGTTAGTTTAGTTTAGTTTAGTTTAGTTTTTGAGACGGAGTCTCGCTCTTTCACCCAGGCTGGAGTGCAGTGGCGCGATCCCGGCTCACTGCAAGCTCTGCCTCGGCCTAGGGAAGCTTTTGATAGAGGCTAATTCATTTTAAAGATTTCTGTGGGAGACCAAGTGACATTTTAAAACCCAGGAAATAGGCCAGGGACGATGGCTCACGCCTGTAATCTCAGTGCTTTGAGAGGCAGAGGTGGGAGGATCACTTGAGCCCAAGAGTTCCAGGCCAGCCTGGGCAATATGGCAAAACCCTATGTGTACAAAAATACAAAAATTAGCCAGGCGTGGTGGTACGTGCCTGTAATCCCCGCTACTTGGCAGGCTGAGGTGGGGGATTGCTTGAGCGTGGCAGGTCCAGGCTTCAGTGAGCAGTGTTCATGCCACTGCACTCCAGCCTGAGTGACAGCGTGAGACCGCGTCTCAAGAACAACAATAACAACAACAACAACGACTCGGCAAATCTGAGTAAAAGAGAAAAGCAGTACTTTTCTAAACTACCTCCCAAATTAGGTAGTGAGATACGTATACAAGTGCATGCCCAATGGTAAAGCACGTGTATTATTAGTACTTGCTCTTTTGTAGATGTAGTCTATTTTAAACCTTAGCTTTTTCACTGAATTGATCTCATCTTTGGTTTATGTTATACTTACTCTGGGTCTTATATTCTGTTTGATGTTTTTATTTGCTTATTTTTTATTTTTATTTTTTACTTAAGAGAGTTTATATTTTCATTAGTTACCTTTATATTATACCTTTAAAAATCCTCTTAGTCTCTCTCTTTTTTAAAAAAAAAAATTTAGGTTTCTTCTATTTGGTTTATCAGCTTTAAATTAGAGCCATTTGGTTTCATTTTCTTACGTGTGAAGTCTTATTCCAGTTTCTTTTTTTTCTGTCTCTTTTCCTGTGATTTTTTGAAGTTATATTTACTTTGTGAGAGTATGTCATTTTACATACTATTCTTCCTCGTCAATACCTTTGTTTTAAATTTAGTACTACAATATTGTTAAAGATTTACAGATCTTTTCTTGAAGTTCTCAATCACTTCTTGGATAAAGCTCATCATCTAGTAGATTCCTCAGGAATGCTTGTGAAACAATTTCTTAAATTTTTACATGTTTAAATTGTTTCCTATATCCTTGATATTTGAAGGACAGCTTGGCTGGATATAAAATATTTGATTCACATCTACCACCTGTTCTGTCTCTTCTATATGTATGACTTTTCTTTGATTCTTTTCACATCTATTTCTTTTTCATTTATGTGAAAGCATTCCTATTTTCTATCTCTTTAGATCATATCTGTTCTCTCTAGGGCATCTTTTGTAATTTAGTCTTCATTTAAGTTCAGTTTGTTCATGTTTTACAAGTTCCTGTTATTTGTCTACTCTGTTTAAAATTTTGAGTTTCTCATTTGAGGTGTTCTTTTATGTCTGCATTTGTTATTTAATTACTTTAAATTTGCGATGGATATGGTGATATTACATCTTTTCTCTGTAAGCGTTTTTGATGTGTTTTCGTCTGCCCAAGTATTTTACTTTTTATTCCTTATAAGTAATTTGGTATGAATGCTGAGTCCTTTTTTCTGTTCAGGTTGTTTGTGCCAGATTTTATTGTACCAACAATATTGTTATCTTATTTTGTCTTATTTTGGTGATGGGGTTAGGGTGGCCTTCTCAGTCTCTTAGTTCAAGAGCATTCTGATTTGTTGCCACAGTGAAATGTAGTTTTAAAAATAAATTAACACCTCCCCCCACCCCCCGCCATAGTTCTGTCTTGTTTTAGTAGGCCATCTATGCTCTGGTCACTTCCTTTTTTTCCTTTATCATCAACCCTCCAAATGACACCTCCTTCTCTCCCAGAAACTGTGCCTTGCTAAAACTGTTGCCTTTGATCTTACATACTTTCTAAGTGTATTTTTGACTTCCCAGTAGCCATTGCTCTCACTGTCATGTATCAGATGTGCCAGTACTTTCTCTCAGATGGGGCCCTCTCCTGATGGTAAATCCTCAGTCATATTACATGTAATTCGGTTACCACTAGGACTCTGCTATATTGCTCTTCTGGACAGTTCCCATTGAAGCTTCTGGTCTTCAATGTTTATGCTCTTATACGTAAATTGGAGTTTTTAGTCATTTCATCTCCTTATAATGCTGTGGGGTCAGCTATGGATGATTTTATTTGCTCTTTTTCTTGGCCTGTATGGTTTTTATGAGGATTTGTGGAGGGTGTAGAAATTAGAGGATCGTGGGCCGGGCGCGGTGGCTGACGCCTGTAATCCCAGCACTTTGGGCGGCCGAGGCGGGTAGATCACGAGGTCAAGAGTTCGAGACCAGCCTGGCCAACATGGTGAAACCCGTCTCTACTAAGAATACAAAAATTAGCTGGGCATGGTGGCACATGCCTGCAATCCCAGCTACTCGGAAGGCTGAGGCAGGAGAATCTCTTGAACCCGGGAGGCGGAGGTTAGAGTGAGCCCAGATCATGCCACTGCACTCCAGCCTGGGTGACAGAGCAAGACACTGTCTTGAAAAAACAACAAAACAAACCCAAATTAGAGGATGGCCATTAACCTATAGGGGACTTAATCTGTGTTTTTTATGTGCTATGCTTGAAAATATTTGTGTTTGCTTTAAAATAATTTGCAATTCAGGTTTTGTATAATTGGATAATTGGTTATACTTCTGTTTTACCCCATTGTTCTCTCTTCAAACTCTCTTGGAAGTATTTGTCATGGAAATAACTATGAGGTTATATTTTATAGCTGTCTGTCAATCATGTGTGTAATCCTTGTTTTGCAGATTTCTACTCTTATCAAGCAGGAATCTGAAATGCCACTTTAATGTTCTTTCTTCAAGTGACATAATTTCATGCTACAAAGTAAATGAAATATAAAATCTGGCACATTTTATGATACATTTACAAGAGTATAATATTCAGAAAGTGGATGGTGATTGTTGCACTCAATTTTGCTTGCTAGTAAGACCATATATGTAATTTTCACTTCTGTGTCCAAAACTTCCAAAGATAAAGACCAATGACGCCCTAATGCTTGTACTCCACAAAAATATTGGTGTAAAATTCCTTACAGATCTTTCTTGTCTTTTTTATTCTGAGACTGAGTATTTATTACCTTTATAATATTAAGATGCTTTTTGTGTGTGTGTGTGAAATACTAACGCCAAAATTTTTTTTAATGGCTTATTTGGAAAAATAAAAATTTAGCAATTCCATTTCGGTTCCCCCGTTTGTTTTTTTGAAACCCTATTAGTTTTTTAAATATACGGTGCTTCTTTGGCAGCACATATACTAAAATTGGAACAATACAAAGAAGATTATTAGCATGGCCCTTGCACAAGGATGACATGTAAATTCATGAAATATTCCATGTTTTCTTAAATATAAAAAAAATAAGTAAAACATAGAAACATGGGAATAATATTATATCAACTTCATAGAGTGGTCTAAAATGTCAAAGGAGGCTGGGCATGGTGGCTCACACCTGTAATCCCAGCACTTTCGGAGGCTGAGGTGTGCTGATTGCCTGAGGTCAGGAGTTCAAGACCAGCCTGGCCAACACAGCGAAACTCCGTCTCTACGAAAAATACAGAAATTAGCCTGGTGTGGTGGCATGTGCCTGTAATCCCAGCTACTTGGGAGGCTGAGGCAAGAGAATTGCTTAAACCCGGAAAGTGGAGGTTGCAGTGAGCCAAGATCGCGCCACTGTACTCCAGCCTAGGCGACAGACCCCATCTCAAAAAAAAAAAAGGAACTTAAAACTTTCATATAAGTAACAGCTAAAAGAACAAAGCTGTTTAGCTTGAATAAAAGAAAACAGAATTCTTACAGAGCTATAATCCCTTATCCAGTTACAGGGCGATAGTTTGGATCAGTATATCTAAAAACATTTTTGTAGGCCGGGTGCTGTGGCTTACGCCTGTCATCCCAGCACTTTGGGAGGCCAAGGCTGGTGGACCAGCTGAGGTCAGGAGTTGGAGACCAGGCCAGGCTGGCCAACATGGTGAAACCCCGTCTCTACTGAAAATACAAAAATTAACCAGGCATGGTGGCGCATGCCTGTAATCCTAGCTGTTCAGGAGGCTGAGGCAGGACAGTCGTTTAAACCCGTGAGGCGGGGGTTGCAGCGAGCCGAGATCATGCTACTGCACTCCAGCCTGGCTAAATTTTGTATTTCTAGTAGAGATGGGTTTTCAACACGTTGGCCAGGCTGGTCTCGAACTCCTGACCTTGTGATCCACCCACCTTGGCCTCCCAAAGTGCTGGGATTACAGGCGTGAGCCACCGCGCCCAGCCAAAAGTTGTATTTCTTTTATTTTATTTTTGCTTTTATTTATTTATTTTTTGAGACAGGCACTCGCTGTTGCCAACACTGCAGTGTAGTGACATGGTCATGGCTCACTGTAGCTTCAACCTCCCAGGCTCAAGCGATCCTCCCACCTCAGCCTCGTGGGCGGCTGGGATTACAGGTGTACACTACCATGCCTGGAGAATTGTGTATTTTTAGTAGAGATGGGTTTTGCCATGTTGCCAGGCTGGTCTTGAACTCCTGGGCTCAGGCAATCTGCCCACCTTGGCCTCCCAAAGTGCTGAGATTGCAGGTGTGAGCCACCACACCCAGCCAAGTTCTATTTCTTAATATTGTGGGTTTCAGATGCCATGATCTCATGATATGGTGTTTCAGCTCAGCTGTGGTGCTGATGCACTGTGCCTGGCGACTGAGAATGTCTCTTTCTGGGATTCCTCTTACCAACAGGTTCCTAAAGCTCTGTTTCTTTAAACATCTTTCTTTGTGTTTTTCAGATTGGATAAATTTTATTGCACACTGCTACTTTCCTGTTATCTGTTATCTTCTTTCTGCTCTTGAGTCCATACAGTGAGGTATTTTCTCCTTAAAAAAATTGTTTCAGAGTGTTCACTATTGCTTCCTTGAGCATTTTTATAGCACTGAATAGAAAGTCTTAGATATCTCTTTCATCTTTGCATTGGTATCTGTTTCTTTTCCCAGGCAAGTTGAGATTTTCCTCTTTGCATACTATTTTATTAGACTCTGGATCTCACTTAAATCCTGTGGAAAATGTTGATAATTTTGTTTTAGTGATTTGGTTAGGTTCAAGCTTCAAGTCCCAACTCCTCTTTGGGATGTTGTTCTAATGTCAGTTTATTTTTCAACATCTTTGCAGTCCTATTTGGGTCTATTCCATGTATGTGCCACTTCATAGCCAGTCTGGTGCCTGAACGGAGTATCTGTTAGTTCGGTTTTCAAAGTCTTTAATATTGTGAGTAGGGTCATATTCTTGCATGTATAGGTTAGGGGGCAAACCTAGGGATTCATAAACAACTTTGTGGTGTTGCTTTTCCCAGTTCTTTCTCTGTGATCTTCCTGAATGTTTCCCCGGGTTTTTTATTTACTTATTTATTTATGTTTTGACACGGAGTCTCACTCTGTCGTCCAGGCTGGAGTGCAGTGGCATGATCTCGGCTCACTGCAACCTCCATCTCCTGGGTTCAAGCGATTCTCCTGCCTCTGCCTCCTGAGCCGCTGGGACTACAGGCGCATGCCACCACGCCTGGCTAATTTTTGTATTTTTAATAGAGACGGGGTTTCATCATGTTGGGCAGGCTGGTCTCGAACTCCTGACCTCAGGTGATCCGCCCACCTCGGCCACCCAAAGTGTTGGGATTACAGGTGTGAGCCTCTGCGTCTGGCCTCCCTGGTGTTTTTTGAGACTGAGACTCATCATGTTGCCCAGGCTGATCTTGACTCCTAGCTTCAAGCAGTCCTCCTGCCTGGGCCTCCCAAAGTGTTGAGGTTACTGGTGGGAGCCACCTCACCCAGCCACCTTCTTTTTATCCTCTGGCTAGAAAGCTGGGCCTTTAATAAGCTATTCTGTGCTGTGCACTTTTGTGACTGTGTCTAGCTAGAGATTTATTCATTTTTTTTTTGATCTTCTCAAAGAACCAGCTTTTGATTTCACAAATTTCTTCTGTTTTTCTTATTTTTTCGTATTTTTTCTTTTGCCAAAGCCAAATATTTCTAATTTTTTTCTATTTAATCGACTCTGTTTTTATTATTTGCTTCTGCTTATGTTGGGTTAAATTTGCTCTTGTTTTTTCTAATTTCTTAAGGTGACTTCTATTAAACATTTCCATTTTAAAAATAGTTTCCATTTCTTCATTGAGATTTTCTGTTTCTTCTTAAAAAAAATTTATAGCCTTTTACTTATTTTTTTGTGGAGAATCTGGGTCTCACTGTGTTTCCCATACTAGTTTCAAACTCCTGTCCTCAAGTGATCCTCCTGCCTCAGACTCCAGAAGCACTGGGATTACAAACTTGAGCCACAGTGCCTGGCCCTTATTTGTTTTTTTTTTTTTTTTTTGAAACGGAGTCTCGCTTTGTTGCCCAGGCTGGAGTGCAGTGGTGAAATCTCTGCCCACTGCAAGCTCCGCCTCCCGGATTCATGCCATTCTCCTGCCTCAGCCTCCCGAGTAGCTGGGACTACAGGCACCCGCCACCACGCCTGGCTAATTTTTTTTTTTTTTTTTTGTATTTTTAGTAGAGATGGGGTTTCACTGTGTTAGCCAGGATGGTCTCGATCTCCTGACCTCATGATCTGCCTGCCTCAGCCTCCCAAAGTGCTGGGATTACAGGTGTGAGCCACCGTGCCTGGCCCCCTCATTTGTTTTTTTGTTGCCTTTGTGTTTTGCTTTAAATCCTTTAGTGTTACATAATAGTAACTTGTTTTGAAGTCTCAGCTACTTACGTCATTGTTATTAATATTTCTGACTCTTTTTTTATTGATTTCTTTCTCCTGTAGGTCATGGGTTAGTTTCCTGCTTGGAATTTATAGTAATTTTCCTCCCATAATTTTGTATAGTATGGATCCTAGGATATTTAATGTCTGGATCCTCTTGCCTTTCTTAATAGAGTTTTGTTTTGGCAGACAATTTGCTTGTTTATCAGCTTATACTTTTTGAGGCTTGTTTTTAAGTTTTAATAAAGATGGGTTGATATGGTTTGGCTGTGTCCCCACCCAAATCTTATCTTGAATTCCCACGTGTTGTGGGAGGGACCTGGTAGGAGGTAATTGAATCATGGGGGAGGGTCTTTCCTGTGCTGTTCTCATGATAGTGAATGAGTTTCATGAGATCTGACAGTTTTAAAAAGGGGAGTTTCCCTGCACAAGCTCTCTTCTCTTGTTTGCTGCTATATAAGGCATGCCTTTCACCTTCTGCCATGATTGTGAGGCTCCTCCAGCCTCATGGAACTGTAAGTCCAATAAACCTCTTTGTTTTGTAAATTGCCCAGTCTCAGGTATGTCTTTATCAGCAGCATGAAAATGGACTAATACATGGGTCTAGATTAATCTTATTCCTAAGGTGTGAGCTTTCTGGATCTCTGCTGAATTCTGCAGTCTTTAACGTAGTCTCTTAACTTGATACTTGGAATTCAAATGTCTGCCAGCCATGCATGAGCACCAGTAGTTGTTAGGCTCATGCTACTTGGTAATTGTTCTTTGCCCAGCTTTCATAGACCTTTGCTGTGTACCTGTTCAGCCTACTCTGTGTGAGTGTGTATATGTGTGTATTTTTTATTTTTGAGACGGAGTCTTGCTCTGTTGCCCAGGCTGGAGTGCAATAGGGCAATTTTGGCTCACTGCAACCTCCACCTCCTGGGTTCAAGCGATTCTTGTGCCTTAGCCTCCCGAGTAGCTGGGATTACAGGCATGCACCACCATGCTTGGCTAATTTTCCTATTTTTAGTAGAGATGGGTTTCACCGTGTTGGCCAGGTTGGTCTCGAACTCCTGACCTCAAGTGACCCGCCCACCTTGTCCTCCCCAATAGCTGGGATTGCAGGCATAAGCCACCGCTCCCAGCCTCAGCTTAGTATTTGACGGAGGATGGAGGATTCCTGTGGCAGATTTCTTTTTCTTTTCTTTTCTTTTTTTTTTTTTTTTTTTTGAGATAGAGTTTTGCTCTTGTCACCCAGGCTGGAGTGCAGTGGTATGATCTTGGCTCACTGTCACCTCCAGCTCCTGGGTTCAAGCGATTCTCCTGCCTCAGCCTCCTGAGGAGCTGGAATTACAGGCGCCTGCCACCATGCCCAGCTAATTGTTGTATTTTTAGTAGAGATGTGGTTTCACTATGTTGGCCAGGCTGGTCTCGAACTCCTGACCTCAGGTGATGCACCTTGGCCTTGGCCTCCCAAAGGTCTAGGATTACAGGCATGTGCCACTATGTCTGGCTAATTTTTGTATTTTTAGTAGAGACGGGGTTTTGCCATGTTGGCCAGACTGGTTTTGAACTCCTGACCTCAAGTGATCTGCCCTCCTCAGCCTCCCAAAGTGCTGGGATTACAGGCGTGAGCCACCGTGTCCAACTCCTGTGGCAGATTTCTGAAGCCTCTTCTATATATAGTTCTCTGTAGCACCCTGCCCCATAAATTCCAGCAGTTTCTAATTCTCATATCTACTCAGGTCAGTGAGACTGCTAAGCTCTGTTTAGGTCCCCCACCCACACCCCTACACCTCTTACACCTATTCTGCAGTCTGGAAGATGCTTCTAGAGACAAATAGGGATTTTTCTTGGGATTTACCCTGCTTCTCTTCTGAAACGGTAGTCCTGTATTGGCTTTTGTCCAACAGCTGAAAACAGCTATTTTATGTTTACTTTCCAGTTTTATAGTTGGCAGGAACCTCATCTAGTGTCAGTTATTCTTATACATTTGGGAGCAGAAGTCTCAGAGTGTATGGTGCCAGAATTTAGCACATGCGACTTTATTATCTATTAGAACAATTCAGTCTCTTGTTTTTTGAGGCAAGTCTTGCTGTTGCCCAGGCTATAGTGCAGCAGCCTTGTCCTCCCAGATTCATGCAATCCTCCCACCTCAGCCTCCCCAGTAGCTGAGACTACAGGTATGTACCACCAGGCCCAGCTAATTTTTGTATTTTTTGTAGAGACAGGGTTTCACCATGTTTCCCAGGGTTGTCTGGAACTCCTGCTCAAGCAATCTGCCCACCTCCACCTCCCAAAGTGCTGCAGTTACAGGCATGAGTCCAGCCCAGTTTGTTTTAATTATATCCTGGTTTGCTTCTTTGCTTCATTGTTTCTATAGCAGAGTGTTAAAATTTTAAATGTTAATTCCTGTTGAAAAACAATAGCCTGCATTATTCTTCTAGTATTTTTGAAAGTATTATGTTAGATTTTGAACTAACATATGCAGGTGTTACAGGTAGGAGGACAAATAGATACTCTGGCATTTCTTCCATAGCAAGGGAAATCCTTATTCACAGTTTTGAAATTTCAAGAACTCCCCAAACACAAGAGTTTCAGATGAGGGAATGTAGACCTGTATTTCTGTTTAATGCAATGATTCTTCTGTGGAGAACTGAAAATGTCTGTCTACTGTGTCACTTTATAAAACCTGTTTTAAGTGAATTGAATGTAAAACATATGTTGAAAGTATACCATATGTAGTATTTTGCATTTCACTTTCCGTAAATAAAAGCAAAGTAAGTTCCCTAAAAAGTTAGTTTAGGGCCGGGCGCAGTGGCTCACGCCTGTAATCCCAGCACTTCAGGAGGCCGAGGCAGGGGGATCACCAGAGGTTGGAGTTCAAGACCAGCCTGGCCAACATCCAAATTGGATATTTTTTGTTACTTTTTCCTTTCTATTCTCCTTTGTAATAAGTGACCTATTATAGAAGTAGTGCATTTCGTGAAAAAAATTGAGATCTATTTACTTAAATGCACGTTGGTTCTTGTTGAGGAGAAATGAATTAGTAGTAGTTATTTGGAGGGGCCTGCCATTCTGAATTATTTTTACAGCTCACATTGACAGGAGATAATTGAATTAATGGCATTGAATATAATTTCAATAAGGACATAGCTGAATTTCATTAATTGAGAACATAATCATTAGGATCTAAAACTCAGTTACTGTTCTAAGTATGATGAAGTAAAAAGCTAACTGCTGTAATGTAAACATATCTCATTCAAGGGGCGGGGGGTTTAGTTTTTAATTTTCCTGTCAGTTATTTGGAGGGGATTATCTAGTTTAATTTTGTATGTTCACTTCTCACTTTATTTTGGGCATTTTTATTGTCCATTTGATTATAAGACTGGGTAAGCAATGTAACAGTTGAATTTGTTGATTAGAAGATCTTTTAAAAGATAAAAATTTTGGGTTTAATAACCTTTAACATTTAATAAAATTTCTGTAGGTGATGGAAAGAGCTTTTAACCAGGAGTCAGAGAGCCTAAATTATAGTCTTAAATTTTGCCACTAGTTAGGTATGTAATCTGGGGTAAGTTACTTGTTTTCTAAATTTTACCTCTACAATAAGGATTAAACCTTTTGTGCTTATGGGATTATCATGCTGATTAAATGTTACCGAGGAGTCTCTTTGAAAAACATACGATAAACAAATAAAGGTGTTTCCAGTCACACCACCAAAAATACCAATTGGAATCCTGAATATTTTAAAAATCAGCTATGTAAAATAAAGTTACATTGTGCATGTCAAGTAAGAATATCAATTTTATTTATTTTTTAAGAGACAGTGTTTTGTTCTGTCGCTCAGGTTGGAGTGCAGTGTTACCATCACGGCTCACTGCAGCCTTGGACTCCTGGGCTCAAGCCGTCCTCCCATCTCAGGTTCATGAGTAGCAGGGAGTACAGGCATGCCACCATGCCCAGCTAATTTTTAATTTTTTTGTAGAGACAGTGGGTCTCAAACTCCTGCCTCAAGCGATCCTCTCACCTCAGCCTCCCAAAGTATTGGGATTACAGGTGTGAGCCACCATGCCCAGCCGTTGTCTGTTTTTATATGCTAGTTTGAATTATATTTGTATAGGTTCACATAAGTATTGTAGAATAGTAAACTATTCCATAAGTTTTGGATGAAAACTTTCTTGTTAAAATCAGAATGTTTAATAGCAGTTGTGTCTGCAATGAGATTATGGGTTGATTTTCTTTTTTCATTTTTTTAAAGCTTTCTACAATGGCCATTACTTGTGTTAGCAGTTTTATGTTTTTTTGTAAAATGTTTTAGGCACTAGGTTAGGGAAGTAGTTACAATGGTTAGGTGTTATGGTTCTGTATCTGGATTGTCTGGGTTCAGATTCTTTTTCCATCACTTAATAGCAGTGTGACCTTGGCCAAATTATATAACCTCCTGGACCTCAGTTATCTCGTGTAAAATGAAGATAGTAAGACTACCTGCTTCATATCATTAAGATTAAATAAATTTTCCCTGTAAAGCACTTAGCACAGTGCCTGGGACTCAGTAAATGCTCATTAAATATTAGCTGTTATTATTGTTAAGTGTTTTACATGTCTTTTTCTCATGATTGCTCTCCATGATTTAAGGATTCTTTTTGATACTCAGCAAAGTACTACATAAGATTATAGAATTAAAGTATAGAGTCACTGTTTGAAACCAGAGCCTTTGATTCCAAAGGTGGCCCTTTTCACTACTTCGTTAATTCCTCAAAGTAAATTTTTCCGTTCATAGTGTTTCTGTTATATAAAAATTACCTTGGAATGTAATGCTAGGATTATTACACAGTGATGATACTTTATCAATTCTATACTTTTAACAGATGAGGCCTAGATTTCCTTTTATATCATATTTACTGTATTAGTTTTGGTAATTTAAGCCTTTGGCATAAAGGCCATTAATACAAAGTCAATTAAAATAAATTTTTACTTAGTCTTATTTAGTTAAAAGAGACTATAAGTTAGTACTTTTAGTTTAGGTATGTCATTAATTTTGGGTGTCCTTTTTGTCGTTTTAATTTTTTTTAACCAGTTACTAATAAATATTTTTTCCTTTTTTTGAAACAGAGTCTCTCTGTGTCTTGCCCAGGCTGGGGTGCAGTGGTGTGACCATAGTTCACTGCAGCCTCAACCTCCTAGGCTCAAGGAATCCTCCTGCCTCAGCCTCCTGAGTAGTTGGGCCTAAAGGCACACACCACCATGCCTGGCTAATTTTTTGATTTTTTTGTAGAGACAAGGTCTCACTATGTTATGCAGGCTGGTCTTGAACTCCTGGGCTCAAGCAATCCTCCTACCTTGGCCTTCCAAAGTGTTGCAATTATAGACATGAGCCACCGTGCCAGGCCAGTAAATCTTTGTTTGTTTATTTGTTTGTTTGAGACAGAGTCTCGCTCTGTCACCCAGGCTGGAGTACAGTGGTGCAATTTCTGCTCACCACAACCTCCGTTTCCCGGGTTCAAGTGATTCTCATGCCTCAGCCTCCCAAGTAGCTGGGACTACAGGCGTGCGCTGCCACGCCCAGCTAATTTTTAAAATATTTTTTAGTAGAAACGGGGTTTCACCATGTTGGCCAGGTTGGTCTCGAACTCTTGACCTTAGGTGATCTGCCCACCTTGGCCTCCCAAAGTGCTGGAATTACAGGCGTGAGCCACTGCGCCCAGCCTGACCAGTAAATCTTATTCTCATTCTTTTTCCTATCTTATGGTGAATATACGTTTCTGTGTGTACACCTAGGTTGGAAGGATTGGATCAGATAGTATGTGTATTTGTTTTCGTTTTGTTTTGTTTTGTTTGAGACAGAGTCTCACTCTGTTGCCCAGGCTGGAGTGCAGTGGCACAATCTCAGCTCACTGTAACCTCTGCCTCCCGGATTTAAGCGATTCTCCTGCCTCTGCCTCCCTAGTAGCTAGCATTACAGGCATGCACCACCACACCCCGCTAATTTTGTATTTTTAGTAGAGACAGGGTTTTGCCATGTTGGCCAGGCTGGTCTTGAACTCCTGACCTCAGGTGATCCACCCGTCTCAGCCTCCCAAAGTTCCAGGATTACAGGTGTTCTAGAAGCTTTTTCATTTTAACTTACACATTTAGATCTGCAGTGTTTTTAGATGTTTTTTATTATGAAGAAAGGTCACTGTAGTTCCACTAATTATATTTTTCTACATTATCTTTTCTCTCTCTTTCATTGAGGTGGTTTCTGTTGCTATGTCTGTCTTCTAGCCCACTGATTTTTTTTTTCTTCTTCTGAAGTGTCATAAAATCTGCTTTACTCTTATCTGGGAAAGGTTCCATTTTAAAAAAATTGAAATTAAAATTTTATTTTATTAGTTTTTTCAGATGGAGTCTCGCTCTGTTGCCCATGCTGGAGTGCAGTGGCACGATCTTGGCTAACTTCAATCTCCACCTCCCAGGTTCAAGCAGTTCTCCTGCTTCAGCCTCCCAAGTAGCTGGGATTACAGGTGTCCGCCACCACGCCTGGCTAACTTTTGTATTTTCAGTAGAGACGGAGGTTTCACCATGTTGTCCAGACTGGTTTTGAACTCCTCACCTCAAGTGATCTGCCTGCTGTGGCCTTCCAAAGTGCTGGGATTACAGGCGTGAGCCACCACACCTGGCTGGTTTCATGTTAAATTCTGTATTTTCTTTTTTCCTTTTCCTTTTCTTTTTCTTTTTCTTTCTTTTCTTTTTTTTTTTTTGAGATGGAGTCTCACTCTGTCGCCAGGCTGGAGTGCAGTGGCGTGATCTCGGCTCACTGTAACCTCCACCCCCCGGGTTCAAGTGATTCTCCTGCCTCAGCCTCCCGAGTAGCTGGGACTACAGGCACGTGCCACCACACCCAGCTAATTTTTGTAATATTAGTAGAGATGGGGTTTCACCATGTTGGCCAGGATGGTCTCAATCTCTTGATCTCGTGATCCGCTTGCCTCTGCCTCCCAGCGTGTTGGGATTGCAGGCGTGAGCCACTGTGCCCGGCCTTCTTTTTTTTTTTCCTCAGACAGAGTCTTGCTCTGTTGTCCAGGCTGGAGTGCAGTGGTATGATCTTGACTCAACTCACTGAAACCTCCACCTCCCAGGTTCAAGCAATTATCCTGCCTCAGCCTCCCAAGTAGCTGGGATTATAGGTGTGCGCCACCATGCCTGGCTAATTTTTTTTTTTTTTTTTGTATTTTTAGTAGAGACAAGGTTTTGCCATGTTGGCTAGGCTGGTCTCAAACTCCTGGTCTCAAGTGATCTGCCCATCTTGGCTTTCCAAAGTGCTGAGATTACAGGCATGAGCCACTGTGCCCAGCCTTAATACTGTATTTTCATCTTTACAAATTCTATTTGTTTTTTTCGAATATATTTCATTTTCCTCTTCATTTGTTTATCCATTGCTTAAATTTTGAGCACATTTATAATAGTTGTTTTAACTTCTTTATCGTAATTCCATCACGTTTTTAATTTCTCCTGGTTATGGATCATGTTTTCCTGCTCTTAGGTGTCTAGATATTTTCTATTGGATGTTATACATTATAGGTTTTATATTATTTTACTAAATTTAACTGTCTTTAAAGAGTGGTGTTGGACTTTGTTGTGGTGCACAGTGAAGATGCTTGTCTGTCAACCTGATTTTTTTTGAGGGTTTGTTAGGGTGGGTCTAAAGTAATACTCTAGGGCTAGTGTATGTCTACTCTTAAGGAATGACCTTTTTGCAGTATTTACTGAATTCTACAGCTGTTCGTTGACACTCCATTCTGGCAAGTTGGAACTCTTACTACCATGTGGGCTGTGAGAATTGTTAAACTTAATGCGTCCTCATCATTCTTTGTCTGGCCTTGTTATGTTTCACCCTACATATGCAAAACTTAGTACTCAACAGTTTTCAACAACAGACACATGGGGATCTTCTGTGGATTTTTGGATCTCTTTCTCAGGGTGGTTTCATCTCTTGCAGAGTGCCTCAGCCTCGTTGAACATCAGTCTTTGTTAACTCTGTGGACTCCTGTAGTTTGCTTGGGATCCTTCTTCCTGTGCTGTGAGCTAGGAAGTGCCTCCAGGAGTAAAGTGGTGGCATTACTAGAGCTCATCATGTTTGTTTCCCGTTCTCATGGTTCACAGTCTTGCGCCACCTGTTAGCACCACCTGTTGAACCTGTTATTTCATATATTTTGTCCAGTTTTCTTTATGATGAAAGAAAAAGTTCAGCTTCACCTACTCCATCATGCCAAAAGTGAAAGTCACCTAACTACATTTTTATACATGTAAAATTTCAGAAAGCTGAAGGTTTTATGAACAGTGACACTTAACCCTCTTCCTTATAGGTATGAATTTTCATAAACAGCAAGAAATCAAGAATATTCCTTTTAATTATGTTAGTCTTTACATCATAGCTTCCTTTAGTGCTTTCTTATTATAAGAAAAACAAGCTACTTTTAGGCTTTCTGCTAAGTAAATGGGAACACTAAATTTAGTTACTTAGTCTTACTATGTTTCTTTGGCTACATATGATGAATGATAGCTCTCAAGTAACTGCTTCTGCTTTCTCCTCCTCTTATCCCTGAAATCACTGTGCCTGCTGAATGCATAGTTGATTGTGGGAGACAAAGAAAATATTCAACCAGTTAGGAAGCTATTGCCAAGAAACCGGGTCTGATAGGACCTACCAGAGGACAGAAGTATAAGGGAAGGAGAAGCACCAAAGATGATTGGTTTTTTTTGCATAATCGTCTGGTTGAGTTGAAGAGGGGGAATCAACTCTATCTTCAGGATGGTGAAGACTTGGTGCAGAATACATTTTGGGCGAGAAAAATCAGTTGTATTTGGATATATTAGGTTTCAGATGCAAAACAACAGCATTGGAAGGCTGAGGCAGGAGGATTGCTGGAGCCTGTGATTGAGACACTGTACTCCAGTCTGGGCCACAGAGTGAGATCCTGTCTCAAAGCAACAACAAAGTGGAGATGATGGGTATATAGTTGGTTGTAAAGCAACTCTAGTTTGCTGTAGTGTGAACTTAATTGATTTCTTCATGCTAAAATGTGAAATTTTACATTTTTATTTTTCTGTTTCTACACATTTTCTACCATGATTTTTGTCATCACTTGCATTAACTTCTTTCCCAGATTTTAAATATATTGCCTCAAAAATTATGAGCAAAATTGTTTAAAATTTATATCAATGTATTCTGGCACGAATTGTATCTTTTAGAGCACTTTTTTTTTCTGTAACAAATACAATGCTTTAAAAATAAATTTTCATGTGAAAGCATATGTTGATGTCTAAAAGTCAGCTAGCACTAAAAGATTTATGATGAAAGAAATAATGTTCCCTATTTTCTCCCATCCCCTTGCTTTCCCCCTCCAGAATCAAGCAACTTCAGCCCTTTATTTTGTCTGGTATTTGCCTTCTTGTTGCTTAGTAATACATCACTATTTCTTCTTGATACATAGCTTTTAAATATTTGTTGACCTCTGGTTTGTGAAAATGAGGACTCAGAACTTACTCATTCACACATTTGCCCACTTTCATCTTCCTCATTCCTCAACATAATTATATCACAAGTTTTTTTTTCTTCTTTCTTTCTTTTTTTTTTTTGAGACAGAGTCTGGCCCTGTTGCCCAGGCTGTAGTGCAGTGGCATCATCTTGGCTCACTGCAGCCTCCGCCTCCCAGCTTCCAGTGATTCTCCTGCCTCAGCCTCCCAAGTAGCTGGGATTACAGGCGCCTGCATGCCATCATGCCCGGCTAATTTTTTTTTTTTTTTTTTTGTATTTTTAGTAGAGAAAGAGTTTCACCACGTTGGTCAGGCTGGTCTCGAACTCTTGACCTTAAGTGATCCGCTCACCTCAGCCTCCCAAAGTGCTGGGATTACAAGCATGAGCTATCATGCCCGGCCATATCACAGGTTTTTTATAAACTAGTACAGAATGTTTACATTTTTATAACTATGCATATATTGTTCAGTATTGAGCCAAATTTGTACTAAATCCAAGTCTTATACAAGCTTTTGTTTTTTCTGGAGTTAATACCTATTATTTAGGCAGTTGACTGGTTTTCTGTAGACCTATTGCTCGTTTCCTGCAAATGTGCCTGTATTTCTGTCATGAGCTTATGATTAACATTTTCCATGTTAGCAAGCACACTAGTTCGATTTTTGCTCTTGCTGGAAACCTATTCCATAGTAGCTTTTGACTCTGCTCCACTCTGGAGTGGCTGTTCTCTAGTTCTTTTTTCTGTATTATATTCCTTATTTACTAAGTCCTATAGTGCTTTTGTTTTTGAGATACAGTCTCACACTGTCATCCAGGCTGGAGTGCAGTAGCGCAATCTCGGCTCACTACAACCTCTGCCTCTCGGGTTCAAACGATTCTCCTGCCTCAGCTTCCCAAGCAGCTAGGATTACAGGCGCCCGCCACCATGCCCAGCTAATTTTTGTATTTTTAGTAGAAACGGGGTTTCACCATGTTGGCCTGGCTGGTCTCGAACTTCTGACCTCGTGATCTGCCCGCCTCGGCCTCCAAAAGTGCTGGGATTACAGATGTGAGCCACCACGCCTGGCCCTCGATAGTGCCTTTTAAAAAATTTATCCTAATTTCTTTTAATGGCTTCCTAAGGAAGAATACATGGACACAAAAGTTTAGCTTTTTGCAAAGCTTTAAAATGTCTTTTTGCTCTTATACAGTCTTGGTATTTTGGTTTGTATGTTTTTTTTTTTTTTTTTTTTTTTTTTTTGAGACGGAGTCTCACTCTGTTGCCCAGGCTGGAGTGTGGTGGTGCGATCTCTGCTCACTGCAACCTCTGCCTGCTGGGTTCAAATGATTCTCCTGCCTCAGTCTCCTGAGTAGCTGGGATTACAGGTGGCGCCAGCAGGCCTGGCTAATTTTTGTATTTTTAGTGGAGACAGGGTTTCACCATGTTGGCCAGGCTGGTCTCGAACTGCTGACCTCAGATGATCCACCCACCTTGGCCTACCAAAGTGCTGGGATTACAAGCATGAGCCACCGTGCCTGGCCTCTTATATAGTCTTAATGTATGGGAGCAAAATGACATTTTGCGAGATTGGTTCCAGGATCTCCCTTGGGTACCAAAATCCAGGGATGCTCAAGTCCTTGATATACAATGGCATAGTATTTGCATATAACCTATGCACATCCTCTTGTATACTGTAAATTATCTCTAGGTTATTTATAATACCTAATACAATGTAAATACTGTGTAAATAGTTGTTATACTGTATTGCTTAGACATTAATTACAAGAGAAAAGTGTAAGTTTGTATAGATGCAGTTTTTTTTTTTCCTAATACTTTCTATCTGTAGTTAGCAGAATCTACGCATGTAGAACCCATGGATATGGGGCCTGACTGTACTTGATTGATGACTCAGCTGGTACAGAATTATAAGTTGAAACTTAATTTTCACTCTGACTTTTGAAGGCCGTATATTTGTCTTCTAGATTTCAACAGTATTTCATTTTTACTTTCAAATAAGAGTGCATTGCTATTCTGATTATAGATCTTTTTTATGTGACTTGTTTTTTTCCCCTCTCTGGAAGTTTTTAAGGACCTTTTTTTTTTATTTTCAGGCTTTGAGATTTCACTATGATATGTTACAGTCTGGGTATTTTTTCCGTGTATTTTGCATGGACTTTTTTTGGCCCTTTCAGCTTGAAAGCTTCAGTAAAAAGAAAACGTTCTTCAGTAAAAAGAAAATGTTCTTTAGAAAACTAGCTGGGCATAGTGGCTCATGCCTGTTATCCCAGCCCCTGGGGAGGCCGAGGTGGGAGGATTGCTTGAGTGAGTCCTGAGATCGCTTGAGAATCTTGGAGTCTGAGACCAGCCTAGGCAACATAGTGAGTCCCTGTCTCTACAAAAAATAAAAATATTAGCCAGGTATGGTGGCGTGTGCCTGTAGTCCCAGCTACTTGGGAGGCTGAGATAGAAGTATTCCTTGGGCCCAGGTGGATATGGTCGCTGTGAGCTGTCATCACGCCACTGTGCCCTGCCTGGGTGACAGAGTGAGTCTCAGTCTTAAAAAAAAATAAATAAAAGAAATTCTATACCATTTATTTTTCTGTTCTCTTTCTGCATCACTCAGTTGTTGGACTTTACTAATCTATATTTTGTTCCTTTGTCTTTTACTTCCTGTATTTGAACCTTTTGTATTTTTTATTGGCATTTTACCGAGATTTAGAAGCATATGGAAATAGCATTCTGTTGTATTTAACAGAGTAGAGAAATTTAGCGTTGAATTTAAAGTTGTTTGTATTCCTTGCTAAACTTAAATTTTTCTTTTTTGTTTTGACAGAGGTGTTATGAACATAAACAGTATAGAAATGGATTGAAATTCTGTAAACAAATACTTTCTAATCCCAAATTTGCAGAGCATGGAGGTAAGTGCAAGTAGATAAAGCTTTACTACATACCTGTCTGGCCTCTCTTACTGGATTGTATTCTTCCCAGCTGCCTTAACTGTTTTCCAGAGAGAACAGACCCTCTCATCTTTGACTTCTGTGAGAAAGTGAAATTTAATACTGAATTTTGAATTTAATATCAAGAAAATGATAACACATTTTACTTGAGTTCTGATTTATTCTTAGTTTGAATATTACCTCTGTAGGAAAAGAGAAATAATAGGATAGAATGCTAAAATTTACTTTAGAACTTTGGTTGAGCTGTATAAATTGTATGCTTTATAATCTTATTCAGAAAGTGACCATTTGGTCCTTTGCTCATAAACTATCATATTTTTTATTTATGTTTTTCAGTTTCTCAAGACCAAGTCATGTTTAAGACATGATTTGTATATTGTAATGTTCTGAAAGTTTATAGGCTTTTGCTTGTGTGAAGGTAGATTATTGGATGGTGAGATATTTGTAGAGCAAGGGGAGAGTGTGTGGCTAAACTTGAGAGGAGGCAAAGGAAAAATAAGTTTTGGCAGGTCTGATTTGTACAGTTAAGAAACGTGGCTGTTCAGTAACTATTGATAATGCACTCTTAGTATTGAAGAGAAGGGGGAGAGTAGTAATTCTCCATTAGATTCCTTGCCTTTTTTTTGGCCTATCTTTATAATCTCACTTTCTTTCACTGTGTTTCACTTTATACTTTCTTTTACTGTAATTGTTTGGAGATGGAAAACAATGGAGATAAAAGTATTTAAATTTATCTCTCTGCTGGGTGCTGGGGCTCACTCCTAATGATCCCAACCCTTTGGGAGACTGAGGCAGGAGGATTGCTTGAGGCCAGAAATTCAAGATCAGCCTGGGCAACATAGCGGGACCTTGTCTTTATTATGACAAAACATATATTTAAAAAAACAAGTAAATAGAAATAAATTTATCTCTCTTTTTCCATATTAAAAATTATTTTTGCTGACCAGCTGAGCTTTATGTTGTTTGATATTCATTTCTAAAGTAGGCATACTCATAATGTGTTCAATACAGAAAAGTATCAGATTTCATTATTTCTGAAATGCAGTTTTCCCTACATCATTTCACTGTTTTTTCTTCTTGTTTTTTGAGATAGAGTTTCATTGTGTTGTCCAGGCTGGAGTGCAGTGGCGCAATCTCAGCTCACTACAGCTTCCACCTCCTGGGTTCAAGCGACTCCCCTACCTCAGCCTCCCAAGTAGCTGGGATTACAGGCGTGTGCCACCATGCCAGGCTAATTTTTGTATTTTTAGTAGAGATGAGGTCTCACCATGTTGGCCAGGCTGGTCTCAAACTCCTGACCTCAGGTGATCCACCCACCTCGGCCTCCCAAAGTGCTGGAATTACAGTGAGCCACTGCGCCCAGCCTATTTCACTGTTTCTAAAATGTGATTCTCCAACTCCCTGCCCTGCCACTGTAACATACCTGAATTCAGGTTGCATATAAATTGTCATAATTTCATTGAAAGTTTTTTTTTTTTTTGAGACGGAGTCTCACTCTGTTGCCCAGGCTGGAGTGCAATGGGGCAATTTTGGCTCACTGCAACCTCTGCCTCCTGGGTTCAAGCAATTCTTGTGCCTCAGCCTCCCAACTAGCTGGCATTACAGGTGCCCCCCACCACACCTGGCTATTTTTGTATTTTTAGTAGAGACGGGGGTTCACCATGTTGGCCAGGCTGATCTGGAACTCCTGACCTCAAGTGATCTGCCCACCTTGGCCTCCTGAAGTCTTGAGATTACAGGTGTGAGGCACTGTGCCTGGCCAAAAGTATTTTTAAACGGTACATGTTGATTCTTCCTCAGGATTATATCTTTAATCCTTATCTTTTGTGCCTAATTAATTTCTCTCTAAAGTCTAAATTTTAGTCTAAAAGAGAAATCAATCAAATAAATTAAAAAGTTAGGCAAATAATGTTTTCACTTCCTTTAGGCTTCATAGGATACATATAAAATTAGAGTTTAGTTTTCCTCTTCTGAAAACTTAATATTTCTTTTAACTCTCTTTTAATCTTTTGGTTGCCAATGATAGATTTCTGACATCTTTTTCTTGTATATTTAATAGTAATCTCAAATAATCATTTTAAAATAAATTTAGGAAAATAAAAAATGTAGGAAATTTATGTGTATTTTTTAAATCACTGATGAGTTTAACCCGTATATAACCTAGGTTCACAGAAATAAAGTATATTTTCAAGATAAAGTTTTTATATTTTAATGAAGTAGATATGTAAGGTTATCCCATGGAATTCCCCTGAAGAATGAATTACTAGATTATCTTTCTAGTCAAATAGCATGCATTTTGTATCTTTTATCTTAAAAAAAAGGAGAGTCTCTTTCCAATAATAGAGTCTGGAAATCTGTGTTTACTTGGATTGCCAATTTTAAAAATGTTTTAAATCTGCAAGAAAGTGGAAAGTATCTTAGTAATCTCCTTGACATTTTTAATTCTTAAGGCAGTGTAGCATTTGTTTTTGAGATTATGGTTCTGTTGTTATTTATTTTTAATATTTATTTTTTTAAAATGTTCCTTTTCTTCTTTGTTTTTGAAAATAGAAACCTTGGCTATGAAAGGATTAACATTGAACTGTTTGGGGAAAAAGGAAGAAGCTTATGAATTGGTTCGTAGAGGTTTGAGAAATGACTTGAAGAGTCATGTGTGTATCCTTTTTGAGATATATTTAAGGTTTGAGTGGGGTGTTTTGAGCTAAGGCAGCAATTTGAGAGTCAAAGTTTTAGATCTCTCTTATTGTGCTATTACAGAGGAAATTATTTTTTAAATAGGGTAACAGCAACTGCCTTCATTCAGGGAACATTTTTATATACCTAACCATGTTTTAACATTCTCTTATTTCACAGATAAATGGAACTTGCCTTTAAAAATATCTGTGAAAGCTTTTCTCACTCTTAAAAAGGGGGCATTGCTAGGGTCTGAATATTTGTGTGGCACTCCGCTACCCCATTTGTTGAAAACTAATCACCAATGTGATAGTGGTAGGTGGTGGGTCTCAAAAAGAAAAAGGATATAAAATAAGGAATATTAGAGCGGCATTATAATACCCTGGTTTAGAGCACAAGCTTTTGGAGTATAGGCTTAGAGTGTGCCTCACTTAGGTTCAAAACCCATTTCAGCTTCTTTCTGTGTGATCTTAGAGCTCAGTTTCTTCATGTGTAAAATGGGGATAATCATACCCACCTCACTGTGTTGGTTTAAAGACTTAATGATGAGATATATAACATAGCCCCTGATAATGCTAAGTACCATATTGGATAAATAGTTTATTAAGGAAGAGTAAGAGCAAATAGAAATGTCTGAGGGAGGATAGAGAAAAAATTGTGGGTTGCTATTTTTAAGATAGACTTTAGCAAATATTTCTATACCAACTTTGTGGGCTGACACAATTTTAAGTGCTGAAACAATTAGCAATTTTTCAGATGTTTACCAGGCCCTTGGCTTAGTACAGACAAAGAAAAGATAACAGATTTTGCTCTCAAAGAACTTACAGTCTGGTGAAGGAAGATACTGATTAGAAACATTTACAGAACATTTAGGAGTATTACATAAGATGTTATGGTTTATTCAAGTAATTGTCACTAATCCAGTAAAGCAGAAGTATGTGAATTGAGAGTGACTAGAGGACTAGAAAGACAAGCAAAGGCTTAACTATTAAGACTGTCATAGATAGATGTCTTTCCATCATTTTTAATGATTGTATAGTGTTCTGCCAATGTTTTATTATGATTTATTTGAGTTCCTCTTGATGGACATAATTTTCTTTAAATATTTGGCAATGTTAAACTCTTTGAGGGTGGGATTTTTAGGAGATGAAGATGAGAGTCAGTTGTGTGGCTGTTGCAATATTTAAGAGAGGTAAAGTCCTGAAATACAGGATATTAGTGATAGAAATGGGAGGGAGTGGAAAGATAGGTAATGGGAGCTAGATTTTAATGGGTAGTGTTTCCTAGTTTATAAAACCATGATCCAAACGGCTGAGAGGATTTGATCCAGTTGCACTTTGTCATTTGTATTACGGAAATCAAGATTATTTTTCAAATAAAATTTGTAATATTTTGACTTGCTTTAAAAATGTGTAATATTAAATATGTGTTTTTAGTTCATGCATGCCATCCTAAACATTCTGGGGTTTTTTTTTGTTTGTTTGTGCTTTTTTTTAGATGGAGTTTTGATCTTGTCGCCCAGGCTGGAGTGCAATGGCACGATCTCAGCTCACTGCAACCTCTGCCTCCCTGCTTCAAGTGATTCTCCTGCCTCAGCCTCCCAAGTAGCTGGCATTACAGGTGCACAGCACCAAGCCTGGCTAATTTTTGTATTTTTAGTAGAGACAGGGTTTCATCATGTTGGCCAGGCTGGTGTCAAACTCCTGACCTCAAGCCATCCACCCATCTTGGCCTTCGAAAGTGCTGGGATTACAGGTGTGAGCCACCATGCCTGGCCAACATTCTGTATTTTATTGACTCTGTTGAGGACCTCTGGCCTAAAAGTTGTTAGATTGAAGGTTGTTGTTTGTTTGTTTTTGAGATGGAGTTTCACTCTGTCACCCAGGCTAGAGTGCAGTGGTGTGATCTTGGCTCACTGCAACCTCTACCTCCTGGGTTCAGGTAATACTCCTGTCTCAGCCTCCCGAGTAGCTGGGAATACAGGTGCATGCCACCATACCTGGGTGTTTTTTGTATTTTTAGTATAGACGAGATTTTGCAGTGTTGGCCAGGCTGGTCTCGAACTCGTGACTTGAAGTGATCCACCTACCACTGCCTCCCAAAGTGCTGGGATTACAGGTGTGAGCCACTGTACCTGGCCAGATTGAAGTTTGAGCTTGATCTCAGAAAGAAACGTTATAAGTTTCTGGAAAGGGAAGTGGACTTCCGTTTTTCTTTTGAGTGTGTTTTAAAAAGATTATTTTGGGCCAGCCACAGTGACTCATGCCCATAATCCCAGCACTTTGGGAGGCTGAGGCAGCGATCACTTGAGGCTAGGAGTTCAAGACTAGCCTGGGCATCATAGTGAGACCTCGTCTCTATGGAAAATAAAAAATTAACTGCATGTGGTGGTGGCATGTGCCTGTGGTCCTAGCTGCTCTGGAGGCTGGGGTAGAAGGATTGTTTGAGCCCAGGAGTTTGAGGCTACAGTGAGCTATGAGTGTGCCACTGCACTCCAGCCTAGGTGATAGAGCGAGACCATCTCTTTTAAAAAACGCAATAATTAGGAGGCGGGCGGATCACGAGATCAGGAGATCAAGACCATCCTGGCCAACATGGTGAAACCCTGTCTCTACTAAAAATACAAAAATTATAGCTGGGCGTGGTGGCAGACGCTTGTAATCCCAGCTACTTGGGAGGCTGAGGCAGGAGAGTTGCTTGAACCTGGGAGGCAGAGGTTGCAGTGAGCTGAGATCATGCCACTGCACTCTAGCCTGGTGACAGAGCGAGACTCCATCTCAAAAACAAACAAACAACAACAACAACAACAAAAAACAACAAAACCCAATTACTTTGGTAGGAGAATAAAAGAAGACAGACTGAAGATAGGTGGGTTGGGTAGCTGGTACAGTAATCAAGATCTAAAGTGAAAAAGGGCTGTATTTGGGAAGTGGAATATTCTCCTCCTTGATAGCAGTTTTTACAACCTACTTTAATTTTGCTTATTTATCTGTCCTTTACTAGACTTTAAGATCTTTTAATATAGGAGGCTATTTTGATGACCTACGTCTTAGTTATTAAGAAGTTTTAGGCTGGGTTTGGGAGCTTATGCCTGTAATCCCCGCACTTTGGGAGGCCAAGGCAGGTGTATTGCTTGGGCTCAGGAGTTTGAGACCATCTTGGGCAACATGGCGAGATCCCATCTCTACCAAAAATAGAAAAAAATAGCTGGCATGCTGGTGTGTGCCTGTAGTCGCAGCTACTCAGGAGGCTGAGGTGGGAGTATCACTTGAGTGCAGGGAGTGGAGGTTGCAGTGAGCAAAGACCACACCACGACACTCCAGACTGGGTGACAGAGCAATACCTGTCTCAAAAAAAGGGAAAGAAGTTTTAATAATTACGGTTAAATGAATGAATGTTTTTATTTTATATGTGGCTGAGTTTTAGAAACTTTGTATTACACTAAGGGTTGTCCTAAGAATCTTGTTAGTTCAAGAAAATAAAATCTTCATGACTTTACATAACTGGATTCCATGAAGACCCATTCCTTCTTTTTCCTTTTACTATTAATAATATAGTAACTGTTTACATATATATATATTGACTTTGTGCCAGCCAGTGAGCACTTTATATATGTTATCCCATTTAGTTGTCAGTAGTATGATTTGCTGCATAGACTATTTGTTTACATTTTAGTAATGAGGAAACTTAATGAGACTGATTTGTCCAAGGTTACAGAGCTGATAAGGTAGGCAAGACCTAATTTTCTCTGGCTGCAAAAGCTGTGCTCTTTTCCACTGTATTAAACTGCTTTATATCTTTGAAATCAATCTCCCCCTCCCCTTCCCCTTCTTTTTAAGCTTGTAGTTTTATAAATGGCTGTGGTTCTCCAAGTTTTTTGGGAGGTCGTTTGGAATAGTAATTTTTGACTTGTAGGTTGTACCCTTAACTAAATTCTTTAGGTTGGCACGTTTATGGCCTTCTTCAGAGGTCAGACAAGAAGTATGATGAAGCCATTAAGTGTTACAGAAATGCACTAAAATGGGATAAAGACAATCTTCAAATCTTAAGGGACCTTTCCTTACTACAGATTCAAATGCGAGATCTTGAGGGTTACAGGGTAAGTAAAATAGAGACTTTTTTTTTTAATTCTAAGGGGAAAATATGTACAACTTTGAGTACTTTCAGATACATAAATTTTTTATTTCATTTTGAAAATAATTTAATTGAATTTTTTTTTCCTCCTACCACAGTGGTTATGTTTATGATTGGAATAATCAGATCTTTAAAAATAAATTATTTTATGGTGAGGCAGATTTGGCCTACTGTGTAGGGTTGACTTAATTTGATAAAAATTAACATCAGGCCAGGTGCGGTGGCTCACGCCTGTAGTCCCAGCACTTTGGGAGGCCCAGGTGGGTGAATCATGAGGTCAGGAGATCGAGACCATCCTGCCTAACACAGTGAAACCCCATCTCTACTAAAAATACAAAAAATTAGCTAGGCGTGGTGGCAGGTGCCTGTAGTCTAGCTACTCAGGAGGCTGAGGCAGGAGAATGGCCTGAACCCGGGAGGTGGAGCTTGCAGTGAGCCAAGATCACGCCACTGCACTCCGGCCTGGGTAACAGAGCGAAACTCTGTCTCAAAAAAAAAAAAAAAAAAAAAAAAAAGAAAATCAGTACTCCTCAAATAAACAATGCCTTTGTCTAGTATTGACATGTAACTCTAACATTTACTTCCCACATTTTTCTGGAAAGCAAAACAAAAAAAAAATTTTTTTTTTCTTGGAGACATTAGAGTCTCACTCTGTTGCCCAGGCTGGAGTGCAGTGGCATGATCTTGGCTCACTGCAGCTTCCACCTCCTGGGTTCAAGCAGTTCTCATGCCTCAGCCTCCTGAGTAGCTGGGGCTACAGACATGTGCCACCATGCCCAGCTCATTTTTTATATTCTAATAGAGATGAGGTTTCACCATGTTGCTCAGGCTGGTCTTGAACTCCTGAGCTCAGGCAGTCCACCCCACCTTATTCTCCCAAAGTGCTAGGATTACGGGCATGAGCTGCTGCACCTGGCAAAAACAAATGTTTTGTTTCTTCTTTCTACCTCCACTGACTCTAATATATTTTTGTAGCTTCGATTTTAACCCTTAAATTAGTGTTAGATCTATTTAGTTCCTCTTTCATATTCTTTCCTCTTTATGTATGTTAACTCTGTAGTTGGACACTTAATTTTTAAAAACATTTTTGAATATTTTTCCTTTGTGCTGTTCTTTCCATCCTGCCTCTTTTCTGGGACTGAGCAGATCAAGAAATAAAGAAGGGTCTTAAGTTTGGTCTTAAGTTTTAAAAACTTAAATCTGGTCTTAAGTTTTAAAAAAATTCTAAGATTAGCTTGGAGGCTTCATTATGTTCTTAACAAATATTTCTTTGCCTCCATAAAGCTACACAATATGGATGTTTGAAGTATTTTCTATTATTGTTCCCATCATTGTGTTGTAAAATGCTTGGGGTTGTGGGATAAATTAATGTGTGTTTTTTTTTTTTTTTTTTGAGACGGCGTCTTGCTCTGTTGCCAGGCTGCAACCTCTGCCTCCCGGGTTCAAGTGATTCTCCCGCCTCAGCCTCCTGAGTAGCTGGGACCACAGGCGTGCACCACCATGCCCAGTTAATTTTTGTATTTTTGATAGAGACGGGGTTTCACCATGTTGGCCAGGATGGTCTCGATCTCTTGACCTCGTGATCCACCCGCCTTAGCCTCCCAAAGTGCTGGGATTACAGGCGTGAGCCACTGCGCCTGGCCTAATATGGAGATCTTTTAAAGGAGCACTTGCTGTTACTAAAAGCCTAAGAAAAAGTGTTTATTTTTTTCCTTTTAAAGGAAACGAGGTATCAGTTACTTCAGCTTCGACCTGCGCAGAGAGCATCATGGATTGGTTATGCTATTGCTTACCATTTATTAGAAGATTATGAAATGGCAGCAAAGATTTTAGAAGAATTTAGGAAAACACAACAGGTAATAACTAGAAGCCATTTTACTAAGTCTGATCCTAAGTATAACTAAAAAAATAATGTGCATAGTCTGGCTTACTTTTAATTTTGAAATAGTTTCAAACTTATAGAAAAGTTGCAGGAATAGCACAAAGAACTCTACATAGGGGTTCATTCATACTAAACTAATTGTTAATATTTGGTGCATTTACTTTAAAATTTGTGTATCTATTTATCTATTTTAATTTTCTTCCTTAAATGTTTGAGAGTAATTGCAAGACATCATGCTCCTTTACCCCTAAATGCTTTAGTGTGTATTTTCTAAAAATAACTGTATAGTTTTCAGTTCTCTAGATAGTATTATAGGGATAGATTATAAAAATTAGGAAATTTAACACTGATAGACTGTTATCTAATTAATCCCCAGCCCATATTCAGAATTTACTAATTGTCCTAGTTATAGCCTTTCTAGCAATTTGATTTCATTGCAGGATCCAATTAAGAATCATACCTTACATTTAGTTATCATTTCTCTTCAGCCTCTTTTAATCTGAAACAGTTTTGAAAACTTCCTTTGTATTTTATGACATAGACATTTCTGAAGAAGGCTGTGCTTTTGTAGGATGTCCCTCAATTTGGATTTTTCTGATGGTTCCTCATTCTTAGATAGAGTTTTATAATTTTGGCAGGAAACCATATAAATGATATTGGGTCCTTCTGCGTTCATTACATCAAGAGGCACATGCCATCAGTTCGTTCCATTTGATTACATGGTGAAAGTTGTATTTGCAGTTGTAAACGTATTTTTCTCTCTTTGTGTTTAATATGCAGTTTGAGACTGAATAGCCTATTGCTCATCAAACTTTCACCATCTAGTTTTAGCATTCATTGATTATGATTCTTGCCTGAATCAGTATTACTATGATAGTCGCAAAATGGTGATTCTCTTAACTCTAGTCATTCCTTGTAGGTTTATTATTTGGCATTCTACTCCTGAGTAAGAGCTTTCCCTTCTTCCCCATATTTATTGTGTGTAAGGACTTATGGATTATTATTTTATTCAACCTGTTATATCCTAATATTGTCATTATTTACTCAGTTGCTCTGTAGATACTTAAGAATTTTTTAAAAATTAGTTTTATCAACCGGATGTTATCCTTTGACTTCTTACATGTTTTTGAGTATTGTGAACAATTTTCTGATATGAAAATAAAATTCTTACTGTCAGTATTCCTTATATCCATATACAGACATCCCCTGACAAGGTGGATTATGAATATAGTGAACTACTCTTATATCAGAATCAAGTTCTTCGGGAAGCAGGTCTCTATAGAGAAGCTTTGGAACATCTTTGTACCTATGAAAAGCAGATTTGTGATAAACTTGCTGTAGAAGAAACCAAAGGTATTTTTAAAAGAATTGTCATTTATTCTAATATTGAAATATGACAGAGCAAGGCTGAAAAATCTAGTTGCTGCTGACAGTTTCATATAATTCAGCTTTTTGATGATAGGAAATCTATTTCTTACTCGTGTACTTTTAATAGTTTATGATGTGGGAAAATGTACATTTAAACAATATTGTAGATAGAGGAGAAAGTTGATTGTGAACAATGAAAAGTAGTTGAATGAAATGACTCATAACATTCTTTAAATAAAGTATCTTTGTATTAAAAATATTATGGAATTTGATCAAAACACAAGAGACAATTAGTTTTATAAGACAGAGGATGACATTTCTTAGAAACAGTTTATTAATAAACTATAGTGTATGTAGTATGTGCCAGATTTATTGCTAATAATATATATTGATGAATCAGTCTTTACTAAAATACATATAGGATATTTCTGAGAGTCTTTATGGTTAATCTGAATGTCTTCGATGACACAGAAAGAATATGAGTTCTGGAAGAAAGGGAGACCAGAGATTTGGGTTCATAATATGTAGATTGTGATAGGAGGGGTAGATCCCACTCAGCAGAGGGCTGAGAAAAATGAGTCTTAACAGTTTTAGAAGTTGAGGGCGTGATTATAGAAAATAAAAGAAGAATAACAAGTAATGAAAGGACAAGTGATTTTTTAAAAAATTACCTTCTGAAATGCTGCTTTGTCCTTGCTAGTCTAGGGAACTGAAGTTTGCTGGTTTCACATTCCCTTGGCTCACCTTGAGGTTGAACACAAAAAGTATAATATACATCCATGTGCATAATAGGTATAGCCATTGTTTGCCAGATAAACTTTTGTCGGAGGATAATGGTACTGATAAGAAAAACTGGAATTCTAAGACTTCTGGAGGGAGCTCTCTTGTGAACTGCAGATCCAAGACAACCTTCTTTCATTTGAAGTAGTCATTCTTTAGTAGTCTGTTAATCACAAAGGAAGGAAATTTCTGACTTGCTGGAAAGATGGCAAGTCTGGAAAAAACTTGTCTCATTGGCCACTAAATAGCTCTGTGAACAGAGTCAAGGCTTGGGCCTCAAGTTTCTTTATGGAAATAAATGACAAATTATTTCATTTGATCCCTTTGATAACTTCATTAATGAGGAAGAATGGCAGATAGGTAAAGTTAGATAAAGGACTCAGAGCTGACCAGTGGATTTTTAGCAATTTAGAAGTCATTGGTGACCTTAACAAAAGCACTTTCTGAGCTTCTGGAAGAAGGATGGTAAAAGCCCAAACATCAAGTCTATTTAAAAGAGACTGAGGCCGGGCGCGGTGGCTCAACCCTGTAATCCCAGCACTTTGGGAGGCCGAGGCAGGTGGATCACGAGGTCAGGAGATCGAGACCATCCTGGCTAATCTGGTGAAACCTCGTCTCTACTAAAAATACAGAAAAATTAGCCAGGCGTGGTGGCAGGCGCCTGTAGTCCCAGCTACTCGGGAGGCTGAGGCAGGAGAACGGCGTGAACCTGGGAGGCGGAGCTTGCAGTGAGCTGAGATTGTGCCACTGCACTCCAGGCTGGGCAACAGAGCAAGACTCCGTATCAAAAAAAAAAGGGAGTGGGAGTAGAGGAACTGAAGATAAGAAGCACACATGACTCAGTTGAGGAGTTTTGCTGTAAATGAAACAAATGGGGTGCCGGTAGGTGAAATGGGATGCAGGCTCAAAAAGTTTTTGTTTGTTTGTTTGTTTTTCATAGCGTGTATTTGTGCTGACTGGGGAGTGATCCAATAGAGATAGAATATTTGATACAGTAGAGAGAATGTCATGTGGTAGATTGATGTCATGTGAAGGATTAATTTAGGTAAGAACATGAATAGTTCACATCAACAAGTAGTGGTGGTGTGTAAGTGGCGGGCAAGTAAATGTGTAGATGTAATGCATATTTTGGAGTTTCCTCTAATTGCTTCCGTTTTCTACATGAAATAAGAAATAAGGCTATCAGCTCATTCCACAAAATATGTATTGAATACCTACTTTGAGTTAGGTAATGGGACAGGGTGTATAAAGAGAATAGAAGGGAAGTGAGGGTAGAATCAATCTTTGGAAATTCTAGCAATCTTTAGAAATTCAAGGCAGTGTTGCTGGTAGGGATAGTTGGTGGGAGAAGATAAGATGGTCAAGATCACTCAGGAACTTCTTAGAGTGGATCAATGGGCACAGTTAGGCAAAAAAAAAATTTTTTTTTTTTTGAGATGGAGTTTCACTCTTGTTTCTCAGGCTGGAGTGCAGTGGCGCGATCTTGGCTCGCCGCAACCTCCACCTCCCGGGTTCAAGCGATTCTGCCTCAGCCTCCCGAGTAGTGGGATTATAGGCATGTGCCACCATGCCTGGCTAATTTTGTATTTTCAGTAGACATAGGCTTTCTCCATATTGGTCAGGCTGGTCTTGATCTTCTGACCCCCAAAGTGCTGGGATTATAGGCGTGAGCCACCGCACCCAGCCTAGGCAAAATTTTTTATTGTTTATTCTTATACCACCAGTTCCTTCTGCTCAGAAAAGGTAGAAGATAGAGGGAAGGAAACGAGGATGGGTATAGTGTAGAGGGGAGTAAAGGTGCAGGTTATTTTTATTTTTTATTTTAGAGGTGAGGTCTTGCTGTGTTGCCTAGTCTGGACTTGAACAAGGCTCAAATGATCCTCCCCCCAAACCCCACCCCCAGCCTCCCACTACAGGTGCGAACCATCGTACTCAGCTATGGGTTATTTTTAGTGTTTTTGATGAAGTTGGCTTTTGGTTAGTATAGTGCAGGCTTTGTTAACCTTGGCGCTGTTGACATTTTGGGCCTGAGTTGTTGAGGGTGGAGATCTCTTCTGTGCATTGTAGGATGTTTAGTAGCGCTCCTAGCTTATTTAGATGCCAGTAGTACTCAACACCCTTACTGAGACAAGCAAAATGTCTTCAGACATTGCTAAATGTTGGTAAAACTGCCCCTGGTTGAGAACCGCTGGTACAGATACTAAGAATATGGGCTTGTAAGGCATGGTGGCTCATGTCTGTAATCCCAGCACTTTGGGAGGCTGAGACCAGAGGATCACTTGAGCCTAGGAGTTCGAGACCAGCCTGGGCAACATAAGGAAACCCCATCTCTACAAAAAATAAAAATAAAAAAATTAGCTGGGTGTGTTGGCTTACATCTGTAGTCCCAGCTATTCAGGAGGCTGCCGTAGGTGGAAGGATTGCTTACGCCCAAGTGGTTGAGGCTGCAGTGAGCCAGGATTGCACCACTGCATTCCAGCCTGGGTGACAGAATGAGATCCTGTCTTCAAAAAGAAAGAATGAATGAATGAATATGTGCTCTTTCAGATAAATTGCTTGGATTCAAATCCTAACTCCATCACTATCTGCAAGACTCTTAGAAAGTTTACTTAAGTCGGCCGGGCGCGGTGGCTCACGCCTGTAATCCCAGCACTTTGGGAGGCCGAGGCGGGTGGATCATGAGGTCAGGAGATCGAGACCATCCTGGCTAACAAGGCGAAACCCCGTCTCTACTAAAAATACAAAAAATTAGCCGGGCGCGGTGGCGGGCGCCTGTAGTCCCAGCTACTCGGGAGGCTGAGGCAGGAGAATGGCGTGAACCCGGGAAGCGGAGCTTGCAGTGAGCCGAGATTGCGCCACTGCAGTCCGCAGTCCGGCCTGGGCGACAGAGCGAGACTCCGTCTCAAAAAAAAAAAAAAAAAAGAAAGTTTACTTAAGTCCTCTCAGTTTTAAAGTGATGAAAGTAATAGTAATCTATCTCATAGAGTTCTGAGAATTGAATTAGTTAACGCATGTGAAGCGTTTAAAAGTCACTGGTGGCCGGGCACGGTGACTCACGACTATAATCCCAGCACTTTGGGAGGCCAAGGTGGGTGGATCACTTGAGTCTAGGAGCTCAAGACCAGCCTGGGCAAAATGGCGAAAACCCATCTCTACAAAACATACAAAAATTATCCAGGCATGGTGGCACATGCCTGTAGTTCCAGCTACTAGGGAGGCTGAGGTGGTAGGATCGCTTTAGGAGGTCGAGGCTGCAGTGAGCCATGATCGATCGCACCACTGCACTCCAGCTGGGGTGACAGAGCAAGACTGTATCACAAAAAAAAAAAAAAAAAAGTCACTGGCACATGGTAAGTACTCAGTAAGTGTTCATTTTTATTATCAAATGAGAGCGAAAGATATAACAGAGAGTGAAGGATGCAAGGGTGAAGTAGTGGCTTAAAAATAATACCTTGGATGAAGGGAAGCACATTAAGGATAGAGAAAAGGAATCCTGAATATTTGAAGCTTATATGGCTTTGGAGCTCATATATAATAGTGAAACCACTGTCTCTCTCTCTTCATCTGGCTTGTTTCCTTCCATAAGAAAATGTGGAGCAAATAAACAGTTGGGATGATCTGGGCTTTAAAATTAGTAAACAAAAGAGCCTAGGTTTTAAGATTGATTTTTGATAATTGGGGCTGCTAATATCATTCAGGGATGATGTGATTGGTCATGCAGTCCAGGGAAGGCAACAGTGAGTCGACAAGTTGCTGATAGGTTGATAGTTTTTTCTCTGAAGTTGAATAGTAGGATTAGTGAGACAGAAAGAAAAGACAGTTAAGCTTAAAATAGGATGCTTAATTGCTTCTTGGAAGACATTAAAAGGTAAAGTCTAGATAGTTTTTAATGTAGCCAGATTAAGGGCTGCTATGGCAGAATTGTTTTGTAGCTGATTAAGGGATCATAAGGTTAGGATATTGAATTGAGTCATTAATTTTGATGCTGAAGTTGTTCCATATGATATCAGGAATAATTGAGGAGTAGAAGATGGCTTGGTGACAGTGTGTTGAGTGAATGTGAGAATCTGGCCGGGCATTGGACAGATTTTCTGAATAAATTGAGGATGTGAAGAGGATGGCATTTCTAAATAATGTGAACTTCAAAAAAGGAAGGAGACCATAACATAACTTGGTAAATGATCTTAAGGGAACTGGAACCAGGTCCATCCACTTAGCAGCACTGATTTATAATGAGATTTTAAGAGAAATTTTGAGGAAAAGTTAAAATTCTAATTGGAAGGTTTTCTCAGATATTAAAATTTTTTTTTTTTCTGTTTTTAATCAGGGGAACTTCTGTTGCAACTATGTCGTTTGGAAGATGCTGCAGATGTTTATAGAGGATTGCAAGAGAGAAATCCTGAAAACTGGGCCTATTACAAAGGCTTGGAAAAAGCACTCAAGCCAGGTAGTATTGTTTAAAACTTACTAAGTTTTATTGTTTCTTTTGTTAATATATATTTTATTTACTCATTGAAAAGCACAACTAGAATAATAGTGGTTAAGAATTGGTTCGAAATCTGAATACAGGCCAAGCGCAGTGGCTCGTGCCTGTAATCCCAGCACTTTGGGAGGCCGAGGTGGATGGATTGCCTGAGCTCAGGAGTTCGAGACCAGCCTGGACAACATGGTGAAACCCTGTCTCTACTAAAATACAAAAAATTAGCCTGGCATGGTGATGTGTGCCTTGTAGTCTCAGCTACTCCGGAGGCTGAGGCACGAGAATTGCTTGAACCCAGGAGGCAGAGGTTGCAGTGAGCCAGCATAGTGCCACTGCATTCCACCCTGGGCAACAGAGCGAGACTGTGTCTCAAAAAAAAAAATCTGAATACAAAAGTACATTTGCAAACTTCTATTTAATATGACAGATTGAGCATGTTCTGAAACCTCTCTTTTATAGATTTATAGAATGGTTGAGAAAATAATTTTAGAGACAACTTTAGAAAAAAATTCACAAATGCATAGTAGCATCAAAAACATGAAAGGAAGCCAGGTGTAGGGGCTCACACTTGTGATCCCAGCACTTTGGGAGGCTGGGGCGGGAGGATTGCTTGAGCCCAGGAGTTTGAGCTCAGCATGGGCAACATGGTGAGACACTGCCTCTTAAATAAAAGGAAATTTCCACTGACAGAAACGGAGATATATTCTTAAAAGCAAGAATAAGCTCTGTGGTAAGCTGTGGCTGCATCGAAGTGACTTGCCAGGGTCACGTAAATGTAGCCAGGCTGAATGAGCATCACTGTTCCTTTGTGGGAAGAGGGGTTAAATTTCTGTCACTCAAACTTGGATTCAGACGTGGTCCCCCAGTCATCCTCTCCCATAAGTGGGGTCCACTTGTGGGAACAGGCCCAGAAACAAATAGGCAGGATCCTCAGCAGAGGTGATCTGATTTGTTTCCTTCAAGGCTAGTTGTGAGCCATTGAAATATACAAGAGAAACCTTCTTGCAGATTACTTTGTAACAAAGATTCTCAGACTGATTTAGGAACACCAGCAAGGAATGGTAATCACCACTGTCTGCAAAAGGAAGAGTAGAGATGATGGAGGAATCTAAGATAGACGTAATTGCTGCCATGAAACATGAATAGTTAGGAGAAGTACCAATTAGGAATCTGAAATGAAAAACCTACTTACTAAAATAAAAATTTTAATTGAATGGAAGAGAGGCCATGGCCAAAATCAGAGGAGAGGAGTTAGAGGGGAGAAGCTAAGGAGAATAGTAGGAGAAGCAATATATGGAAACATGATAACCAAGGCTTTTTCAGAACTAAAGAAGTTCTCAGGTTTTAAAAGCCTACCTAAAGCAGAACAGGATAAAGATAATTATGTACTTAAGATAAAAAAAATTGAAAAGAAATAGTCTAAAATAATTGTTGAAATAGTAGATGTAAGATTACAAATAATTCCAATTTTCTTTTAAATATTAGAATTTTAATATACTTTGAGAAGTTCGTAATTTTCCAGAAAAAATATACAATTTATGATTATATATAACAAAGAATTTTTCTTTGTTTGCAGCTAATATGTTAGAACGGCTAAAAATTTATGAGGAAGCCTGGACTAAATATCCCAGGGGACTGGTGCCAAGAAGGCTGCCGTTAAACTTTTTATCTGGTAAGTGAGAATAATTGCAAAGGAATAGAAATGCTTTTATGATTTAAAGTTTCTTTTCTTGGTTTTAAGTATGAGTATGCATATTAAGTTTAAGCTATACATTGTTAGAGTTGTCTAACAACTCTGCTAAATGTAAGTTGGTAAATGTAAGTAAATACTTTGGTAAATGTAAGTAAATACTTGATAAATATAAGCGAAAAGGATTTTTCTCTTCCAAGGTGAGAAGTTTAAAGAATGTTTGGATAAGTTCCTAAGGATGAATTTCAGCAAGGGTTGCCCACCAGTCTTCAATACTTTAAGATCATTATACAAAGACAAAGAAAAGGTAAAGTGAAATATGATACTTTCTTTTGGCTACCATTTCTTTGCTCGGTATTTGGAATTATTGATTCTTGATTATCTCTGCACAGTAGTACGTGTTTTGTGAATCTCATGTCAGTCTTCCCAGTTTGCAGTTTAAATGCTTCTGATTCCTCTTTTTTCCATTTCATCCTCTTTTTTTTCTTTAGCCCAGTAACTTATTGCTTGTTTTCTGTTTCCTTTCTGCTATAAACTTTTAATGAGTCACTGTAGGTTATAAAAAGTTGATAAGGTAATAATTTCTTCACCATTTTCTTTCATCTTGTTCATGGTCAGAAGCCAGAGTGTGCTTGTTTTTTGTTTTTTTTTTAACTTAAGTTTTAGCTTAGTCTTCTTTCTCCTTTTTAAATTTGGTAGACAAAAAGTTCTGTCAGAAGAGTTTTTTTGATGTTCTAATAAGTCAGCTTACTCTTTCAGCTACATGTTAATAATATTCAGAATGCTTCTTTAGAGGTTATTTTAATTATTTTTTTTTCTTTTGAGACTGAGTCTTGCTCTGTCACCCAAGCTGGAGTGTAGTGGCATGACCTCAGCTCACTGCAACCTCTGCCTCCTGGGTTCAAGCAATTCTTGTGCCTCAGCCTCCCAACTAGCTGGGATTACAGGCGCGTACTACCATGCCTGGCTAATTTTTGTATTTTTAATAGAGACAGGGTTTCACCGTGTTGGCCAGGCTGGTCTTGAACTCCTGACCTCAAATGATCCGCCCACCTCGGCCTCCCAAAGTGCTGGGATTACAAGCGTGAGCCACCGTGCCTGGCCAAGGGTATTTTAATTTTAATTTTTAGATTATTTTGGTTATAAGTACAGTGTCATCAAGGCATATTGTTTGGATTCTAAAAAATCAGTTACATTGAAGAGTCAAAGATGGAGCAAATGAGACATATGAAACACTTTAACCAGAATTACATAATGTGCATTTATTTGCCGGTCTTTTGTTGGAGACCCAACGTATGGGCTTTTTTGATTGCTGTTTCACTTGTTTTTTCTTGCATAAATCACATCCATAAAATATCTTTTTTTTTTTTTTTTTTTTTTGAGACGGAGTTTCACTCTTGTCGCCCAGGCTGGAGTGCAATGGCGTGATCTCAGCTCACTGCAACCTCTGCCTCCCGGGTTCAAGCGATTCTCCTGCCTCAGCCTCCCAAGTAGCTGCGATTACAGGCACGTGCCACCATACCAGGCTAATTTTTGTATTTTCAGTGGAGATGGGGTTTGACCATGTTGGCCAGGCTGGTCTTGAACTCCTGACCTCAGGCAATCCACCCATCTTGGCCTCCCAAAGTGCTGGGATTACAGATGTGAGCCACCATGCCTGGCCAAGTAGGATCTTTTGTTTCCAGTTTTGAAAGAGTCAGACTTTGATGTTTATGAAGTGGTCTTATGTATAGAATCCTATATTTTTATGATTTTCTTCTACTTAAGATATTTTGATTTAGATCTAAACTGGTTAAAAATACCTAATTTATCTTTTTAGTCTTTCCTTGGTATTCAACTTATGGAACAGTCATTTTCATTCTCACATCTTAAGTTTACACAATACTGAATTCTGCCATTAGAATAATAAATGCAACTGATTCAAAGATGTTTGAGAAAACAAAACAGTCTTAGTAGGCTTGTAGCTCAGCTTGTAGGAGGGAACATGGGTGCACCAGAATAACCTAGCTGCAATCTTTAGTCCTCACAATTTATTGAGGTTTTGGAAAGAGCTGATATTAGTCTGTTGAGTCAGTTAGGTTGAGGTCATTCAATAAAGCCATAATAGTAATAGAAATCCCTTAAACATGGATTAAACAAAGAACAGAAGTAGTAAATAAAAAATGCTCAGAGATCTCTCAGGAAGCCAGGAGCGAGTAGTATAGTCAAGACTCAAGAGAAACCAGAACCTGGATGGCCACTCATTCTCCTGGACCTAACAAACTCTCAGAGTATTCTTTGAGTTTTACTAATGTTTTACCCTGGATTGTGAAATTGAAAGTTGAATACTGTCATCTACTTAGAGAATTTCTCTTTTCACATAGCATTTAATTCTTAAATGCAAATGTTTACTGTGGGTGTTCATTTATACAAACTTTGTTAAAAGAATCAAGATATAAATCATCCACAATATTGCCTGTCTTTGTCCAACTCTTCCTGATTTCTGGTTCAGCTGAAAAGGAGTAACCAATAAGTTTTTATAAAATTACATCTTAATGTACACCTGTGCAAAAGTATGATGTATTTTAAAATTTGTATCTAGAGGTTAAGATATTTTTAATAAAGGAGGGTGTGTGTGTTGGAGTGTTTATTTAGTGTTTTAGTAGAAAATAACACATTTTGCATAAGAATAGTAAATGTGTGTTTTTTCTATTAAAGTGTGTTTGTGTGTTTGTACTCTAGGTGGCAATCATAGAAGAGTTAGTAGTAGGTTATGAAACCTCTCTAAAAAGCTGCCGGTTATTTAACCCCAATGGTAAGTCCTCAAGTTTTATGTTTTAAAAACATCTTGAAAATTTTAATACATTGTGAAATTCTTAATCAGAAGGTCAGTATTATTACTTAGGCAGTAAGCACAGTGCATTAAATTTTTTTCTCTTTGAGAGGGAGATCCATTAATTTGCACATTGTGTGATGATATTTGGTTAGAAGAGAATTACATTATCTTTGTTTTTTGTGTTTTGGGTTTTTTTTGAGACATGATCTTGCTCTGTTCCCCAGGCTGGAGTGCAGTGGTGTGAACACAGCTCACTGCAGCTTCGACCTCCTGGGCTCAAGTGATCCTCCTGCCTCTGTCCTCTGTGTAGCTGGGACCACAGACATGCACCATCATGCCAGGCTAATTTTTAGATTTTTTGTAGACTTAGGGTCTCACTTTGTTGCCCAGGCTGGTCTCAAACTCCTGGGCTCAAGTGATCCTCTTGCATTGGCCTCTTAAAGTGTTGAGATTATAGGCATGGGCCACTGTGTCCCACCTCGCATTAGTTTATTGAAAAGAATGTTATGTAAAATTTTAAAAACATCTACAAAACTAAATGCAACAGTATAATAATCCTCTCTTTACCCAGCACTCAGCTTCAATAATTTTTAATTCATAATTGAATTTATTTATAGCTTCTCCTACTTTTCTCTACTCCCATATTGTTCTGAAGCAGATCCAAACATCACATCATTTTATCCATGGATATTTCAGTATGTCTAAAGAGAAGGACTTAACCTAAAACATAACCTAATACCATTCTCATACCTGAAAATTAATATATATATTTTTTGAGATGGAGTCTTGCTCTGTCATCCAGGCTGGTGTACAGTGGCATGATCTCAGTTCACTGTAACCTCCACCTCCCAGGTGCAAGTGATTCTCCTGCCTCAGCCTCCCGAGTAGCTGGGACAGGTGCCTGCCACCACGCCTGGCTAATTTTTGTATTTTTGGTAGAGACGGGGTCTCACCATATTGGCCAGGCCAGGCTGGTCTCGAACTCCTGACCTCAAGTGATCCGCCTGCTTCGGCCTCCCAAAGTCCTGGGATTATAGGCATGAGCCACCACGCCTGACAAAAATTAATACTTTCTTAATAATAACTATTCAGTCCATGTTCACATTTCCAGTTATGTTATAAATGCCATTTTTTTTTTGCCTTTCCTTTTTTGAAGTTTGTTGGAATGAAGATTCAGATAAGATGTGTACTTTGAATTTGGTTGATGTGTCTCTTAAACTCTTTTTATCTTTTGGGTTTCTGTCCTATCCCTTTTCCTGCAATTTATTTGTTGAAGAAATTTTTTTATTTTTTTTTTCAGTTTTCCCAGTCTAGAGTTTGCTGACTGTACCCCATGTGTTGCTTAACACATTATTCCTTGCTCTCTGAATTTCCTATAAACTGGTAGTTCAGTGTAGAAGTTTGTTGCTAGTATGATAGCCAGTAGCACAGTGGCTAATTAAAATTTTAAAAAATTAAATAAAATAAATTCCATTCCTTGGTTGCAGTAGCCACATTTTAAGTGCTGCTCAATAGCTATATATAGCTAATGCCTACCATGTTGGAAAGGGAAAATACAGGACACTTCTGTCATGACAGAATCTTCTAATGGACAGGTCCAACTAGAGATTTGATGAGATTCAATATTGTTTTGATGGTTTTGCTTTTGTTTTTTAAACAGAGGAGTGAGTGAGATTCTTACAGGTGGTGGCATATTCTTCTATTAGTAGGCATACGTGTTAGTTTTATATGTTAGCAACTGTTAAGAATTACCAACTGGTGATACTCTATTATTCTTTATTATTTTAAAAGAGAAAATTTTCTTCCTCTATTACCTGTTTACACAATGTTTCAGTTTACATAGGAAAAGCATGATAAATGGATTTTTTCTCCCCACTCCCTCCTTTTTAAAATTTCTTTACCAGTTTTCAAAATAATGAATTGTTGGTTCAATAGCATCCTTCAAAGACAGCAAATACGTTTTTAAAAAGTATTATGAATTCATGGATTTAAGCATATTTGATGTTTTATATCAAATATTTGATGTTGCATATTCAGCATATTAAAATATATTAAGAATATAATCACCAAATTCAAAATAACCACATTACAAATCTCAAATGGTCCCATTCTTTACATACCATAGTAGTAGTTGATAACTTCTTGGGTGTTAATAAGACAAGATATTCCAGTTTATTGCTGCCACTGCAGATCTGGAATCAATTGTTTTTCCTAGGAGTTCTGGTTCCTGTAGTGGGAAAGCCCGGTATGGGACCCTGGGTGCATATTGCTATTGGGTTGGTCATTGTTTCTAGGTCTCAGATTAATTTAATAGTACTTTTTTCCATGATTTCATTGGTTAATCATCATAATGTTCCTTTGATTATCAGCATTTTCCTACATATTTTACAAATGTGGAAGAGGTTCAATGACTTGCCCAAGAATATGCAGCACTTTTGTTGCAGATCTGTCAGATGGGGAGTTGGTGAGTTCCACTCCTATTATTTGTCCACTGAGCCATCCTGCTTTTACTAGGAAAAATTTTTTAAAAAGCAATCTGTTGCTTTCTTTGAAAGCACGTATCAGTTCTCAGATTTTAGAAATTTGTATTAAAAAAGAATTTTTTAACGTGTGGGTTGTATATTTAACTTACACATTTTCTTGTCAGTATATTAAAATTAAATCATGAACTAAAATATAAAAATTTTTTTACTTGTCATCTCATTTTTGGGGTATAGTTTTTATTTGACTTAAATTATGCATCTTTGCATATTCAGCATATTAAAATATATTAAGAATATAATCACCAAATTCAAAATAACCACATTACAAGTATATTTTATAACAGTTTGGTGCATTAGCTAGAAACTCAATTAAGCAGCCAGGGCTTTTTTTTTTTTTAACCTCACATGAATAGAGAACATTTTTAATTTCTTCCCCCTTTATAAATAACATCCTGATCAGTATGCTCTCATAGTTCTAGTACAGCTTGTCTCCCCCCTACCTGTTTCAGTTTTCTTTCTAGGTAGTTAGACCTTATTTATCTCCCATGTTTGTTTCATAAAGTTATTATATGAAAGGGATTGTGCTAGGGGTTATAAGGATGCAGAAAAGAAAATATGGACCTTTCCAAAGATCTTATAAACTTAGGAGGAGTTTTATAGCTAGATACATAAATAAACTCCTTTCATAGTACCTCCCTTGTTAATAAACATAGGGACCATTTTGGGGGGTGCTCTTAATATATGTAATGCCTCATCTTGGTTTCTTCTCCCTCTTCTCCTAAGATGATGGAAAGGAGGAACCACCAACCACATTACTTTGGGTCCAGTACTACTTGGCACAACATTATGACAAAATTGGTCAGCCATCTATTGCTTTGGAGTACATAAATACTGCTATTGAAAGTACACCTACATTAATAGAACTCTTTCTCGTGAAAGCTAAAATCTATAAGGTAAAAATCTTTTTTTCTATTTTCTTATAAGGTAATGAGACTTGTCATGAACTTTTTCTCTGTATTTTATAGATTCTAAATATAGGAAAAGTGACATTTGATAACTCAAAAAACATGAAGTAACAAGTATAGTACATTTCTCAGTCCAATTACTTTGAGACTTGTGGTCATGCTAATTTGGTGATTTATCTATATCCGTATACACACACATACGTACATACATTAATGTATATGTATTCACACGTATCTGGTAATTCTCTTGGGTTTGGAGAGTAAGAGTATATAGGTAATCCAAAAGAAATTTTATTTGCTGTGAAATGTGTATTTCTATTAAAATTTGAGTATGATAACATATCAGTATCTGGCAATGTTATTGAGATGAAACTGTGAAGATTCTATTATGAATTCTACAGGTTATCTCTTTTGACTTCTCAACTCCTGGGCCTTGCTTGAGAATTTTTAGTCATATATTTTAGTATCATCTTAAAATAAAGTTGGCTTTTCTCTGTCATATTGCAAATAAAATTTAGTAATGAAAGCTCTTGAGGGACTGATAATAAACCAGTAATTTGTTTAGCAAGAAAATAATGAAATTAAGTAATATTTAAGAAGTTTTTTTGTTTGTTTTTGTTTTTGTTTTTTTTTTTTTGAGAGAGAGAAAGAGTCTCACTGCATCACCCAGGCTGGGGTGCAGTGGCGCGATCTCAGCTCCCTGCAATGTCTGCCTTCCGGGTTGAAGCAATTCTCATGCCTCAGCCTCCGGAGTGGTAGCTGGGATTATAGGCATGCACCACCATACCCAGCTAATTTTTGTATTATTTGTAGAGATGGAGTTTCGCCATGTTGGCTAGGCTGGTCTCGAACTCCTGGCCTAAAGTGATCCACCTGTTTTGGCCTCCCAAAGTGCTCAGATTGTAGGCATGAGCCCCTGCACCTGGCTAAAGAAGCACTTTTGATTTTTTATTTATTTTTTTTATTAATTTTTTTATTTTTAGATTTTTTAAAAAAATTATACTTTAAGTTCTAGGGTACATGTGCACAACGTGCAGGTTTGTTACATAGGTATACATGTGCCAGGAAGCACTTTTTAAAACTAGATTATGGCTCATTAGTTTTGAAGCTTTGCCAGATGGACTAGTTAGGTAACTTAGAATGAGGAACATTGGGGAATGTCTACTAATGGTCCTAATCAGTAATGTTTCCATGGTTCCTTTAGCGTACAGATTTGGCTATGCCTTTTATGACTTTCACATTTAATTATGTTTTGACTTCTAGTATTGGCCGGGAGCTGTGGCTCATGCCTGTAATCCCAGCACTTTTGGAGGCCAAAGTGGGCAGATCACAAGGTCAGGAGTTCAAGACCAGCTTGGCCAATATGGTGAAACCCCATCTCTACTAAAAATACAAAAATTAGCCAAGTGTGGTGGCAGGCCCAGCTACTCGGGAGGCTGAGGCAGGAGAATTGCTTGAACCCGGGAGGCGGAGGTTGCAGTGAGCCAAGATTGTGCCACTGTACTCTAGTCTGGGTGACAGAGTGAGACTCCCATCTCAAAAAAAAAAAAGATTTCTGTTATTATTTATTTATTTTTTATTGACATGGAGTCTTACTGTCACCCAGGCTAGAGTGCAGTGGCATGATCTCAGCTCACTGCAACCTGCACCTCCTGGGTTAAAGTGATTCTCCTGCCTCAGCCTTCCAAGTAGCTGGGATTACAGGCATGCGCCACCACCCTTGGTTTACTTTGTATTTTTAGTAGAGATGGGGTTTCACCATGTTGGCCAAGTTTGACTCGAATTCCTGATCTCAGTGATCCACCCGGCTCGGCCTCCCAAAGTGCTGGGATTACAGGCATGAGCTACAGCGCCCGGCCTTATTTATTCTTTAACAATTATTTTTGAGTATTTTTACTATGTGCCAGGCAGTTTTGGGCAATGGCGATATTAACAGTAGACAAAACTATTAAAATAAATCTTTACTGTCAGACAGCTTACATTCTAGAAGGCTGGAAAAAGGAATCAGAACTTATATTATGGAAGAATGCATTTCTTTATATTGATTAGCATCTAAGAGTCACAAGAATGCCTTTACTTTCATTTGTTTTTAAATTATTTATCAACAGATAATGAATTACCTGCACAGTAAACTTAGCATGCTAACTGGTTTATTTTGCTTTTGTACCTTATAAGCATGCTGGAAATATTAAAGAAGCTGCAAGGTGGATGGATGAGGCCCAGGCCTTGGACACAGCAGACAGATTTATCAACTCCAAATGTGCAAAATACATGCTAAAAGCCAACCTGATTAAAGAAGCTGAAGAAATGTGCTCAAAGTTTACAAGGGTTTGTACAGCTAGTGTTCTTAATTATGAATAAAGAAGACATGAGCCAGTTCATACTTGTATAACATGCTTATTTTTCAAAGTTTGTCTTTAATATTTTTGACACCGTAATAGCCAAGATTTTAATTAAATCACTGTATCAGAAGATACTGGAGTCAACATTGATATAAAGGATTTTCCATTTAGAGGGTTGTACAATGGACTTTTAAACTGGTTTATATTCATGTACGTTCAGATAAATTTTTTAGGGGTCAAGGGAACTAAAATTTATTGAATACCTGCTATGTGGTGGTGTTCTTTTTCTTGTATTAATCCCTACCCTCAATTATGTAGACCTTTGAAACTACATTTGTGTTTCAAAGTTTCACAGTGTTGAACACACAGTGTGTGTTCAAAAGTTTCACAGTTTCACCTGTGAAACTACAAATTATTTTTAGTAGTTAGAGAATATCAGTTGTTTTCCCATGTTAACTATTCTTTAAGAATGTTTTAAAAATTTTTTTGAAAGAGTCCCAATCAGCTTAACATCTTTGTTTTTTAAAATTCTGTGGTAGAATGATGTCTATGATAAAAAGTGATCTTGAAAATATTTGATTTCTGTATAGGAAGGAACATCAGCGGTAGAGAATTTGAATGAAATGCAGTGCATGTGGTTCCAAACAGAATGTGCCCAGGCTTATAAAGCAATGAATAAATTTGGTGAAGCACTTAAGAAATGTCATGAGATTGAGAGAGTAAGTACCTTCTACATAAAAGTTTTCTTGTTTTATTCTGTCGATGGTTTTGGACAAATTTCATAGTTTTTTTCTCTTCTATTTCTTTATAATTCATAGTAGGTGCTTTTTAAAATCAGTATTCACTTTTTTCAGTTTTCATACTGGAAATATAGACTGCATTTTCAGCCAGGGTCTCTATTGTCTTGTGGTAAGAACTCTTTTTTAAAAAACTTTATGGAAAATTTGTATCTTGGCTATGTTTTTATTGATTTTTGAACCTTCCAAATTGCTGCTGCCGCTTTAGTAGTACATACACAGCTGATTAAAGTACTCCTAGGACCCTGTTCATTGTAGAATTTATTGATGATGCCATATACCCTTGGTAAGATATAAATGTTGGAAGACTTTTCACAATATTTCTTCTGTAGCTTATCTAATTTCATGCTGTTTGATAAAATTGTTTTCTTAATTCTCTTCACGTCTGACTCATTTCCATGACTAGTGGTTGGTTTTTCTTTTTTGTGTTTTACACAGATAAACATAGTTTATATAACTAATTTCACATTTGCAATATTGTCAAGTATAGAATACCAAAGCTTAGTTGAAATGCATCAAGTTCCTGATTGCTTGACTTACTTGCTAATTGATTTCTTTTCCACATACCAGCATCACATTGCATAGGATTCAGATTTGTATCCTCAAAAAAAAATTATCAAATACATCTTATAATCCTTTGCAAATGATTCTAAATATAAAAACTCAATGTTTAACATGTGAGTCTACTTGCACTACTATGTAAATAAATTATGTTTGATGTTGTCACAATAGCTTTAAGTATAATTAAGGAAGGGATAATGAATAAACATTTTTAAAGCTTCCTTTTTCAACAAATGATTCTGTGCCTGCAGTATGCCATATCCTGTGCTAGACAATGGCTAACTGTATTTGCTTATTTGAAATGCAAAATATTCCTGTTGAATAATTGTAATTGTTTTTTTAAAATTTTACTAGTTTTTTTCATGCCAAAGTAACAAGTATTCCAATGCTTTGATTTTATAGTTTTCTTAGCCATTGCTGTACTTCGGTATAATAATAAAAAGATAATTTTGTTAGCATTTTATAGAAATCACTGATGACCAGTTTGACTTTCATACATACTGTATGAGGAAGATTACCCTTAGATCATATGTGGACTTATTAAAACTAGAAGATGTACTTCGACAGCATCCATTTTACTTCAAGGCAGCAAGAATTGCTATAGAGATCTATTTGAAGCTTCATGACAACCCCCTTACAGATGAGAATAAAGAACACGAAGCTGATACAGGTATAATATTCAGAGTTCTTCTTGTGCTCTGATGTGTTTATGTGTATTTATGTGTATTATGTTTTTCATTTAATAGTATTGCTCCATGTCTTGAGCACCACGAGGAAAGATATTATACAAGGTTCTCTAAACAACAAAAGAAAAATGTTTACTTTTATGCTTCCAAAGTTAAACAAGAATTTAATTTGCAGTTATTCATTGGCATTTAAGAAGTTTGCATGTTATGAGTTTTACATTTAATATCTGGTTTACCCAAAATTATAAATTGCTAACTATTTTACAGGTACTAGATTGCTAATTGTATAATTAGTATTATAATTCTACATTAGTGTTGGCTATTAGTATTACTAGTTATTTTTTTGAGATGGAGTCTCGCTCTGTTTCCCATGCTGGAGTGCAGTGCATGATCTCGGATCACTGCAACCTCCCAGGTTCAAGCGATTCTCCTGCCGCAGCCTTCTGAGTAGCTGGGATTACAGGTGCCCACCACCACGCCTGGCTAATTTTGTGTTTTTAGTGGAGACGGGGTTTCACCATGTTGTCCAGGCTGGTCTCGAACCCCTGACCTCAAGTGATCTGCCCACCTCGGCCTCCCAGAGTGCTGGGATTGGCCTCCTAAAGTGCTGGGATTACAGGCATGAGCCACTATTCCCAGCCTATTCCTCTTTTTAATAGTAATTTATAATTAACCTACTAAAAATGAATATTGCTTGAACATTAAAAACCAGCTTGGGATAAAGCTAGGAAAATTGCACAGTGACTTATCATTTGACTCATTTTTAATGTACCGTTTTTATAGTAGGGTATCGGAATGACTAGGGAGAAGTCTTTCTTAGACAGTTATTTGGGACAGAACCTGAGAATGAGTGATCTCATACGTACAAAAATATGAATTTTGTGCCTTACTCATGGCAAAAATGTTGTAGGAATTGGGGCATAAAAAGTGTGTTTAATTTTTTTTTCTTTTAAGCCTATTTCTTTTTTGAGGATATGATTGGCTACTTTCTATATCCTTCTTCCTGCTAAACAGCTTTTGAATTATTTTGCTAATTTGTCGTTAAGTTTTACTTCCTGTTGCCTAAGGACAGTTTAGAAATTTCTAAGGTCACATACTGAAGCCTTTGTACAGATATCACTTGAATCTCTTTCTACCTGTTGGTGTTGCTTCAACTTAGAAGAAAACACCAGTAAGAAGAATCTGCTGGACAATTTACTGTTAAAGTTGAGAGCTATGACCCTCTGGCTTCTTTTGTTTTTCTTTCTATTCTTCTGCCTCCCTCCTTCTCTTCTTCAAATTATACAAATAATACACAATTAACTTTTCAAAGCTGAGACTATTAATACAGAAGTATACTTAGCAAATATGAAGATCCCCTTTCACTTTTCTCCCACCCATTCTTCATTCCAGCAATTATCCCTGTGAAAGGATCAATTCCCTTTATGCACAACTAGTTTCCAGAGTTCTATGTGTACATATACACATGCATTTCAGGATGGTTCTTTGCAGGGTTTCTTGTTTGATTTGTTTTTCTTTAGTCCATAATTGGGTTTATATCATACTCAGTGTTCTGCAACTTAGACTTTTTACCCCATTTAATAGTATTGCTCCATGTCTGCATATCATAATTATTATTTTCACTGTTAACATTTTAGTGACTGTAGGAATCTATGTGAATTTTTTCACCATTATAGTACTATAGTAAATGTCCTTGTACATAATTATGTGCATATTTATTTAGCATGGATTATTAGAAGTGGAAATCGGTGGGTTGAAGGATATGAGAATTTGGGATAAAAGGTTCATCAGTTTTTATTACCACCAACATGGGTATTGAGATTTTCTTTTATTTTACATTATTGCCAGCTCTGAAGGTTATTGTTCTTTTACATTTTTGTATGTTGGGCAAAATATCTAGTTTACAATTAATATATTTTATTTGTTTGTTTGTTTTGTTTTGTTTGAGACAGGATCTCATACTTTTGCCCAGTCTGGAGTCCACTAGTGCGATCATAGCTCACTGCAGCCTTGAGCTCCTGGGCTCAGGCAGTCCTCTCAACTCAGCCTCCTGAGTAGTTGGGACTACAGGTGCGTGCCACTGCACCCAGCTAATTTATTTTTGTAGAGACATGGTCTTGCCATGTTGCCCAGGCTTGTCTTGAGCCCCTTGGCTCAAGTGATTCTCCTGCCTTGGTCTCCCAAATTGTTGGGATTACAGGCATAAGCCACAATGTTTGACCAATTTCTAGATTTTTAATGGAGTGGATTATATGTTTTCTTTTTTTCACTTAGGTTTTATCCTTTAAGATGAGTATCTTTCATTATATACAAGTTTTAATTTTTAATATTTAGTCTTTTTTTGTGGCTTCTAGGTCTTGCTTAGAAAGGCTTTTTCTACTTAAAAATTTAAAATATATTTATGAATATCTTCTGTGTTTTTCTTCTAATACTTCTGCTTTGCAATTTTTTAGATTTGGCTCTTTAAACATTTGGAGTTAATTTTTATATACGTTGTAAGGTGGAGGGTGGCTTTCCACCTCCCTTCCTCCCCAAAATAGACTGCTATTTCCTCTGTAATATTTATTGAGTAGGTTTTTGTATTCCTCGCTGATTTCAAATGCTACCTTTATCATGATAAATTCTGAAAAAAATAATGTAGTAGGTCATAGGCATGGTTTCTTGGTCTAACATATATTAAAGATATGATTAAAACTACATGGTATTGACATCAGTACACAGATAGGTTTCTGTTGTTATGATCCATTTTTCTCAATCTAACACTGTGTCTTTAGAATTTTCGTGTTTTTACATGCAGATTTTTGCTTATGCATACACGGTAGAATTAGCTTGTCTTCCAGAAAGTTTCTGATACTAGGTTGAATCATTTTTCAGTTGATTTTTGAAAATTTTCTATGTAGGCCAGTATGTTAATCTGTAAATGGCAGTAGTTTTATTTCTTTCAATATTTATACCTTTCCCCCTTATGTCTTCTGGTATGGTTAGAGTTGCTGAAACAGTGGTGATTAGTAGGAACAAAAGTGTATTTGCTGCCTTTTTTTCTATAGAGGTAGTACTAATAATGCTTCATGATAAATTTTAATATTTATTTATTTATTTTTGAGATGGAGTTTCGCTCTTTTCACCCAGGCTGGTGTGCAATGGTACAATCTTGGCTCACCGCAACCTCTGCCTCCTGGTTTCAAGCAATTGTCCTGCCTCAGCCTCCCAAGTAGCTGGGATTACAGGCGCCTGCCACCACTTCTGGCTAATTTTTGTATTTTTAGTAGAGACGGGGTTTCTCCATGTTGGTCGGGCTGGTCTCGAACGCCTGACCTCAGGTGATCCACCCACCTTGGCCTCCCAAAGTGCTGGGATTACAGGTGTGAGCCACCACATGCGGCCTACATTTGTCTTTTTAATCATCTGGAGTTTAGTATAGCATAGAAGAAGCCTAGACTTTGGAGTCCAAGTGAAGTAGATTTACATCCTTGCTCTGCCTTTTACCATGACTCTGAGTTATTTTCCTCTGAAACCTCAGTTTTCTCGTATATAAAATAATATTATACTCTAATTCGTGAGGTTGTTGAGGACATCAAATGAAATACAATGTATGGGGTATGGGCTGGGTGCAGTGGCACACACCTGTAATCCCAGCACTTTTGGAGGCCAAGGCAGGTGGATCGTTTGAGTCCAGGAGTCCGAGACCAGCCTGGGCAACATGGTGAAACTGTCTCTACAAATACAAAAAAAACCCCAACCAACCAAACAAAATAGGCATGGTGGTGAGCACCTGTAGTTCTAGCTACTCAGGAGGCAGGAGTGGAAGGATCTTTTGAGCCCTGGAAGTCAGAGCTGCAGTGAACCATGTTTGCCACTACACTCCAGCCTGGACGACAGAGTGAGACCCTGTTTCAAAGAAAAAAAGAAAGAGAGAAAAAATATAAGGTATGCATTATATCTATCATGTAGCAAGGCTACAAGTGGTAGCATTTATGTTACCAGTTGTTAAAAAGGTCAGTGCTTATGTTGCCATCCATTTATAGTTTTGTGTTTCCAGAATGTAATTTTTTGGTCTCTATTAGAATTTTTTTTTTTTTTTGCGTTTTGTTTTTAGTATTAAGAGATTCTTCACTAGGAGAAAGATAAACAAATAATGCATTTGTTTTCATTGGCTTTATGTTATCTATTGCTGCATCATAAATTAATCCCTAAATTTAGCAGCTTAAAATAACCCTTTTTTTGGGTCAGGAATTCAGAAGTGTCTAAGTGACTCTGACTCAGGGTCTCTTAGGAAGTTGTAGTTGAGATTTTGGATGGGCATGCCATCATTGGAAGGCTTGGCTAGGACTGAAGGGATCCATTTCCTAGATGGCTTACTCAACCTGGCTGTTGGCATGAGACCTTAGTTCTTAGTCTCTCCATAGTTTCTAAAGTTTCTGAAGACATGGTAGCTAATGATGACAGAGAAAGGAAGAAGCTGCAACACCTTTTTAATGTTCTGTTCTCCTGACATCACACCATTACTTCCTTCACATTCTAATTGGTCAGAAAAGAGTCACCAAGCACAACCTATATTTGAGGGGAGGAGAATTGAAGAATTTGTAGACATAAGTTTAACTGCCGTGGTCTGCATTTTGGTTACAAATTATTTACATTATCATTTTTGGGTTTTTTTTTTTTTTTAAATTTTTGAGACAGGGTCTCACTCTGTCTTCCAGGCTGGAGTGCAGAGACTCAGTCATAGCTCATTGCAGCCTCAAACTCCTGGGCTCAGCCAGTCCCCCAACCTCAGCCTGCCACGTAGGTAGGACTACAGGCACATGCCACCATGCCCAACTAATTTAAAAATCCTTTGTAGAGGTGGGGTCTTGCTATGTTGCCCAGGCTGTTCTCAAAGTCCTGAGCTGAAGTGATCCTCTTGCCTTGGCCTCCCAAAGTGCTGGGATTACAGGCATGAGCCACCACGCCCAGCTTACATTATTCTTATATGCAAAATATAGTTAGCCATTTCAAGGCCTTCAGAAGTCTATCCCATTGTAACATTAGCTTAAAGTTCAGAATCTTGTCATGTAAATCAGGTACAGGTGCTGAAGCAGCTCCTTGAGTATAGTTTTTTATTTTTATTTTTAACCTTAAGTGTGACATTTCAATTATAGTTCTTTTAATATGAAATCCTGTTAACTAAAATTACAAGTTATTTATCAACTACACACCCAATATAAAATGAGACAGGCATAGGATGACCACTGTAGACATTATTAGGAGACACACAGGAGTTACCACGTCCATCCTCAAGTCCAGTGGGGCATGGCTTAATAGTTCTTTGATGAGGACCCAAGACTGGAATAATTTTCTGTGGCTCTTGGCCCTGCCCTCTGAGTTCCTGGTTCCACTTTCTGAATTACCCTTTTTTTCTTTTGGAAGTTAACAGTTGTTTGCAACTGAGTAGTTTTTCAGTATTCTGACCAGTAAAATATTGAGAGTCTAAAGACCTCTTTTCATTTTGTGCTGTCATTCTTTTCCTTCCAGATTTACTATTTCTGCCCATAGAATAAACATCATGAATCTTTTGTGAGTCTTATTGGAATCCACGTATACTTGAGCTTCTATGGAGGGGAGAACACCCTTAAGTTCTTAGAAGTTTTATTGTTTGAGAGAATCTGTGAGTCATACTCTTAAATTTTTTAGAGAGCCTTTCTTCAGACTAAATAGTGAGGCACCACCATATTCTGAGTAACAAAAGATTGTAATGCCAAGCCCCTTTGCCTTCCCTCTTGACATATTTTTTGATCTTTGCCCAGCAAGCCATTTCTGGAGAGACTGAGAGTTTTCAAAACCATCAAGCCCCTGTCTCTTTTCTTTAGTTTCTTTGTCCTCTTACATTTTTCCTGGGCACTTTGCCTGAAAATCCCTTCAGTTAGTTAGTTAGCTCACTGAGTCCATTTGACACATTTTATAACACTGTTGCTAAACTTTCTGCTACTCTGTGGCTATTACATATCCTTCACTTCATTTTAAGGGCTCATCTGCAGCCTCCTCAAAGTCTAGACTTCTATGAATAGTCCAAGGCTCTTCAAACTTCCACTAAAGCCCTACTCAAAGTCTGTCCACCTTTTGCAACTCCCTGGCTCCAAAGTTATTCCCACATTTTAGGTTTTTGTTACAGCAGTATCTCATGTCCAGGTACCAAAATCTATGTTGTTTATCTATTGCTGCAAAACAAATTACTCAAAAACATAGCAGCTTTAAATAGCAACCGTTTATTATCTGACTGTTACTATGTGTCAAGAATTCAGAAGTCACTTAGCTGTATGTTTCTGAAGACTCTGGGTCTCTCAGGCAGCTGAAGTCAAGATGTTGGCTGGGCACGGTGGTTCATGCCTGTAGTCCTAATGCTTTGGGAAGCTGAGGCGGGTGGTTGCTTGAGTCTAGGAGTTCGAGACCAGCCTCGTCAACATAGTGAGACCCTGTCTCTATTTATATTTTAAAATTTAAAAAGTTGCCAGCTGGAGCATCTGAAGGATCAGCTTGGCTTGGAGGATCTCCTTCCATGATGGCTTACTCTCATGGCCAGAGGCATCAGTTCTTGGCCATACATTGGTCTTTCCATAAGATTGAGTTTCCTCATAAGACAGGAGCTGGTTTCCTCTGAATGATCCAAGAGAAAGCAAGGAGGAACCTATAGTCCATTTATGTCCTAATATTAATGTTACATACCTTGGTGTATAGTACATGTTACTCCTTACACATGAGTCACTAAATATAGCCCACGTTTGAGGTGGCGGGGGTGGAGGGGGGTCCTGCCTTTTTAAAGGAAGAACTTGTGGGCATATTTTGAAATCACCACAGTGGTAGTGTATTTTGGAATGACTTTTTTCATTTCTCTATATTAACAGATGTTATCCAAATAAATACTGGATGAGCCTTTAGCTTTCAAATTTGTTCCTTGAAATCAAAACAATATAAATATTTCACTATATTATAGCATATTTGTCAGTGATTTCCAGTCTTTTGAGACAGTCAATAGTTTATACTTCTAGGGATATTGTTAATTTTCAATATTAAATTTTTAATTTACTATAGAGTTATTCATTTATTGTGTTAACAAATATTTGAGTGTTGTCTGTCTGTTTTGGCATGCTGCTAGGCCCTGAAAATAAGGTTACAAATTAGACAGGATCTCCTTTACCAAAGAGCTCATAGCTTAAAAGAGAGACAGCTGTATAAACAAACTATTGTGTCAAGCAAAATATATTAGCCATAGTGGCAGCACAGACAGAATGAATAATTGTTTGGCCAGGTTAGAGAAGGCATAACTAAGCGAGCATAGTCCTCTGAAGCCATAGAGATATGCAACAGCTTGTTATATTCATAGATTGCAAATAGTTTAATATTGCTGTTTAACTTGTATGTTTTGCTGTGATCATTTGTTTACATGCATATCCCATATGGTTTCAAGAAAGTTTTCTGAAGTGGTTCCGTTGTTTGCTATCTGATGTTGAACCATTAAAAGGCTAGGTACTGCTGGGTGCGGTGACTCACGCCTGTAATCCCAGCACTTTGGGAGGCCGAGGCAGGTGGATCAGGAGGTCAGGAGTTTGAGACCAGCCTGACCAACATGGTGAAACCCCGTCTCTACTAAAAATACAAAAATCAGCCGGACGTGGTGGCACATGCCTGTAGTCCCAGCTACTTGGGAGGCTGAGTCAGGAGAATTGCTTGAACCTGGGAAGCAGAGGTTGCAGTAAGCTGAGATCTCGCCACTGCACTCCAGCATGGGTGACAGAGTGAGACTCCGTCTCAAAAAAAAAAAAAAAAAAAAAGGCTACATACATATGGGGACATTTACATCCATACCATGTAATATTTTTTTAAATTTGTTTTTTGAGACAGAGTTTCGCTCTTGTTTCCTAGGCTGGAGTGTAGTGGTGTGATCTTGGTTCACTGCAACCTCTGCCTCCTGGGTTCAAGCAATTATGCTACCTCAGCCTCCTGAGTAGCAGGGATTACAGGTGCATACCACCACACCCAGCTAATTTTTGTATTTTTAGTAGAGACAGGGTTTCACCATGTTGGCCAGGCTGGTCTCGAACTCCTGACCTCAGGTCATCTGCCCACCTTGGCCTCCCAAAGTGCTGGGATTATAGGCATGAGACGCCATGCCCAGCCTCATGCAATATTTTTTAATGGAAGTTTGGTAGGATCAAATAATACTTAAAATTACTAATCTGATTAACATGCTTGTTAATTTTATTAATTAACTTATTGCCTGCAGCAAACATGTCTGACAAAGAGCTAAAGAAGCTACGTAATAAACAAAGAAGAGCTCAAAAGAAAGCCCAGATAGAAGAAGAGAAAAAAAATGCAGAAAAAGAAAAGCAGCAGAGAAATCAGAAAAAGAAGAAGGATGATGATGATGAGGAGATAGGAGGTCCAAAAGAAGAACTTATTCCAGAGAAACTGGCCAAGGTACTTAATAATAGTGTTTAGCACAATTGAGTGACATTTTATGACCAGCTCTTGTCATTTTTATACTGTCTTATTTGACAGTATATAACCTTATGTGATATAGGTTTTAGAGCCAAAAATTATTTTATTTTTTAGTATTCTTTCTTTAATATTTTGTTTCTGATCGTGTTTCATGTTTAAAACTTGAAATAATGATCCTGTTCCAAAGTCATATAGTATAGTATGGTGGAAAAAATTTTGGCTTTTGAGTCATTCAGATCTGGGTCCAGATATTAGCTCTTATATTTTCACTGTGTGCCCTTGGACACTTTGTCTAACCTCTCTGATGGTTTTCTCATCTATAAAATGGAACTAAGAAAATCCTTATTTAGGACTGGAGAAAATACATATGTAAAGCATCTAATGTCTGTTACAGTGGTAACATGCAAGTTTTTATGTCTAGGCTAAATTGAGTTTGTTATAAACTGAGGACTATACGTGTATCTCCCATTTACCTCTGTTGTCAGTTTACATTATTTCTTTTCTAGCCTAAGGCTGTAAATATTTTCCCTAGGCCAAAATCTGACCTGCTGGTTTTAACCATTAAGCTGAAACCAAGATACTCATTGTCACATGAACCATTTTGATTAATAACATTCCTTTGTCCTTTCTTTTGACCCTAGACATCTTCCTGCTTTGTATGAAAATAATTGCATAATTTGTTATGTTAAAGCAATATAGGAAGCAGTCGCCCCAGACTTTAATTTTAGCCTCACTAGTAAGGAAAGGCTCAAAATCATTTCCCTGACTGCTTTATAACCAAGGAAAATTATAATGCCAAACAAATAGAGTTGGAGAATATGTTTTGAATTCTGTCCACCAGAGCAGGTGGACAGTAGTATCACGTAGACATAGTGATATTGCTATGAGAAATATAGCCATGTGCCTATAGTTCCAACTATATAGGAGGCTGAGGTGGGAGGATCACTTGAATCTAGGAGTTCAAGGCTGCAGTACACTGTGAGCTATGATCATGCCTGTGAATAGCCATTGTACTCCAGCCTGGGAGACATAGCAAGACTCTGTCTCTTAAAAAAAAAAAAAAGAAAAGTAGCACACACACACACACACACACACACACACACACACACACACACACGAAATATAGAAAAATCCAGTTGGATTCTACAAGGATTTATTGACATGTTTTTACAAATAATTGTATACCTGCTAGGAACAAACACAATACCTTTTTATTGTTGGGAATTTATTGGAAGACTGCACAGGGAAGCAAGAAAGCACAGAAAATGGACCTTTGAGGCCTCAGAGAATTTCAGTCATTCAGGGCATAGAACTTAAACTTTAGACCTTCCATCTTTATGCCCCCACTTTCTTTATTACTACTACTTTTACCACCTTCACTGCCAGCCTGCTGCCATCATCACTTTGTCTACTTACTTTTCCCTTTATCCCATGACTTTCCTTAATGACATTTTTCATTATAACTCTTCATGTTTTCATGTATTTCTCTTTTGTTTGTTTGTTTGTTTGAGGTGGAGTCTTGCTCTGTTACCCAGGCTGGAGTGCAGTGGCGCGATCTCGGCTCACTGCAAGCTCCGCCTCCCAGGTTCACGCCATTCTCCTGCCTCAGCCTCCCAAGTAGCTGGGACTACAGGCGCCCGCCACCATGCCCGGCTAATTTTTTTGTATTTTTAGTAGAGACGGGGTTTCACTGTGTTAGCTAGGATGGTCTCCATCTCCTGACCTCATGATCCTCCCGCCTCAGCCTCCCAAAGTGCTGGGATTACAGGCGTGAGCCACTGCGCCTGGCCCATGTATTTCTTAAGGAGAGGATCTCTTTTGATTATTTAGTTACTGTTTAATAAAGAGTACACCTGCAGAGCAGAATTCTTGTACTAGGTTTCCTTAAAGACTGTTAGGTTTTCCTTGGGTCCAGGGTGTCATAATTGCCTTCAAGCCAGATAACAACCTGTGGTCTAATTATTTGTAGCCATGATTGTAGAGTCTGAGAACAAAGTAATGGCTACAAACGGTGCTTCTGACTGCTTTGTTTGGAAGAAGCTTAGTGCAAGGTACCCTTTTTCATGGGCTGCTCCTCAGTACATATTATTCTTACCTGTTAGGTACATAAGACCTTTTTCTTCCTCAGCTAACTTCCTCCAAGATGCCCCTGTCTAAAAGCATCTATACTTACCAAGATTTCCAAATGTGGTAACAACATCAAATTATACCAAGCCATCATAATTAGGAGTGGCTTTGTAGGTTATTTTAAAGGCCGCCTGCCAAGTCTGGTTCTGCAGTATATAGTATCTCCCCCGCCCTTCAACCCCCCCTTTTTTTGGTGATTCTGTATTTCAGCTTTCTTCTATGTGGTAAATGGCAAATTTAGTGTCACTAGTTCAGGATAATATTCAGTCATGTGTCATTTAACAGGGATACATTCTGACAAATGCATGCTTGGGTGATTTTCTTGCTTTGTTTTGTTTTTTTGTTTTCTTTTGAGACAGGGTCTTGCTCTGTCACCCAGGCTAGAGTGCAGTGGCATGATCTTGGCTCACTGCAGCCTCTGCCTCCTGGCCTCAAGTGATCCTCTCATCTCAGCCTCCAGAGTAGCTGGCACTACGGGTGCCCACCACCACGCCTGGCTAATTTATTTTTATGGCAATGGGATTCTACCATGTTGCCCAGGCTGGTCTCAAACTCTTGGGCTCAAGGGATCCACCCACCTCAGCCTCCCAAAGTGCTGGGATTACAGGTGTGAGCTACCACACCTGGCTTGGGTGATTTTATTGTTGTGCGAACATCATAGGGTGTATGTACACAAACCTAGATGGTAAAGTCTACTACACACTTAGGCTCTATGGTATAGCTGATTGCTTCTAGGCTACAAACCTGTATAGCATGTTACTATACTGAATACTATAGGCAATTGTGATACATGGTAAGTAGTTGTGTTTCTAAAATGCCCTAAAAATAGGGCATTCTAATCTTATGGGACCACTTACGCAGTTCATTGTTGACCAAAACATCATTATGTAGCACATGACTATATAAAATAAAATCAAAGTATTAATAAATTAGCAGTAATTCCAGTAAAGAAGGAGAAAAGGAAAATGGGAATTAGTAAGGTCAGTATTCAGTGAACTTGAGTATAAATCTCAGGTCTTGGCAGAAGCTGTATCACTTGTTTCTCCAACTTACCATGAGGCATTAGTTGGTATTTATGAATTCCCTTTTGTACCACTCATCCTATCTTCCTCCTTGCCTTCACTCAGCATTTTGTTGGTTTGTTTGTTTGCTTTTTTTTTTTTGAGATGGAATCTCACTCTGTCACCCAGGCTGGAGTGCAGTAGCATGATCTCAGCTCACTGCAACACTCCGCCTCCCAGGTTCAAGCGATTCTCCTGCCTCAGCTTCCCCAGTAGCTGGGATTACAGGCACATACCACCACACCCACTATTTGTTTTGTTTTGTATTTTTAGTAGAGATGGAGTTTCACCATGTTGGCCAGGCTGGTCTTGAACTCCTGACTTGAAGTGATATGCCCACCTTAGCCTCCCAAAGTGCTGGGATTACAGGTGTGAGCCACCGCGCCCAGCCTAGCATTTTTTTTCCTGTTGTATATATACTTTTCCTTCCAAAGGCTATGATTCCTTAGTACAGTAGTCTTTCTTTAAAAAGTTGTATCATTTTAAACTTTTTGTTGCTGTGCTGGGAGTTGCTATGCTAGAGACATATACTCCTTTACAACATATCTTAATATGAGGATTAGATTTCAAGTCAGTTTATAAATTTAAAAATTGCATATGATTAAAATTGCCCTTGGAAGTGTCTTAAATTGCCCATTAAGTGCAGTGCAGTCTCATCCTACATGCATTTAACCTAAGTGAACTCAACTCTTCATGATGGATGTACTTTTTTCTTTAAGGGAGACAAAGAATAATATGCATAATGATGGTTAATTCTATCCAGTATTTCCCTCAGTGAACAATGGACCCCAACTGAGTATGAGATGGGAGGCATGACTGTCACAGTCCATTTCAGTTCTTGTGTGCTTATCTTGGTGTGAACATCTTGCTGTGGTGATTGTCAGTTTGGTATTGAAAACATGGTTTTCATACACGTAATACAAAGTATTTATATTTTTATATCTGCCTGTCTTCAGCTTAAAGGATTTTCAAGGGATATTTTGACTTTTTTTTCCTGAAATACTGATTTTAGACTTGCATTTCTGATTACATGATTCCATGTATATATAAAACCTTGTTCTGCACGATGTATGAGTAAATATAGAGTGTAGATTTCTTGTGGTTATCTACGTATATTTAAACACTTAGATTTACCCTGACAAAGTCTTACCTATGAGAAGTAAACAGAGACTGAGACTACCTATCAGAATATCAAACCCAACCCAGATCTCCTTTGGGGGAATATGTTCTTGTTTATTAAAGTTGGAGACAGAATTAATTTCTCTGTTTCCTCTCTCCAAGTTCGAGTACTTGATTTAACTAAATATAAATACTTGTATTGATTTACCTGCCCTATAGTCCTTGTTTCCCTTTGTAATAGCAGTCATATGTCTCTGATAGTAAATTACCCTGGTCAATACACTGACCCTCATTTCAGTCTGTACCCTACTGTACCCTAGAGGCATGAAAGGCATGATACAGCTAGGTGGCAGGTTTGGTTTCCAGTTCTCTGCCTTTCTCTGATACAACTGTTTCTCCCCTTGTACCAGAAATTCCTATATAGTAGAATATGGAGTCATGGGAGCAAGAAGTAAAATATGTACAAATGTGTGGGGAAGTCGTACCTATGAGGGCCTTTATTTTCTCCTCTATCTCTTGGTTCCTGAATCCACAGTTATTAGAGTGGCAGAGCCATATATTAATTTCTGGTTCTGGTTTAGAACATGTATCCTTCAAAAGAAAACATTCCGGCACTGGAGCTGGGCTTTTAATGGGTTATTTTATTGTCCTGTAAGGCCTTCTGCTTTACACACTAGGACGTGGTGAATCCCATAGAATTCACTTCACTGCTTTTCTTTTCTTTTCTTTTCTTTTCTTTTTTTAAATGCAGTGAAACAATTTTCTTGCCCAGAAGCTGTTTTGGTGAAATCACAATTACTCTACTAACAGAGGCACGTTGACCAGATGTGGCAAATTCATTTTCCATTAGGGTAAATTGTTACTGCCTCTGTGATGAGAGAAAGCAAATATAGAATCCAGATGTTTAGTGCCCTTCTGATAAATATGGTGGTGGTCTCCAGCCCTACCTGAGATAAGACAGGGAATAGTCTTGTCTTAATATTCAGTCCAGGAGTAGAATAGTAGCACAATTGCATTATACCTGCCTAGTAATGATTGCAAGTATATAATTACTATGACATTTATGTAATTAATAAAAATTGGTAGGAACACAGTTCTATAAATATTAATATTTTAAAATGCCACCTCACCATTAATATGTCATTTGAATAAATACGAATTCCTGTAGAATTTATAGAACAAAGCAAGACAGAATGGATAGTGTAGTATTTTGAATAGCTTGATTATACTTCACTTTGTTTGAATTATAAAGAACATTCACTCATTCTGTCATGGTCTCTGTAGTCTCCTTTGTACTTCTCCTGTCCTAGTTTACATCTCTTCTTTCTTCCCCCTTGGCTATCTGACCTGTTTCTCTTTCTGTCTTTCTTTCTCTGGTTCTGTTTTATCTACTTCCTTCTTTTTGGATAGTTTCTATCCAGCAATAATAAAGTATCTAGGGTTAAAAATCAGTTAAGAATTCTAGAATTCAAAATCCCCTTTTTTAGGTTATAGGAGGTTAAAATATGACAGTGTTTTTCTGGGTGACTGGTAAGTGATTTTATTTTTTAAAAATAAGAATTTTTAGTAGAATAAAATCACATTCCCCAAGAACCTTAGTTTCATTTGTATAATATCTTTTATTTTTGTTAGGTTGAAACTCCATTGGAAGAAGCTATTAAATTTTTAACACCGTTGAAGAACTTGGTGAAGAACAAGATAGAGACTCATCTTTTTGCCTTTGAGATTTACTTTAGGAAAGGTAGGCAATTAGGGTACAGTGGCCCTGACAAAACTGATCACTGTATTTCTTAGGTATAGTCACCCAACTCTGATAGCCTTACCACTGTACGATTATTTAGCAAATGCCAACGCAGCTTTCTCACAGAAATGCCTGCTATGAACAGAATGTGTAGGGAGATATAATGATATAATCACTTCTTTTAGGATATTAGAATCAATGATAGATGTACATAACATAACTAGGATTCAGGTCAGATGTAATTACCATGTATATGGTTCAAAGAATTGATCATGTGGATAAAATTAGTTAATACACAGAGCTTAGACCTAGTACCTGGTATATAGTAAGCATTAAATAAATGTTAGCTATTATTAGCTATTGTTATAAATAGAAGATAAAATTTTGAGCCTGGATCTTGAAGGATGGATTATATTTCTAAAGGAAAAGATACATAGAAGGCAAGAGTATCTGTTAAGAAAACATAGGAGTGTGTAAATAATGTTGAGGTTGTCTGAATTGCCTGGAGCAGGTAAAAGATGAATGAAGGGTCTTGGTTTCCAGGTTTAGAATGCTTAGAATATATATGTAGTAGATAATAAGATTTTAGAGTACTGAGTTAATATTTTCCAAGTGGTTAATTGAAAAAAGAGTTCGTCACAAAGGTGATGCATATTAAAGGAAAGAGAAACTGTTTAATAAAATCAAAGAGAAGGTTGTTGCTCTAAACAGTATATCTACTAAAGGAAATTGAATAACATGGTACTTCTCTATATGAGTATCCATTTAAAAAGTCATGTTTGGCCAGGCGCAGCGGCTCATGACTGTAATCCCAGCATTTTGGGAGGCCGAGGCAGGTGGATCACCTGAGGTCGGGAGTTTGACACCAGCCTGACCAACATGGAGAAACCCCGTCTCTACTAAAAATACAAAAAATTAGCCGGGTGTGGTGGCACATGCCTGTAATCCCAGCTACTCAGGAGGCTGAGGCAGGAGAATCGCTTGAACCCGGGAGGCAGAGGTTGTGGTGAGCCTAGATCACGCCATTGCACTCCAGCCTGGGAAACAAGAATCAAACTCCATCTCAAAAAAAAAAAGGTCATGTTTATCAAAAGTAAATGATGTTGGGGAAAAGTTGCTATATTATATTATTCCAAAATAGGACACAGAACTACCTATAAATTGAAATTTTATTAATATATTTACATAGGTATATAATATAGAAGTGGCTGGAAAGAAATAGATCAAAAGATAACAGATTGTCTCGATAGATTTTGAGTGATTAAAATAATTTACTGTATTTTCTACTTCCCACAATTATTATAACGTGGAAAATAAGTTTAATAAATAGTCCAATAATTCTCAAACTTTAACAGTTAATACAACTCCCACTTTTAAAAAATTCTTAAATGGAACCCCAAAGTATAAAATTCAAAAGCTGCTCTGCTTAAAGTAGGGAAGGGCAATCTAAAGCCCCATTCAGTTTGCTTCTTGGCTGTGTCCTAACCTCTAAAGGACCCCAGCATTTGGAATCCACTGCAGTTGTACGAAATTGGTAATGACAAAGGCATGGCAGTATTTTTGGCTTTTTTAGTATTGGGGACAAGGGAAAGAGCATTAGGAGAAGAGACTGGGGTTTTGAACTTTGACATTGGGAAAATGGTACCAAATTAGGAAAGTCTTATCAAAGAGGTTGGTTATAGATAAAACTTGGAAGTGGACTGAGTATTCAAGTGCAAATTTCCATTTAACAGGTGGAGATACTACTGAATCTTGGGAAATACAGGGAATGGGTGTGGGGATAGCATAGGGAAAGATCAGAGAATGACTGAAAAGATAACCTTGGTAACTATTCTACCTTTAGAGGAGAAAGGAGTCACAGATTGACAGGAGAGGAACAGTCAAACAGAAGGGAAGCTGTTTCACATGTCACAAAATAAAAGAATACCTTCAAATATACACAATGAAATTTTCTAAGTAGTGGGAAAGGTTGCTTTATTTTGAAATAAAGGAAGTTAGGAAATGAAGGCACTTCAGATTTTCTTTGCTTATATGTCATTAGTTTAAATATTGCTAAATGCCACCTAAATTTTCTACATTTCACAAAACGTTTTTTCTTAATGTTATGTGAAAAATATTAACTAATGTTGCTAAATTTGAGGAAAATCGTTTGCCTCAATCGTATGTTTGTGGTTCTGATGTGATCGACTCTAAATTTACTTTTTCTATTTGTGAAGTCTTGGCCCTCCAAAGGAGGCCTCTTATCCAATGATCAAAATATATCTTACTTTCTCTTTTTATAGAAAAGTTTCTTTTGATGCTACAATCAGTAAAGAGGGCATTTGCTATTGATTCTAGTCATCCCTGGCTTCATGAGTGTATGATTCGTCTCTTTAATACTGGTATGTTTTTGTTTTCCATTACTTAAGTATTTGATACAGTGGTTGATGGTGACGGTATAAGTGGTCTGTACAAGTTTATCATAAACCAAATGATTTTAAAGCTGTCACATACTAAATTAGCTAAGGGAAAAGCAGGGCTTTTTTCTTTATGATGAAGGTTTTTATTTTAAGGATACAAGTATTACCTGATTTTGACATAGAATTATTCAGTCCAGATATTTGAGAATCATCTTTGTTTCTGTTTCTAAAAAGTTACATGTAAGTTGAAATTTTGAACCATATTTTGTTATGTAAAACTTCTTAGTAAATTGTTTTGAAATTGAAGAATCTCTTTGAAATTGACTGTTTTCTCCTTATTTATCTGTATTGTAGATCTGAATTTGCATGAATTATGTTTTCTTAGCACAATTCGAGTCATAAAATTTTTTGTTACTTTAAAACAATTATCTGTATCTTCAAATATTTTGACAATCAGATCAGTTTTATATTAGTTTTAATGTAAAGTAGAACTACAGAATTTTAGACCCTGAAAGGTAGAATGTTACAGTAATTGTCTCTCATTTCATAGTGGGAAAAATCTGAGACCTTAAAAGATGACTTATTCTAGGTAACAGATAGAAACTTAGTAACGCAACAGTGACTAGAGCCCACATCTTCATATTGTTCTTTCTACTGTAAGAACTGTACATTTATAATAAAGTACTCCTGTAGTCAGGTTGTATTGTTGTTTGGATTTTTAAGTGACTGGTGGGGGAGAAATAGAACCTTTAACAGAATAATCTATAGAATTTGGAAATACTATTAACTATCACATTGCCAACTCCATACATTTAAAACTGAGGAAATTAAATCAGGCATCCCAATCACCAAAAAAATGCTAAATTGTCCCAATTGAGAACATCATTTTGGCTGGGTGGAGTGGCTCACACCTGTAATCCCAGCATTTCAGGAAGCCGAGGTGGGCGGATCACTTGCGGTCAGGAGTTCGAGACCAGCCTGGCTAACATAGCGAACCCCCGTCTCTACCAAAAAATACAAAAATTAGCCGGCCATGGTGGCACATGCCTGTAGTCCCAGCTATTCAGGAGGGTGAGGCAGGAGAATCGCTTGAACTTGCAAGGCGGAGGTTGCAGTGAGCCGAGATCACGCCACTACACTCCAGCCTGGGCAACAGAGTGAGACTCCGTCTCAAAAAAACAACAACAACATCGTTTTGACTTTCCAGAAAGATTAGACTTAAATTATACTACGCTTGTCCAAAAACTAATTTGTGTTACAAAAACTGAATTGTAGAAGTGTTTTTCCTCAATTTTTAAAAATTATGAAAGTAATAATGTAACCATATTGTAGAAAGTAAAGGAGAGAATTGCTGTATTTAGTAGTTTGTTTCTCTTTAGTTTTTTTGGGGGGGGGGAGTATGAAAAATAACTTTGCAATCATGGGTCAGAAAATTAAGGATAGAAATAATAGTTTTAATTTATTCTCAGTTAAGATGGAGTATATGTATTTTCAAAATGAAGTATTTTCAAAAATAACATACACACTGTTATATACTTTATACATATTTTCCTGAAAGGTAGTAAAATAACCTAAATCCTTTTGAGTTAGATACTTTCTTTTGAAATACAAATTAAAAGTGACATATTTAAATGTATTTGCTTATAATCAGTATGTAGATTGATTAACATGAGTGTTTTCTTTCAGCAGTTGGTTTCAGAAAATTAAAATACACATGGGCTTAGAATGATTAATAATTAGTTAGAATTACTGAGTATCTATACTGGCTATACCCATTGCTCTTTGTGTTCAGCTGAAATCGTCATCACTTTACAAAGTGATCTAATTTTGACTGACTTTAGGCAATGAAATTAGGTTGTGATTATTTGCATTGGTAAAGATCTGTCTCTTAAAAAGCCTTTAAGAAGTTGGGTAGACTGCTTCATTGCCTTTATTGAAAACGGGTGTACTATAAAGGCATATGTGAAAATACAGATATCCAAATAGTGGCATCTTTGTTATACCCCAAGGGTTTCTTTAACTAAAATATTTGGTACTTTAAAAAAATATGTAATTTAGAAGTAATTTCTCAGGAATACATTTGTCATGTTAAGATATACTGTTGTAACTGCTTCTTTACAAAGAAACCCTCACAGACACCTTTCTGGAGAGTATAGAGGAAAACAGTGCCTCCATACCTATTTCATCAGTTGCGGAAGCTTTGCTGAGTGAATATGGATTTTAGCATGGTTACTGGCACCCTCCAAATCTCTAGAATATGTTGTTATACTAACAATGTTATTACTAAATGCTGCATGCAGTTATTTACCATATAGGAGCACTGTCTTTTTCTTATTATGAGGATGATATATTTAATACCCTTTTAAAGTTTTTTATGATTTTAAATTTTAAAGTTGTAGGACTTAAAACAATTACATTTCTGGTCAGTGCTAAGTAAAAGATAGGTGCTTATATATTCTATTTGTCTTATTATTTTCTTAAATGTTTATATTCTCCTAACTGCTTTTAAAATTAGCACTATTTGGCTGCCTTGATCTACAGTGAAACTTAGGTCTTTTTCCTCTCCCATTTGCACAAACTCATTTTTCTTTGATCTGCAGATATGTTTTTTATACTTATGTATGTCTCCTCCAACCTTCTTTCATAATCTAATTTGTTTATTAAACCTTGTTTAATACTTACTAAATTATTAAATTTTTTATTTTTTTAAGCTTTGTTTAATTTTCTCATTTATTTTGCCGTTTTTGAGTTGTAATCACTTACTCGGTTGTACTATAACCTAGTAGTGAACAGTCATTACCTCACACAAAATAAGAACATTTTTTACCCAAATTATTAACAATGCCAGCTAGCCTGAGAACCCTGTGCAATCCCTTTTGCTAAGAATCAGCCACCTTTTCATTGTGTGTTTTAACCATTGGTGCTTGCTTAATTTATTCATTCTGTTAATAAGCTAATAGCATGAACCAAACATTCCAGTTTAAGATGTCAAAGGACCCAAATCAAAAACCCCTTAGAAAAGGTTTTATATTCCCCTTCTCGCTCATCAGTTATTACTTTTCCTTGATTCTCAAGACTTATTACTCTTTCATGGAAGGTAATTGAGTTAGTAGGGGATTTGCTACTTTCCTGAGGCCTTGATGTTTTTTGTCAGTTTTACCACATTCAAAGGCTTTTTAGAGTTTTTCTCCCCTGCCCACTAGTCTTTAGCAGTAAATGGACATCTGATAATCTGTGACATATGATGTTGCTCCTTTTCTTAAGGGTACACATAAAATTTCATTACACAGAATTCCATAGGACATTCTGGGTTTTACTGCAGTAGAATTTTTTTATCCTTTTTGTAATTGATATTTTCCTGGAGGTTAACAATTCTAGTTTTCTGGAACTGTAATTTCCAGGAAAATATCCAGAAAAGTTTAGGAGAAAATTAGTAGGCCTCAAACTTTTTGGAATCAGCTGTTAGTGAAGTTATTTGCTTCAGTTTTGGTAGAGTTTTTTTTAGCAGTTTTAATTTTTCTGGGAGATTGTTTAATCTGATTAAAACAAGTTAAAAAAAGATAATGAAAACCATAAAAACCCCTTGCCTACCCCTCTCTTCATCAACTATGATACAAACTATGCAGATATTTTTTACATGTAAAGTATCCTGAAAGCATTTCAGGCAAACCAGCAAGGCCTATGTAAATAATTTTTATTGTACAGAAGATACATTCTTTTTGAGATAATTAATGTCATTGCAGTTGGCTGTAACCTATTTTAATAACTTTTTTCTGTTTCCTCTCTATTCCTGCTTTTCCACTGAAAAACAAGTATTGATAGATTGACAAAACCAAGTTGAAAGTACAGCCATAGTAGAGGTTAAACTAAAGTATTTCACTATAGCTCATTTACTTGAACCACCCAGTTTTATAGAATAATAGAAGAAATGCTATTTAACCAACAAAGAGCATGTCAGTGAATTATTCAGCTAATAATTATGTATAGAATATTTCACTTAGAAAATGTTTCCTACTGAGTTCATTATATTTTTTAAACTTAGATTAATGATCCATTAGCAGGATAGTGGGTCATTACCAGCACTCAAAAACCCAAAATAAAAATAGAATAGTGTAGAAAAGATCAGCATATGTTGCACACAGTAAGTGTTCTGTGAAACTTTTGCTTCACATAAGTTATGGATATGGAATATGTATTTGTCGCAGTACAAATACCTGATTAAAGTGAAAATTTGAAAGTCATCACCATAGTTCCCAGCCATAAGGAAAATCTACGTAATGTTTTCACACTATGATAAAAATAGTAACTATGATTTATTGACTACCTATTACATAATTAGCACTTTTACACAGTAGCTTTTCCTTACTGTAAATCTTTTAGATTAGATATCACCCCAGTTTTATAGATCAAGAAATAGGTTCAGAGAGGTTATGACTTATCCAAGCCTGGATCCATACCCAAGTCTAACTGGCTTCAAAGCTCCAGACTCTCTCTTTATACCAAAATGATAATGAAACAAAGTATAACTTGGATTCAATCCAGAGGAATCATCTCTAAATCCCAAGGCCTGGGAATATGATGACAACAGTGCATTCATTCATTTATGTATTTATTTTGAGACAGAGTCTCACTGTGTCACCCAGGCTGGAATGCAGTGGCATGATCTTGGCTCACTGCAACCTCCACCTCCCAGGTTCAAGCTGTTCTCCTGCCTCAGCCTCCTGAGTAGCTGGGACCACAGGCACACACCACCATGCCAGGCTAATTTTTTTATTTTTAGCAGAGACGGGGTTTCGCCATGTTGGCCAGGTTGGTCTCGAACTCCTGACCTCAAGTGATCCACCCGCCTTGGCCTCCCAAAGTGCTGGGATTACAGGTGTGAGCCACCGTGCCCAGCCTATTTATTAATAGGAAAATGCTTTGGTGGTCCTTGGGAGTTTATTATACAGTGATAGCTCAATTTACATAGTTTCTGAAATAAAGGTCAATGACATCAACCATGTTTTCTTTTGTTTTTAATTGAAACGTGTGCCTTACTTGGGTATAGAGGAAGATAGGGAGGGTGAGGAAAATTTGTTGTCTTCAGCACTACATAGTTGGCTGTGATACTATTTACCAGGTGGGTATTCCCAAGTTGCTGCTTTGCAGACCTTAAGGTTGAGGGGGCAGCTCTAGGGGTTTAGAAGGCTGTGAAACTACTTGTTTTGTCATCTCCTTTGCTTACAGTTCCTTTCTGGAAATGAATCTCGTGTTAATAAAATTATTTGAATGCCTTTAGAACATTAGATTGTTCTGCTGACATACATTCTTTTTAATGTGTATTGCTGGGCATGATGGCTCATGCCTGTAATCCCAACACTTTGGGAGGCCAAGGTGAACAGATCTCTTGAGCCCAGGAGTTGGAGACCAGCCTGGGCAACATGGCGAAACCCTGTCTCTACAAAAAAATAGAAAAATTAGCTGGACGTGGTAGCTTGCACCTGTGGTCCCAGCTTCTCAGGAGGCTGAGGTGGGTGGATCACTGAAGCCTGGGAGGTTGACGCTGCAGTGAGCCATGATTGCGCCACTGTACTCCAGCTTGGGTGGCAGTAAAACCTTGTCTGTCTCAATCAGTCAGTCAGTTTATATAGGTAAGCTCTTTTTGCAAATGTTAAATTATCAGTAGGTTTTATCTTGTCTTTGTATATAATTGCCATGTTTCATTGGCCTCATCATTAGGTAATTTAACTCCTATAGGCTGGGTGTGGTGGTGCACACCTGAAGTCCCAGCTACCTGGGGGGCTGAAGTGGGAGGATTGCATGAGCCTGGAAGGTTGAGGCTACAGTGAGCCATGGTTGTGCCACTGTACTCCAGCCTGGGTGATAGAGCAAGACCCTGTCTCAAACACAAACAAAAATAAACTTTTGTAAACTTTATCAGAGTATTCAACTGCTAAGATTTTATTTTTAATTTATTCAGCAGTGTGTGAAAGTAAAGATTTATCTGATACAGTTAGAACAGTATTAAAACAAGAAATGAATCGTCTTTTTGGAGCAACGAATCCAAAGAATTTTAATGAAACTTTTCTGAAAAGGAATTCTGATTCATTGCCACACAGATTATCAGGTAATCACTTTATTTTATCCTTAGCCTTCTAAAACAACTTCAGTAATTTTAATGAATCAACAATAATATAAGGTACATGTTTTTAGAATGGAAGAGGCAGTGTGTATATGTTACATTGTGATCGTATGAAAACAGGCAGCTTAAATAAGCTTCCTAAGCTGGGCACAGTGGCACATACCGGTAGTCCCAGCTACTCAGGATGCTGAGGCAGAAGGATCACTTGAGCCCAGGAATTTGAGGCCAGTCTGGGCAACATAATGATACCCTGTTTCAAATCAAAACAAAACCAAACATATATATATATAATATATATATATATATAATATATATTATATATATATGCGCTTCCTATACATTTTTTAATTTCTTACGGCAAAATAATCACTACAAATCAAAGTCAGTGGTCTCTTCTGGTTCAGCATTGGCATTACAAAGAAGCAGGTGTAACTAAACTTAAATGTATATCATAAAATGAAGGTAGAGCTTTCTTTTATTTCTTTTTTCATCATTGGGCTCTTAAAATTCACTCAGATAGGACCATCGTCTTCCATTTCTCATTCTTATGTAGGTATCAGAGTTGACAGTGCTAAACACCTGAAATTATCTTCACAGTTTGTGAGAAATCTAAGTCAAGGGTCTGTGCCAATGAGCCAAAATCTGACCTTTATGGGACCATGTGGGTAGTACTTTTCAAATACTTGGCTTAAGCCCAGCAGCTTTGTATACCTTTGTGGAATCCTGAATTCAGCATTTTGGCTCACACTGTTGAGATAGGATAGTCCCCCAACCTCCACATTATTCTGCTTATTTCAGAAAGAAGACTATCATGGTCCTACCACAAAAATACAAGTATTATTAGAATGCTTGTGTTTCTTCATAGTCTCCTTTACTGTGCATGTGTTGCATATACATTCTATTTTATTGGGTAGATATATGTGGTATACCTCTATTGTTCTCTTTCTTTGGATGGTTAAGCTAATCCCCTTAGCATTATTATTTTTTGAATAACAGTATCTCAAGTAGCTGTTCCCATTCTTCTAATAAAGTGCCACACCCTCTGCATATATATCTTGTTTGCCTTTTATATTTAAATAAGTAGAGGATAAGATGTTGGTTTTACCTTGAAATAAATTTCCTATTTCCCTCTCATTTAGCTGCCAAAATGGTATATTACTTAGATCCTTCTAGTCAGAAGCGAGCTATAGAGTTGGCAACAACACTTGATGAATCTCTCACTAACAGAAACCTCCAGGTAAAGAGTTTTTCATAATCTCTCTGTAAGAATACTTAACTACTTTTTTCACCAAGAGAAATAATTGGGTATTTATACACACTGTTTTTTAAATCATTATGAATCTGGGTCAGAAACAACTTATCTTAAAATTTATTTAGGCTGCTTGGCATTCAGTAACTAGTTTCACATCTGTAGCTTGGAATAACTTTTTAAGAAATATGTTTTAATAAAATCATATACATTCCATCGTCATTTTTGGATTTCATTTCATATCTCTGCATTTCTGAGCAAGCAGTGGTCTCAGTGGAGATTCTAACATGTTTAAAATGTATTTTGGCTAGGCGTTTTGGTTCATGGCCTATATTCCCAGCACTTTGGCAGGCCAAAGTGGGCAGATCACTGCAGCTCATGAGTTCGAGACAAGCCAGGGCAACATAGTGAGACCCCATCTCTTAAAAAAAAAAATCAGTCAGATGTGGTGGCACTGTATTCCCAGCTACTTGGGGGACTGAGATATGAGGAACACTTGAGCCTGAAAGGTTGGAGCTGCAGTGGGCTGTGATTGTGACGCTGTACTCCAGTATGGACAACAGGGCAAGACCCTATCTCAAAATAAAGAAAGATGTATTTACTAGGGGCTAAATAAAAATACTTATTTTGTAACTTGTAATACAATATGAGATTAAGTTAAATAAAAATTAATATGGGTGTATTGTAAAATACTGTAGTTTAAACTAGAAACAAAGGGATAGCTACCTCATGTTATAATTTGCCAGATAAACATGTATATGCTGAAAGACAGTTATTAATAAATATATTCATTTAATAGCAAATGAAGGCAGTATCTTTAAGAAAGAAAAATTAGACTTGTTTGTTTTACCATTTAGATTAGAACCTGGATTTAAAGTTCTAATCTAGGTCCTTTGTAACCTGGATTTAAGTTGCTTTGTAACCTGGCAAAGTTTGTAGGGATTTTTGCATGTGGAAACTAAGTAGCTTTTCTAAGTGAAAATATTAAGAAAGCAAACATGAGAAATGCAAATCAACATGAATCAACAAAAAAGATAAGAAGCAGACTTACTTAGGGGTTTGGTTGAAAGAATTACTCATTTTCATGAACTAATTTTTCTTGCAAATAATCACTTCATGTTTGAGACACTCTTTTCTGCTTAGTTATTGGATGTGCCTTAAGTTGCTCTTTAATTTGAACACAATGTTGAATACAGTGTTTGAGTTTGCTGGCTGGCTCTAAGCTTTCAAAAATATTAGAAGGCATATGTGCAGTAATTGGTATTGGCATTGTAAATCTAGATGTTTATACCCAGGGCCAGGCTAGGCTGAGGTAACATTGCTGCCTAAGGTCATACGCTTGCTGAGAGTGAGTGGCTTTTTAAATGTAGCACTCCATATACCTTGCTTGCCTCACCATAGTCCCATTCCTGTTTCTGCAGTCATCCCTGTTTAGCCTTTTGTATAAATCCTGCAATTCTGGAGAAATGGTTAAATTAGGCCTTGAAGAACATTCTAATAGAATGCATATGCAGGAGTAAATAGCTAAATATGTGTATTTATTTCTTATTTTAGAAATCTCTTGCTGTTGAAATGTCTAATAAATTCCCAGTAAGAACCTTTTTTTGACCAGTTACAACATGACTTTTTTTCTTTCCTTAGACATGTATGGAGGTATTGGAAGCCTTGTATGATGGTAGCCTAGGAGACTGTAAAGAAGCTGCTGAAATTTATAGAGCAAATTGTCATAAGCTTTTCCCTTATGCTTTGGCTTTCATGCCTCCTGGATATGAAGAGGATATGAAGATCACAGTTAATGGAGATAGTTCTGCAGAAGCTGAAGAACTGGCCAATGAAATTTGAACATCACTAAACAAGCAAATGGAATGACTTTGGACCATATCTAGTATATAATATTTTTGTCACGCACCTGCTGCATTGCTCTAACTTACACAGAATGAGAGGAGTAAATGTTCTTGCCTTCAAATAGTGTTTTACGTTTTTTATCCTGCTGAAAAAGTATATATAAAATATCTAACATTACAGGATAGAGGTTCAGTTTCTTAAAAAATTAAAGCTGCTAAAATTGAGTGGTTAAAAAAGATACCTTATCCTATTCCTCCCCACCCACCCATGTTTTTAAACTAATTTATATAAAATCTGGAGGCTGTTACAGCTAACAAAGCAGGTGTGTGGCAGAAATATTACTTTAAATTTGTCTTGTGAGATTTTACTATATCTCAGACAGCATAAATGCTGTTTTAGCACTGGATTCTTTCACTGAGCACAAAGAGTTGTTGGGGCTTTAGCATCTGACTGATTTTGTTACGGGGTTGATTCTGACCATAGGAAGTATGCAATGTGAATCACTATTTACAGAGAAACCTACAACAGATGCTTGATGTTGTAGAAACTGGGACATATAGATACCAAGCAAAATTATAAGAAACCTATAAGGTGTTCAATACGCTTGTGTTTCCAAAATTCACTGTACATGATCAGTTTGGTGTTCTTGTACCACAGTTTTTAACTGAAGGAACCAGTTGTAACAGTCTCAATTTTAACTAAAACTTGAAGAACTAAAACAACAATGCAAACCTTTCAGCATTGTTTGGCCAAACTTGTTAAAACTGTAATGCAAGAACCAAATGCACTGTGATGTGGCACCAACTAATTAGCAAGCATGAATTTTTCACCCAAGAGTGAAAAAAGGAAAATCTACCATGGCTTGAAGTTAAAGAGCAGAACTCCTGACTACCATTCTATGACTGATCAAAAGACTAATAGTTAAAAACCTCAGCAGGCCTTGTTCACGATATGCAGAAAAAAAAGTGCTGCAGTTTAGATACCTCTGGAATTTTTCCACAGTGTCACAGGTTTGTAATACTTGAAGCCCTACATTTCTAAGAATATATTTCTTGCTCAGTTGTTTCAGGCAAGCCCAAGACTTTGTAATTTTTAAAGGGCCCAAGATTTTTTTTTTTTTTTTTTTTTTCAAATAACAGACCAGCTTCTTTTTCTTGCAGTTACAGATGTAATTTCCTTTTTGTTGTCAAACATAAGGTACCAAATATGATGCAATAAATTGTTTTGAAAAACAGTTGTGTGAATATTTCAACTAATCTGTGTTGGGCTTCTGTGAAATACACAGGTGGAAACAGAGGTGCAAGCCAGAGGCAATGTAATATGCTGTAAGGCTAGTGCAGATGGGAGCTTTTTAGAAGGGGCTAAGTGCTGGTGTCAGGGAAATTCCATAATGAAGTAGAATGCTGCTCCTGCATTAAGATTTCATTGAGGGCAAGGCTGGTGGCAGGTACTATGAATGTAATTCATAATTTAAAAGGAAAACTAAAAACTATTTTGATTTGGGAAAATGAGCCTTAATTTGTTAAACCTATACACTGAGAACTAGCCTCAGGCTTAATATTCTCATTGCATTTGCAAGATCTGAGCAAATAAGATTAAGTAAAACAAATCAATTGTATATATAATTGACCTTTTTGTGGAACATGTAGTTTATAGAAAGTATACTCTAAAGGGAATTTGCCGAAGACCTTTTACTGATTGAACAGTTGTGCTACAATCAACTTTTCATAGTACATGACCTGCATTCCACATCTCAGTCTAACAGTTTAGTAGTGATGTAAAGAGAAGTACAAACCGAACTCCAGTGCTTTGTTATGTTTTATTAACTGGCCCTGTCTCAGGAACATCTTAACAGATGGCAAAAAAACAAAAACTTTTTTTCAACTCCTATGAGTGGCAACTGAAGTTCTTATTGTTGGGAAAGAACACTAGTCCTACCTCTGCCACTAATGAGGTGTTTGGAGGAGGTACCAGCCATATAATAGGGGGTGTATGTGTGAATTTTGTTTAAACTCTACTGTATATTGAAATGAAATTCATTTATTTGTCTTGACAATGTTCAAATGATGTAGATTGTCTTAGAATGAATATTCATAAGTACTCAGAACTCTTAAGATGCAGATGCCACCCGTGAGGAGCTAAATTCCTAATGTGTATTGTATTCCAACCCAATTTTACTGGAACTATTGAATAAATCTTTTATTTTCTTTCAGGTTTACTTGATAGTGGATACATTGGTGTCAGAGGACCTTGACTGGGTTCATTTTATGTCCAGACATCACCCCTGAAACACTGTACTGTACTATCTTGCTCTGAGTAGTATCAACTGGATCGTCTCATATTTGCCTCATTCATCCTATTAATTTCAAATGATACTGTGGGGGAAAAACAGGGTTAGAAAAACAAGTGGAAAAAATGGAGTGATGTTGTAATCTAAACAAGTGCCTTATGTTTATTGCTAAGAACTGGTGTTACCAACCCTTTTGAGAAGAAAGGGTCTCTTGACCTGTATTAACATAGGAAAGTAAAGTTCTTTTTGTTTTTCTTTATATTCAGCTACTCTTGTCATTTCTCGTTGAAAAACTAAAATCTGACTAGGTTAGTTTACTCAGCTTTAATTAGATAGTTGAGTCATATATTTTCAACATTTTTCTGTATCGTATTTATTATGCACAAAAATAAAGTGTGATCTCTAATAGCATGGCTAAAGGTAATGCCAATATTAGTGAATAGCTTTGCTGTGGGCTTTATCAGGCCCTTGTTTTTCACAGTGTTGTTTGTACTCCATGGTGTATTGCTATTAGAGCTGTGAAATGAAAGCTGTGACTTTATGAAGAGATCAAAAAAAGTGTGGTCCAGATTCAGGTAGGTTGTGGTAAGTTCAGGGAAGTCTTGTATGATTTCTAAGAATATTTCAGTTACCATGTATAGTATTTGGGAAAAGCTGTAATGTAAAATATTGGACTTTGTTGCAAGATAGGTATATACTTGTGTCAGATAATTAAAGCCTTAAATTTTGAAATGAATCTTTGAGATTTCAAAGAAAGACTGACCTTTCAAATAGAAGGCGGTCTTTCTATTCTAGCTAATGCCCCACTTCTTTAAGTTATAAACAAAGTTTCATGATACCATTCTGCTATCATCTAAACTTTGCTGAACTCTACTGCCAACCTACATTAAAAACAAAGTCCCACGAAATGGCTGTGTTACACCATAGTGAGCAGAAACTTAAATTTTGTTCTAATTTTGATGGTTGAAAAATTTCAACCTGTAGCAATAAAACATTTTTGGAAAAGATTACTGAATTGCACTTTTACCTTTTAGTATGCAATCTGAGATCGTTGTTGAAATTAAAATATTGGTAATGTACAGGAGGTTCTGGAGAAAATAATGCTGGTGTTTTTTGTTTTGTTTTGTTTTTGAGACGGAGTTTTGCTCTTGCTGCCCAGGCTGGAGTGCAATGGCGCGATCTCGGCTCACCGCAACCTCAGCCTCCTGGGTAGCTGGGGCTACAGGCATGCGTCACCACGTCCGGCTAATTTTGTATTTTTAGTAGAGACGAGGTTTCTCCATGTTGATCAGGCTGGTCTCTAACTCCCGACCTGAGGTGATCCGCCCACCTCGGCCTCCCAAGGTGCTGGAATTACAGGTGTGAGCCACCGCACCCAGCCAATAATGCTGTTTTAATAAATCAGAAGAGTATCTTTTATGTACTGTCTTGGTTATATACTATATTCAAACCTGCTGCCTCCATCAGGACACACCTCCTCTTTTGTTGTTGCTGTTTTGTTATAGAGATGGGATCTCACTATGTTGTCCAGGCTGATTGTGAACTCCTGGCTTCAAGCAATCCTCCCACCTCAGCCTCCTGAACAGCTGCGATTATAGGAACAACCTACCATGCCCAGCTTAGGACACACCCCCTTTTATGAAGATAGGGAGAGGGAGCAGCATATTATAGGAAAGAAGATCTAAAAGTTTCTAGTGCCTCAGTTTATCCAGTTGCCTTTGAAACAATGCTCTCTTGGGATTGTAACCAGAAGAAAGAAAAAACTGGTACTATATAAATTAGAACTTTTACTAACTCGTAGTCTTAAATTCTATGTGCCAAAACCAAAATATAGACTTTGATTCAAGGGTGCTTGTACCGAAAGTAAAGTTGCTACTTGGCAATCTAACAAAACTATACTGTGGTTCTTACATTTTAAAAATTAGGCCTTTGTCCCTAGTTTAAGGGTCTGCATTATCTAATAAAAGTGGTATAATTCTTCCTAACTGAAAAAAAGTTGGTAGTGGTGAAGATGTGATGGAAAATTTTCTCTGTGATACAAAGGTTTCTGCTGTTGCTTAATCTTCAACTAGATCTCAATAAGTACAAATTACTCTCTCAATTAGAAACAAGGTAGGAAGTGAAGGGATTTTTGGAGTATGTTCTGGATCCCAAGGCTTGCTTTCTGCTAATACATTTATCTTCTGATTTAGTTACCATGCATTGTCTAACAAAAACAAGAAGCCTCTCTTCTTATTCTATGGCTATCTTCCCAATCTACCATGGTTTCCCAACTTTGGGCTTTTATAAGTACTGCTTGTTTACTTTGATCTGCAAATTTACCAGGTTCATTGTCCAGTGATTAATGCCTCATCACAAATGGGATAGGAACTGGTTTCTTTCTAAAGTGGTCTTCCAAAGCTATCTGATATTTCTTCCTCAGTAGTGAAAAATTAAATGGGCTGCCACTTCTCATCTCTTTTCGAACTACTTATTTGCCTTCAAGTAATCATGCTGTCACTTGATATCTTTAAAAATGAAAAGGGAACCATTTAAAGAAGTAGATAATAACAAACCTGTCTCTTAGATTCTTCCTTTTCCTTTCAAGTTCTGAACTCTGGATTACTAAATACTGATTCATTCCTTCAGTGACTTAATGCATTTACTATGCATTAACAATAAAAGTATTTAGAAACGTATTTAACTAGCATTATTGTACAACTAACATTTGTTTGGGAGTTCATAGAAAAGGACCTACGAATAAGCCAGTTGCTTCACTTACACCTTTTTATAACTTAAACAGTTTTAGTTAAAAAGCGTACTTGGTATTTCAAGCATTCCATTTCATGTCGGATTTCTCATTCACCTGCCAGGATGCTTTTTATTTGAGAGAAATGTCCATTTACGATATGAAATTAAATGTTTCAGACTCATCTATTTTTAATGTGATGTATGATATCTTAAGGGTTTACACTGGGTACATTGTGGTATAAAGGTATAGTGACTACGACAGTATATACAGATTGTATAATAGCTATAAAAAAACTTAACTTTTAGGTCACCTGCCACAGCCACAATTTTTTATCCTTTATCTGTTGATGTAGAATATTCCCATTCATCTTCTTTTGTCCTTCTCTGTTGTTAAGGAATTCCTTCAAAATACTACCGATCCATTTTAGTCTGTTTATGCTAAGAATATATTGCTCACATCTAAATTTTGCTTTTTTCCTATAGTTTGTCAGAGGAATGGCTGTGAATGGATGCCTGGAAGGACCATCCTCTAATTTTCTCAGTTGCCTGTTCATTGTGGCATTGGTTGGCAGTGAATCTACTCATCCTTTATGTCTTGAGCAACCAGCCACCCAGGTAACATCATGCCGTTGGAATTAAGTTACTACAAGGATTGTCACTCAGTTTTTCCTCTTTCGGACAATATAAGGATACTGGTAACATACACAACTACTAGAAGGCTCTGTTTTTCATAGCCCAGTGTCTCCACTTTTAATCATTACGAGAAGACAAAAGGTAGGGATAGGCTATGGTTCTTTCTAGACACTTGGCTCACAGTGTCCATCACAACCAATAGCTGTGGCCCACAGTTAATCTCTACTGAGGCTAGGCAATTGAATCCTTTAAGTCATAAATTTAACATTGGTTGTGTATTAGAATCTGAGGTGAACTGTAGATAATAAACATTAATGCCCAGGCTCACTAGCAAAGATGTCTGATTTAAATTATCTGCAATCAGGACTAGGCATTGGTCCTCCTTCTTTATTTTCTGTCCTCTCTTTTCCTCCCCTCCTGTACTTCCTTTCCTCCCTTCCCCAGTGATTCTAAGGTACATCTAAAATTGAGAGCTATTGTCTGATGATGAAGTTGTTAAAAAATACTTTATACTATTGGTTTTTCTCCTCAGAAAGATCAGAGGACAGAGGGGCCAGGCGCGGTGGCTCACGCCTGTAATCCCAACACTTTAGGAGGCCGAGGCGGGCTGATCACCTGAGGTCGGGAGTTCGAGACCAGCCTGACCAAAATGGAGAAACCCCGTCTCTCCTAAAAATACAAAATTAGCCGGGCGTGGTGGCGCATGCCTGTAATCCCAGCTACTGGGGAGGCTGAGGCAGGAGAATTGCTTGAACCCGGGAGGTGGAAGTTGCAGTGAGCCAAGATCGCGCCAATGCTGTCCAGCCTGGGCAACAGGAATGAAACTCTGTCTCAAAAAATAATAATAATTGCCATAAATAGATGCTTGAGTTTTTAAGTATTAGGGCAAGGCAACGACTCAGCAGGCTTTTAAATAAGGATCAGCGGTAGATACTACTCTGAAAATACAGACATACCTAACCCCCAAATACATATTCTCTTGTTATCCCTACAAGACTGCATTTTCCATAAATGAATGAATTACTATTACAAATCTTACATGTGAAAGGATCCATAATTCTGGGACAGACAGAATTCAAGCCGAACATGTTGGCCTGATAGGGTAGAACCTGGAAAGGAGATTTATTTGCTACAGAATCGTATGTCAAGCTAAAATTTACCTTATGAGATTTGTTGAAATAACATTCTGGATAGAACTCCCAAATCTGTCCAATCTTGTTTGTTTCTTAACTGGTTAAAGAATATTTGATAATGAGTTAGGCTATGTTGATACTGTTGATCGCCATTCTTGAATTTATAGACATTGATGGTTTTCTCTAATTTTACATACTGGGAGGTCTACATTTTTTAGTCTGTCTTCACATAGGTGCCTTGCCTTATGCTTTAGTTACTTTTCTTTGATCCTTGTGACTTAGCTGTTAAATATCTGGTATAAATACTTGGTGCTTTGGTACAACAGTAGTATAATGTAGTTAAAGCTTTTAGGTCAGACAGAACTAGGTTTAAATCCTGGCTCAGGTCCCTTAGATAAGATACTAAGAATTTATAGGTCATACAGCTGTTGGAAGGATAAGTAATATACTGTATAGAAAGTGATTACCACAACATCTGCACAATGTCATTATGTTTATAAAAGGTTCCTTTCTGTTTGTCAGTGTTATACTTGATTATTCTTATTTGTCTTCTGCAGCACATTTGGCCAGTGTTTCGGGAAGTACTTTTTTTTTTTTTTAAGACGGAGTCTCGCTCTTTCACCTGGGCTGGAATGCAGTGGTGCGATCTCCGTTCACTGCAACCTCTGCCTCCTGGGTTCAAGCGATTGTCCGCCTCCCGGGTTCAAGCGATTCTCCTACCTCAGTCTTCCAAGTAGTTGGGACTACAGGTGCCTGCCACCTCGCCCTGCTAATTTTTGTATTTTTAGTAGAGACGGGGTTTCACCATGTTGGCCAGGCTGGTCTCAAACTCCTGACATCAGGTGATCCACCTGCCTTGGCATCCCAAAGTGCTGAGATTATGGGCGTGAGCCACCATGCCCAGCCAGGAATACTTTATAATTCTTTCCTAGATACTAACAGATCAAATTTGTCTTTTTTATTTTTTAGTAGTCATACCTTGGGAGATATTGTAGGCTCAGTTCCAGACCACTACGATAAAGTGAATGTTGCAGTAAAGTGAATATCACATTAAAGCAAGTCATACAATTTTTTTGGTTTCCCAATGCATATAAAAGTTATGGTTATACTTATATCATAGTCTGTTAATTGTGTGATCATATTATGTCTAATAAAACATTGTACATACCTTGTTTTTTTTTTTTTTTTGAGACGGAGTTTTCTCTTGTTGCCCAGGTTAGAGTGCAATGGCGTGATCTCAGCTCGACGCAACCTCTGCCTTCCAGGTTCAAGCGATTCTCCCGCCTCAGCCTCCTGAGTAGCCGGGATTACAGGTGTGCGCCACCACACCTGGCTAATTTTGTATTTTTAGTGGTGACGGGGTTTTTCCACGTTGGTCAGGCTGGTCTCGAACTCCCGACCTCAGGTGATCCACCTGCCTCGGCCTCCCAAAGTGCTGGGATTACAGGCATGAGCCACCGCACCAGGCCTTAAAAATATTTTATTGCTAAGAAATGCTGATGACTGTGTGAGCCTTCAGCAAGTCACCTTTTTGCTGGTGGAGGGTCTTGTCTCTATGTTAATGGCTGCTGACTGATCAGGGTGGTGGTTGCTAAAGGTTGGGGTGGCTGTAGCAATTAATATAAAACAACAAAGTTTGCTGCATTAATTGACTCCTCCTTTTATGAAGGAATCTCTAGCATGTGGTGCTGTTTGATAGCTTTTTACCTGCAGTAGAACTTTCAAAATTAGAGTCAGTCCTCCCAAACGCTGCCACTGCTTTAAGTTTATGTAATACTCTAAATTTTCTGTTATTTCAACAGTGTTCACAGCATCTTCATCAAGAGTAAATTTCATCTCAAGAAACCACTCTTTGTTGATCGTAAGAAGTAACTCTTTACTAAAGTTTCATCATGAGATTGCAGCAATTCAGTCGCATCCTTACGCTCCACTTCTTTTTTTTTTTTTTTTTTTTTTTTTTTTTTGGAGACAGAGTGCTGTAGTGGTGCAATCTTGGCTCACTGCAACCCTCCACCTCCCAGGTTCAAGCGATTCTCGTGCCGCAGCCTCCCAAATAGCTGGGATTACAGGCATGTGCCACCATGCCTGGCTAATTTTTGTATTTTTAGTAGAGATAGGGTTTTGCCATGTTGGCCAGGCTGGTCTCAAACTCCTGGCCTCAAAGTGATCCGCCCACCTCGGCCTCCCAAAGTGCTGGGACTACAGGTGTGAGCCACCAGGCCTGTCCATGCTCCACTTCTAATTCTAGTTTTCTCTCTCATTTTTTTAAATGAGACAGGGTCTCGCTCTGTTGCCCAGGCTGGAGTAAGTGGCACGATCTTGGCTCAGTGCACCCTCCGCCTTCTGGGCTCTAGTGATTCTCCCACCTCACCCTCCCAAGAACTAAGACTGCAGGTGCGTGCCACTACACCTGGCTAATTTTTGTATTTTTAGTAGAGACAGGATTTTGCCATGTTGCCCAGGTTGGTCTTGAACTTCTGAGCTCAAATGATCTTCCCGCCTTGGCCTCCCAAAGTGCTGGAGTTACAGGCATGAGCCACCACGTCTGGCCTTTTTTCTTTTTGAGATAGGGTCTTGCTCTGCCCCCGGGCTGGAGTGCAGTGGCACCATCACAGCTCACTGCAGCCTCTACCTCTTGGGCCCAAGTGATCCTCCCACTTTAGCCTCTAGAGTAGCTGGGACTACAGGTACACGCCACCATGCCTGGCTAATTTTTTGCATTTTTTGTAGAGACAGGGTTTCACTCCAGGCTGGTCTCAAACTCCTGGCCTCAAGCGATCTGCCCACTTTAGCCTCCCAAAGTGCTGGGATTATAGGCTTGAGCCACCACACCTGGCCTAATTCTAGTTATCTTGCAATTTCTACCACATCTGCAGTTACTTCCTCCATTGAAGTCTTGAACCCTTAAAAGTCATCTCTGAGGACAGGAAACAACTTCTAAACTCCAGTAAATGATATTTTGCCCTCATCCCATGAATCATGAATGTTCTTATTGATATCTAGAATAGTGAATCCTTTCCAGAAAGTTTTCAATTTACTTTGCACAGATCCATCAGAGAAATCACTATTTATGGCAGCAATAGCCTTACAACATGTATTTCTTAAATCATAAGACTTGAAAGTTGAAATTGCTCCATGGTCTATGGGCTATAGAGTGGACATTGTGTTAGCAGGCTTGAAAACAGCATGAATCTCGTTGTCCATCTCCGTCTGAGCTCTTGGGATACGAGATGATTGTTAATGAGCAGCAATATTTTGAAAGGAATCTTTTTGTGCAGTAGATCTCAATGGTGGGCTTAAAATATTCAGTAAATCATGCTGTAAACAGATGTGCTGTCTTCCAGGCTTTGTCCCATTTATAGAGTACAGGCAGAGTAGATTTAGCATAATTGTTAAGGGCCCTAGGATTTTCAGAATGGCAAATGAGCATTGGCTTCAATATAAAGTCACCAGCAGCATTAGCTTTTAACAAGTCAGCCGGTTCTTGGAAGATTTGAAGCCAGGCACTGACTTCTCTGTAGCGGTGAAAGTCTAAGGTGGCTTCTTCCAATAAAAGGCTTGTTACATCTACATTGAAAATCTGTTACTGAGTATAGCCACCTTTAACAATGGTCTTAGCTGGATCTGGATAAACTCCTGCAGCTTCTACATCAGCACTTTCTGCTTCACCTTGCACTTTTATTTATGGAGATGACTTCTTTCTTTAAACCTCATAAACCAACCTCTACTAGCTTCAAACTTCTGTAGCTTCCTTACCTCTCAGTCTTCATAGAATTGAATTTAGAACCTTGCTCTGGATTAGGCTTTGGCCTAAGGGAATGTTGTGGCTGGTTTGATTTTCTATCCAGACCACTAAAACTTTTTCTCCGTATCAGCAATAAGGTTTTCTTAGGTGTTTACTGGAGTAACACTTCTAATTTCCTTCAAGAATTAATGGTTTGGCACAAGACCCTAGCTTTTTTAGCCTGTCTTGGCTTTTGACATGCCTCTTCATTAAGCTTAACCATTTCTAGCTTTTGATTTACAATGAGAGATGTACAAGTCTTCTTTTAACTTGAACACTGGGAGGCCATTGCAGGGTGATTAATTGGCCTGATTTCAGTATTGTGTCTCAGGGAATAAGGAGGTTTGAGGAGAGGGAGAAAGATAGGGGGATGGCCGGTTGGTAGAGCAGTCCGAACACACACACCATTTATTAAGTTCGCTGATGTTATATGGGCACAGTTTGTGGTGCCCACAAACGGTCAAAATAGTAACATCAAAGATCACTGACCACAGATCACTGTAACAGAAATAATAATAATACAAAGTTTGAAATATTGCAGGAATTACCAAAATGTGACACAGAGACACAAAATGAGCACATGACTTTGGGGTGGCATTAACAGACTTGTTTGTTGGAGGGTTGCCATAAACCTTTAATTTGTAAAAAATGCAGTATCTGCAAAGTACAGTAAAGCAAAATGCAATAAAATGAGGTATGCCTGTGTTTATACTTGCTAGTACTTTATACTATTTTACCTTTCCCACAGTCAAGAAAACCACCCATCTGCCACTGTTTTTACATTCATTGAAACCTTTAGTAGTGTTAACAAACTTGGCAAACTTCATAATGCCTCCATCCATCCAGTAGTTATTGAATGCCTGCTATCTCCAGGTGCTATACTTCACACTGGGGGTACATGACATTGTCCTTTCTCTCACATTTTTCACAAGCTCCTAAAGGAGACAGACAAGAAGTGAATGCAACAGCAATATCTAAACTCCTGGGAGTCAGCACTCATCTCTGTTTGGATAGGCTAGGAAGAGCTTCAGAGAATGTTGAATTTAGGTATGTGAAACAATAGTGTATTCAGGAGCTTTATGTAGCCTAGTATAAACAGAATCTGAGAAATGAGACTGGGGCTCAGATTAAAGAATTAGGTGATTTAGGGGCTGGGCACAGTGGCTCACGCCTGTAATCCCAGCACTTTGGGAGACCGAGGCGGGCCCATCACCTGTGGTCAGGAGTTCGAGACCAGCCTGACCAACATGGAGAAACCCCATCTCTACTAAAAATACAAAATTAGCCGGGCGTGGTGGTGCATGCCTGAAATCCCAGTCACTTGGGAGACTGAGGCAGAATTGCTTGAACCCAGGAGGCGGAGGTTGCAGTGAGCCAAGATCACACCATTGCACTCCAGCCTGGGCAACAAGAGCAAAACTCCATCTCAAAAAAACAAACGAAACCACACACACACAAATTAGCCGGGCATGGTGGCAGGCGCCTGTAATCCCATCTACTCGGGAGGCTGAAGCAGGAGAATTGCTTGAGCCCGGAAGGTGGAGGCTGGAGTGAGCCGAGATCGTGCCACTGCACTACAATGAGACTCCATCTCAAAAAAAAAAAAAAAAAGGAAAACACACCTTCACACCTTTTCTCAAAACTAGAAGGAAGGGAATCGTTATAAGTTTGTAGATGTGAAAGGAGAGATTTATATTAGATGTTCTCCAAATTTTTTGTGAAGTAGGAAGTGATAGGTGATATTACTTATGAAGTAGGAGGGTGCAAAAGGTTAGTTTAGAGGCTTGAAGAGAATAGAGATGGTTTGGAATAGAGCTGATGAAACACAAAAACAGTAATGAACAGGGTTAACCATGGAACTGAATTTGGAAATCATGAAAGTATGGTGATTTTGTGATTGTTTCTAGCATCTCATCTGAATGGCTTACAGGGCCAGGTAGATTATAGGACTGATCCAGAATTGTGATTTGGATAATGGATATAGGAGAAAGATAAGGATAGAAGAGAATTGAGAGCATTTGTGCCAGGCAGGATATAGAAATGTGAGTTGGAAGAGATAACCCAGGGATGGAAAAATATGGAGGGTAATTGAAAGCACTGACGAGGCCAGCCTTGGTGGCTTATGCCTGTAATCCCAACACTTTGGAAGGCTGAGGCAAGAGGATTGCTTGAGCTCAAGAGTTTGAGACCAGCCTGGACAACACTCCATCTCTACAAAAAACACAAAAATTTGCCAAGTGTGGTGGTGAGCTCCTGTAGTCCCAGCTACTCAGGAGGCTGAGATGGGAGGATGGCTTGAACCCCGGAAGTGAAGGTTGCAGTGAGCCAAGATCGGGCCACTGCACTCCAGCTTGGACGACAGAGCAAGACCTTGTCTCAAAAAAAAAGAAAAAAAAGAAAAAGAAAAGCACTAGAGCAGGTCATATGACCAATTTAAGAGATTGAGGCCAGATACAGAAGGAAGCGGGATCAAGAATAAACTGGAAGAAGAGGTGGCATTATAGGAATGGAGGTCTCAATGAGGTTAATGATCAGGTGCACTGTGGGTAATATGAATGGAAGCATAAGGGTATGAAAATCACCAGAACCGCTCCATAACAAAGTGGGGAGTGTGACCAAGGGAATGAGGTTGAACTGGCGTTGGAACTGTGATGGTTGGATGTTCAACCGACATTCCACATGAATGTTGAAATCTCCTAGGAAATGATTAAATGAATTTGGGGTTTAAAGGAATAACATGATGTAGGTATTAGGGACAAAGCAAGGTGAAGGGTGACAAAATTGAATGGAATGAACTTCAAAGGAATTAAAGGTTTTATAAGCGCTGAGTGTATAGGTGGATTTATTTATAGTGGAATAGGTTGCCAAAGCCCATACTTGAAAGGTTGGAGGGAGGGCATTGTGTGTTGACAGGATGCTATCCAGTACACAGTTTGGAGACAAGAATTGAGAGGAAGCTGATGGATGAGAGGGAGCTGCCTTCTGAGCAGTGACCAAGCATAATTGGAATGAAAAGTTTAGATGGTACTAAAGTTTCTCAGCTTTTGGCCAAGTTATTTTGAGCAAAACTTACAAGGTGAAGGTCGCAGGCCGTGTTTGGCCTATCTTTGTGAGGGTGTCTTAGATCCATGGTGTAGTGGTAACTGCTGGATCCTTCCAAGAGCTGCTGTGCAAAATGGTAACTAGTTGCATTTTGCTTAGTCTGTATGAACTTCCTTATGGTTTAGGACATGCAGCCATTTACTTGCTATACTTTCTGGCATACATGGCATGTAACCCCAGGAGACAGAACCCAAGGATTTTCTCTACAGGACTTCACTGTGTTTAGCATAAGAATCAGTATCTGTGCCTTATATAAGATGCAATTCCTTTTTTCCTCTTTTGTTAAAGATAGATTTCATTCACCAGTCTGTTGTAGACAGTATGATACAGTAGAAAAAAAAGCATGGACTCATACAGAGCCAGGTCTGAATCCTGGAAGCTTCTTGGACAAGTCATTTAAATTTTCTGAGTCTTAATATATCCCAAGTATAACAGACCTTGTATATAAAGTGCCTAGAACACAGAAAGTACTCAATGAATTTTTTCTATCATTAGTTATTAAATAAAAGTCGTAAGAAAAACTATCTGCCAAGCACTGTTGTTAAGTCCTGGGAATCCAAATATGAATATGACATGATCCTTGCCCTAAGATCCTTATAATTTAGTAGAAGGAGAGAGAAAGATAAGTATATTCAATGACATAACAGATGCCTTGGTAGATGCATAGATGGAAAACAGTGGGAGCCCAAGGGGGTAACAGTAAGTTCTGCTTGCCGGCCTGAGGTGGAGTGAGAAGGTAGGGAGCCTCCTTAACTATTCCTTCTCAATTTTCTCTACTCTTCTTCCTTCCACTCTATGTGCATATCTATTTTAAGTCTAGGCACATTTCCTGAAATAGACTCAGCGTGCCTTATGTCTACCCCAGTGTGTCAGCGATAATGTATGTGCTGAAGCGTCCAGATCTCTATAGTGAGCATCACACCATATATTCAGTTGTCAAATAGATGTTTGTTCTTAGATACACCGTGAGTGCCTCCAGCTCAATAGGAGTAAAAATGAATTTTATTATCTCAAAACCTGCTCCTCCACTTTTTGGACACCACCATGCACTCAGTTGTGAAGTCAGAAACATGGAAGTCATCTTTGGTGTTTCCATCTTCCTAATTCTCCACAGTTGGCTTTCAGCAAGTCATATTTATTATATCTGCAGAACATCTTTCAAACCCTCCAACTTCTCTCCATTTCCATGTTTATAATCCTAGCTTAGTACCATCATCTCTTGCTTAAATTACTCTTGCTTAAATTAACAAGCTCTCCCTGCCTCTAATCTTACCTCCTTTTAATCCATTCTGTATACTAAAACCAGAATATTATTTCTGACATACAAATCTAATTACTTCCTTTCCTTGCTTAAGGTCTTTCAAAAAGTTCAAAGCTTTCCACTGCTTCTAGAATAAAATAGCTTACAGGACACTGCAGAATCTCATCTCCTCTTATCCACTGCTTTCATTTTAGATAAACTTCCCACTAATTTTCCCTAAACCTTTAACTCCTGCTGGTGCTTGTTGGAGCTTACATATTTTCTGTACTTCTGCTCTCGTAGCACCCACTACACTGTATTCGAATGCTTAGTTGTATGTTTCCCTGACTAGACTAATCTCTATAGGGCAGGGATCAAGCAGATTGTTTTATTTTTGTTTTGCTTTTGAGTATGAGTGTGTGTGTTTGTGTAATATGGAAGAGCCTTGAGCATGAGGTAGTCACAGGATACATAATCACCTGCTTGGGTTGAGGCATATAATTACCAGGGGCAGCATGGGCTGCACTATGGCAGTCACATTCACACTCCTAGGAAGGAGATGTAATTGGTTAGGGGCTTCTGTGTGTTCCTTGTAAGTCTACAAAAGAGAAATAGAACATTGTCAAGAATGTTTCAACAGTATACTCAGTATTCAACAACTAGATGGCAGTGTCGTCTCTACAGTTTATATCTAAATGAACAAGTTGATTAGGTTTACTCTCAGTGAGTTGCCTGTTTTTACATTTTGCATGACGTAGTGTATTAATCCATTCTCACACTGCTATAAAGAAATATCTGACACTGGGTAATGTATAAGAAAAGAGGTTTAATTGGCTTACGGTTCTGCAGGCTGTACAGAAAGCATGGCAGCATCTGCTTCTGGGGAGGCCTCAGAGAACTCTGAATCATGGCGGAAGGCAAAGGGGGACCAAGGCATCTCACATGGTAGGAGCAGGAGCAAGAGAGAAGGGGGAGGTGCCACACACTTTTAAACCAACCAGATCTCGTGAGAATTCATCATCACGGCGACAGCACCAGGGGACGATGGTGTTAAACCATGAGAAACCACCACCATGATCCAATCATCTCCCACCAGGCCCCACCTCCAGCATTGGGGATTACATTTCAACATAAGATTTGGGTAGGGATGGAGATCCAAACCATATCAGGTAACAGGACTGTTTATTCCATTTTTTACTTATAATCTGAATTTAAATGTTCCCTAATTATAAAAACTGAATTAATTATTTTAGAGATAGGATCTCACTTTGTCACATAGGTTGAAGTGCAGCGTTGTGCAGTTTGAACTCCAGGCCTCAGCTTCCTCAGCAGCTAGTACTACAGGTGAGTGAGTGCCACTATGCTTGGATAAACATTTTATTTTAAATTTTTTTGTAGAGATGTGGTCTTGCTATGTTGCCCAAGCTGATCTTCAACTCCTGGCCTCAAGGGATCCTCCCGCTTCAGCCTCCCAAAGCATTGGGCTTACAGGTATGAGCCAACATGCCCTCTAATCTATTATTCTCTAATAAAAAGTTGGGCAATTTCAATCTATAGGAATAAAATAATCATTTTACCTTATGCAGGGTATTTAGTCATTTAACTATGATAGTTTATAGGTAATCATATAAGCACTTTTGGCTTAATCACTATGATTATATGTCCTGGAAATTAAGACACATACACACTCTGATTTTATTAAACTTTACACTGAACTTTTAGATTCAACATTAGATGGTTTAAAAGACAAAGGTGATGTCTCTCAAAGAGAAGTTTTTTTTTTTAAAAAAAACAGCTTTATAGGGGTAGAATTTACATAAAATAAGCCGTTCATATTAAAATATACCACTGACACGCACAGAGTTGCGACCTCATCCTTACAATCAAAGTAGTAAACATATCTATCACCCCAAAAAGTTTCCTCATGCCTCTCTGTAACGCCCCCCTCCTACCCTTCTCAGTACCTGCCCTCAGTTTTCTGTATGTGTAGATTAGTTTGCATTTCCTAGAGTCTTATATAAATGAGATCATATAGAATTTATCTTTTTCTGGGTCTGGTTTCTTTCAGCACAATTACTTTGAGATTCATCTGTGTTGTTGCATGTATCAATGGTTAATTCCTTTTTATTTTTGAGTAGTATTCCTCTAGTGTTGTAGAAAAACTAATTCTGAGCTTCCTCCTGCTAGTGGAAGAAATTACTACAATTTGGGACTTCTGTCTCTTAAACATTTAAATGAGCCTTTCTGACCAAAATAGGCTGATATTAATCTATATTAATATTGTGCCTGTGTGTGCTTTCATTGTTGCTAATGAAAATTTCAGCGTTAACTCTACAAATTGTGTGGTCAAAAGGATCACACAGAGGCTGTTTGTTAAAAATACATTCTTTGAAAGACAAAAGAAAGGGCTACTTTCATTGTTGTACAGTATCTTTCCCAAGTGGAACATCGGCGTTATCATAAAGACTGGAAATCGGCTTTCCATCCACCTGTAAACAAACAAGAACTGGGTTATTCCTAATCCTTTCCTATGCAAAGCCTTTTCTTATATCTCTCACTCTGGCTGAAATATTATTTCCTCTCGTCAACTGAGCAAATTCTGCCCACTCTTTAAGGATTTTCTCAGCTGGATATAAGTTCTTTCTTCTCTGATCTTTCATAACACATTCCATCTTTCTTTTAGTCATATGTAGTATTATCTTAAACTTTTTTGAGTATTTGTCTTATTTTTATATTGTTATAAGCTCTTTAAGGGCAAAGTGTATGCCAAATACATAGTAGGTACTCAAATATTTGCTGCATGAGTAAATAAACCTACCAGTAAGAAGCAAGAAAGTTATAGATAGTTCCATTTTTAGCCTACATGAGAACAGTGATAAGATTTCAAAAGGAGCATATCCATTGAACACTTCAATACATTTGGAGCCACAGAAGCTTTACATAAAGCCCCTAACCAACATTAAAAATAAGAGGATGAGAGAATTTTTACCTATACAAGGCTAGGTACAGGGATAGGAAGTAAATGATTATATTGTTATATACTGGCTGGATTCATTTTATATTGGATGATTTTTTTCATCTTATATGCCCCTACCATACCAAAAGTACCTATTCTAGTACTTAGGCCACAAACTTGGAATGTAGTGGAGCATAGTATCATGGTAAAACCCAGGCCGAATTTGGGCCAGGTGAACAAGAGCACAAAGGATTGAGGGTGTTTATGAAAAGTTGGATCATGAAACCTAGATCATGCATCTAGGCTGATTTAAGGAAGGAAGTGGCAGAAGAGGGCTTTTAGTAAGAAAATGGATGAGCTAAAGGAATGGACAAGATTGAAATTTAGGATAAGGAAGTGGCAGAGGAGGGCTTTTAGCAAGAAAATGGATGAGCTAAAGGAATGAACGAGATTGAAATTTAGGATTTAAGAGGTGATAAACCACCTGGTTTGTAACAAACTTAGATTTAGCTATAGAATAGACCAAAGAACAGAATAAAGTTGTGACAAACCACCTAATGTTGGCAAACAGGTACAGCCATAGAATAGACCAAGTGGAATGTGTTAAAGGGTATCAAATTGAGAGGATTCAAGGAATTGGAGACTAGGGCTGTTCACATGGACAGTGAGGTCATCTCAGATGATGATGGGACCATAAACCAGAGAGAAGAATAACTAGTAGCTTAGTAGATGACAGTAAGAAGCAGTAGAGAGATGGATGGTTGAAAATGAAAGCTTGAGGCTGGGTGTGGTGGCTCACGCCTGTAATCCCAGCACTTTGGGAGGCCGAGGTGGACAGATCATCTGAGGTCAGGAGTTCGAGACCAGCCTGGCCAACACAGCGAAACCCCGTCTCTACTAAAAATATAAAAATTAGCCGGGCATGGCGGCAGGTGTTTGTAATCCCAGCTACTCGGGAGGCTGAGGCTGGAGAACAGCTTGAACCTAGGAGGTGGAGGTTGCAGTGAGCCAAGATCACGCCATTGCACTCCAGCCTGGGCGACAAGAGTGAAACTCCATCTCAAATAAATAAATAAATAATTAAAAAAAAAATAAAAGCTTGAAAGGAGAGGGTTTTCTACAAGGGTGAGACAAATTAACAACTTCCACCCAAGAGAGAAGTAAGAAGATAATTTTTCTAATGGAAAACAGGTTTCTATTTCAGGCCAGAGATGGAAAGAATATTCTGTTAAAAGGGTGAAAATATGGGTAGGCACAGTGGCTCATGCCTATAATCCCAGCACTTTGGGAGGCTGAGGCAGGTGGATTGCTTGAGTTCGAGACAAGCCTGGCCAACATGGCGAAACCCCGTCTCTACTGAAAATACAAAAATTAGCCAGGTGTGGTGGTGCACACCTGTAGTCCCAGCTACTCGGGAAGCTGAGAATTGCTTGAACCTGGGAGGCAGAAGTTGCAGTGAGCCGAGATGGTGCCACTGCACTCCAGTTTGGGCGACAGAGTGGGACTCTGTCTCCAAAAAAAAAAAAAAAAAAGGATGAAAATACAGGTGAGTTTGTTTTGAATAGGCTGGAGTTCCAGAAAGCCCAGGAAAAAGGAGAGCAGAAGTAAGCAGAAGGGTTTGGGAGAGCTTGCAAAGCTCTCTGGGAAAGGAGAGCCACCTGTAGAGGCTTGTATTTGGAGAAGTGCTGAATATGATAGGGAACTGAAGATTAACTGGCCTTAGAGATCTCATGGAATTCCTATGAAAAGATGTTTCAGGACTGGTCCAGGCAGAGGCATCAGAATTGTGAGGAAGAGGACAGTTGGCAAGTAGGTCTGGGATGCATTTCTTTCTGCCCTGGCTGGTATTAGAGACATAATGCTATTAGCAACCTTTGTTTAAGGTTTTTTCATTTACTCAACATATAGTGATTGAGCATCTCTTCTATGCCAGGCATTGTGCTCGATTCTGGGAATGGAGTTACAATGGTAATAGAGATACACCCCTTCCCCAAAGAAAACATAAAATACAGTGTGAGGTATAGACCAGTAAACAGTATTCTGATGGGGGAGTTCAGGGTGTAATGGGAATATAGGCAGTGAGGGTGGCACATATACCCAGATTTAGGAAGTGAGGAACGCTTCTTGGAGGAAGTATTGAATAAACTGGGGCCTAAAGTGTTAGTATGAATTAGCCAGTTGAGAGAGGGTCAAAGAGCAAGGGAAAAGAAAGTAGAGTGTTTCAGGCAGAGAGCAGTGTGAACAGCGTGTGCAAAATCCTGGAAGCGAGAGAAAGAAAGGCTGAGACATTGAAAGAAACCTGTTTTCTATCTTACAGGGTTGTTGTGCAATTTAGCCCCTAGAATAGTGGCTGGCACAGAATAAATGCTGAGAAATATCAGAAATTATTACTATGCCTGTAGCATAGAATTGAGGGTGAGTGGGGGCCGGGCACAGTGGCTAACGCCTGCAATCCCAAGACTTTGGGAGGCTGAGGCGGGCGGATCACCTGAGGTCGGGAGTTTGAGACCAGCCTGACTAACATGGAGAAACCCCGTCTCTACTAAAAATACAAAATTAGCCGGGCGTGGTGGCATGCGCCTGTAATCCCAGCTATTTGGGAGGCTGAGGCAGGAGAAACGCTTGAACCTGGGAGGCCGAGGGAGGAGAAGCGCTTGAACCTTGATCTGGTGAGCCGAGATCGCACCATTGCACTTCAGCCTGGGCAACAATAGAAACTCTGTCTCAAAAACAAACAAAAAACAAAACAAAAAACAGAATTGAGGGTGAGTGGGAAAAGAAGGCTACACAAGTAGGCAGAAGCCAAATTATAAAGTCCCATAAACCATGATACTAGGCATTTAGACTTAATCCAAGTCACTGGCAAACTACTCAACAGATTTTAAATAGTGGAATGAATTTCATGCATTTTAGAAAGATGGGCTGAGACTAGTAGCAGGGAGATGAGGCAGAAGATTAATCATGATCTGAACTAGTTAGCAGCAGTGTTGGTAGAGAAACATAGATGGATTTCAGAGCTATTTAGAAGGTAGAAAATTTGTTTCCTGGGACTACCATAACAGATTACTACAAACCTCATGACTTAAAAAAGCAGAATTTATTCTCTTACAGTTTTGGAGGTCAGAAGTCTGAAATCAGGCTGTCAATGGGGTTGGCAATTCTTGGTGTTCTTTGGCCTGTAGCAGCATCACTCCAATCTCTCTCTCCAGCCTTATAGGGATCTTCACATGGCATTCTCCCCTGTGTCTTTGTCTCACATCTCCCTCTCCTTTCATGTTTAAGGACATCAGTCATTGGATTTAGGGCCCTCCCTAATCCGGGATAATCACCTCTCAAGATCCTGAATTACATCTACAAAGACCCTAAGTAAGATCACATTCATAAGCAGTGGGGGCTGGGACTTTCACATATCTTTCTGGGGGGATACAATTTCTCTCACTGTAATAGAATTAATGGAAGCCAATGGTTGGCTAAATGGGGGAAGGGGGCTGAAGGCGAAGGATAAATCAAGGACAATATCCATGTTTTCTACTTGAGCAACTGGATGATGCTACCACTCACTAAAATAAGTAACACTGGAGGAGAATCAAGTTTGGAGATGGAAGAGGGCATCTTTATTTTGAGGTGCTTGTGGAAATCAAGGTGGATATCAAGTAGACACTAGGTCAAATAAGTCATGAGCTTAGTACAGAGAAATCTGAGCTGGGCTTCCAGGTTTAGGTGGTAACTAAAGCAATGGATGTAGTAAGATTGCCAAGGAAGAATCTGGAGAACATGAAGAACTTGTATCAGAACGCTGTGATATACAAAATTTGAGGGAGGGACAGGAAAAGTAGCAATCAGGGAAGTAAGATTAAAAAAACAATAAGAGAGTAATATCTTGGAAGAGCTCAGGAAAGAAAGTTTAAAGCAGGAGTGAACAGTTTCTATGGGTTTGGAGAAACTTGAATGAAAGAGAATTGAGGCAATGCAAAGAGTATAAATAAATATTTCAAAAGTTTGTTAAGAGCAGGAGAGACAGAGACTGGCAGCTGACAGGGGATGCCCAGAGAGAATTTTCTTTCTCTTTTTTTGTTTTAATTTAAGATGGGAGAGATGTATGCTTGCCAGAAAACAAAAAATGTAGCCAGGGAGAACTGAATGTGGAAGATAGGCAATATTAAGGAATGCTGAGGAGGCAGGACACAGGGGAGACATTATAATCTCAGACAGGAAGAAAAACATCTCTAGGGAGAGGGGAAAGGATGGCTGTGGAAGCAGGTAAGTTTGCTCACTTACTTATTCAACGAATATTTTTGAATGCCTGGCAGATGTAAATGCTGATGATACAAAGTGAACAAAACAAAGTATTGAACCTGTATTTCAGAGGGAAACTTACATTTCAGGTGGGACTACATAGAGTCAGGTGTGCTGGTGTGTGCCTATAATCCCAGCTACTTGGGAGGCTAAGGTGGGAAGATCACTTGAGTCCAGGAGCCTGGGCAACATAGTGAGACCCCTATATGAGGGGAGGGGAGGGGAGGGAAGGGAGAAGGAAGGAAGGAGAGAGAAAAGAATGGAAGGAAGGAAGGAAAAAGAAAAGAATGAAAGGAAGGAAGGAAGGAAAGAGAAAGAAAAAGAAAGAAAGAGAAAAAGAAAGAAAAGAAAGAAAAAAAATCTCAATATCAATGTGGGGTAAGTGCTATGAGGAAAATAAGCATAAGGAGAGGAAGAAACCCTTGCAGGGGTATCTGTTTAAAATGAGGTACCTAGGTTCAGCCTCTCTGAGTTAGAAAATGAGAAAGTAAGGCATTAAAAATCTAGAAAGAGCATTCCAGGCAGAGGGAACAGCAGATGTAAAGGCCCCAAGGCAGGAGTATGCTTGGCACCATCAAAGAACAGGAAGGAGGGCTGGGAGCGGTGGCTCATGCCTGTAATCCCAACACTTTGGGAGGCCAAGGCAGGAGGATCACCTGAGGTCAGGAGTTCGAGACCAGCCTGGCCAACATGGTGAAACCTCATCTCTGCTAAAAATACAAAAAATTGGCTGAGTGTGGTGGCAGGCGCCTGTAATCCCAGTTACTTGGGTGGCTGAGGCAGGAGAATTGCTTGAACCTGGAAGGCGGAAGTTGTAGTGAGCCAAGATCACAGCATTGCACCCCAGCCTGGGCAACAAGAGCAAAACTCCATCTCAAAAAAAAAAAAAAAAAAAAAAAAGAACAGCAAGGAGGCCAGTGCTGCTGGAGCACAGTAAGGTAGCAGGAGAGAGGTCTGAAGTCCGAATGATAGGCTGGGGTCAAATCACATAGATCTAGTAGGATTTGGTAAGGACTTCAGATATTTAGTCTAAAAGTGGTGGAGAGCTCTTGGAAGGTTTTGAGCAGAGAAGTGACATGATCTAATTTATGAAAGAATAACTTTGGCTGCTATGTGAACAATAAATGGCAAGCAGCAAGAGTGGAAGTTGGGAGTCCAGTTAGGAAGTGACTACAGTAGTCCAGATGAAAAATGATGATGGCCTGGACCAGGGTGGTGGTTGTGGAGGAGTAGGAAATCACTGAGTTACGAATCTAGTCTGAAAGCAGAGCTCACAGTACATACTGAGAGACTGAAAGTGGGGTGTGAAAGAAAAAAGCAGAGAGCATCAAATACCTCAGATAGAACACTGGCTAAGATAGAAATGGTTCCTTCAAAGAAATCCTAGCCCGTGTGGATAAGTATATAACAAGGGAGAAGGGAAGGAAGTGTGTATTTGCTAGATGCCTCTATGTCCTAGTTTTATGTGTCATCCCATTAAATCCTCTCCACAACCTTTGGTGATATTATTATCCTTAATTGTAGATAATAAAATTAAGTAATTAAAATTTAATGTAATAGTTTCTTCGTCACAGCTAACGTGAATTTTAACTCAAGACTGTCTAACAGTCAAGCTCTTTTCACTAACACTGTTCTCCAAAAAATATACCTGAAGAATAGGAAATAACACTCATAATAATAGTACAAATAAAAAGATTAATTTTGAAGCAAACTAATACTTGAAAAAAGCAGCTTTAATTAGACAATGATACAAAAGTACGTATTCATTTTGGGACCAGTTCTGAATGAGACTTTTGGGGACTTCAAGGGTTTCAGAGTCTAACTGCACTCATTATTTCAGATTTCTAATTTCCCTTTTAAATGGCGGATTTATCCCTAGTACAACTTTTACACTTATTAACGTTGATGCCATTTGTTTTTTCTTTTGTAAACTGAGGTAATACATAACATACCATCTTTACCATTTTAAGTGTACAGTTCAGTGGTAATAAGTACACTTATATCCTTTTTCCCCCTTCATCCCCTACTCCATCCCCTCCTTTCTGGCTTCTGGTAACCACCAATGTACTCTGTGTCATCATGAAATCCACATTTTTAGCTCCCATGTATGACTGACAACATGCAATATTTGTCTTTATGTACTTGGCTTATTTAACATAGTGGTCGCCAGTATCATCCATGTTGCTGCAAATGAGAGGGTTTCATTATTTTTTATGGCTGATTAATATTTCATTGTGCATACATACCACACTTTATCCATTCACCCATTGATGGGCACTTAGGTTAATTCCATATCTTGGCTATTGTGAACAATGCTGCAATAAACATGGGAGTGCAGATATCTTTTTGATATACGGATTTCCTTTCTTTTGGATACATATTCAGTAGTGGAATTGCTGGATCATATGGTAATTCTATTTTTAGTTTTTTGAAGAACTTCCATACTGTTCTTCATAGTGGTTGTACTAGTTTACATTTCTACCAACAGTGTATGAGGGTTCTCTTTTCTCCACATCCTCACTAGCATCTGTTATTATCTGTTTTCTTAATACAAGCCATTTTAACTGGGGTGAAATAACATGTTGTTTTAATTTGCATTTCTCTAATGATTAGTAATGTTGAGCATTTTTTCATATACCTGTTGGCCATTTTTATGTCTTCCTTTGAGAAATGTCTGTTTGGATCTTTTGCCCACTTTTTTTTTTTTTTTTTTCAAGATGGAGTCTCGCTCTGTCATCAGGCTGGAGTGCAGTTGTGTGATCTTGGTTCACTGCAACCTCTGCCTCCCAGGTTCAAGCGATTCTCACTGCCTCAGCTTCCCAAGTAGCTGGGACTACAGGCACATGCCACCACACCCGGCTAATTTTTTTTGTATTTTCAGTAGAGATGGGGTTTCACCATGTTGGCCAGGATGGTCTCGATCTCTTGACCTGCCTGCCTTGGCCTCCCAAAGTGCTGGGATTATAGGCTTGAGCCACCCCACCCAACCTGCCCACTTTTTAGATTATTTGGCTTTTGTTTTTTTTGTGTGTTTGTTTGTTTTGTTTTTGGCTTAAATTGTTTGGTCTCTTTATTCTGGTCATTAATCCCTTGTCGGATGGATAGTTTGAAAATGTTTTCTCTCATTCTGTGGGTTGTCTCCCCCACTCTGTTGAGTGTTTCCTTTGCTGTGCAGAAACTTTTTAGCTTAATGTAATCTCATTTGTCTGTTTTTGCTTTGTTGTCTGTGCTTTTGAGGTCTTAAACAAAAAAATCTTTTCCCAGACCAAGGTCCTGGAGCACTTCTCCAGTGTGTTCTTCTAGTTTTGTAGTTTCAGGTCTTAGATTTAAGCCTTTAATCCATTTTGATTTGATTTTTGTGTATAGCGAGAGAGAGGAATCTTGTTTCATTCTTCTGCATATAGTTATCTAGCTTTCCCCCACACCATTTATTGAAAAGACCATCGTTTCCTCATTGTATGTTCTTGGCACCTTTGTTAAAGATGAGTTGGTATATCTAGATTCTCTATACTGTTTCATTGGTGGTCTATGTGCCTATTTTTTTTTTTTTTTTAATGCCAGTACCATGTTATTTTAGGTATTAGAGCTTTGTAGTAAATTTTGAAGTCTGGTAGTGTGATGCTTCCAGCCTTGTTCTTTTTGCTCAGGGTTGCTTTGGCTATTTGGGGCTTTTATGGTTCTGTATATATTTTAGAATGATGCCCTTTGTGTTTGATCCACAAAAAGGGAGACATCCAGAGCTGAAGAGTTTTCCCTGAGAATTTTGTCAAGAGCTAGAAGAGAAAGGGGAAGAAGTACATGAACAACTGCATATGGTGATATTCACTCTTAAGTCTGCTATACAGAAATTTAAGGGGTGGGGGGCGGTGGTTATAGTGTGGAGCCAGGAACCCAAGGAAGCCTATCCATAGTTCCACATCGCTGATGTAATTCTTAGTATATGGACACTTGAACAATTCAATATATTAATAAGTCTAAATTTCTATCTGGACAAGGGTCTGGGGTAAGGAGCTGGGGGTATTTTGTTTCCTTATATGTTGCGGGAAGTCAGGGACCCCAAATGGAGGGACCGGCTGGAGCCGTGGCAGAGGAACATAAATTGTGAAGATTTCATGGACATTTATCAGTTCCCAAATAATACTTTTATAATTTCTTATGCCTGTCTTACTTTAATCTCTTAATTCTGTTATCTTCGTAAGCTGAGGATGTACATCACCTCAGGACCACTGTGATAACTGTGTTAACTGTACAAATTGATTGTAAAACGTGTGTTTGAACAATATGAAATCAGTGCACCTTGAAAAAGAATAGAATAACAGCGATTTTTAGGGAACAAGGGAAGACAACCATAAGGTCTGACTGCCTGCAGGGTCAGGCAAAAAGAGCCATATTTTTCTTCTTGCAGAGAGCCTATAAACAGACATGCAAGTAGGAGAGATATCGCTAAATTCTTTTCCTAGCAAGGTATATTAATATTAAGACCCTGGGAAAAGAATGCATTCCTGGGGGGAGGTCTATAAATGGCTGCACTGGGAGTGTCTGTCTTATGTGGTTGAGATAATGACGAAATATGCCCTGGTCTCCTGCAGTACCCTCAGGCTTATTAGGATTGGGAAACTCCATCCTGGTAAATTTTTGGTCAGACCGGTTCTCTGCTCTCGAACCTGTGTTTTGTTGTTTAAGATGTTTATCAAGACAATACATGCACCGCTGAACATAGACCCTTATCAGGAGTTCTGCTTTGCCCTTGTCCTGTTTCCTCAGAAGCATGTGATCTTTGTTCTGCTTTTTGCCCTTTGAAGCATGTGATCTTTGTACCTACTCCCTGTTCATACACGCCCTCCCCTTTTGAAATCCTTAATAAAAACTTGCTGGTTTTGAGGTTCGGGTGGGCATCATGGTCCTACCGATATGTGATGTCACCCCTGGTGGCCAAGCTGTAAAATTTCTCTCTTTGTACTCTTTATTTCTCAGCCGGCCAACACTTATGGAAAATAGAACCTCCGTTGAAATATTGGGGGCGGGTTCCCCTGATAATTATACTTCTCTCAGTAAATGTTCATACTGTCTTTACTGTCTTTTCGCTCCCTCCCTCCTTTCCTTCCTTTCCTTTCCTTTCCCTCCCTCCCTTCCTTCCGGACAAGGGTCTTGGGGCATTTTGTTTCCTTATACTTCTCTCAGTAAATCAATCAATCCTTCCCTTTTTTTTTTTTTTTTTTTGAGACAGAGTCTCGCTCTATCCCCTGGCTGGAGTGCAGTGGTGTGATCTCGGCTCACTGCAACCTCCACCTCCCAGTTTCAAGTGTTTCTCATGCCTTAGCCTCCCAAGTAGTTGGGATTACTTTAGTAAAGACATGGTTTCGCCAGGCTGGCCTCGAACTCCTGACCTCAGGTGATCTGCCCACCTCAGCCTCCCAAAGTGCTGGGATTACAGGCATAAGCCACCACACCTGGCCTATACTGTCTTTTCATCCATGAGAAACATAACACAAAGACTGGGCATATGCTAAGAGTTGTCACCAAAACACTGAAGGAACGGACAAGGAAAGGGCAAGGGTACGTAGTGGAAGGGGCAGGGGCAATTAATGGGCTAAGAAGGTACAGTACAGAAGGTTCAGGAGAGGGAGGTAAAACTCAGAATCACTGGCTGTATCCCAACTATACAGCCTTGGGTAAGTTGCTTACTTTTTCTGAGCCTCAGGATCCTCATCTGGTAAGTAGGGATAAGTGAGAGTAAAAATAGGACCAACCTCATAGGCTCCTGTGACAATAAAATGATATAATCCATTTGAAGTACTTAGCAAAACGGCTCAACAAATGTTTGCTACTATTATTAAATTTCACTAACAGTGCAACTTCAGACAAGTGGCTTAAAGTCTTTGCCCTTTATTTCTTCAGCTACAAAATGATGGATAGAACCAGGTGATACTGAAGATTTCTTTATAACTTTATATAATTATGATGTTACGTGCATTGTACTCAAGGTGGTAGAAAAGAAATTAGAAATCTCCCTTGGTTGCCACCAGGTGGCAGTAATGAGGAATTTAAGTACCATCCCATTTTGGGGAAAGCATACCATTTTTCAGTGTACAGATGCAGAACTATTGTTAACATTTTGATATATAATCTTCCATCTAGGTTTTTTTCTTCACAGGTATATGCCAATTTTTATTTTACAAAAATGTGGATAGTATTAGACATCTGTTTTGTAATCAGCTTTTTAAAAAACATAACAATATATGGCGATCACCTTCCATATCAATTAATGTAGTTCTACATCATGCTTAAGAGCTCTGTGGTATTCCACAGGAATTTATTTAAACCATACTTGGTTAAAACCATCCTCTACTTGTCAAACAATCAATGTTTTTAATTGGATTGGCATTATAACATTATAGACAATGTTTCAATAAATATCTTAGCCATATACTATCTAGTTATTTCTCAGGGAAATTTTCCAGAAGTGGAATGTCTGGGCAAAGGGTATGTACTTAAAAAAAAAACTTTTAATATATACCACCCATTTGTCTTTTCCTATATAGGTTTTTGTGTCTAATAGAGCAAGGTCCCTTATCGATGCCTTTCTTCAAAATATGAATTGGCTATTCTGAAGCATTTATTCTTCATGGTGAAATTTACAATCATTTTGTCAAATTTGCCCCTTCCTTTCCTCCAAAAATTCCACTGGAATTTTGACTGATATTGTGTCCATTTTATAGATTAACTTGAAGAGAGTTTGCATTATTACAATATTATGTCTTTCCATCCAGCAGCATGGTACTCTCCTCCATTCATCCATTTCCTCTGTCGGTAAATTTGAGTACTATTTACCATTTAGTTTACTTCTGAATATTTTATATTTTTTATTACCATTACTGGGTTTTTTTGTCCTTTTTGTTTTTTTTGTTTTGTTTTGTTTTGTTTTTTTGAGACAGGGTCTCACTCTGTCACCCAGGCTGGAGTGCAGTGGTAAAATGTCGGGTCACTGCAACCTTTGCCACCCGAGTTCAAGTGATTCTCTTGCCTCAGCCTCCCAAGTAGCTGGGATTACAGGCACATGCCACACCAATTTTTGTATTTTTAGTAGAGATGGGGTTTCACCTTGATTGCCAGGCTGGCCTTGAACTCCCGACCTCGGATGTTCTGCCCACCTCGGCCTCCCAAAGTGCTGGGATTACAGGCATGAGCCACCACGCCCAGCAGAATTACTGATTTTTTAATTGGTCACATTACTAGACTTGTTTAATGGTTCTAATATTCTTCAGTTTATCCATCCACTCTACAAATATTTATTGAGTGTGTACAATGTGCCAAATGCTATTCTGGGTCCTGGAAATAGCAGTAATAAATCTGTTCTCCAGGTCTTTATATCCTACAGAGAGGAAATACTAAACAGAGAAATATATGACAGGTGGTGATAAGTGCTAAGGAGGTGGTGGTCGGGAAAAGCATAGAAAGGAGGATGGAAAGTGACCAGGAAAGATATTCTTTCAGATAATGTATTAAAATAAGCCCCCTCTGATGAGCTGAAGTTTGAGGAGACACCTAAAGTGATGTTGCTTTTCTTGGATTTTCCTGGTAGATATTTACTTATATCACTATGCTCTTTCCCAGTCACAGCAGGATTTCCAAGCTCCTGGAGATTGCCTGTCCAGTGGCAGCAACACCAAAGACTTAGACTGTAAAGAAAGCCTCTAAAATTCCCAGTGTTCCTGGATTTAAATAACACATCCAGAGTTCTTCCCAGTCACAACTCCAGCTGGATTTTAGAGGCACAAAGAGCTGAATGTGATCCTGGTAAATCTACCCCCGACCCATCACAATATCCACCTGCTTTATAAACTGCCTAACAGAACAATTCCAAGAGATTATAATAACACGCTACAAACTGCTTAAAAGAACAATCCCAAGAGGCTATAATGAGACCTTTTTTTAAAAAAATAGAAATAACCCCATCATACCTCATTTCCCTATTTGCATCTTTTAAAGTCCATTGTATAGAATTGTAACACCATCATGCTTTGCTCTAATATAGCCTAATTTCCCATTCCTTTTTTTTTTTTTTTTTTTGAGACGGAGTCTTGCTCTGTCACCCATGCTGGAGTGCAGTGGTGCGATCTTGTCTCACTGCAAACTCTGCCTCCCGGATTCAAGCAATTCTCCTGCCTCAGCCTCCCAAGTAGCTGGGATTACAGGCATGAGCCACCACACCCAGCTAATTTTTGTGTTTTAGTAGAGACAGGGTTTCACCATGTTGGCCAGGCTGGTCTCGAACTCCTCACCTCAGGTGATCTGCCTGGCTCGACCTCCCAAGGTGCTGGGATTACAGGCATGAGCCCCTGTGCCCAGGCTCCCACTCCTCTTAATCTGTGTTGACCCTTCCACTGTATTGTCATCAGTCAAATCCCCTAATCCTTAACACCTTTTCTAAACATTCCTTTCATTTTCTTACTCTAACCAAAACCTAACCATCTCCTAATAATATTGCTTTCCTTGCAATACTCTCAAATTGTGTCTGCTTTTAAAAATTACTCAACCCACTTACCAAAGGAGCCTAGAGATGAGGTAGGTGTCCTGCTTATTCCCCACTGCCAATTCCAGACCTTTTTTCTCCTTTGAAAATTCTAGTTCCCTTGACCATATCATCCATTCTCCTTTTTTTTTTTACAGTCGTCTACTGTCTTCCTGGTCTCTCACCCTCATTGCAGAAGAGCTTAGCATGCAGTGTCTTGTTTTCCTTTCCACTGCTACTGCTGTCATTATTCTTTTTTTTTTAGATGGAGTCTCGCTCCGTTGCCCAGGCTGGAGTGAGTGCAGTGTCGCGATCTTGGCTCACTGCAAGCTCCGCCTCCTGGGTTCAAGCAATTCTCCTGCCTCAGCCTCCCGAGTAGCTAAGACTACAGGTGCCTGCCACCACGCCAGGCTAATTTTTTGTATTTTTAGTGGAGACAGAGTTTCACCATTTTAGCCAGGGTGGTCTAGATCTCCTGACCTCGTGATCCGCCTGCCTCGGCCTCCTGAAGTGCTGGGATTACAGGCATGAGCCACCGTGACCGGCCAGCTGTCATTATTTTTAACATTAACAATTCATCTATTACCTTAGCTATGGATGGTGCTATGTAATTTGCCCTGCCTGCTCCTTCACCTTCACATCCTGCCACTCTCCCCTGTTAAGTCAGAAACTGTGAAGTGTCTTAGAGTTTGTCCTTCTTGCAAGCTAATAGGTTAGCTTGCCACAGTTTCATATACATATACTGCCAGAAGACACCAGACTGCTGGGCTGGTGCCATAAAAGATTTGCTACTGAAAGCACAAAGCATTTACAACACCTTGTGTCATTTCCCCATGCCCCATTTCCCGTAAGGCAACAGATGTTTCCTGTGCAGTGGGTTGCATCACAGGAGAAGAATCTTAAATTTAGAAGCCTCCAAGCTTTTATCAAAGCTGCTGGTGACCTACCCATTCCTCCCATTCAGGAGAGAAATTATTCATTATCTTGAAATGTAAGTGAATTTCCTCTGGGAAGAGGAAGAAGGCCCCTCTAGGTTTATCACCCTGGAATGTAACACACTCTGGGGTTTGGGAGGTGGATATTAATATCATTATGCGCTTTCTCACCTACAGAAGACTAGTCTGAACTTGTGGCAGGAACCTAGCCAGCTTGATTGCCTGCTAAAACAAAAATATCAACATTCTTAATAGGATTTAAATAAGATCCAGCATCTCAAAACAGAATATTCAAAATATCCATGATACGGTCCAAAATTACAAAGCAAACAAACAAAAAAAAAAACAACAAGAAAATCTCAATTCATATAGGGAAAAAAAAGGACAATGCTGAGATAACACAGATGATAAAATTGTCTGATGAAGGCTTTAAAGCAACTACTAATATTTGTTAGGAGTCTATTCTCCATTGGTCTCTTGCATTTCTACAGGTGTTCTAGGCAAAGGCATTAACAGCTTTTTCTCTGAACTATCTTTTTTAGCTGTTTGTATAGCAAACATCCTTGGAAGATAGAATGTCTTCCTTTGGGACCAAGGACAGATTTTTTTCCTTCCAGGATGAAAAAAAAAAGATAATGTCTCTCTCCAGGGCAAGGCTGGGCAGGTTTGCTGGCCCTTTATTGAAGACTGGTGTTTCCCACAGCATTCATAAATCCCACTACATATACAGGTATCACCAGGCCCTCACAGCATCACTGTGTGGGAACTGAGGCTCAGAAAACTGGGTTAAATGCTGATACTCTGCCTCCTGCTATTCGTGTGGGTAATAAACTGTCCTTTGTCTCTGACCCAGGAGTCTCGTGTCTTCTGTCACTATTCATGAAATTGTGGCAGCCTAACTTGTTAACTTGCAAGTAAGGTAAAATATCAGACCCTCCAAAGTTCTTGACTTTGTTATAACAATTCTCCTACAAGCAGTCACAAGCATTTTTGAAGCCAATAAGAAAAAAATAGAAAGTATCAGCAAATAAATAGAAGACATAAAGAAGAATCAAATGGATATTTTAGAACAGAAAAATACAATAGCCAACATTTAAAAAAAATTCACTGGATGGTTTCAATAGCAAGGTAAACATGACAGAGTCAATGAACTTGTAAATAGATCAATAAAAATTAACCAATCTGAACAGCAGAGAGAAAAAAGATTTGAAAAAACAATGAGTAGAATCTCAGAGACCTCTCGGATAATGACAAAAGGTGCTGAAAAATTTAGAATAATGGAAGAAAAGGTCTCAAATTTGGCAAAAGACAAATCTACAGATTTAAGAAGTTCAACAAACCCCAAACAGGTTTAACACATAAATTTATACCCAAACACATCACAATCAAAATGCTGAAAATGAAGACAAAGAAAAAAATCTTGGAAGTAGCTAGAGAAATTCAAAGTACTACCTACACACAAACAATCTGAATCACAGCAAATCTCTCAGCAGGATCCATGCAAACCACAGAAGTGGCACAATAATTTTTTTTTTTTTTTGAGACGGAGTCTTGCTCTGTCGCCCAGACTGGAGTGCAGTGGTGTGATCTAGGCTCACTGCAAGCTCTGCCTCCTGGGTTCATGCCATTCTCCTATCTCAGCCTCCCAACTAGCTGGAACTACAGGCACCTGCCACCACGCTCGGCTAATTTTTTTGTATTTTTATTAGAGACGGGGTTTCACCATGTTAGCCAGGATGGTCTCAATCTCCTGACCTCATGATCCACCCACCTTGGCCTCCCAAAGTGCTGGGATTACAGGCATGAGCCACCGCGCCCGGCCAGAAGTGGCACAATAATTTTAAAGCACTGAAAGTGTCAACACAGAATACTACATCTAGTGAAAATATCCATCAGGAATTCAGGTGAAATAATGGCATTCTCATATGAAGACAAACTAAAAGAATTCATTTCTAGCAGAGCTGTTCTAAAATAATTGCTAAAGAAAATTCTTCAGACAGAGGGAAATGATACCAGAAGGAAACCTGAAAACATCAGGAATGAAGGAAGAGCACCAGAAATGGTAAATATCTGTGTAAAAATAGTAGTCTATTCTCCTATTCTCCTCTTAAGTTTTGTTTGTTTTTTAAATTATACTTTAAGTTCTAGGATACATGTGCAGAATGTGCAGGTTACATAGGTATATATGTGCCATGGTGGTTTGCTGCACCCATCAACCCATCATCTACATTAGGTATTTCTCCTAATGCTATCCCTCCCCTAGTACCCCATCCCCCAACAGGCCCCGGTGTGTGATGTTCCCCTCCCTGTGTCCATATGTTCTCATTGTTCAACTCCCACTTATGAGTGAGAACATGTGGCGTTTGGTTTTCTGTTCCTGTGTTAGTTTGCTGAGAATGATGGTTTCTAGCTTCATCCATGTCCCTGCAAAGGACATTAACTCATCCTTTTTTATGGCTGCATAGTGTTCCATGGTGTATATGTGCCACATCTAGTCTATCATTGACAGGTACTAAGTTCTTTAAAAATATATTTGATGGTTGAAAATAACTGTACCATTGTCTAATGGGGTTTTAAACATATGTAGACGTAATTCATGACAACTCTAACGTAAGGGGTACAGGTTAAGTAGACCTATATGTAAGGTTTCTACATTCTACTTAAAATGGGGGGAAAAGACATTCTAAGCAGATTCAAAAAGCTAAATATGTATATTTGCATTATGTGAAACTCATGTTTGCCTCAGGGTCTTTCCAGTTGCTTTTCCTTTTGTCTGAAAAAATATTCCCCTATATATACACATCATTTGCTCCCTCAACTAATTCATGTGTCCGCATAAATGCCACCTCTTCAAGGAAGCCTTCCCTTAACCACCCTCATAAAATAACCACCTCTTCCCATTAGATTCTACCTTTATATTTGATTTTTTCTTCATTCATTTATCATTATCCAAAATTTGATATTTTTGTTAATTTATCTTCCCACTAGCATGCAGGTGATGGTCTGCCTGTTCACTTCTGTATTCCCAGGGCCTAGACCAATGCACTGGTTTTTGTTTGTTTAACCTATCAAGAACTGAGAGAGTTGCATAGAAATTTGCCACCTCCTGTAGTTCTAACATTTTTTGCTGTATATAGCTTAAGTCCATTTTATTAGTTACAAACAGGATTAGAATTTTTCTGTTTTTTTTCTGGTGAAAAAAACCTTTTATCAGTAGGTAATGACCTTTTTATTCTAATAATCTTTTTTTGTCTTAAAATCTTTTTTCTGAAATTAATGTATGTATGTGAATTCTTTGTATTAAGATCTGCCTGGTATATGTTTTTCTATCTCTTATCTTCTACTGTTTTGCCTGTATGTTTTCAGATTCTTGTATATGTCATACAGCTAGATTTTTCTTTTCATTTCAGTCTGACAAACTCTATCTTTTAATTGGTAAATGTCATACATTTATGTTTATTGTGATTCTTGATATAGTTGGATTTGTTTATATATCTTTTTTGTTTATATTTGCCTTGCTTTTTCTGAGCTACTATTTTTATAGCCCCAACGTTTTTGCATTTTTTTTTTTTTTTGAGACGGAGTCTCGCTCTGTCGCCCAGGCTGGAGTGCAGTGGCGTGATCTCGGCTCACTGCAAGCTCTGCCTCCCGGGTTCATGCCATTCTCCTGCCTCAGCCTCCCAAGTAGCTGGGACTACAGGCGCCCGCCACCATGTCTGGCTAATTTTTTGTATTTTTAGTAGAGACGGGGTTTCACCGTGTTAGCCAGGATGGTCTCGATCTCCTGACCTCGTGATCTGCCCGTCTCAGCCTCCCAAAGTGCTGGGATTACAGGCGTGAGCCACGGCGCTGGCTGTTTCTGCATTTTTAAAAAACTGACTTTATGGTTAGATTTTTTAAATTCCATTTTTCCTCCACTGAATTGGAATTCATAGCTCTGTATTTATTCCTTTTTTTTTTAACAACTGTCCCTGCATTTTATAAGTGTCTAACTTAACAAAATGTAAAGGCAAACATATCTTAACTTTCCTTTGAAACGAAGTAATGATCTTAGAATAATTTTAATTACATTGACCCTCCCCCAAATGCCTACTTGCTATTGTTATTGGAGGCATTAGTTCAAAACTTCACAAATCGGACCTTATTTTTCTAGACTGATGTTTGGACTGACAAGCTTGTTCACCATTTTATTCACTCACCATTCTATTTTGTACTTCAGACCATTCTTTTATGATAATTTCCTTTTTTTAAGCTCTGACTTAACAAAGCACTTATATTCCAGGTTTGGTTCTAAGTGCTTTATTTTATATTAGTTCATTTAATCCTCATAACAATTCCATGAATACAATTATTGTCAAAATTTTACAAGTGAGAAAAAAAACTGAAGCACAGAGGTGTTAACTCACTTGTCCAGTGTTCCACAGCTAGCAAATGGTGGAATAGGGATTCACACCTATGGAGTCTCCAAAGTGCATATTCTTAACTCCTGTGAAATACTATCTCTCAACTACAGTCACACATCACTTAATGATGGGATACATTCTGAGAAAGGTGAAATGTGTCCTTACGTGATTTCATCATTGTGCAAACCACAGACTGTACTTACACAAACCTAGATGGTATAGCCTACTACATATTTAGACTATATGGCATAGCCTTTTGCTCCTAGGCTACAAACCTGTATAGCATATTACTGTACTGAATAGGCAACTGTAATACGAGTATGTATTTGTATATCTAAACATAGAAAAGGTCCAGTAAAAATACAGTATTACAGGTTGCGTATCCCTAATCCTAAATCCTTAGGACAAGAAAATTTTGGTTTTGAATTTTTTTTTTATTTTGGAATATTTGCATGATACTTAGTGTTGAGCATCCCTAACCTGAAAATCCAAAGAAATGTTCCAAGGAACCTTTCCTTTGAGTATCATGTTGGCACTCAAAAAGTTTCAAATTTTGGAGTATTTTGGATTTTGGATTTTTGGATTAGCAATACTCAGCCAATATAATCTTATGGGACCACCATTGTATATGCGGTCTGTTATTGACCAAAACTTTGTCATGTAGTGCATGACTATATGTCATTTAGGAGTTTTGTGCATATCTCTGAGCTAAACTCTCAATTATCACTTATCTTTAAATGTCTCTATTTCACTCTTCTTAAAAGGTAGTCTGGGCAAGTACATAATTCTAGTTGACCATTATCTTTTGGCACTTGAAAGGTATTATTCCATTAACTTCTGGTTTCCATTGATGCTGATAATAAATCCACTGTCATTTTCACTGCTGTTCTTTTGCAAGTGATCTGCCCTTTCTAGCTGCTTGTAAGATCTTACAAATTCTGCAGGTTCTTTATACAATGTCATTATACATTTCTGTTTATGTATCCTGCTTTCATTATCTTGTGACTCCCAGATCTGTTAATTCATTTTTTTCATCATTTCTGCAAAAATCACAGCACTATTTATCTAAATGATACCTCTCATTAGAACACTTCTTACCAGTGGGAGGTAAAGGGCAGGGATTGACTAGCAAGGGGCATAAGGGAATTTTCTGAAGAGCAGTATATGGTTTTTTTTGACAGTTTGTGTTACACAGGTATATGCACTTGTAAAAATTTACCAAATATTGTACTTAAGATCTGTGCATTTTATTGTATGTACATTTTAAATACAAAAAAGCTATAGAACAATACTGAATACTAATGATGAACATACTAAAATGTTTAGTGGTGATGTCTACAACTTACTCTGAAATGCATAAAAAATAGGATTGATGGATGGTTAAGTGGATAGCTATATGATACAGTAAATATAACAAAATGTTCTAGAATTAATTGGTAAATGTAAAAGTTCACTGTGTAATTCTTTCAACTTTTCTGTATGTTTGAACAATTTCACAAAATATTAGGGGGCAGGGAGTATTGCCTCTACTTTTTTCCTTCTTTTCTTTCTTTCTGAGATTTCAATTAGTCATATGTGTGACTTTCTTATCCAAGCTTCCATCTCTTAATATTGTTTTCATATTTTTACTTCCTTGTCTCTCCTTAGTATACCCTGGGTAATTTTTAAAGATATCTTCTCATTTATTTTTTAAGAGACAAGGTCTCCCTCAGTCGCCCAAGCTGGAGCACAGTGGCATAATCATAGCACTCTGAAGCCTCAAACTCCTGGGCTCAAGTCATGCTCTGCTTTAGCCTTTTGAGTAGCTAGGACTACAGGCATACACTAACATGCCCAGCTAATTTTTAAACTTTTTTGTAGAGACAGGGTCTCACCATGTTGTCCAGGTTGGTCTTGAACTCCTAGCCTCAAGTGATCGTCTCACCTCGGCCTCCCAAAGTGCTGGGATTATAGGCATGAGCCACCTCAGTGGCTTCATTTATTAATTCTCTCTTCATCTGTATCAAATTTGCTCTTTAACCTTTCCACTGAGTTTTGTTATTCTAACAATTATATTTTATATTTCTAGAGCATCTCCCCATCTCCCAACTACCTTCCAACCTGTCTGTCCATTCCTGGTAATCTCTTGCTCATCTTTATAACATCCTTTACCTTTTAAAATATTCAGAACACAGAAATTCTATACTTTTCATATCTGTCAATTCCACTACCTACAGTCCTTGGAGTTACACATCTACTGAAGTTTATTTCTGCAGACACTCATAGCAGTTTGGCTTTTTGGTGTATTTTTCTCTGTGTGCTACAGCTTGAATAGCTTCTATTGCTATGTCTTCAAGGTCATCAATCTTTTCTTCTACATTAAATTTGCTTTAAGCTCCTACAGTGATTTAAATTTTTTTCAGATATTGCATTACATAAGTCTAAAAGCTGCATTTCATTGTTTTTCATATCTTCATTTTTTCTTATGTTCATATTTTCTTGTAAATTCTTAATTATATTAGTAATAGCTGTTTTAATGGTTTTTTTTGTGCTAATTCCATGATCTCTGTCATTTCTGATTCTATTGACTGATTTTTCTTCTGGTATGGATCATATTTTGTTGAATCTTCATGTGTCTAGTAATTTTTTATTGTATAGTTGTAACTGCTACATTGCTTAGTATCTTGATGTTGTGAAGTTGTTTCCTTCTTTTACACAGTGTTGAATCCTGTTTCGGCAGGTAGTTTTTTTTTTTTTTTTTTGAAACAGAAGTCATCAATGGTGACATGCTGGATGCCACAGATGGTGGCACTCTGCCTCATGTATGTCTTGACAGTGTGTGCAACTTCTCATCTCTCCAGAAGGTCGGGTGGGTCAGCAGGTCCACGATGTAGGTCCCCATTGTGTCAGACCCCTGCTGCCCGTGAGCTCGTCACAGATCCAGCTATGGCTGGGGCTCAGCAGGCTGCCTGAGTAGATGCAGGTGTCGCAGATCATCATCACTCCTGCGTAGTGCTTCGAGACTGGTTGCTTCACCTGCACACAAAGGCAGGTAGGAAATGCAGCATGTTCCCCACCACGTTCATCAGCTGCAGGCAGTTAACACAAGGCCATCACCATCCAAAAGGCATCCACTGATGTTGCTGTGTTCTTGCAAACCACAGTCTTCCCAATACCCTGATGGACTGTGTATTAGTCTATTCTCACACTGCTATAAAGAAATACCCGAGACTGGGTAATTTATTTATTTTCTCAAGATGGAGTCTCGCTCTGTCACCCAGGCTGGAATGCAGTGGTCGATCTTGGCTCACTGCAACCTCTTCCTCCCGAGTTCAAGCAATTCTCCTGCCTTAGCCTCCCAAGTAGCTGGGACTACAGGCGTGTACCACCACGCCTGGCTAATTTTTGTATTTTTAGTAGAGATGGGGTTTCACCATATTGGTCAGGCTGGTCTTGAACACCTGACCTCGTGATCCACCCGCCTCAGCCTCCCAAAGTACTGGTTACAGGCTTGAGCCACCGCACCTGGCCGAGACTGGGTAATTTATAAAGGAAAGAGTTTAATTGACTCACAGTTCCACGTGGCTGGAGAGGGCTCAGGAAACTTACAATCATGGCCAGAAGGTGAAGGGGAAGCAAGGACCTTCTTTTTTTTTTTTTCTCTTCTTAACCACTTTATTTCCTCCCAATTATTATTATTATTATTATTATTTATTATTATACTTCAAGTTTTAGGGTACATGTGCACAACGTGCAGGTTAGTTACATACGTATACATGTGCCATCCTGGTGCGCTGCACCCACTAACTCGTCATCTAGCATTAGGTATATCTCCCAATGCTATCCCTCCCCCCTCCCCCCACCCCACAACAGTCCCCAGAGTGTGATGTTCCCCTTCCTGTGTCCATGTGATCTCATTGTTCAATTCCCACCTATGAGTGAGAATATGCGGTGTTTGGTTTTTTGTTCTTGCGATAGTTTACTGAGAATGATGATTTCCAATTTCATCCATGTCCCTACAAAGGACATGAACTCATCATTTTTTATGGCTGCATAGTATTCCATGGTGTATATGTGCCACATTTTCTTTCTTTTTTTTTTTTAATTATACTTTAAGTTTTAGGGTACATGTGCACATTGTGCAGGTTAGTTACATATGTATACATGTGCCATGCTGGTGCGCTGCACCCACTAACTCGTCATCTAGCCTTAGGTATATCTCCCAATGCTATCCCTCCCCCCTCCCCCCACCCCACCACAGTCCCCAGAGTGTGATATTCCCCTTCATGTGTCCATGTGATCTCATTGTTCAATTCCCGCCTATGAGTGAGAATATGCGGTGTTTGGTTTTTTGTTCTTGCGATAGTTTACTGAGAATGATGATTTCCAATTTCATCCATGTCCCTACAAAGGACATGAACTCATCATTTTTTATGGCTGCATAGTATTCCATGGTGTATATGTGCCACATTTTCTTAATACAGTCTATCATTGTTGGACATTTGGGTTGGTTCCAAGTCTTTGCTATTGTGAATAATGCCGCAATAAACATACGTGTGCATGTGTCTTTATAGCAGCATGATTTATAGTCATTTGGGTATATACCCAGTAATGGGATGGCTGGGTCAAATGGTATTTCTAGTTCTAGATCCCTGAGGAATCGCCACACTGACTTCTACAATGGTTGAACTAGTTTACAGTCCCACCAACAGTGTAAAAGTGTTCCTATTTCTCCACATCCTCTCCAGCACCTGTTGTTTCCTGACTTTTTAATGATTGCCATTCTAACTGGTGTGAGATGATATCTCATAGTGGTTTTGATTTGCATTTCTCTGATGGCCAGTGATGATGAGCATTTTTTCATGTGTTTTTTGGCTGCATAAATGTCTTCTTTTGAGAAGTGTCTGTTCATGTCCTTTGCCCACTTTTTGATGGGGTTGTTTGTTTTTTTCTTGTAAATTTGTTTGAGTTCATTGTAGATTCTGGATATTAGCCCTTTGTCAGATGAGTAGGGTGCGAAAATTTTCTCCCATGTTGTAGGTTGCCTGTTCACTCTGATGGTAGTTTCTTTTGCTGTGCAGAAGCTCTTTAGTTTAATTAGATCCCATTTGTCAATTTTGGCTTTGGTTGCCATTGCTTTTGGTGTTTTGGACATGAAGTCCTTGCCCATGCCTATGTCCTGAATGATAATGCCTAGGTTTTCTTCTAGGGTTTTTATGGTTTTAGGTCTAACGTTTAAGTCTTTAATCCATCTTGAATTGATTTTTGTATAAGGTGTAAGGAAGGGATCCAGTTTCAGCTTTCTCCATATGGCTAGCCAGTTTTCCCAGCACCATTTATTAAATAGGGAATCCTTTCCCCATTGCTTGTTTTTCTCAGGTTTGTCAAAGATCAGATAGTTGTAGACATGCGGCATTATTTCTGAGGGCTCTGTTCTGTTCCATTGATCTATATCTCTGTTTTGGTAACAGTACCTTGCTGTTTTGGTTACTGTAGCCTTGTAGCATAGTTTGAAGTCAGGTAGTGTGATGCCTCCAGCTTTATTCTTTTGGCTTAGGATTGACTTGGCGATGCGGGCTCTTTTTTGGTTCCATATGAACTTTAAAGTAGTTTTTTCCAGTTGTGTGAAGAAAGGCATTGGTAGCTTGATGGGGATGGCATTGAATCTGTAAATTACCTTGGGCAGTATGGCCATTTTCACGATATTGATTCTTCCTACCCATGAGCATGAAATGTTCTTCCATTTGTTTGTATCCTCTTTTATTTCCTTGAGCAGTGGTTTGTAGTTCTCCTTGAAGAGGTCCTTCACATCCCTTGTAAGTTGGATTCCTAGGTATTTTATTCTCTTTGAAGCAATTGTGAATGGGAGTTCACTCATGATTTGGCTCTCTGTTTGTCTGTTGTTGGTGTATAGGAATGCTTGTGATTTTTGCACATTGATTTTGTATCCTGAGACTTTGCTGAAGTTGCTTATCAGCTTAAGGAGATTTTGGGCTGAGACAATGGGGTTTTCTAGATATACAATCATGTCATCTGCAAACAGGGACAATTTGACTTCCTCTTTTCCTAATTGAATACCCTTTATTTCCTTCTCCTGCCTAATTGCCCTGGCCAGAACTTCCAACACTATGTTGAATAGGAGTGGTGAGAGAGGGCATCCCTGTCTTGTGCCAGTTTTCAAAGGGAATGCTTCCAGTTTTTGCCCATTCAGTATGATATTGGCTGTGGGTTTGTCATAGATACCTTCTTTACATGGTGGCAGGAGAGAGAAGTGCAAGCAGGGGAAATGCCAGACGCTTATAAAACCATCAGATCTCATGAGAATTCACTCACTATCATGAGAGCAGCATGGGAGAAACAGCCCCCATGATCCAGTCACCTCCTATTGGGTCCCTCCTTCAACACGTGTGGATTATGGGGATTACCATTCAAGGTGAGATGTGGGTGGGGACAGAGACCCAAACCATATCAGACCAAGATGGAGTCTGTTCACACAGGCTCAGGAGGGGAACTCATCTGGCCAGCTTGCAGCAGAAACAATCATAGACACAGACAACAAATCTAGAGCCTTGACATGTATCTGCTGGGTGAGTGGAGGGGAGATGCTGATGCCCACCAGATCCACATCTTGATGCAGCAAGATGTCATCAGTCTGGCTGACATAGAAGCAGCAAGCTGCTTTGCCTCCTCCTCAGTCTTCCCCCAAAGGGTCTCACCAGTGAACCCTTCTGCCCTCAGCAGTGAGAGCAGAACCCGGGTGGAGCTGCCAGTCCCAAACTGGCCCACTCCTGGAGGCATCTTCATCCTGGCCTCTCTCTTCACCAATTCATCTCCTCACAAGAACCTCCAGCATGGCTATGACCTTCCCAATGTTCTGGTCAAACATGGCGTCTGGCACCCTGGCATCACCCACCCTGTAATGCACTGAAGACCATGAGTCTGGATGGGTCTCCATGGCCACCCGTCTGCCTTCAGGGAGGCTGGTGGGGATGCGAGAGCCTGGAATCCAGCGTGCCACCACCGGGAATATGCAGCCTGGTTTCTAAAGAATGGGAAGCTGTGGAAAGGGTGCTACTTATTTTTGTATGTTTATTTGTATCCTGCAACTTTACAGAATTTGTTTATCAGTCCTAATACTCTTCTTGTGGAATCTTTAGGTTTTTCCAAATGTAAAATCATATCATCAGCAAACAACAATAATTTGACTTCTTCCTTTCCAATTTGGAAGCCTTTTCTTTCTCTTGTGTGATTGCTCTATCTAGGATATACAGTACTGTGTTGAATAACAGTGGTCACAGTGGGCATCCATGTTGTGTTCCAGATCTTAGAAGGTTTTCAGTTTTTCCCCATTCAATATGACACTAGCTATGGGTCTGTCATATATGGCATTTATTATGTTATGTTCCATCTATACCCAGTTATTTGAGGGTTTTTATCATGAAGGGATGTTGAATTTTATAAAAAGATTTTTCAGCATCAATTGAAATGACCATATGGTTTTTGTTCTTCATTCTGTTGATATGTTATCACATTATCACACTGACTGATTTGCATTTGTTGAAACCCCCTTGCATCCCAGGGATAAATCCCACTTGATCGTGATGAATGATTTTTTTAATGCGTTGCTGAATATGGTTTGCTAGTATTTTATTGAAGACTTTTGCATCAATGTTCATCAGGGATATTGGCCTGTAGTTTTCTTCTTTTGATTCATCTTTGTCTGATTTTGCCTCATAGAATGAGTTTGGAAGTATTCCCTCCTCCTCTATTTTTTGGAATAGTTTGAGCAGGATTGGTAATAGCTCTTCTTTAAATGTTTGGTAAAATTTGGCAGTGAAGCCATCAGGTCCCAGGCTTTTTTAATTTAATTTTTTATTTTTTTCTGAGGCGAAGTCTCACTCTGTCGCCCAGGCTGGAGTGCAGGGCGTGATGTCAGCTCACTGCAACCTCCGCCTCCTGGGTTGAAGCAGTTCTCCTGCCTCAGCCTCCCAAGTAGCTGGGATTACAGGTGCCTGCCACCACACCTGGCTAATTTTTTGTATTTTTAGTAGAGACGGGTTTCACCATGTTGGCCAGGCTGGTCTGGAACTCCTGACCTCAGGTGATCCACCCACCTCCACCTCCTAAAGTGTTGGGATTACAGGCGTGAGCCACTGCACGCAGCCTGATCGATTCATTTTTATTGTTCTACTTAAGATATGAGTCATTTACACACCTCAATTACAGTTACAATATTCTGTATTTTTCTATTTACTGTTACCAGTGAGTTTTGTACCTTCAGATGATTTCTTATTGCTCATTAACATCGTTTTCTTTCAGATTGAACTCCTTTTGGCATTTCTTGTAAGACAGGTCTGGTGTTGATGAAATCCCTCAGCTTTTGTCTGTCTGGGAAAGTATTTCTCCTTCATGTTTGAAGGACATTTTTGCTGGGTATACTATTTGAAGGTAAAAGTTTTTTTCCTTCAGCACCTAAAATATGTCATGCCATTCTCTCCTGGCCTATAAGGTTTCCACTGAAAAGTCTGTTGCCAGACCTATTGGAGTTCCATTGTATGTGGTTTTTTTGTTTGCTTTTCTTTGAGACAGAGTCTCACTTTGTCACCCAGACTGTGGTGGAGTGGCACGATCTTGGCTCACTGCAACCTTTGTCTCCCATGTTCAAATGATTCTCATGCCTCAGCCTCCTGGGTAGCTGGAATTACAGGCACACACCACCATGCCCGGCTAATTTTTGTATTTTTAGTAGAGACAGGGTTTTGCCACGTTGGCCAGGCTGAACTCCTGACCTCAAGCGATCCACTTGGTCTCAGCCTCCCAAAGTGCTCAATTACAGGCGTAAGCCACCATGCCTGGCCTCCATTGTATGTTGTTTCTTTTCTCTTGCTGCTTTTAGGATCCCTTTTTTATTTTTGACCTTTGGGAGTTTGATTATTAAATGCCTTGAGGTAGTCTTCTTTGGGTTAAATGGGCTTAGTGTTCTATAACCACCTTGTACTTGAATATTGATTGATTTTTTTTTTTTTTTGAGACAGAGCCTCACTCTGTCACCCAGGCTGGAGTGCAGTGGCACAATCTCGGCTCACTGCAACCTCTGTCTCCCGGGTTTAAGCGATTCTCCTGTATCAGCCTCCCGAATAGCTGGGATTACAGGTGTGCACAATCACACCTGGCTAATTTTTGTATTTTTAGTAGAGACGAGGTTTCACCATGTTGGCCAGGTTGGTCTTGAACTCCTGAGCTCAGGCAATCTGCCCGCCTTGGCCTCCCAAAGTGCTGGGATTACAGGCATAAGCCACTGTGCCCAGCCTGAATATTGATATGTTTTTTAAGTTTGGGCTGGTGTCTCACTAGCTCACGTGTCCCCCAAGTCCACTAGTTACGAGCCCAGCACAGCATTAGAACTTTCTAGGCCAGGTGCGGTGGCTCAGGCCTGTAATCCGAGCACTTTGGGAGGCCGAGGCAGGTGGATCATGAGGTCAGGAGTTCAAGACCAGCCTGGCCAAGATGGTGAAATCCCATCTCTACTAAAAATACAAATATTAGCTGGGCATGGTGGTGGGCACTTGTAATCCCAGCTACTCGGGAGGCTGAGGCAGAGAATTGCTTGAACCTGGGAGGCGGAGGTTGCAGTGAGCCAAGATTGCGCCACTGCACTCCAGCCTGGGTGACAGAGCCAGACTCTGTCTCCAAAAAAAAAAAAAAAAAAGAACTTTCTAGGAGATGCAGTCCTTGTGGCCTAGACCGTCTTTCAGGTTTATTTAGGACTGTAGGGCATGTTAGCCCATGGTGGCAAAGCTTGCTGAAACTCATGTTCTGACCTCTGGGATGGGCAAATTCCCTCTGGCTAGGGCTGGTCTAAATGCTCCCTCTGAGGATGCTGGCTGAGTTCTGCCCAGTGTTGCTCTCAACTGCAACATGGGAGCACTAAATTCCAACACAGTCCCACAATCACTGCGATCTCCCTCCTTCAACTGTAGAGTCTCTCTGTGTGCCACGTGGCCACTGCTGGGGGCTGGGGAAGGGGAGGTGTTAGCAATTTAAGACTGTCTTTCCTACCCTCCTCAGTGTCTCTTTCAGTCATATGAAGTTAAAACCAGGTACTATGAGTGCTCACCTGATTTTTGGTTCTTATGAAGGTGCTTTTTAATATAGATAGTGGTTAAATTTGGTGTCCCTGTCAGGAGACACCTCCACAATTGGTGGAGGCTTCTATTTAGCTGTCTTGCTCTGCCTCCTCCATTTTGTTGTTGTTGTTGTTGTTTTTTTAGACAGACTCGCACCCCGGTTGGAGTGCAGTGACACAAAAATGGCTCACTGCAGCCTTGACCTCTGGGACTCAAGTGGTTCTCCCACCGCAGCCTCCTGAGTAGCTGGGACTACATGTGTGCACCATCGTGCTCAGCTCATTTGTGTTTTTAATTTTTTTGTAGAGATGATGTCTTACTATGTTGCCCAAGCTGGTCTCAATGTCCTGGGCTTAAGGGATCCTCTGGCCTCAGCCTCCCAAAAGTACTGGGATTATAGGCATGACCTGTTATTGTTTATGAACTGTGTGCTCTTTACAATTTTCTCTTTGCAAGCATTTACTCTTTGATTTAACTCACCATTACTACAACCACTTGTCACTCATAGATTTGCCAGAGATTAGGTAAATATTTTACTTGTTTCTATTAATCTTTTTTTAAATGTACATGTAGCTTGCATTTATTTCAATGTTTAAAACTGGAGATGTTTTGGGTCTTTCTTTAGAACTTTGATGATGTTTATAAAACATCTGTAGGAACTTAATTCTTGTTTATATAAATTAGCCTTTTTTTTTTTTTTTGAGACAGAGTCTTCCTCTGTTGGCTAGGCTAGAGCACAATGGCTCAACCTCAGCTCACCGTAATCTCTACCTCCCGGATTCAAGTGATCCTTCCACCTCAGCCTCCCAAGTAGCTAGGACTACAGGCTTTTTTTTTTGTTTTTGGTAGAGACGAGGCTCACTCTATTGCCCAGGCTGGTCTTGAACTCCTGAGCTCAAGTGAACCTCCCATCTCAGCCTCCCAAAGTGCTGGGATTACAGGTGTGAGGCAGTGTGCCTGGCAAGCCTATGGCAAAACTGGCTTCCTGATGTATCATTTGCTTAAAGTCACAGTTTCCAAGTACCTATCAACATTAAGTGATGACTTAAACTGTATAATCCTTTAACTATACTGCTGAATTCTGTTTGCAAGTACCTTTCTGAGGATTTTTGCATCAGTCTTCATAAGGGATACTGGTCTGTAGTTTTCCTGTAGTACCTTTACTGGCTTTGGTATTAGGTTAATGCTGGCCTCATAGAACGTGTTAAGGGTATGCCCTCATCTTCAATTTTTGGGAAGTCTGAAATGATTGATACAGTTCTTCTTTAAATGCTTGGTAGAATTAATCAGTGAAGCCATCAGGTTTAGGGCTTTTCTTTGACAGGAGATGTTTGATTACTGATTGAATCTCTTTAGTAGTTACAAATCTACTCATATTTTTTATTTCTTCATGGTTTAGCCTGGTAGGTTTAGTGTTTCTAGGAATTTCTCCATTTCACTTGGGTTATCCAATTTCTTGGCAGACAATTGCTGACAGTATTCCCCTATAACTCTTTTCATTTCTGTAGAAATGGTAGTAATGTCTTCATTTTCATTTCTGACTTGTCTCCTTTGTTATAAGTAGATCTAGCTAGAGATTTGCAAAGTTTTTTGATTTTTGAATAACCAACTTTTGGTTTCATTTTGATTTTTCTATATTATTTTTCTAGTCTCTATTTCATTTATATCTATTCTAATCTTTACTACTTCCTTTCTACTGCTAGCTCTGGGTTTAGTTTGCTCTTCCTTTTCAGTTCCTTAAATTGGAAAGTCCGGTTGGTGATTTGATATTTTTCTTATTTTTTAAATAATTTTTAATTTTGCTTTCTTCAGACCAGACTCTTATTTTTTAATGTAAGAATTTATAGCTAGAAACTTCCCCCTTGGCACTGCTTTTGTTGTGTCTCATAAGTTTTGGTATGCTGTGTTTTCATTTTCACTTGTCTTTATAAGTATTTTATTATTTGTCTTGTGGTTTCTTTTTTTTTTTTTTTTTTTAGACAAACAGCTTTATTTGAAAGACGGAGGACAGCCGAGTCCCCCCGACCCCGTGGTCCTGGCGACATCGGTCTCACGTGTGGGAAGACCAGTGTCCTGTGGAGAGAAAACAGGGTTAGGGGTCGGCAGCCTGGGTCAGGAGCCAGACCACGCGAGCGGCCGCACCCAGGGAGAGGCCGCGGGGCCTGTTGGGGCTGGGTTTCACCGCCGCACATGTGTCAGCGTGCGGTGAGCTGAGGCCCCTGGAGGCTCTGGGCGCCGAATCTCACCCGCTGCCATGGCCAAAGCCGGGGGGTGATTTTCAACCAATGCCGGGTGGTTTCTTTTTTGATCTAATGGTTAAGAGTGTGTTAATTTCTATGATTTTTAAATTTTCCAGTTTTCTTTTTGTTTTTGATTTCTAAGTTCATCCCATTGTGGTCAGGGAAGATATTTTGCTGTCTTTTAAAATCAATTCAGACTTAATTTATGACCTATCTTGGAATTTATCCTATGTATACTTGAGAAGAATGTGTATTTCATTGTTGGGTAGAGTGTTCTGTATATGGTTGTTAGATCTAGTTGGTTTATTGTGTTGTGAAAGTCCTATATTTCCTTGCTTAGATTTTGATGGTTCTATCCACTACTGAGATTGGGATATTAAAGTCTCCAACTATTAATGTAGAATTGTACTTCTCCCTTCAATTACGTCAATTTTTGTTTCATATATGTTGATGGTTTGTCATTAGGAGCATACATGTTTACAACTGTTAAACCTTCTTGCTGTATTGAACCTTTTATGTTTTTTATTTTTTTAAGACAGGATCATGCTCTGTCGCCCAGGCTGAAGTGCAGTGGTGTGATCATAGCTCACTGCAGCCTCCAGTGCTTTGGCTCAAGCTATCCTTCTGCCTCAGCCTCCTGAGTAGCTGAGACTACAGGCACATGCTACCATGCTCAGCTAATTTTTTAATTTTCTGTAGAGACAGCGTTTCACTGTGTTGCCCAGGCTGTCTCCAACTCCTGGTCTCAAGGCACCCTCATACCTTGGTCTCCCAAAGTGCTGCGATTACATGCCTGAGCCAACGTGCTCATCCTGAACCGTTTTTTAGTATATAATGTCCTTCTTTGTCTTTAGTAATCTTTTTTGCTTTGAAGTGTATTTTGTTGTATACTAGTATCGCCATCCTTAATATTTGGTAATTAGTTTCATGGAATATCCTTTCCCATTCTTTCACTTTTAACCTGTTTTTGTCTTTGGATCTTAAGTCTCTTACAGACAGCATATACAGTCATGTATCATTTATGTATGGGTATATGTTCTTAGAAATGCATTGTTATGCAATTTCATCATCATGTAAATATCACAGAAGGTACTTACACAAACCTAGATGGTATGGTATAGCCTATTGCTCCTAGGCTACAAAGCTGTTACGGCATGTTACCATACTAAATACTGTAGGTAACTATAACCCAATGGTGTTTGTATATCTAAACATAGAAAATATATAGTAAAAATACGTTATTATAATCTTACCATTGTATTACCATCCTATGTGCATTCCATCATTGACTGAAATGTTATGTGGCACAGGAGTCTTGAATCATGGTTTTTTAAAACCCATTCTTCTAATCTCTGTCTTTTCACTGAAGTTTAACCCATTTACATTTAAAATAATTACTGATGAGGGAATTCTGTCATTTTGCTATTTTCTATATATATTGCAGCTTTTTTTGGTTCCTCATTTCTTATCTGTCTTCTTTCATGTTTAGTTGATTTTTGTAATGAAACTTTTAACTTCCTTTCTTATCTTCTTTTAGCTATTTTCTTTGTGTTATCATGGGATTACATTTGACATCCTAAATAAGGAAGCTTCTAACATAAATTTATAGCAGCTTAATTTGAAAAAGATACAAAAACTGCTCCTTAACTGCCCTGTCCCCCACCCCTTTCAGCTGTTGATATCACATAATTACATCTCTATATAACATGTGTCCAAAACAAACTAAATCTATTAGTCCCTTAAATTAAGTAGAAAACAAGATGTGGAGTTACCTGTTGTGAAAATGTTTTCTGGGTATGTGACCACAAAGTGCATTGTAGCATGCAGTGACCTAAAAATGCATACCAGTGCTAAAATAACTGCTGCTGTCTGCAACATCCCTCCTCTCCTTAGGAATGTTGACCAGACTCTACAAAACCCAAACAGTTCCTGTAAGCAAAGAGTAAACAGATTAAGAAAACAACCAGACGGCTTAACACACCATCAGTGACTTCCCCCGCCCCTTCCATTCCCTCTTCATGATATAAAAGACTAGATAGGCATGTACTATAAGCACTGAAATCTACCTTGTCTTGCTGCTGCCCAAGGCTGCCTTATAAATTTCCCCTGGATAAATCTTTGACTACCTGCCAACCCGGAATCATCTGCCTTTTTTTTTTGGTCTGATGGCAAATCAGTAATTTGCCTCCACTTGTAGAGGGCAATTCTCAGTCCTGGCAGGGAGTTTTCCCAACAAAAGCAAAGTTACAATAACACTAGCTTTTGGCCTAATCATTGGTTTTTGTTAATGTATTGGTCTCAAGTCATGTTGTAAACAAAAAGTGGAGTTACATACCATTGTTACAATAATACTAGCTTTTATAATTTCCCATGTATTTACCTTTACTTATCTTTATTTCTTTATACAAGTTCAGTTACTGTCTAGTGTCCTTTCAACTTGCAGGACTTCATTTAGCATTTCTTGTAGGGCAGGTCTAGTGGTAATGAACTCCCTCAACTTTTGTTTATCTGGAAAGTCTTATCTTCTACTTCAATTTCGAAGGACAGTTTTTGCCAGGTATGGGATTCTTTTATTTTTTTTTTGACACAGAGTTTCGTACTGTTGCCCAGGCTGGGGGGCAGTGGCGCAATCTTAGCTCACTGCAAGCTCCGCCTCCTGGATTCATGCCATTCTCCTGGAGTAGCTGGGACTACAGGCACCCACTACCACGCACAGCTAATTTTTTGTATTTTTAGTAGAGATGGGGTTTCACTGTGTTAACCATGATGGTTTGGATCTCCTGACCTCGTGATCCGCCCGCCTCGGCCTCCCAAAGTGCTGGGATTACAGGCGTGAGCCACTGTGCCTGGCCAGATATGGAATTCTTGATTGATAGACTAAATTTTTTCTTTTACCACTTTGACTATATTAGCTCATTGTCTTCTGGCTTCCAAAGTTTTTGATAAGAAATCTGCTGATAATCTTATTGAGGATCATTTGTATGCGAAGAGTCATTTCTCTTTTGCTGCTTTCAAAATTCTCTTCTGATAGTTTGATTATAATGTATCTCAGTATGTGTTTCTTTGAGTTCATCCTACTTGGTTTATTGAACTTCTTAGATATTCATATTCATGTTTTTCATCAAATATGGGAAGCTGTTGGTCATCATTTCTTCAAATATTCTCACCAGCCTTTTCTCTCTCTTCTCCTTCTGTAGTTATCACAATGTGTATGCTGATCTGGTTGAGGTATCGCACAGGTTCCTTAGACTGCTTTCACATTTCTTCAATCTCTTTTCTTTCTGTTCCTCAGACTCAATAATTTCCATTATCCTCTCTTCAAGTTTTCTGACTCTTTCTTCTAACTGTTCAATGTGCCTTTGAATCCCTCTTGTGAATTTTTAATTTCAGTTATTGTACTTTTTAGCTCCAGAATTTCTTTTTGGTTTCTTTTAGGTTTTCTATCTGTTTTTGATATTTCCATTTTGTTCATAAATAATTTTCTTGACTTTAAATTCCTTTTGTTTTTTGAGTCTCTTTAGGTTTCATTTGAATGGGTTACACTTTCCTGTTTCTCTGTATCCTTTGTGATATTTTTGTTGAAAACCAGACATTAGAATTTACTAATGTGTTAACTCTGGAAATCAGATTCTTCCTCTTCTCCAGGGTTTGCTGTTTTTGTTACTGTTTTTATTATTTTTGTTTTTTTGATTGTTGTAAGCCCTCTTTGCCTAAGATGAGTCTGAAGTATAAATCTAAGGTCTTCTCAGAGGTCTTTTCTGAGCCTGCACCATCCCCTAGGCTGTGCCATGACTTTCTGATTTCTCTCATATATGCAATTGTGTTTATGTCTGGCTCCCAAAAGGGGAAAATGAGAAAAATGAATGGGAGTGGGGAGGGAAACACCAGCTCTTTAATTCTCCTGGAAGTCACTTCAACCAGAAGGTGAGGGGCTTGCAACAATGGAAGTGCAACAATGGCTAATGACTCTCTGCACCTCTGTGATCACGAGTGGCAGTTAGGAATCAGAGCACAGATCTAACGTTTTGAGGACAATGTACTTTTTGCCCCCCTAGCTCCTACAAGCTGTGTGCAAACCACTCTAGGAACATGTGCACAGCTGCGTGCCATGAGATTCAGTGGTAGGAGATGGTTAGCTGCTGCTGTGCCAAGACTGGAAATTGACCAATTTTTTTTTTTTTTTGAGACAGAGTCTCGCTCTGTTACCTAGGCTGGAGTGCAGTGAGGTGATCTTGGCTCACTGCAACCTCCGTCTCCCAGATTCAAGTGGTTCTCCTGCCTCAGCCTCCAGAGTAGCTGGGACTACAGGCATTCACCACCACGCCTGGCTAATTTTATATTTTTCGTAGAGACGGATTTTGCCATGTTGGCCATGCTGGTCTTGAACTCCTGACCTCAGGTGACCCATCCACCTCAACCTCCCAAAGTGCTAGGATTACAGGCATGAGCCACTGCACCCCACCTCTCTTTTCCTTTTTTTGGTCTTAAAACAACATGCATTTATTTGGGTCACAATGCTATAGATTGGCTATTTGGGCTGGGCTCCGCTGGGCAATTCTTCTGGTCTCTGTTGGACTCATTCCCGCATATTTTCCCCCAGTTGCTAGGTTGGCTAAGTGTCGGCTATTCTAAGACAGATGGCTCACTGCTGCTCCACATAATCTCATCTCCCAGTAGGCTAGCCCAGGTTTGTTCTATAGCAGCTGAGCAGGATCCCAGAAAAGCAAGTGGAAGCATGCAAGACTTCTTAAAGGTTACGCTTAAAACAACTACATGATCACTTTCACCACATTCCATTGGGCAAAACTTCATAACACGGCTAGCTCAGATTCCAGGGTTGAGGAAATAGATTCCACTCTTTAATGAGGGGAGTTACAGAGACACATTGCAAATGAATGAATATAGGGAGGAACAGAGAACTGGAGACATTTCTGCAATCCTCTTCAAAGCATTAGCATATATATTTTGCCTTAGGCTTTATTTTCTAAGGGACTCAGGCTATGACAGTGTCTATTACACTAATTTTTTTTTAAAGAAATTGACAAAATTTAACCACAATGTACTGTCCAAGTCTTCCTCTGGAAGCTGCAAGTTTCAATAAATTCTACAGTTCTAAAATACAGATGGTTCCTTGATTTATGACGGAATTATATCCCAGATAAATCCATCACAAGCTGAAAATATCTTAAGTCAAAAACACACTTTTGACATATTATTTTTAACTTACAACGGGTTTATCTGGGACATAACCTCACTGTAAGTCGAGAAGCGTACTAAAATCTATAACATTTTTGGACTATTGTAAAGTTGAAAAATCATAAGTGAAACCGTCGTAAATCAGGGATTGTCTGTACATAAGACAGACTCTGCCAGTGTAATTTTTGTCTAGGTGAGGAGACAGATTTCTGGTGCTTCCTATTCTGCCATTTTCCTAGAATCCTCTCCTATTTGTTTCATTTTCATTCATTCTATATTGATTAATATTAAACATCTAATATTGTGACTTTATATACTACTTTGGCTGAACTCTCATGTTTCTATTTTTTTTGTTCTCATTGTGATTAATTTCTAAATAGTTTATAAATCTGCAATCACGGTTGCGATTTTCTCCTTGACCCAGATTTAAGGCATTTTTCCCTTTAGCTTCCAATTAGATGAATTTCCTTTTATCTTTTTATCTAAAAAATTATTTTTAGTGCTGTTAACAGAGTGTGTAACTTAAAATTGAGATTTTTTGGGTGTAATTTTAAAAATCAATTTTTATAAATGTTTCCTGGTCATTAAAGGCAACTTCTCTATCTGCAAGTTATAAAGTTTAATATAGCTGTTAAATCTTGTATTACTACTTAGGTTCTTTTAAAAATTGTCTATTACTTCCCTGCTGAGGTTTCAAATACAAAGAATGGTATATAATCAAACAATTTAAAGGTGAGGAGAAAGAGAATGTGATGGTTAATAGTGAGTGTCAACTTGATTGTATTGAAGGATGCAAAGTATTGATCCTGTGTGTGTCTGTGAGGGTGTTGCCAAAGGAGTTTAACATTTGAGTCAGTGGGCTGGGAAAGGCAGACCCACCCTTAATCTGGGTGGGCACCATCTAATCAGCTGCCAGCATGATCAGAATATAAAGCAGGCAGAAAAAACGTGAAAAGATTAGACTGGCTTAGCCTCCCAGCCTATACCTTTCTCCTATGCTGGATGCTTCCTGTCCTCAAACATCAGACTCCAAGTTCTTCAGGAACTCGGACTGGCTTCCTTTCTTGCAGCTTGCAGATGGCCTATTGTGGGACCTTGTGATGGTGTGAGTTAAAACTACTTAATAAACTCTCCTTTATATATAAATATATATATCTATTCCATTAGTTCTTTCCCTCTAGAGAAACCTAATACAGATTTTGGTACCAGGAGTGATTCTACAGGAACAGAATATTAAGGATGGAGTTCTTTTGTTGGTTTTGGGGTTTCTGAAGTTGGCTGCTTAATATGATTAGACCCCAAAATGCTAAGGACTCTAATAGTATGGAGAACACTGATAGTCGCTGGCATGAACTTTTTTTTTTTTTGAGACGGAGTCTTGCTCTGTCACCCAGGCTGGAGTGCAGTGGCGCAGTCTTGGCTCACCGCAAGCTCTGCCTCCCGGGTTCACGCCATTCTCCTGCCTCAGCCTCCCGAGTAGCTGGGACCACAGGCACCCACCACCATGCCCGGCTAATTTTTTGTATTTTTAGCAGAGATGGGGTTTCACCATGTTAGCCAGGATGGTCTCGATCTCCTGACCTTGTGATCCGCCTGCCTCGGCCTCCCAAAGTGCTGCGATTACAGGCTTGAGCCACCGCGCCCGGCCTGGCATGAACTTTTTAGAGAGTTATGAAAAATAAATGCGTTTGACACTCCTGATTCACCACTTGTGAGAGGCAAGGAGTTTAGTGACTCTATACATAATACCTTTGACTCTATGTGGAGAACAAAGGAACATAATTAAGTTGGTTGGTTGTTCCTAAGTTCACTGGACAAAGTGAATCCAAAGGGATTCTAACTCCTCGCTCCAGAAGCAGATACTGAGCCTCAAATCTAAGACTGTCCTAAGTGAGAGTCTTATCTCCTGTAGAGAAAGAACTGAAATTGTGGAAAAACAGACACAAGCTCTTATTAGGCAAGTGGCTGACCTGCAACAAAAGGTGCATGCACAGCCTTGCCAGGTGTCTACTGTTAAAGTGAGGGCATTGATTGGAAAAGAATGGGACACTGTAAGTTGGAATGGGGACACTGAGCTTGTAAACGCTGATGAACTTTTTTTGCCAAAAGAAACAGCTTCCCCATCCCGGGTAGCAAGTAGCGGCAACATCCCCTCCCTGACCCACACTGTCATCAGCCTTTCTACCTTTGTCGGAGGAGATAAACCCTACACTGCCTGAGGCAACAGTGATGGCCTCCCCTGAGGCAGCTGCCAGGCAAGATAACGTTGATTCTCCTCAGGAGCCACCCCCAATACCCTTGTTTGCTTCTGGATCTATAACAAGACTAAAGTCCCGGCAGGCCCCTAGAGGTGAGGTTCAGAGTGTGACCCATGAGGAGGTGCACTATACTCGAAAATAACTGCTTGAGTTTTATAATTTATATAAGCAGAAATCTGGAGAACAGGCATGGGAATGGATATTAAGGGTGTGGGACAATGGTGGAAGGAACACAGAGTTGGATCAGGCTGAATTTATTGATTTGGGCCCACTAAGTGGGGATTCTGCATTTAATGTTGCAGCTCGGGGAGTTAAAAAAGGTTCTAATAGTTTATTTGCTTGGTTAGCTGAAATATGGATTAAAAAATGGCCCACTATGAGCGAGCTGGAAATGCCTGATCTCTCTCAATTTAATGTAGAGGAAGGGATCCAAAGGCTTAAGGATATTGGGATGGTGGAGTGGATTAGCCACTTTAGACCTACTCATCCCAGCTGGGAGGGTCCAGGAAATAGACCCAAAACCCCTTGAATGAAGGGGAGGCCAGTCCCCTTGAGGAAGGACCCCGCTATATTACCGACAATTTATGCTGTTAATCTTTCTCTCATTCTCCCCCAAGAAGATCTCTAGCCTTTTACCAGGGTAAAACTGTGCACTGGGGAAAGGGAAATGATCTGACATTTCAGGGACTACTGGACACTGGCTCTGAGCTGACGTTGATTCTAGGGGACCCAAAATGTCACTGTGGTCCTCTAGTTAACATAGGAGCTTATAAAGTTCAAGTAATTAATGAAGTTTTAGCTCAGGTCCAACTGACAGTGTGTCCAGTGGGTCCCTGGACTCATCCTGTGGTCATTTTCCCAGTGCCAGAATGCATAATTGGCACAGGCATACTTAGCAGCTGGCAGAACCCCCACATTGGCTCCCTGACTGGTAGAGTAAGGGCTATTATGGTGGAAAAAGCCAAATGGAAGCCATTAGAGCTGCCTCTACCTAGAAAAATAGTAAATAAAAAACAGTATCACATCCCTGGAGGGGTTGCGGAAATTAGTGCCACCATCAAGGACTTGAAAGACACAGGGGTGGTGATTCCCACCACATCCCTGTTCAACTCTCCCATTTGGCCTCTGCAAAAGACAGATGGATCTTGGAGAATGACAGTCAATTATGTAAGCTTAACCAAGTGGTGACTCCAATTGTGGCTGCTGTATCAGATGCGGTTTCACTGCTTGAGCAAATTAACACATCTCCTGGTACGTGGTATGTAGCCATTGACTTGGCAAATGCCTTTTTCTCCATTCCTGTCCATAAGGCCCACCAGAAGCAATCTGCCTTCAGCTGGCAAGGCCAGCAATATACCTTTACTGTACTACCTCTGTGGTATATCAACTCTCTGGCTGTGTCATAATCTTATTTGGAGAGAACTTGATCTCTTTTTGCTTCCACAAGGTATCACACTGGTCCATTACATTGATGACATTATGCTGATCGGATCCAGTGAGCAAGAAGTAGCAAATACACTGGACTTACTGGTGACACAGAAGATGGAAAATAAATCTGACTAAAATTCAGGGACCTTCTACCTCAGTAAAATTTCTAGGGGTCCAGTAGTGTGGGTCCTGTCGAGATGTTCCTTCTAAAGTGAAGGATAAGTTGCTGCATTTGGCCCCTCCTATACCAAGAAAGAGGAACAACGCCTAGTGGGCCCATTTGGATTTTGGAGGCAACACATTCCTCATTTCGGTGTGTTACTCTGGCCCATTTACTGAGTGACCCGAAAGGCTGCCAGTTTTGACTGGGGTCCAGGAGAAGGCTCTACAACATGTCCAGACTGCTGTGCAAGCTGCTCTGCCACTTGGGCCATATGACCCAGCAGATCCAATGGTGCTTGAGGTGTCAGTGACACCTCAAGGGATGCTGTTTGGAGCCTTTGGCAGTCCCCCATAGGTGAATCACAGTAGAGGCCTCTAGGATTTTGGAGCAAGGCCCTGACATCTTCTGCAGATAACTATTCTCCTTCTGAGAGACAGCTTTTGGCCTGTTACTGGGCTTTGGCGGAAACGGAACGTTTGACTATGTGTCATCAAGTCACCATTCAACCTGAACTGACTATCATTAACTGGGTGCCTTCTGACCCATCTAGCCGTAAAGTGGGTCATGCACAGCAGCATTCCATCATCAAATGGAAGTGGTATATACGTGATCAGGCTCGAGCAGGTCCTGAAGGCACAAATAAGTTACATGAGGAAGTGGCTCAAATGCCCACGGTCTCCACTCCTGCCACCCTGACTTATCTCCCGAGCCTGCACCGATGGCCTCATGGGGAGTTCCCTATGATCAGCTGACAGAGGAAGAAAAGACTAGGGCCCGGTTCACGGATGATTCTGCACGATATGTAGGCACTACCCAAAAGTGGACAGCTGTAGCACTACAGCCCCTTTCTAGGACATCCCTGAAGGACAGCAGTGAAAGGAAATCTTCCCAGTGGGCAGAACTTTAAGCAGTACACCTAGTTGTGCACTTTGTATGGAAGGAGAAATGGCCAGATGTGCGATTATATACTTATTCATGGGCTGTAGCTAATGGTTTGGCTGGATGGTCAGGGACATGGAAGAAGCATAATTGGAAAATTGGTGACAAAGAAATCTGGGAAAGAGATATGTGGATGTATCTCTCTGAGTGGTCAAAAACTGTGAAGATATTTGTATCCCATGTGAGTGCTCACCAATGGGTGATCTCAGCAGAGAAGGATTTTAATAATCAAGTGAATAGGATGAGCCCTTCTGTGCATACTCAGCCTCTTTCCCCAGTTACGCCTGTCATTGCCCAATGGGCCCACGAACAAAGTGGCCATGGTGGCAGGGATGGAGGTTACATATGGGCTCGGGAACATGGACTTCCACCCACCAAGGCTGACCTGGCTACGGCCACTGCAGAGTGCCCAATTTGCCAGCAGCAGAGACCAACACTGAGCCCTCGAAATGGCACCATTCCTTGGGGTAACCAGCCAGCTACCCGATGGCATGTTGATGATATTGGACCTCTTTTATCATGTAAAGGGTAGAGGTTTGTCCTCACTGGAATAAACACTTATTCCAGATATCGGTTTGCCTATCCTGCATGCAATGCTTCTGCCAAGACTACTATCTGTGGACTCACAGAATGTCTTATCCACTGTCATGGTATTCCACACAGCATTGCCTCTGACCAAGGCACTCACTTTATGGCTAAAGAAGTGTGACAGTGGGCTCATGCTCATGGAATTCACTGGTCTTACCATGTTCCCCCGTCATCCTGAAGCAGCTGGAATGATAGAACGGAATGGCCTTTTGAAGTCACAATTACAACATCAACCAGGTGACAACACTTTGCAGGCCTGGGGCAAAGTTCTCCAGAAGGCCATGTATACCCTGAATCAGCGTCCAATATATGATACTATTTCTCTCATAGCCAGGATTCACAGGTCCAGGAATCAAGGGGTGGAAGTGGCACCACTCATCATCACCCTTAGAGAGTCACTAGCAAAAGTTTTGCTTCCTGTTCCCATGACATTACGTTCTGCTGGCTTAGAGGTCTTAGTTTCAAAGGGAGGAACACTGCCACCAGGAGACACAACAGCAATTCCATTAAACAGGAAGTTAAGATTGTCACCTGGACACTTGGGGCTCCTCCTACCTTTAAGTCAACAGTCTAAGAAGGGAGTTACAGTGTTGGCTGGGGTGACTGACCCGGACTATCAAGATGAAATCAGTCTACTACTTTTTTTTTTTTTTTTTTTTTTTTTTGAGACAGAGTCTCGCTCTGTCGCCCAGGCTGGAGTGCAGTGGTGGGATCTCGGCTCACTGCAAGCTCCGCCTCCCGGGTTCACGCCATTCTCCTGCCTCAGCCTCCCAAGTAGCTGGGACTACAGGCGCCCGCCACTACGCCCGGCTAATTTTTTGTATTTTTAGTAGAGACGGGGTTTCACCGTTTTTAGCTGGGATGGTCTCGATCTCCTGACCTCGTGATCTGCCCGCCTCGGCCTCCCAAAGTGCTGGGATTACAGGTGTGAGCCACCGCGCCCGGCCCAGTCTACTACTTTTAAGTCAACAGTCTAAGAAGGGAGTTACAGTGTTGGCTGGGGTGATTGACCTGGACCATCAAGATGAAATCAGTCTACTATTCCACAACTGAGGTAAGGAAGAGTATGCATGGAATACAGAGATCTATTAAGGTGTCTCTTAGTATTACCATGCCCTGTGGTTGAAGTCAATGGGAAACTATAAAAGCCCAGTCCAGAAAGGACTACAAATGGTCCAGACCCTTCAGAAATGAAGGTTTGGGTTACGCCACCAGGAAAAAAACCACGACCTGCTGAGGTGCTTGCTGAAGGCAAAGGGAATACAGAATGGGTAGTAGAAGGCTAGTCATCCATACCAGCTACAACCAAGTGAACAGTTGCAGAAATGAGGATTGTAATTGTCCTGAGTATTTCCTCCTTTTGTTAAAAACATGTTTGTGCATATATACACTTGTACTAAGAAAATATCTTCATTTTATTTCCTTTTTTTTTGAGATGGAGCCTTGCTCTTGTTGCCCAGTCTGGAGTGCAGTGGCAGGATCTCGGCTCACTGCAACCTTTGCCTCCTGGGTTCAAGTGATTCTCCTGCCTCAGCCTCCCGAGTAGCTGGGATTACAGGCATGCACCACCATGCCTGGCTAATTTCTGTATTTTTAGTATGTTGGCCAGGCTGGTCCTGAACTCCTGATCTCAAGTGATCCGCCCAGCTGAGCCTCCCAAAGTGCTAGGATTACAGGCGTGAGCCACAGCGCCCGACCATAATATTATTTTTGTGAAAATATGTGTTCTGAGTTCTAAACATTCAGCTTACAAATCCCCTTTTGCAACATGAGTGTTTGTAGAGTATGTGTGTGTTTTGAATGTGTGCATGTGAGTATATGAATGTGAATGTGTAAGTGCACGAGTTTAAGTGCACAAGTGTGTGTTAGTGTGTGCATGGGTAGGAATGTGAATCTGGTTGTGAGTGTGTGTGAGTGTGACTGTGTGTGTGGGGAGGGCTGCATGTGCTGAGAGCTGTCAAGAATGAGGACTTCCGTTTCTCCTCACCAATCTCTAGATCCTGCCTTATTTTATCCTCTCCTAAGCCTTATGCAAACTTAAGAAAAATCAGGTTGAGACCCTCTATTACTGTCAAAAGCCATTACTCATCTCGGCCTCCCAAAGTGCTGGGATTACAGGCGTGAGCCACTGCGCCCAGCCTCCTTTTATCATGGGACATTAAGATTTACTTCATATCAGCATTTAAGTATTGTTAACTTTATGTAATAGCATTTGGGTTGGGGACTGGTGTGTTTCCAGCTGTACAAAGGATAGTTGTATTAGGTGTAATTATGACATTATTATTGTCTTTATTTGAAGATTATGAATGATCTCAGGAGATATGTATGTGTTTAAGTTGACAAGTGGTGGACTTGTGATGGTTAATACAGTCAACTTGATTGGATTAAAGGATGCAAAGTATCGATCCTGAATGTGTCTGTGAGAGTGTTACCAAAGGAGATTAACATTTGAGTTAGTGGGCTGGGAAAGGCAGACCCACCCTTAATCTGGGCGGGCACCATCTAATCAGCTGCCAGCACGACCAGAATATAAAGCAGGCAGAAAAACATGAAAAGACTAGACTGGCTTAGCCTCCCAGCCTACAGCTTTCTCCCATGTTGGATGCTTCCCGTCCTCAAACATTGGACTCCATGTTCTTCAGCTTTGAAACTCGACTGCCTTCCTTTCTCCTCAGCTTGCATATGGCCTATTCTGGGACCTTGTGATCATGTGAGTTAATACTACTTAATAAACTCCATATATATATATATATATATCTCCTATTAGTTCTATTCCTCTAGAGAACCTGGACTAATAAAGAGAACGAGATAAAAGAGGAAACAACAGAGGCCATGATTGCACTTTTTACATATATCAAATATTGGCAAGTCTGCCATCCTAGCTTCCCATCTGCCTACAAGTGGGCAGAGCCATTTTTAACCTTTCTTACTGTGAACATACTTCAATTCACTTAGAATTCTTGAAGTCCAGGCCAAGCACCTCTAGGGTAAAATTTAGCATTCTGTTTTATCCAGGTGTTCACTAACGGTTCCATATTAATTTGCTTCTGCAGATAAAGTATAAATTCCTCATGGGCTAAAATCACACCTTATTTTGTATCTTCCCCTTGCACCAACCACTAGCATAGTACTGAGTACATAGTTCAAATGCCATTAACTCCACAGTGATCCTACCTATGAAGATATGACTTGAAGAATTCTGAAACTCATTAAGCTAACCTATACAAGGATACTAATTTACTATTTATATACTGAAATTAAAGCCCTAGTATGATGTCTGGGGTTACCAAACACAGTGATATAGTAATTTGGTGGAGGCCAGCAAGGCCAATGCCATACTTCTCAGGGTAACTGGAATTGTGTCTTCAAAGGAGAAGTAATTCCCACTATCAACTGGGAGGTACAGGGTATCAAACTTGTGAGAAGAGCCCTTCTGTAGGCTCAAGGAGTGCCAGTGGCATTCAAGGAGGAGGGAGGGAGAGGATTTTTGTCCCCAAGGGGCATCTAGCAACATTTTGAGACAGTTTTGGTTGGTGGTGGGGTGCTACTGGGATTTACTGGGTAGAAGCCAGGGATGCTGATAAAATAAACATCCTACAATGCACAGGATAACCTTCCACAACAAAGAATTATCTGACTTAAAATGTCAATAGTGCCAAGGTTGAGAATCCTTTCTTTCATAGGCAATCAAGGGAATTCTTTGTCCTCTGTGCTCAGACCTGAACTTAAAGAGTAAAATTATCTAAGAGCTGTTTCTGAGTAAGACAAGTTACGAAATGGGCACTGTCATCAGGAGGTGGCATATCTAGTTAAAAAAAAAATTCAGAAATTGAGTAGTCTTATTTTGTATATAAGATTATCCTTATGCTATTCTGTTTTCTACTTTTTTTTTTTTTTTTGAGACACAGTCTTGTTCTTGTCCCCGAGGCTGAAGTGCAATGGCATGATCTTGGCTCACTGCAACCTCTGTCTCCCAGGTTCAAGCGATTCTCCTGTCTCAGCCTCCTGAATAGCTGGGATTAAAGGCACCTGGCACCACGACTGGCTAATTTTTGTATTTTTAGTACAGATGGGGTTTCGCCACGTTGGCCAGGCTGGTCTCAACTCTTGACCTCATGATCCACCCTCCTCGGCCTCCCAAAGTGCTGGGATTACAGGTGTAAGCCACTGCACCCAGCCTGTTTACTTTTATGTTTTAGAGATGGGGGTCTCGCTGTGCTACCCAGGCTGGAGTGCAGCAGTGCAACTATAGCTCACTGCAGACTTGAACTCCTGGGCTCAAGAGATCCTCCAGCCTCAGCCTCCTGAGTAGCAGGAAGTAGAGGTGTACACAACCACACCCACTTTTTTTTTTTTTTTTTTTTTTTTTTGGAGACAGGAGGTCTCACTCTGTTGCCCAGGTTGGAGTGCAGTTTTGCGATTTCAGCTCACTGCAACCTCCACCTCCCTGGTTCAAGCGATTCTCCCACCTCAGCCTCCCGAGTATCCGGGATTACAGGCATGTGCCACCACACCTGGCTGATTTTTGTATTTTTTGGTAGAGACGAGGTTTCACCATGTTGGCCAGGCTGGTCTCAAATTCCTGGCCTCCAGCAGTGCTCCTGTCTTGGCCTCCCAAAGCGTTGGGATTATAGGCATGAGCCACCACACCCAGGTACTACTGTGTGATTTTAATATCCAATGTTTTTTCTTCTATTACAAAAGTATCTTTACATACTTATCTTACCCTAAGCCATTGAAATTGTTCCATTTTAAGTTGTACTGACAAAGGATCCAAATTTACAGTTTCTGCTCAGCTGTGTAGCAAAGTATTAAGGAAAGGGTTACATGTTCACACTTTGAGGCCAAGTGGTAGTGACTCCAAGGACAAAATGAACAGTCAAAAAACAGGGCTGTATAATCCATCCATTCTTTCCAACAGTAGAATTTCCTCCAATTATCAATTCTGGAGATTCTGGGGTTATTCAATTAAGAAGAGTAGCACATACTTCAGTCACATGAGGACACTCTCAAAATACAAGTTGAAAATACAAAACTCCTCATAACAATGTCAAGTGCCAACAATGATTTTTAAAATTTAAGTAGGGCTGAACTGTGTGTAACTGGTGAAATGTTCAAGTTAACAATCCTTACACACGAAATCTCTCACTTCACTGACTTAATTCATTATTTGCTGAATAAACAATAAACTTCCAGTCAGTAGTCAAGAGTTGGCAATCTAGCTGGTAGGACATAACATATAATCATGAAACAGCAAAAACAGTATTCAAAGATTAAATTAGCAATACCCCAAAATGTGTGTTAGAGTTAGCATAAAGAATTTCTGATGTAGTTTACCAAGAGCTAAACTAAAAAGTCCAGAATACAAAAAACAGGGATGCAATGATGTTAGTTTTTTTCACCATCCTTGAAATTCTCCCATTAACCACAGCTCTGAGTTTTCAACTGCTCTTTGTCCTTAAATCTTCAGATTCCCTCCTTTGAATGGGATAGGTAGAGCAGATTAGAAGAAATATATTCCGAGGCTCTCTAATAGTTTCTGGATGATTAACCTTCATGAAAATAACCTCACAGATAAGTAATTAGGATTTTTCAGCCCATTTCTATAAACTAAGTAAACTTTTTTTCTAGTGAACATAACTTGATATATTAGTGACTGTAGAAAGTCTTTCTACAGCAACAGGAATTATATCAAGGCTTTTGCAAATTCCTGGCAACTCCGGGCATGTTTAAGTTCTACTACTCATCTGTTCTGACTATATTTTCATCTGATGGAATAAGCAGTTCATCTCCTTTCCTAGAACTTTTAGTGCTCTACTGTCCCCCTCACTTTAGTTAAGGTCTGCCATGTCCTCCTCTCCGACAGTCCTTGACTTTCCCAATGGCATATTCATCTGCTCAAACAGATGTCACTGCAAAACAAAACAAACTTTTAACAAAAAGCAATGTTTGCATATTTGGGGCCTTTTGTATGACAATATTGCACGTTTCCTCAGAAAAATTCACGGAGATTCTTTAAGGTTGGGGGTTTAATCTATTGATATTTTCCTTAGGTAGACAAAGACAACCTCTAAGTGCGCTCAGTTAATCTTTAACCGCTACATCATCGTCACCCAGGCACTAAGACATAACTAGGGCATAATGAGTTTTATTTCCACCAGGGGCGCCTAGTAACTACCAGGTTCAACGCTCCCAGGTGGCCGACATGTGATGTGCTCTACTGTTTGGGCTGGGGATATTAGCTCAACAAACTCTGGCCACAAGGATCACGCGGATATTCTTGGGGATGCCTAGCGAAATGCGCTGTACCTAGGCCTCGAACTCTCGCCTGCTCTCCGGTGGGCGGTCTCGAACTCCAGCCTGCTCTCCGGCAGCCCACAGCAATGCGCCTGCCAAGACCTTAGGCTGCAAAACTCGCCACGGCCCAGAGCTCGCCTCCAAGTGCGCCCCGCACAGGGCAAGCTTTCGGCGAGGACTCGCGTCCCACCCATCTAGCCCTGGCCGCTGTCCCAACTCCCGCAGTTCACAGAGGCGGCGGCGGTGAGCGCAGCCGATGCCACATCCTCAGCGGCAAGCTGAAGAAACCTGTCTCCTCTCTGGGGCGACCAAACGATACGTCGATGCCGGAACCGACCCGACGCCGGAGCCGTCGGCTCCGTCCTTACCGTTGCTCTCCAGGTACACGCCCCCGTCAAAGGCGGCTCTGCGGCCCTCTCGCGAGAGAGTGCCCGTGGTACCTCCTTCCTCTCAGTTGTCTGTCTCTCCCCGCCCCCGGAGTGATTGCGCGGCTTCCTCCAGAGGGCGGGAACCTTGGACGTGGCGGGGCTGGGTCAGTCAGGGCGCTGGGCCCAGCCTCTCTGCAGGCTGGCCTTCCGCGCTGCCGTGAAGCCCCCGACAGGTCCCACGCCTGCCTAGGTAGACCGGCGCCAGCCCGAGTGACGCCTGGCGTGTGGCCGCGGGCAGGCGGCTCCGTGCGGCGGGGCGGGCGGGTGCCACACCTGTGCGGGCAAGGGCGGGGCGGGAAGGTGCGCAGGCGCGCTCGGGGCTGGTGGGCGGTGGCTCCTGGGAAGTTGCGCAGCCGAACTGGCCGGCTGGGCGCGCGCTCTTGCGGTGGCGTAATCTCTCAGCCTTTCTGTGTCTCCTTTCCTCCGCCTCAGTTTGGGGCGGGTCGGGGGAATGGCTGAGGAGATGGAGTCGTCGCTCGAGGCAAGCTTTTCGTCCAGCGGGGCAGTGTCAGGGGCCTCAGGGTTTTTGCCTCCTGCCCGCTCCCGCATCTTCAAGATAATCGTGATCGGCGACTCCAATGTGGGCAAGACATGCCTGACCTACCGCTTCTGCGCTGGCCGCTTCCCCGACCGCACCGAGGCCACGATAGGGGTGGATTTCCGAGAACGAGCGGTGGAGATTGATGGGGAGCGCATCAAGGTGAGCGGATGGGGAACTGTTGGGGAGGACAGGGTGACAGGTGTCCCAACCCCACCGTGGGCTGGTCGCTGGCCGTGTGCACGGTGTGTGTGCGCTCCATTTTTTTCTCACGCTGATGAGATTGGAGTTGGGGATTGGAAGGATTGCAATACTGCAAACTTCTAAGGCAGCGTTTCTCAGACTTCATTGTGCATGCGATTTACCTGGGGATCTTGTTTTTGAAAATGCAGGCTATGATTTAATAATCTCGCTGATGATGCAGGTGCAGCTAGTCCGTGGACCACACTTTGAGTTCAGGAGTGTAGGGCTTATCTACCGACCCATTTACTGTGTGTGTCGTGTGCTGGGAGTCAGTCAAATATGAACGGAGGAAAAACAGTGAAATTGCGCGAGAATGGAAAATTCATTTAATCAGTAATAGTTATTAAACATTCATTCGAGCAGTGCCTTAGATGTTGTGGAAGTAAAGCCTATTGCCTTTGAGGAAGTACTTAGGTATTCTCTTGCATACAGTTTTGCTGTAGTAGTTTCTTTATGATACTGATTTTAGAAAAATCTATTTTCCTGCAGAAACATTCTATATGTGATAGTTCCTACTCAGGTTGCCAAAAGCATTTCTCATGATGCCACCTCAGACACACGCCCAATTCTTTATTCCCTTTAAGTCGTTATTTTTGGTCCCTGGGACTGGGGACACTGAGTGACAGTAATAGTGGAGAAGGTAGTATAGGCCCCAGGGCAGGTTTGAAGTTCTGAGGGGTTGGAATCTAACAGTGGAATGAGGATCAATGACAAGGCTTAGGCCTCTTGATGGTATAAACCTTAGACACACCTTCATAGCAAGCCACCACTAAATGCCACCTGTTGATGCCACTCCTTAAAACATAGGTGGAACCACCTTGCCTTATACTACTGCTTTAAATCAGCGATCGTCTTTATCTCAGTCTCTTGGTGGGGATGGGGAGTGGTGGGAGAACAGGCTTGCTTTAGACGTTCCTACCCTCGTATCTTAGAGGCAAGAACAATTTATTTTTCAGTTCCCTAATCATCGCCCCCCACCCCAACGGGTTATACTGCTAATGATGGTAGAGGTGAAGTAAGCTGGGTTAAAAGAAATTAACCTTTCTTTGGTGCTTCTGTCTTTTAATTTTTCACATTAGTATTTCATGTCCCATATGAGCTCTCAGTGGTGGTTTTGGAGTTGCTTTGTATTAGGGAATTTAGAAAGATTTGTATACTTGCAGAAGAAAAGATAGAATAAAAGGCTAAACATTTTTCACCAGAATTAGGTTTGGCCCAGAAGCCTTTGGGGTGAAAAATAATGGAGCTTCTGAAGTTCCAAGGGAGTTAAGATTGGGAGAAGCAGGAATCTGGGAAGTACGTGGGCTTTGGAGCCCAACTAACCTGGATTCATATCTGAACCTACGAAAGGGTAGGGATGGGCTGCGTGTCCTTACTAGGGTGACCAACTTTGCCCAAGACTGTCCAGGTTTTAAAACTGGGTCTCACATCCCGGGGACCCCCTGTATTGGGCACACCAAAATAGTTGGTCACCCTGGACCTTAGGCAGATTCTTTAACCTCTCAGAGTCTGTATTTTTCTTCCGAAAAACTGGGATCATGATACCTTATCAGGCTGCTGTGAGGATCAGATGAGGACATATATGAAGCACCTGGTTCATAGTTGGTGCCTTTAAAAAGATTCTTTGTCTTTCCTGGTGGCTTAACATTATTTTTCCTGTTTGCCACCATTAGTTCTGCAGTTGTACACCCAAAGTTGAAAGCAGAGATAGTGGAGGGCATAGGTAGACAGCTAAGGGGAGAGAAATTTAAAAAACAAAACAAAAACAAAAACGGAAGTAGGAAATTCTTTCAAAAGTGGAGAGAATGAGGGTGGGGGAGGAGTTGGGATTTGAGGGCCCTTTATCTGTTCCTGGGTTGCCATTTATACTTAAAGATAACAGATGAATCAGGTGCAAATTTAAGAGATAATAGTATTGAAAAAATATAAAGCATGTGCAGTGTATAAAGTCAATTACCTAACTACTGAGGTGAGTGCTGGCAGTGATAAATAAGACAGAACCACAGGTATGACGAATCTGGGAGCACAGAGTTGATAATTCTGGTTGGGAAGAGCAAGGAGATGATATTTTTTGGGGAGATTATTTCTACTGAACTTTAGCCTAACTTGTTACATTGATATGGACTTGAATACTGAGATCATTTTTCTTCTAAGGCCCTAGCCGTTGATTTGTGCCACCAATGGTGAGACTTGAGAGAGATTTTTATTGTGGTTGAAATGACTACAGACATGTTCTGAGGTTTCTATAGTAGGAAAAGATATAGCTATGTTGGGCATTTTTTAAAACCACAGAGCTTAATTTTTTTTAGTGCCCTTTTTTTCGAAAACTGAAAAGTGATATAAAGAGCTTTATTCTATGTGCTGCTTCTGCTGCTTTTTGGTTAACCTGTAATACATCTTGAGTGCTGCTGAAATGTTCATATTACGTCTTTGGAAAATTGTAGCCTGATCTAAAATGACATTTTTCCTAATTTTTCATCTCAAAGCTGGAAAGCTCTATTACTTTACTAGTAAAATGCCATTCTAGACATTATTTCTTTGATAAAAATGAGATATTGCGTTAAATGTTTTGATAATCATGGACTAGAAAATTTTCAGAAAGCATGACTTAACAACAGTGCCCTTTCAGAATCCGTTAAAATGTTTTATGAAATTTAAGAAAGCCTATATCTGCTAATCCATTCCTAAGCAGTATGTGCAGGTAGTTGAAAGAGGAAAATCTTGTTTGCAAAATTTTGGAAGTCGAATAAAATTATAAAATTAAATTCCTTAAATACAAATACATTCGGCTTTTAAATTGAGACTCCTAACTCTAATCCTTATGCTCCTTCCTCGTGTGTATATCCCCTTCATGACTAATTGTATTCCTTTAGCACAATCATTTTCCAGTGGCAGACACACCAACCCATTAAAGCCTGGTGTTGTATTTAATCCGGCCTCCCATTAGAGGTCAGCAGGTCCTACTTGAACATTTTAGTAGCTTACTTTTTTGTAGCGGTAGAAATGAAATGTTCCCATGTTAAGTGCAAAATGTTAATATTAACTAAAGGAAAATAATCAGGACCTCTCCCCACACTGGTAAAACAAATATTTAATGAGTAATTGCTGGAAAGAAGACATTTTGATAAGCACAGAGAATTATGATACGGCACAAGGGTCAGCAAACTATGCTTGAGGGCCAAAAATGGTCTTTTGCCTGTTTTTACATGGCCACAATCTAAGAATGATTTTTTACATTTTTTAATGTTTAGGGAAAATATCAAGATTTCATGACATGAAAATCATATGAAATTCAAAATTCACCTAGGTTGTACTACTTTAATCCTTCTTATCCTTGTACTCTCACCCCTCTCTTTGCTCTGAGTCCAATTGGTTTTCCACCTGCACACTTTCTATTAACTGTCTTGTCTTCAAAATTCTAGTTCAAGTCCTTTTTTTAACCTCTCTTTGAACTGTTGCAGCAGCTTAACAGTTACAGCAGCTTAACTGATCTCCCAGTCCTCAATTAATCTATTTTGTACATTGTTGCCAAAATGCCCGATTAATGTTGTACTTCAAGATTTATCTCCCCTAACTCAAGTGCCCTTTATATTATATTCTCCATTATGTTATAAAGTTCCAGCTGGGTGTTGTGGCTTGTGCCTGTAGTCCCAGCTACTCCTGAGGCTGAGGTGGGAGCATTGCTGGAGGTTCAAGGGTACAGAGCACTATGATCGAGCCACTCCAGCAGAGCCAGACCCTGTCTCTGTCTCTCTCTCTTTTTTTTTTAACACGTTTATTTTAGGTTCAGGGGTACATGTGCAGGTTTATTGTATAGTTAAACATGTCACAGGGGTTTGGTGTACAGATTATTTTGTCACCCACATATTTTGTCACCCACATATTAAGCATAGTACCCAATAGGTATTTTTTCTGATCTTCCACCTCCCACCTTCCACCCTTCAGGAGGCTCCAGTGTGTGTTGTTCCTGTCTTTGTGTCCGTGCGGTATTTGGTTTTCTGTTCCTGCATTAGTTTGCTTAGGATAATAGCCTCCGGCTCCATGTTGCTGCAAAGGACATGATCTTGTTCTTTTTGTGGCTGCATAGTGTTACATGGTATGTATATACCACATTGTCTTTATCCTGTCTACCATTGATGGGCATTTAGGCTGATTCCATGTCTTTGCTATTGTAAATAGTGCTGTCATGAACATACATGTGTAGATGTCTTTATGACAGAATGATTTATGTTCCTTTGAGTGTATACCCAATAATGGGATTGCTGGAGCAAATGATAATTCTGTTTTTAGCTCTTTGAGGAATCACACCACTTTCCACAAGGGATGAACTAATTTACACTCCCACCAGCAGTGTATAAGTGTTGTCTTTTCTCTGCAACTTTGCCAGCATATGTTATTTTTTGACTTTTTAATAATAGCCCTTCTGACTGGTGTGAGATAGTATCTCATTGTGGTTTTGATTTACATTTCTCTCATGATTAGTGATGTTGAGCATTTTTTCATATGCTTTTTGGCCACAGATATATCTTCTTTTGAAATGTGTCTGTTCATGTCCTTTGCCCTCTTCTTAATGGGGTTGTTTCTATTAAGAACAAATCCCATCTCAAAAAAAAAAAAAAAAAACCTTCCAGCCAGCCAGATTCCAGTGACTCACACCTGTAATCCCGGCACTTTGGGAGGCCAAAGATCACTTGAGCCCAGGAATTCAAGACCAGCCTGGGCAACATAGTGAAGCCCCATCTTTACCAAAAATTTAAAAAAATCAGCCAAGTACGGTGGCATGTACCTGCAGTCCCCGCTGCTCAGGAGGTAAGGCAGGAGGATTGCTTGAGCCCAGGAGTTGGAGGCTCTAGTAAGCCATGATCACACCATTGCTCTCCAGCCTGGGCAAGAGAATGAGACCCTGTCTCTTAAAAACAAAAAAAGAGTCTCCTCACACCTCCAGTCAGCTTCCTTCTATGAACTCTTTTAGCACCTTACCTGAACCTTTAGATGATTTCTATCTCATTGCATACATACCTGTCTTACCTCCCTTACTAAGTTTTATTCAGGGCAGGATCCATGTCTGGTAATTCCATAGACTTCTTTCAGTGTCTAGTTCAGTTCTTTTTTTTTTTTTTTCTTTTGAGACAAAGTCTTGCTCTGTTGCCCAGGCTGGAGTGCAGTGGCATGGTCTCAGCTCACTGCAACCTCCGCCTTCAGGTTTCAAGCAATTCTCCTGCCTCAGCGTCCCAAGTAGCTGGGATTACAGGCGCCTGCCACCCCACCCCGCTAATTTTTTGTATTTTAGTAGAGACGGGGTTTCACCATGTTGGCCAGGCTGGTCTCAAACTCCTGACCTCGTGATCTGCCGCCTCGGCCTCCCAAAGCGCTGGGATTACAGGCGTGAGCCACCGTGTCCGGCCTAGTTCAGTTCTTAAACCACATAGTAAGTACTCAGGGAAAAGTGTTGAATATATAGAGGCAGAGAGATCAGTTGGTAGGGTACTCTGGAAATCCAGAATTGAGGTGATAAGGGAAAATAAAGGGGTGATAGAAGAGGTATTTTGAAGATAAAGCCAAAGTCTTCAGTAACTGGCTGTTGGTGATGAGAAAGAAGAGGACTAGATGAGTGAGGTTGTGAGTCTGGGTGACAGGAGGTAGGTAGTGGAGCTAAGGGGGACTACGTGGAAGATTGAATTTGGACAGGCTCTGTAACATTATGATTTAGTCATGTGTTTATTGAGATGATCCTATATTCAAATGGAAATACTGATTGGCAGCTACAAATACCGGATTGGCACACAGGAGAAATAATTATGCACATGAAGTTGAAGTTTGGAAGCACGGATAGAACAAAATGTAGCTAACATGCCTAGAGAGAATAGTAGAAATTTTGTTAAATTTTTTTATGGCATGATGAAGATGACATTCAGTGAATGCTGTGTAAATATAAAATATAAATTGGGTTACTAATTATTGTTCTGTGTTGATCTTCATTAAAAGTAAATTAATGTTTATAAGTCAAAAAATATTTTATATGAAGTCACCTTATACCCTACCTTAAAACAGAATCAAATTGATACTTTATTTCTTAAAATGTGGTATTGGTGGTTGGAGAGATACCAAACTGGTTCTCTTGATTTGATTTGATTTGCATTGAAATTCAGTGAATGAGAATATGCGCAGTTCAGGTATCCTAAGAATGCTGAAGAATCTTGTGATCCCTTAGCTCAGAAACTTTTGGGCAGTTTCTGGTCTGAAAAAGACTTTGAATTGCTGGGGTTTGGTCCTGGGGCTGGCATGGTGTAAGTAATATACATTTTCACAGACCCAAGCTTTCCTACTATCTGAAGGATCCCAGGAACCAGGTCAGAATTCCTGTTGTTTTTCTAGCCTGATTTCAGAAGCCTATGATTCTCTTCTGTCACTTCTTACGAAGACGAAGAAGGCAGCATTGGTGTGTATATTCAGAGGTGGTGAGAAGAGAATTACTTACTTCTCTGGAATCAGTGGTCAAGATCTCTTGCTTTGGAGACTGTGTGAGGACTCTAAGCAAATTAGTTTAAGCAGAAAGGGAATTTATTTTTTCATATAACTAAAAAGCCTAGAAGTAAATTTCTCTGTCTGCCAGTTCCAACTGCAGCTCTACATGCCCATTCCTAAACTATGGTAGTGACAGGGAGTGTGGGGGTGCGAACCTCTGATTGGTCAGACGTAGGTCACATGCCCTCCCTGGGAGCCAGTGGTTCATGTGAATGGAAAGCAGGGGAGGGCCGATTCCCAAGGAAAATAGGGTGCTATTAATAGAAGGGAGAATGAGGGTTAGGCTGGAGAAAACAACATGCATTCTCTACAGAATCAGGTAGTCCACGTTTAAATTCTGGCCTTAAGACTTACTCGTTTTGTGGCCTTGGGTGAATTACTTAAACCTCAGTTTCCTCATCTGAAGATTGGGTAATTATTACATAGGGTTGCATATATTAAATAAGGGCATGTAAAGGACTTAGCAGAGTTCCTGGAGTATACATGGAATGTGCTAAGCCCCAAATCAATATTAATAGTTTAAGAGTAAATGCTCATTCCTTCAGGAGAGAGATGGTAGTGGGGAAAAAAAACAGGCAGTGAAAGAATAGGGAAAGAGGATGGATAACTAAGATTACTGTTCCAAATTGTGTGTATTTTTTCCTCTAAGGTGATAACTAATGCTTTCTCTCACTGCTTGCTCTCTTCCTTATCACCATTATTATTCTGTAATTAAATCCTTTATTTAAAAAAAATTTTGACCAGGCATGGTGGCTCACGCCTGTCATCGCTTGAACCTGGGAGGCAGAGGTTGCAATGAGCTGACTTCGTGCCACTGCACTCCAGCCTGGGTGACAGAGCAAGCCTCCATCTCAAAAAAAAAAAAATTTCATATATACGTATAATTCCTTTATATAAAACTTCATGAATCTCTAGTTTAAATTCCAATATCAAGTTTTAACAAAAATGGCAACCTAGCTACTGCTAAATACTAATAGTAGATTCTTGTTGTTGATGACAGCTCTTTTTTTTTTTTTTTTTTTTGACGGAGTCTCGCTCTGTCGCCCAGGTTGGAGTGCAGTGGCACAATCTGGGCTCACTGCAAGCTCCGCCTCCCGGGTTCACGCCATTCTCCTGCCTCAGCCTGCCGAGTAGCTGGGACTACAGGTGCCTGCCACCACGCCCGGCTAACTTTTTGTATTTTTAGTAGAGATGGGGTTTCACTGTGTTAGCCAGGATGGTCTCGATCTCCTGACCTCATGATCCGCCTGCCTCGGCCTCCCAAAGTGCTGGGATTACAGGCGTGAGCCACCGCGCCCGGCCATGACAGCTCTTTTGGTAGTTTTATTATCCAAAATGAGAAATGATCTGACTTTAAATTGATTTAATACTCTTTTTGCTTGACCTAAAATGTTAAAGGTTTTAATCCAAATTTTCCATCCCTGATTAACTATTAAATTTCCTTTTCCCCTATTCTTTCAAAGAACACATTTTTATTATTTCATGTAAAAGACCATCTATATAAGAACTACATAAGAGCTTCTGTTAACAATTTAAGTTGTAAAACAACATCATAACTGGTATTAGTGACATCTCAAGAGAACTCTTTGCTTTTTGTATGTGGAGTAGAAATGTGTGTGTCTGGTGTACAGAATCAAATGGCAAATCTTTGAAATAAATTTTAGCTTTCTGGAGTCTCTCTCAACCTCTACTGATTCTGAGTGCTGCCATTTCATGTATTGGTCTGTGTTCACTTAAACCCTGTTAAAATTTTAAAATAAATAAATTTTAGCTTCCTAAGAAGACAAGTAACAAATTTTTGTGATTATTTGAAAGGAATACTGCCTTTAAAATGAAGAATTTGGGCCAGGTGCCATGGCTCATGCATGTAATCTCAGCACTTTGGGAGGCCGATCAGTTGAGCCGAGGAATTCGAGACCAGCCTGGGTAACATGGAGAAATCCCATCTCTACAAAAAACACAAAAATTAACTGGGTGTGGTGACACACTCCTGTAGTCGCAGCTACTCAGGAGGCTGAAGTGGGAGGATTACTTGAGCATGGGAGGTGGAGGTTGCAGTGAGCCAAGATTGTGCCACTGTACCCCAACCTGGCAAGAGTGAGACCCTGTCATAAAAGATAATAATAATTTCTTTTTGAGATGGAGTCTCTGTCGCCCAGGTTGGAGTGCAATGGTGCGATGTCAGCTAACCGCAACCTCTGCCTCCCAGGTTCAAGCCTATTAAAGGCGTGTGCCACCACACCTGGCTAATTTTTCTGTATTTTTAGTAGAGACGGGGTTTCACCATGTTGGCCAGGCTGGTCTTGAACTCCTGACCTCAAGTGATCCACCCACCTCGGCCTCCCAAAGTGCTGTGATGACAGGTGTGAGCCACCACCCCTGGCCAAGTATATATTATGTTATCTTTATAATGTTTAAAATGGCAATAAGATTGCTGTGAGCACATATTAGCCATTTTTCCTAAGATATTTAAGTATTAAATTGGGAAAAATTTCTCTGAAAATATTTCCTAATTTAACATTTACCAGATGAAAGCGTCTCACTTCCTTGGGTCCAAAAGTATCAGTTTCTCTTCTTTTTTAAACATCATGAACCATTCCACTCATAGCTAAGCCTCAAGAGTTTTCTAGGCTTTGCTTTTCGCCTAGTGTCTGTCTGTCTGTCTCCTTCAAAGTTTTCTCTAGCCTTTTATGGTCAACAGTTTTTAATCAGTTGTCCTGTCGTGTATTGGCTGGGTCTCTCACTGCTCCTTTCCTGTCTCCTTGCCTTCTCATCTCAGTGTGCAGGCCTGGAAGGCAGCAGGCAGCAGTAGCCCTAAGCCTTCCCATCATTTAGTTATTCCATGAGAGAAATTTTGAAGCTTCTTTTTAGATATTCCTTTGTAAATGCCTCATTATTAGTTACGTTTATGGCTCTACAGTAAAGTGTAGAGTTATTTCAGGCTGGGCATGATGGCTTTTGCCTATAATCCCAAAGCTTTGGAAGGCCAAGGTGGGAGGATCACTTGACCCCAGGAGTTTGGGACCAGCCTGGGCAACATAGTGTGACCACCCCCCCACTGTCTCTACAAAAAGTAAAAACTTAGCTGGGTCTGGTGACACGCGCCTGTGGTCCCAGGTACTCAGGAGGCTGAGGCAGGAAGATTGAGCCTGGTAGGTGGAGGCTGCAATGATCCATGATTGTGCCACTGCATTCCAGCCTGGAGGGGCTGAGTGAGACCCCGTCTCAAAAAATAAAAATAAAAAAGGGGTAATTTCATACCTCTGTGTTCTGGAAGACTTGATATGATTAGAAAGCATAAAATTTTGAACGGGATTGATGGGAAGAGGAATACTGTTTTTTTTTTTTTTTTTTTTTTTTTTATACTTTAAGTTCTAGGGTATTCAATGTGCAGGTTTGTTACATATGTATACATGTGCCATGTTGGTGTGCTGCACCCATTAACTCATCATTTACATTAGGTATTTCTTCTAATGCTATCCCTCCCTTCCCCTAACCCCATGACAGGCCCTGGTGTGTGATGTTCTCCACCCTGTGTCCAAGTGTTCTCATTGTTCAATTCCCACCTATGGGTGAGAACATGCGGTGTTTGGTTTTCTGTCCTTGTGATAGTTTGCTGAGAATGATGGTTTCCAGCTTCATCCGTGTCGATACAAAGGACATGAACTCATCCTTTTTTATGGCTGCATAGTATTCCATGGTGTATATGTGCCACATTTTCTTAATACAGTCTATCATTGTTGGACATTTGGGTTGGTTCCAAGTCTTTGCTGTTGTGAATAGTGCTGTAATAAACATACGTGCGCATGTGTCTTTATAGTCTCATGATTTATAATCCTTTGGGTATATACCCAGTAATGAGATCGCTGGGTCAAATGGTATTTCTAGTTCTAGATCCTTGAGGAATCGCCACACTGTCTTCCACAATGGTTGAAGTAGTTTACAGTCCCACCAACAGTGTAAAAGTGTTCCTATTTCTCCACATCCTCTCCAGCACCTGTTGTTTCCTGACTTTTTAGTGATCGCCATTCTAACTGGTGTGAGATGGTATCTCATTGTGGTTTTGATTTGCATTTCTCTGATGGCCAGTGATGATGAGCATTTTTTCATGTGTCTGTTGGCTGCATAAATGTCTTCTTTTGAGAAGTGTCTGTTCATGTCCTTTGCTCACTTTTTGATGGGGTTGTTTGATTTTTTCTTGTAAATTTGTTTAAGTTCTTTGTAGATTCTGGATATTAGCCCTTTGTCAGATGGGTAGATTGCAAAAATTTTCTCTCATTCTGTAGGTTGCCTGTTCACTCTGATGGTAGTTTGTTTTGCTGTGCAGAAGCTCTTTAGTTTAATTAGATTCCATTTGTCTATTTTGGCTTTTGTTGCCATTGCTTTTGGTGTTTTAGACATGGAGTCCTTGCCCATGCCTATGTCCTGAATGGTATTGCCTACGTTTTCTTCTAGCGTTTTTATGGTTTTAGGTCTAACATTTAAGTCTTTAATCCATCTTGAATTAATTTTTGTATAAGGTGTAAGGAAGGGATCCAGTTTCAGCTTTCTACATATGGCTGGCCAGTTTTCCCAGCACCATTTATTAAATAGGGAATGGGAAGAGGAATGTTGTTTAGTCAGTCTCATCTAAAAACAAAGGGTTTTCTTAGGATTAAACTTCTTCTTCTTCTTTTTTTTTTTTTTTTGTTTTTTTGGAGACAAGGTCTCACTCTGTTGCCCAGGCTGGAGTGCAGTGGCACGATTATGGCTCACTGCAGCCTTGATCTCCTGGGCTTAAGCGATCCTCCCACCTCAGCCTCCCAAGTAACTGGAAGCACAGGTGCATGCCACCACTCCCAGCTCACTTTTTTTTTTTTAAGAGACGAGGTCTCACTGGTAGGAACAAAGTAGAGACAAGGTCTCACTGGTAGGAACAAAGTAGAGACAAGGTCTCACTGTGTTGCCCAAGCTGGTAGAGACAAGGTCTCTTTTGGTAGAGACAGGGTCTCACTGTGCTGTCCAAGCTGGTTTCAAACTCCTGAGCTCAAGTAATCCTCTCACCTCAGGCTCCCTAAGTGCTGGGATTACAGGTGTGAGTCATTGCACCCGGCCTGGGGTTAACATTTATCATTACCGCTTACATTTGTGGAGGACATCCACAGTTCTTTGAGGGCGGGTCTAAATTCTGCGTAATCATCTTTTTTTAATTTTGTTTTTATAAATGACATGCATGTTTGTTAAGGAAAATAGAAAAGTAGAAATAAAGGGAGAAATTACCTTGGAGACAACCATTGCTAATATTTTGGTATATTTCCTTTTCGTGTGCTTTTTATTTTTTATCTTGTGAATATAATTTGCTTAAAACATTATAAGTCATTTTTCATTGATGAAGTGATGCTTGAACATCTGAGTTACAGAAAATGTCATTAGAAGAGAAAAAAATCAGCTCTAGTTCCCTTGGATAGCTTTTATATAGGTCATCCAATTTATTACCAAAATATCTTTCTAAATGCTAAAGATAGAATTTCAAGGGTCTTTTCTTTTCTTTTTTCTTTTTTTTTTTTGAGACATAGTCTTGTTCTGTCACCCAGGCTGGAGTGCAGTGGCATGATCTCAGCTCACTGCAACCTCTGCCTCCTGGGTTCAAGCGATTCTCGTGCCTCAGACTCCCAAGTAGCTGGGACTACAGGTGCATGCCACCATGCCCTGCTAATTTTTTGTATCTTTGGTAGAGACGGGGTTTTGCCCTGTTGGCCAGGCTGGTCTTGAACTCCTGAGCTCAGATAATCTGCCCACCTCGGCCTCCCAAAGTGCTGGGATTACAGGCGTGAGCCACCATGCCTGGCCTCAGATATATTTTATTTGCAGATATTTTCTCCCATTCTGTGAGTTGTCTCTTCACTTTGATAGTGTCCTTAGAAGCACAAACTTTTTTTTTTTTTTTTTTTTTTTTTGAGGCAGGGTCTTGCTCTGTCACCCAGACTAGAGTGCAGTGACATGATCTCAGCTCACTGCAGCCTCTGTCTCCCAGGCTCAAGTGATTTTCCCACCTCAACCTCCCAAGTAGCTGGGACTATGGGCACCTGCCACCACACCTGGCTAATTTTTGTATTATTAGTAGAGATGGGGTTTCACCATGTTGGCCAGGCTGGTTATGAACTCCTGGACTCATGTGATCCACCTGCTTTGGCCTCCCAAAGTTCTGGAATTACAGGGATGAGCCACTGTGCCTGGCCTTCCGCCGCGCACCTCTTTCCCCACCACGCCCCCCGCCGCTTTTTTTTTTTTTTTTTTTTTTTTTTTTTAAGAGACAGGGTTTCCCTATGTTGTTCAGACTGGTCTTTTTTTTTTTTTTTTTTTTAATGGAACAACATTTTGATTTTTTTTAGTTTTTAAAAGTTTTTGTGGATACATAGTAGGTGTATATATTTATGGGGTACATTATATGTTTTGATGCAGGCATGCAATGTGAAATAAGCACATCATGGAGAATGGGGTATTCATCCCCTCAAGTATTTATCCTTTGAGTTACAGACAATTCAGGCCAGGTGCAGTGGGTCATGCCTGTAATCCCAGCACTTTGGGAGGCTGAAAGCAGGCAAATCGCTTGAGCTGAGGAGTTCAGACCAGCCTGGCCAACATGGTGACAACCCATCTCTACAAAAAAATAAACAAATTAGCCGGGTATGTTATCTTGCACCTGTAGTCCCAGCTACTCAGGTGGCTGAGGCAGGAGGATTCCTTGAGCCCAGGAGGTTGAGGCAGCAGTGAGCTGAGATCGTGCTGCTGCATTCCAGCCTGGGCAATAGAGCAATGTCCTGTCTCAAAAAAAAAAAGCCAATTACATTATTTATTTAAAAATATACAATTATTGTTGACTATAGTCACCCTATTGCCTATCAAATAGTAGGTCTTATTCATTCTTTCTGTTTTTTTTTTTTTTGTACCCGTTAACCATCCCCATCTCCCCTACCCCGAAGCCCCACTACCCTTCCCGAGCCTCTGGTAACCATTTTCAACTCTCTACGTCCATGAGGTGAATTGATTTGATTTTTAGATCCCACAAATAAGTGAGAACATGTGATGTTTCTCTCTCTGTGGCTGGGGAGGCCTTACAATCAAGGCAGAAGGTGAAAGGCATATCTCACATGGCAGCAGACAAGAGAAGAGAGCTTGTGCAGGGAAACTCCCCCTTTTAAAACCATCAGACCTCTTGAGACTTACTCACTGTCATGAGAACAGCATGGGAAATACCTGCCCCCATAATTCAGTTACCTCTCACAGGGTCCCTCCCACAACACGTGGGAATTCAAGATGAGATTTGGGTGGGGACACAGCCAAACCATATCACCTGATAACAAGTTAACACTCTTTTTACATAAACAAACAAACAAAAAACTAATAGAAACTGTATGCTTTAACTTCATCCTCCCCACTTTTTAACTTTTTCTTGTTTCTATTTATATCTTATTGTATTGATTATGTCTTGAAAAGTCATCGTAGTTATTATTTTTGATTGGTTCATCATTTAGTCTTTCTACTTAGAATAAGAGTAGTTTATACACCACAGTTACAGTGTTATAATATTCTGTATTTTTCTGTGTACTTATTATTACCAGTGAATTTTGTATCTTTGGGTGATTATGTATTGCTCGTTAATGTCCTTTTCTTTCTGATTGAAGTGCTGCCTTCAGCATTTCTTGTAGCAGAGGTATGGTATTGATCAAACCCTTCAGCTTTTGTTGGGGAAAGTCTTTATTTCTCCTTCATGTTTGAATGATATTTTTGCCAGATATACCATTCTAGGATAAAAGGTTTTTTTCTTCAGCACTTGGAAATATATCATGCCACTCTCTCCTGGCCTGTAAGGTTTCCATTGAAACATCTGCTGCCAGACCTATTGGAGCTCCATTGTATGTTATTTGTTTCTTTTCTTTTGCTGCTTTTAGGATCCTTTCTTTATTCTTGACCTTTGGGAGTTTGATTATTAAATGCCTTCAGGTAGTCTTCTTTGGGTTAAATCTGTTTGGTGTTCTATAACTTTCTTATACTTGAATATTGATACCTTCTTCTAGGTTTGGGAAGTTTTCTGTATTATCCCTTTGAATAAACTTTCTGTCTCTGTCTCTTTCTCTACCTTCTCTTTAAAGCCAGCAGCTCTTAGATTTGTCCTTTTGAGGCTATTTTCTAGATCCTGTAGGCGTGCTCCCTTGTTTTTTATTCTTTTTTCTTTTATCTCCTCTGTGTATTTTCAGTTAGCCTGTCTTCAAGCTTGCTTATTCTTTCTTCTGCTTGATCAGTTCTGCTGTTAAAGGACTCTGATGCATTCTTCAAGAATCTCTTTGTTGAATTTATCTGGTAGTATTCTGAATTCCTTCTCTGTGTTATCTCGAGTTTCTTTAAAACAGCTATTTTGAATTCTCTTCTGAAAGGTCACATATGTGTTTCTCCAGGATTGGTCCCTGTTGCCTTGTTTAGTTCATTTGGTGAAGTCATGTTTTCCTGGATGGTGTTGATGCTAACAGATATTCTTCTGTGTATGGACATTGAAGGATTAGGTGTTTATTGTGGTCTTCACTGTCTGGGCTTATTTGTAGCTGTCCTTCTTGGGAAGGCTTTTCAGACATTTGAAAGGACTTGAGTGTTGTGATCTAAGCTGTATCTGCCTTAGGGGTTACCCTAAGCCCAGTAACACTGTGGTTCTTGCAGACTCGTAGAGTTACCACCTTGATGGTTTTAGACAAGATCCAGGAGAATTCTCTGTACTACCAGGCAGAGATGCGTGCTTCCTTCCCTTACTTTCTTCCAAACATACAGAGTCTCTCTTTGTCTCTCTCTGTTCTGAGCAACCTAATACTGAGAGTGGAGGGACACAAGCACCCCTGTGACCACCACCACTATGACTGCACTAGGTCAAAGCCCCCTTTACTTTTGCCTCTGCACTAGGTCTAGACTGCACTAGACCTGAAGCCAGCAAAGCAGTGTGTCTCACCCAAGGCCTGCTGTAACTACTCCCTGGCTACCGCCTATGTTTACTCAAGGCCCTAGGACTCTACAATCAGCAGGTGGCAAAGCCAGCCAGGCCTGTGTCCTTCTCTTCAGGGTGGCAAGTTTCCCTAAGCCTTGGGTTGGTCCAGAAGTACCTTCCAGGAGTCAGGGACTAGAGTTAAAAATCTTAGAAGTCTACTTGGTGTTCTGTTGTACTGTGGCTGAGCTGGCACTCAAACTGCATGACACAGTCCTTCCCACTCTTCCCTCCCATTTCCAAAGACAGAGGAGCTTCCCACTTGTAGCCATTGCCACTCCAGGCCATGAGGAGTACTGCCAGACTACCACCAATGTTCCTTTAAGGCCCAGGGGCTCTTAAGCCCCCTTGTCATAAATGCTGCCTGGCCTGGGCCTCACCCTTCAGAGTAGTGGGGTACCCTCTGGCCCAGGGCAGGTCCAAAAATGCTGTCCAAGAGTCAAGTCCTGAAATCTGGGACCCCAAAGGCCCCCCTGTGGCCATGCTGGTACCAAAGGTACAAGACAGAGTCCCCTTTACTTTTGCCTCTGCTTTTCTCAAGCAGGAGTTTTGCCCTATAGCCACCACAGCTAATTATGTGCTGAGTCTCACTTGCAGTCAGCAAGTCTCAGAGGTTCACCCAAGACTGTCAATGTAGTGCCTGGGTATGCCAGCTGTTTTTTCAGGGCCCGAAGGCTCTTCAGTTAGCAGTGATGAATGCTGCCAGGACTGGATTTTTTCCTTCAAGGCAGCAGGTTCCCTTCTGCCCAAGGTGTATCTAGAAATGTCGTCTAGGAGGTAAGGCCTGGAATGAGGGCCTCACAACTCTGACCAGTGTCCTATCCTGCTGTGGCTGAGCTGGTATCTAAGATCAAGAGAGCATCCTCCCCACTCTTCCCTCTCCTCTCCTCTCCTCTCCTCAAATGGAGGGAAGTGGTCTTTTTTGGAGCTGTGAGCTGTGCAGCCTGGGGTTAGGGGAGGGGTGATGGCAGCACTCCCTTGGCTGTCCCAGCTGGAGTCTCAGTATGTCTCCTGTCTGCCCCAGCGCACTGTCTCTGGGCCAGTTTAGCACTCGGAGTTGCCTCAGAGTTGCAATGCTTGTGGCCTAGACTGCCTTTCAAGTTTACTTGGAGACACAGAGGGCAAGGTTTGTGGGAACTCATGTTTGGACTGCTGGGATTGGTGGTTCCCCTCTGGCTGGGGCTGGGTTAAGTGTTCCCTCTGTGGGTAGACATCAGCTGAGTTTGGTCCGGTTTTCCTTTTTGCTCTAACAGGGCAGAACTGAGTTCATTGCCTTTCATTTGCTGTGTTCTCCTTTTCCCAGTGCCCAGAGAGGCTCTCTGTACCACACCGCTGCTGCTCGGGGTGCAGGGGGTGGGTGTTGGCAATTCAGGACTGTTTTTTCTATCTCTTCAGTTCCTCTTTCAGCAATATGAGTTAAAACTAGGTACTATGAGTGCTCACCTGATTTTTGGTTCTTATGAAGTTTTTTTTTTTTTTTTTTCCTGTGTAGTTAGTTATTAACTTGGTGTCCTTGCGGGGCAGTTGGGGACATGATAGGTAGAGCTTTCTATTCTGCCATCTTGCTCCACCCTCCAATTTTGTTTGTTCAGGCTGGTCTTAAACTCCTGGGTTCAAGTGACCCTGATGCCTTGGACTCCCAGAGTGCTGAGCTACCGCATCTGGCTGCACAAATATTTTTAATTTTGATGAAGTCCAGTTTATTTTTTCCTTTGATTGCTTTTACTTTAGGTATCGTATCTTAAGAAACCATTGCCTAATCCAAGGTTACGAAGAGTTAAAGTTTTAGCTCTTAAATTTAGGTCTTTGATCCATTTTGAGTAAGTTTTTATATATGGTGTGAGATAGGGATCCAGCCTCATTTTTTGCATGTTGTCCAGCACTATTTATTGAAATGACTAATCTTTCCTGCTGTTGAATTTTCTTGGTAATCTTGTTAAAAATCAGTTGACCATAGATATATGGGTTCACTTCTGGATCCACAGTTCTGTTCCATTGATTTCTGTATCTGATCTTAGGCCAGTTTCACACAGTCTTGATTACTGTAGCTTTGTAGTAAGTTTTGACATCTATAGTTTTAAGCATTTTAATTCTATGTTGAGCATTTTTATTCATGATTTTTTTCTAGCCTTCTTAAGTTTTCAAGGGGTCCTGGATTTCATAGACATACACATACATGTATATGTTTGTTTGGAGGCTGGATCTCATAACAACATCTTTCCTAGGTTTAATATTTTAAATTAGACTAGTGAAAGGTAAAGAGGGGTGTATAGTAACCAAATTTACAGGAATTAAATGCTTAACATGTTAACACCTGATATATTTTTCTCTTAACATTTTAAAATAAAGTTTTGAGGTAAATTTTATTTAAACAAATTGGATTTACTGAAATTTAGAAAATCCTGTATTGAAATATTAGTTCCGACACTTGTATTATAATTTAATTGTGAGGTAACTGGTATCATGAAGTCTGGATCCCATAGGTAACACTGAAAAGACATTATGGAAGGGAGAAATCAAAATATTTTAAGTGAAGAGATAATAAAGACAATGCAAGATGATTACATTTCTTGATATGTATAATTGGAATGGGATTTTCAGTTTTCCTCTTTTTCTTCCCATTTTTAGATCCAGCTATGGGACACAGCAGGACAAGAACGATTCAGAAAGAGCATGGTTCAGCACTACTACAGAAATGTACATGCTGTTGTCTTCGTGTATGATATGACCAACATGGCTAGTTTTCATAGCCTACCATCTTGGATAGAAGAATGCAAACAACATTTGCTAGCCAATGATATACCACGGATTCTTGTTGGAAATAAATGTGACTTGAGAAGTGCCATACAGGTACCCACAGACTTGGCACAAAAATTTGCTGACACACACAGTATGCCTTTGTTTGAAACGTCTGCTAAAAACCCCAATGATAATGACCATGTGGAAGCTATATTTATGACCTTGGCTCATAAGCTTAAGAGCCACAAACCATTAATGCTTAGTCAGCCCCCTGATAATGGAATTATCCTGAAGCCTGAACCAAAGCCTGCAATGACGTGCTGGTGCTAAATAACAGTCTTTATTATATTATCTAATTTTGACTAAAGAAATACTTTTGAAGTATGACAGTATTAAGTCATAAGATTTAATCTCAACTATAATGGGTCATCTTGACACTTTGCTGTTTGTCATTGTCACGCTTTTGTATTTTGTATCTACTTAAGTTTGTCACTGTGACAACACAGGAAAAGTTGGTTTTCAGGTGAGATTGAAAATGAAGCAAAGATAGGATGAATCTGAACATCTCTCCATCTAGAGCCCAATGAAGGAAGCTTCAAATGAGAACATGATGGAATCAGTAACCATTCAATCTTTTGTCCTAGGATTGGAAAAAAATGTTAAAGGTTTAGGACACACCTAATAGTATGTCCTTTGAATGGGAAGTGTTCTTAATAGGATAAAAACTGGTATTTGCCTCTCCCCAGAGTACTTTTTTTGTTTTTTCATAGAGACGGGGTCTTGCTATGTTGTCCAGGCTGGCCTTGAGCTCCTGGGCTCAAGCAATCCTCCCACCTCAGCCTCCCCAGTACTGGGACTGTAGGTACTCACCACTGCATCTGGCCTTTCTTTGTTTTATTAACATATTTAGTTTTGTTATTATTGGTATGTTTTAGAGCCAAGACTTTAGTTCCAGTGGGATAAGAAGGCATAGAATGTTTTCTGGTTCCCAGTCCATAAAGAATGACTTTTCCAAGAGTTCTAGATGTTTGATTTTCTAATTAATACTTATCAGATCTACAAAAATCATTATTATTTTAAAAGAGTTATTTGAGTTTCTTTCTTTCTTTTTTTTTTTTTTTTTTTTTGAGATGGAGTCTCGCTCTGTCTCCAGGCTGGAGTGCAGTGGCGTCATCTCGGCTCACTGCAACCTCCGCCTCCCAGGTTCAAGTGATTCTCCTGCCTCAGCCTCCCGAGTAGCTGGGATTACAGGCGTGCACTACCACACCCAGCTGATTTTTGTATTTTTAGTATAGATGGGGTTTCACCATGTTGGCCAGGATGGTCTCGATCTCTTGACCTCATGATCCACCCGCCTCAGCTTCCCAAAGTGCTGGGATTACAGGTGTGAGTCACTGCACCCAGCCGAGTTGCTTTCTTACTAAATCCTATTAAAATATGCAAAAATAAGTCAGATTTTAAGGCAAATAAAGTGACATAAGGTGCTTTATATTTTATTTTGGTATATTTAAACAGTGAAAAACTAACTGAAAGCACATGAAGAGTTGTAACTTGGGGGAAAATAGGTAAACATAGCTTCTAGCTAACACAGGAGACCTATTCTTAGCCTTTACTAATTTCAAGCAGTGTATCCCATATGGTATCTCTTGCTCTTCCTTCAACTCCAATAAATTTAATGACTAAATGCCAAGTTAACAAATCAACTTCCATTTGGATTGTAGGTGTGAAGGCACAACTCTAATTGCTATTAGTCTACATGTATTTCTGTAATAGTATTGTGTCATATCAATTTTTAAGATGTCTAAATTTTATGGTCACAAGTTATCCCTCCTCAGTATGAAAAATAAATTAGATATTGAAAAATGTCTAAACTTCAGTGATGGAAAGAATATTTCAAGAAGTTTTTTAACCTAAATACTTTTATTTTGAATTTAAGTCTTTGCACATAAAATATAGCAAGCTTACATATTAAACTATTTACGTAAATGGAATGTAAGCCATGACTTTAACTGAAGTGTTCACATTCACTAATTTTGATAGATTGCTGTCCTTAATAATTTTGGAGGAAATTAAGCCAAATGATTATTGTACTACAGTATTTTCAGAATATGGGAAATCAATTAAAAATGTAATCTAATCTAGTTTAAGATTTTTGTTTAATCATCATGGTGGTCCTACCTGGATAATTTAACTATAAAGACAAAGTAATTCTATTAAATGAACTAACTGAAAATAATAATTATAGGAAGTGATTATTCCATTTTAAGTATTAGAGCTCAAATTGGCTTTATTTGCATTTAGGGAGATCATGTTTTCTTAATCATGCTGGAATTTAAAAATTGTTTTACTTGTATCGAAATTAACCTTGATTTATAACTATTTTTGTAATAAAACAATGACAGCTGTAGTAACTATGATGGGTGTAACAACATTTTTTTAAAGAAGGGAATCTGTTTATCGCTTTTCAAAATATTTTCTAAAGTGGGGGAAGAAAGTTTATAGACTTTCCAAGCACATTTATGGTTTTTTATTACTATTATTATGGTTTTAAAAAGAGTAACTTTATTTCTTTTTGTAAGGAATTAAGTAATATCCTTTACAGTTCTGTGAAAGGACTTATTTTTTAACTGTAATATTTATTAGTTTTAAAATATTTGTATCTCATTTGTAACAATTTGTTTTAATTTTTTATATATATGTTTTTATTTTTAAAAAACATACCAGTTGAATGGGGTTAAAGCTTTCAATATCTTAAAATATTTATAAAACATTTCACTGTTGCAAAATCACTTCCAAAATGATAGCTATCTAACAACTAATTACTAATTTTTAAAGAACAAATCACACATTTAAAAAATCTGTAGAATTTATTTTAACTATGACCTTTAATTGAAAATAAATAATTAAAATATCAGACATGTTTTGGAAAAGTCTTAATTTGAGAACACCAAAGGAAACTACCCCAGAATCTAATGTAGTTCGCTATTAATAACAATGCATTATTGAAAGTATATTGCAAATACATGTTTCCTCATGAAATCTAAGTAATTTTGTTGTGGAATAGTGTCACTGTTACATTTCCCCCATGAAGTTCAATAAACCAGCTTAGCCACAAAGAAATTGTGTTTTATTTTCTTTGTTTGGTTACTGGGTAGAGTATAAAATAAAACAATCTTTTTTTCCTCCTGGTTTCCAGATAATATTATATATATGATACACTTTTGAAAACAACAAAAAGCCCCCAACCCATTGGACAATTATTTTCTTGTATACATTTGAGGTCAAAGAACACTTCAGGAAAAAAACTCAACAAAGTATTAAAATTAGCTGATAACACAGCTTTTGTATTTGTGTGTTTTAGTAATCCAGCTTGTTTTAGAATAGTTCAGTGCAAAAAGCAAATGGTGCAAGAGGAGTTGATGTGTATTTAGACGTAAAAGCATTTAACAGAATGAATAACTATAGAAAGTATGAGAAAAGAGAACGAACTACGTCTCAGGTATAAGATTGCAGTTACTGATTTAGACACCATAGGATTAGGGATGTGGGGGCCTCTGATGTTGATTCTGCTTCCCCTGGTCAGTTTATTTTACGTATAAGTTACCCTTGTGTTCAAACACAAAATTGACATTATTCATGAAGGACTGCTTTCTTAATCAGATATTAAGAAGTTCGTCATGTATTTTGGGAGCACGTTTGCTACAGCCTGTGTGGCAAGGGCGAATGCACTTGGTTTGTTGGAATAACCTGATTTATCAAACATTTATCAAGTATGGGTCATGTGTTCTCTATTTGTGTTAGTGGAGCTACATAGACACTGTCCTTGAAGAACTTACAAAATAGTATATGAACAAATAGGAATTCTACAATATACTGTGATCAGTGTAATCAAAGAAGCATATACAAAGGACAATGAGCACAGAATATGGAGTGGTCTTTTGACTTGGATATGGGAGCAGTAGATAATCAAAAAGCTTCACAATGAGTGGAAGCATTTATGCAGCATCTCAGGGTAAATGTGAGGCATTCTCCATGTAAAGGAGAGGGAAGAAAGTCATCCCAGGTGAATGCACTGCAGGGCTCAAGAGTGGAGTTGAATTTGGGGGGAATGACTGCTAGGTCAGTGTGAGTATGTGATAGAATGGAGATGTGGTCAGAACACGGAAATGAAGCTAGCAAGGTAGATTTTGGTTAAACTGCCAAGTTGCCATAAGCAGTGGGATTAGGACTGGCTTGGGTGCAGTATCTGAAACTCAGTCTGAACCAGCCTATAAGGGGGATTTTAATGTAAGGAGTCTGACTTGTCTCACTGGACTTGAAGACAAGGATGTGACTGGACTAAAAGAAGAGCTGGGATTGAGCACACAGTTTCCTAACTCTGGGTCCAGCTTCTCTGCACATCTGCATTTTCTCTTTCTTTTATAACTAGATTTTTCCATTTTTTAAGTTTAATTAGCAGAAAACATGGCCACTGAGTACTTCTGAACTTTTGGATGCTGCAGTCATTCAAAGAGAAATGAACTCTCAGTCTCAAGTTGAAATTTCCAGCATAGACTGTTAATTGGCCTGGCAAGATCCAGGTGTCCACCCAAGACCAATGGCCAAAAAAGATAAAATAAGCAATTTCCACATTTAGGGGAGAAGGTATTTTGGGGGAAGGGGAGCAAAAAAAGAAGATAGCCACACAAAAACATTTGAACTTTACTATTTAGGCAATGGGTAACTAATGAAAGCATTTTGCAAGGTAGTGAGACCGTTAGATTTATGCCATAAATTCCAGCGGCAATGGGAAGGGTGAGGGGATGAAGTCATGGTCAGTCAGCTTACTGAAATAGCCTAGAAGAAACAGCTTTAACTGGAGCACTGGCAGAAAAATACAGATTTGAGATATTTCAGAACTAAAACCCCCAGGAGTTAGAGACCAAGGTCAGGAATTTCATTGCATGAACTAGTCAGTATTCTTTTCTAGAGCTGCTAGTTGCACTCATGTATGTGGCCAAATGTTTTTTTAAAATATCAGGCTTTGGTTTTATTTTTTAGATTATTACATTGCTTTAATTTGCCTTTATCAAAAGTTTGATTCTTGTGATTTATTTACATATATGTTTTTCAGAGTGTTTTGAGTCAGATGAAACTTGTCATTTAAAATTTTTAAGTTGTATATCCTAATGCTTTTTGGTATTTTTCTTGTTCTGAGTAGTTTAATTATAGAAGATTCTGTATATTTTTGAGTCCCAGAACATTCTTTAAATTACAAAAACAATTCAACTTTTGTTTTGGTTATTCATTCCATAAACTTAACAGAGTATATGGAGCCATTTTATTACTTCTCAGCTCCTCATTATTAATCTTTTCTTGCTGCAAATGGAGAGTTCCATGTTTCAATAAAATGTGATCAGTAATGGGACTTCTTTTTTTAAGTTAAATTTTTGTATAGGAAATACATTCACATGGTTCAATACTTGAACCATTCACAAAAGAGTAAATGGTGAATTCTCCTTCCCACTCTTTCTCCCAGCTCCTCAGTTCTTATCACAAGGAACCAGTACCATGAATTTTTTTTGTTTCTGTTTTTGTTTTGAGACAGGGTCTCAATCTGCAACCTAGGCTGGAGTGCAGTGGTGTGATCTCAGCTCACTGCAACCTCCACCTCCTGTGCTAAAGCAATCTTCCTACCTCAGCCTACCAAGTAGCTGGGACTACAGGTGCACGCCACAACACCCAGCTAATTTTTTGTACTTTTTGTAGAGCCACGGTTTTGCCATCTTACCCAGGCTGTTCTGGAACTCCTGGGCTCAAGTGATCCATTCACCTTGGCCTCCCACCCCAGTTCCCACGCTGGGATTACAGGTGCGAGCCACCACACCTGGCCCCTGAATTTGCTGTTTCTTCACATAACAGTATACCCTGGAGATGAATTCATGTTAAAATATGTAAGCTTCATCATTCTCTTTTAGGTCTCATGGAATTCCTTTAGTTGGCCATTATTTAGATAGCCCTCTACTGATGAACATTTAGGTTGTTTCCAGTCTTGCTATTACAAGCATTACCAAAATGGATATCATTTTACATAAGTAATTTCTCAAATGTGTGAGTATATACAAAGGGAAAATTCCTAGAAGTGACATTGCTAGATGAAAGGTATCTGTGTTTGCAATTTGGGTTTCTAATCGCCCTCCTCAGAGGTTGCACTAGTAATAAAAAGCATGCCTGATTCCTCACACACTCACAACACAGTCTATTATCAAAGGTTTTGACATTTGGAAGGAACATTAATAGGTGAAAAATGATATCTCACTGTGGTTTTAACTGGCATTTATCTTATGAGTAGGGTTGAGCATCTTTTTATATTTAATGTTTACATTTTGTTTTCTGTTGAATTGTCTGTTCACATTCTGTCAGGTTTTGTTTTTTTGCCTTTTGTAGGGATACTGAATATTTTGGGTAAGTTAGTGATGTTTTATTTTTTTTTCCTAGTTTGTTTTTTGCCAAATGGCATTGCTTCTAATGGTTTTTGGCATGAAAATAATTTTAATGTAGTGAAACTTAGCAGTCTTTTCCATGACTCTCATTTTGTGTCATAATTAGAAAGACTAACCTTGCCTGAGATAAGAATTCTCGGCCAGATGCAGTGGCTCACGCCTGTAATACCAGCACTTTGGGAGGCCCAGGCGGGCAGATCACTTGAGGTTGGGAGTTTGAGACCAGCCTGGCCAACATGGTGAAACCCCGTCTCTGCTAAAAATGCAAAAATTAGCCGGGCATGGTGGCAGGCGCCTGTAATCCCAGCTACTTGGGTGGCTGAGGCAGCAAAATCACTTGAACCCGGGAGGCAGAGGTTGCAGTGAGCTGACATTGTTCCACTGCACTCCAGCCTGTGGGACATAGTGAGACCCTGTCAATCTCTCTCTCTCTCTCTTTCTCTCTCTCTCTCACACACACACACACACAAGTGAATGTTAGCTATGTACTGGATAATTATGATGTCTCAATGTAGGTTTATCAAATGTAATAAATGTACATAGTGAGGGAGGCCGTGTGTATGTGTGGATGGGCAGGGGCTCTGTGGGAACTTGATGGTTTCTGTTCCATTTTTCTGTGACCCTAAATCTGCTCTAAATATAAACATTATTTTTTTATTATACTTTAAGTTCTAGGGTACACGTGCACAATGTGCAGGTTTGTTACATATGTATACATGTGCCATGTTGGTGGGCTGCACCCATTAACTCGTCATTTACATTAGGTATATCTCCTAATGCTATCCCTCCCCCCTCTCCCCACCCCATGACAGGCCCCGGTGTGTGGTGTTCCCCACCCTGTGTCCAAGTGTTCTCACTGTTCAATTCCCACCTATGAGTGAGAACATGCAGTGTTCTGTCCTTGCGATAGTTTGCTCAGAATGATTATAAACCCTATTTTTTTAAATAGATGTGTCAGAGACTGCAGGTTGCCTACCCAATTTTTGTCTTCCCTCTTGTATTAATTTCCTAGGCTGCAGGAAAAAAGTACCATAAATTGGGTGGCATAAAAAACAGGAATGTATTGTCTCACAGTTCTGGAGGCTGGTAGTATCAGTAGTGTTGATTTCTTGTGAGGCCTGTGAGAGAGAATATGTTCCATTTCTCTCCTGGCTCACTGCAGCCTCGACCTCCTGGGCTCAAGCAATCCGCCAAGCTCTGCCCCCTGAGTAGCTGGGAACACAGGTGCATGTCACCATGCCCAGCTAATTTTTAATTTTTTTTTTTTTTTGAGATGGAGTCTCACTCTGTTGCCCAGGCTGGAGTGCAGTGGCGCCATCTCAGCTCACTGCAAGCTCCGCCTCCCAGGTTCACGCCATTCTCCTGCCTCAGCCTCCCGAGTAGCTGGGACTACAGGTGCCTGCCACCATGCCCGGCTAATTTTTTTGTATTTTTTTAGTAGAGACGGGGTTTCACCGTGTTAGCCAGGATGGTCTCGATCTCCTGAACTTGTGATCTGCCCGCCTTGGCCTCCCAAAGTGCTGGGGTTACAGGCGTGAGCCACTGCGCCTGGCCAATTTTTAAATTTTTTTTGGTAGAGATGAGGTCTCCCTAGGTTGCACAGGCTCATCCCAAACTCCTGGGCTCAAGTGATCCTCCAGCCTCGGCCTCCCAAAGTGCTGTGATTACAGGTGTGAGCCACCATGCCTGGCCAGATTTTTTCCTCTTTTTTGTGTGTGTGTGATGGAGTCTCGCTCTGTTGCCCAGGCTGCAGTGCAGTGGCATGATCTCGGCTCACTTCAACCTCTGCCTCCCGGGTTCAAGTAATTCTCCTGCTTCAGCCTCCTGAGTAGCTGGGAATAAAGGTGTGCACCACCACGCCTGGCTAATTTTTGTATTTTTAGTAGACACAGGTTTTCACCATGTTGGCCATGCTGTTCTCAAACTCCTGACCTCAGGTGATCCACCGGCCTCAGCCTCCCAAGGTGCTGGGATTATAGACATGAACCACACCACCCAGCCCAGATTTCCTCTTCTCATAGGGATGCCAGTCATACTGGATTAGGGCCCATCCTGATGACCTCACTTTAACTTGATTACCTCTGTTAAGGGCCCTGTCGCCAAACAAAGTCACATTCTGAGGTACCAGGGATTAGAACTCCAATATCTTTTTTCGGGGGGCAGGGGCACAATTCAGCTCGTAACACATCTCCCTCTTTTCTTACTAACAGAACCCTGGTTTCTTTTGCTGGCCACATAGCCCACTAGATAATCAGTTCCCAGCCTCCTTTGTAGCTAGGTATGGCCACATATCACAGTTCTGGCCAAAGAGATATGAGCAGGTGCTTGCCAGGGATTTCCAGGGAAACTTTGCTTTCCTGTAAAGAGGCCTGCCCTTTCCTCTGGTTGCTTCCTCCTCCTCTGTCCATGGCTGGCACGTGGGAGGGAGGCTATAGCACTGGCATGGATGCCTTGGCATTACAAAATGCTCTGGAGAACAGTGTCCTGCAGCTACCACACCAGCTCAGGCTACTTACCTCATGATTTTGCTGAGAAAAACAATCCCCACTGTTCAGGGGATTTGAGTACCTGTAGATGAATGCAATTCTAACTGGAAGAACACTTGAGGTGAAATGTGGAAGAGACTTGGGGACATTGGGACTAAAACTTTTGGATGACGATTGCACTATCCCTGTTTAGGGACTGCCCGTGTGGTCAGGGAGCAATTTGGGGCCCACTCACTGCCCTAGCGCATCAGTCCTTCAAGGAGAGGAACTTGCTGGGAGAACCTGAGTTAGTGCCTTTCTACCAGCCTTTAAACCTGCGCCAGGGGAAAACACCGTTTTAGGGACTTAGTGAACAATGGGTGCGCCATGCAGATGTCATTCCTAGGCAACACCCTAGGAGTGGCAGAGCAACCAAAGAGAAGGAACCGGGGTCCCAGATGCTGTGCTGCTACCATCACAGCCCCAGACAGTTATGCTTGGACCAGTAAGTGAGAGTCAAGTAGAAGACTTACATCTTGTTCGAGCCAATGTTATTTGGGCTTAACTAATACCTCATCTAAGTTATCCTAGAAAAGTACATCTAGCTTTAAATTGTTAAAATTTGTCAGTCTGTGATAAAATTGATGGTACACAATTTTACTACTGTATGAAAATATATGTGTAAAGTCTATTATGGAACTGGTATACGTTAGGGATCTCACCTAGCTCATTTAAGAAGAAAGGGACTGGCAGGGCGCGGTGGCTCACGCCTGTAATCCCAGCACTTTGGGAGGCTGAGGCAGGCAGATCACGAGGTCAGGAGTTCGAAACCAGCCTGGCCAATATGGTGAAACTCCATCTCTACTAAAAATACAAAAATTAGCTGGGCTAATTAGTGGTGGTGCATGCCTGTAGTCCTAGCTACTCAGGAGGCTGAGGCAGAAGAATCACTTGAACCTGGGAGGTGGAGGTTGCAGTGAGCCGAGACCCCACCACTGTACTCCAGCCTGGGTGACAGAGCGAGACTCTGTCTCAAAAAAAAAAAAAAGAAGAAGAAGAAAGGAACTTAGAGAATTTGGGGTAGCTTATGTTATCTTTAGGAGGACCTGGGACCAAAATTTGGATGCTACAAAGACAGGGACAATAGTAGCCAAGATAAATGCCCAGATGTTGTAGACAGTTGACTGTCACCACTATCTCTCCTCAGCACCTATGACACTCAGGACTGGCCACAAAATGTCCCCAAAGCTGTCCCAGAAGTACTGAAATCTTCAACATCACACTGGAAAGAAAGGCCATTCTCCCTGTGACCCTGTCTCTACCCACTTCCTAGAACTGAAGCTGCAAATATATCTTGGGAATCACAGGTTTTATCATCCCAGGCTCTGCAGCAGGAAAGCACACTAGAAGAGGATGGGGAGGCGTCGAGTAAGCCAGTCAGCATCTGCTGCAGAAAGTGATACTACGCCTCTGAAGCTCTTCACTGGGAAACACAGCATACTGCTATTTTCATGCATTTCTGAAGTACTTCTAAAGTGTGAACTAAAAAATCCTTGCTAATTTGGTGATTTGTTATATTTTCATAAACTCCTTATGCAAATGTAAGATTAGTAAATGTTGCCTACTTCTGAGAGTGTATTCTTCCATTGTACATCCAAAGGTGCTATGGAGCATACATTTTTTAATTCTGAAAACATTGGGAACTTAATCACGTAGGATAAGGTGTATGACCAGCTAGACAGGGAGGCACTCCCTGAGCCTTTTTCTTCCATCCTCTTCTGGCTGAACACCCTTTCCTTTACGATCTCACCTTCAGAGTTACTTGATTCCTGAACCCATGTTTAGAGCCTCACCTTTACCTCTGAAATCCTGAATTGGCTGCTGCATGTGGGCCATCTTTCTTTTGCAGTATCTGTGGACCACTCAAACATGTAATTTAAAATGTATAAACAGTGGGGCATGGTGGCTCACACCTGTAATCCCAGCACTTTGGGAGGCTGAGGTGGGAGGATCACTTGAGCGCAGGAGTTTGAGACCAGCCCAGGCAATAAAGAGAGACACCATCTCTACAAAAAATTTAAAAATTAGCTGACTGTGGTGGTCTGTACCTGTGGTCCCAGCTACTCAGGAGGCTGAGGTGGGAGGATCGCTTGAGCCCAGGAGATTGAGTCTTCAGTGAGCCGTGATCATACCACTGTACTCCAGCCTGGGCAACAGTGAGACTCAGTCTCAAAAAATAAAAATAAAAAATAAAATAAAATGTATAAACTCAATCTTCCTCCTTAAATTTATTTTTCTTCCTGTGTTTCCTCAAAACCTCCAGCTTCTGTTGAGGCTTCCCTTCCCCCAACTCCCACATCTAGTCTCCTACCTGGATCTATCACTTCCACTGCCTTTGACCCTTGCTTCTGTCCTCTCTTGCTGAGAGGCAGAGGACGCCGCGCTTAAACTGTGGAGTGAGACCACAAAGAAGCTGAATCCCAGATGTTCTTTTTTTTTGAAACGGAGTTTTACCCAGGCTGGAGTGCAGTGGTGCTATCTTGGGTCACTGCAACCTCCACCTCCTGGGTTCAAGTGATTCTCCTGCCTCAGCCTCCTGAGTAGCTGGGATTACAGGCGTGTGCCACCACATCCAGCTAATTTTTTGTATTTTTAGTAGAGACGGGGTTTCATCATGTTGGCCAGGCTGGTCTCAAACTCCTGACCTTAGGTGATCCGCCCTCCTTGGCCTCCCAAAGTGCAGGGATTACAGGCATGAGCTACCGTGCCTGGCCCAGATGTTCTTTTTTAAACAAATTATTTTATGTTTTATTTTTTAAGAGAGAGTCTTGCTCTGTTGCCCAGGCTTGAGTGCAGTCGCATGATCTCAGCTCGCTGCAACCTCTGCCTCCCGGGTTCAAGCAATTCTGCCTCAGCCTCCCAAGTAGCTGGGATTACAGGAGTGTACTATCACACCCAGCTGATTTTTGTATTTTTAGTAGAGATGGGTTTTTGCCATGTTGGCCAGGTTGGTCTCAAACTACTGATTTGATGTAATCCGCCTGTCTCAGCCTCCCAAAGTGCTGGGATTACAGGCATGAGTCACTGTGCCCAGCCTGAATCCTAGATGTTCTAAAAGTCAAACCTCTCCATGCTTCAATTTCCTCATTTTTAAAAAGGGCTGACACTAACCCACGGGGTTATTGTGAGAATGAAATAATATATGTGTAGTATCTAGTGTTGTGTAACAAGCTTCCCCAAAACTGAGTAGATAAGACCACAATTATTGGTTGTCTCGCCGCTGTGGCAAGGCAGGAGTGTGCAGGCAGTGCAGGCTACAGGTCTCTCCTGAGGTTGCCGTCATCTGAAGTCCAGGTGAAGAATATGCAGCAGCTGGGGCAGAGCAGCCGGCACTCCTCGGGCATCTCTCGCTCTCTCTTTCTCTGTGCTGCTCCGTATGGCAGCCTCAAGGTAGCAGGACTTCTTACATGGTGGCTGCAAGCACCCAGAGTAAGTGGCGCAAGATAAACCTGCAAAAGCCCTGGGGCGTTTTCTAACTTAGCTCGAAGGTCACTCTGTATCCATGTAGAACAGCAATCGCAAAATCTTGCTTGGTTTTAAGGGGAGGAGATGTAAATTCTGTGAATGAGAAGCCCGTCAGAAAACCTGTGGACCTTTCTACAAACTATCAGAGGTGACTATGAAGATGTTTTGTACTATTTGGATGGTCCACTGTTTATCTCATGACGGAGTAATTAAAAGACTTACTAAACTGAAAAAATGTGCTACACGTTTTTTTTTTCCCACAGATAACCGATCCAAATTGTTGACCATTTCTTTCTTTCTTTCTTTCTTTCTTTCTTTCTTTCTTTCTTTCTTTCTTTCTTTCTTTCTTTCTTTCTTTTTTTTTTTTGAGGCGGAGTCTCGCTCTGTCGCCCAGGCTGGAGTGCAGTGGTGCAATCTCTGCTCACTGCGAGCTCTGCCTCCCGGGTTCACACCATTCTCCTGCCTCAGCCTCCCGAGTAGCTAGGGCTACAGGCGCCCACCTCCACGCCCGGCTAATTTTTTTGTATTTTTAGTAGAGACGGGGTTTCACCGTGTTAGCCAGGATGGCTAGTGTTTGAAATATATTTCATGCTAAGGAATATGCTACCTTAATAGTTATTTTTAGATAAACCATCTATCTCTTCCTAGTGGATGTTTGGAAATGTTTCCATCTGATGTGTGTTTTTTTTCTAGTCTGTGACACCTATAAAAATTCTCCTACTCAAGCATTTAAGAGTTAGAATTTTCCATCCTGTTTAAAATTCTTCCAAACTAAGACTAGGCTTTGGATCTTTTCGTTAAAAATATAAATATAATGTTTAATCGGTTTGCAAGAGCAATTTGGGGAGATGGCAATCTAGCAAGTGAATTCCAGTATAAACTTCTGCATAACTTTATACTGAAGTTAAACTTCAGTATAAACATACCACCTTCTGCATAGCTGGTAGGTGGAATTGAAAACTCTGGATCAGGGTTTAACAAGCCTGGCTGATGATGCTTTTGTTCGTTTTGGATCTGAGGATCTTTGTAAGGTCATTTGTTTTCACCATTGATAGTTATTAAATGCAAGCATCAACATAAACTGCATTTAGAAACAACCTTCACCTTGCTTCATCATGAAGTAGTAAATCAAAACTTTCAAAATAATGAAGCATATTTAATTTCAAAAAATGACTTTGAAAAATATTATTGGATGGGTGCAGGGGTGCACTGGCTCACGCCTGTCATCCCAGCATTTTGGGAGGCCGAGGTGGGAGGACCACCTGAGGTCTGGAGTTCAAGACCAGCCTGGCCAACATGGTGAAACCCCGTCTCTACTAAAAATACAAAAATTAGCCAGGCATGATGGCACATGCCTGTAATCCCAGCTACTCGGGAGGCTGAGGCAGGAGAATCGCTTGAACCCGGGAAGCAGAGGTTGCAGTGAGCTGAGATAGTGCCACTGCACTCCAGCCTGGGCAACAGAGTGAGACTCTGCCTCAAAAAAAAGAAAAAGAAAATATTATCAATAAAATAGGCTGGGTATCTGTGAATAAACAGGTTTTTTTTTTTGACTGGTAAGTGAAAAGAAATACAAATTATTTTAAAAATTATTTATTTCATCCTCATCCTTTTAAATTTCTATTTTGTAAATGTTTCTTAATCTACTAGCTAGTATGGTTTGTGATTATAATTTTCGGTGAACCAATGAACATGCATTGGAAGTGCTTGCTGAAACACTTTTTCTGACAAGGGTGTGATCTAAAGAGTGTCAGTGGTCTGTACAACAGCCCTTTACGGAGGGACAGTTGTGTCTTCTTCAGCTTTGTGGCTCCATGGCTTCATGGCCTCTTTGCTGCATGGGAAGAGGCAGAGACAGGAGCCACTGCTTGAGGATTTATATTATACTAAGCATCTTCCCTTTGCTCCAGTCCCCCTAGAGTATTCTTGTGGGGAAAAGGAGCACCTAGCCTTGTTAATTCTGCTTATAGTGGCCTTCATTAGGTTGAATAGTCTCCACATCTTTGTGGTTAGTATCTTGTAACTGAATGTCACTTGTTTCCTACAAAATAATTCTCTTCCCCAAAGTGTTTTCCATTTGAAAATCACTCATATCCTGAAGTGTTCCTCTTGATTCTTTAACAATTTGGCTCCAAGAGCTTTACAAGAGGAAAATGTTCCTGACATGATGGGTGAGTCATGGTTTGTGAAAATGAGCAATTTATGCCTAGCATGGTGCTATGGCCAAATTGCACTAAGACTTTGCCTAGAATATGTGTCTTCTGAGAGTTTTGTTACATGATAGTAAAAAATTAAAAGTCACTTTGCTTGTAATGTCTCTGCTATGCTTAAGAAAACAAAGCTGCATTTGGGAGGCTGAGGCGGGCGGATCACGAGGTCAGGAGATTGAGACCATCCTGGCCAACATGATGAAACCTCATCTCTACTAAAAATACAAAAATTAGGTGGGTGTGGTGGTGCGTGCCTGTAATCCCAGCTACTCAGGAGGCTGAGGCAGGAGAATAGCTTGAACCAGGGAGTCAGAGGTTGCAGTGAGCCAAGATCGTGCCTCTGCATTCCAGCCTGGGTGACAGAGCAAGACTCTGTCTCAAAAAAAAAAAAAAAAAAAAAGAAAAAGAAAAAGAAAACAAATCTGCATTTCTGAATTTAAAAAATACAATGAACTTAAAATACTGAATTCCTCATCTCTTTCTCTTGTATCATGATAGCAAACAAGATCCAGTTCTGCCAGCTGCATCTCAGCCAAGACTCCTACAAACAGCTGAAACTCTCTCTCAGCCTCAGTTTTTCACCTGCAAAGTGGGGATGATAACAATACCTGCTCCCTTTTAAGCCTTAAGACACTTACTTATTATCAGATTGACTTATACCAATTAAATCCTCTTAGAAACATAAGGAGGACTTCATTCTGCAATTGACAAACTAGTTTCTAATACAAACTTCTGTACTTCCTAGTGTATTTTGTATTATCTCTCATTATCCCCAATTTACTGCAGCCAGAACCTTATATGGCCTTGAATGATTTCTAATTAAATACCCTCAATTTCAGATATACTCCTTAGCAGAAACAAAACAAAACAAAACAAGTCAACAGATTCTCCAAACGACGTGCCTCAATCTGGAGTTTCTGACCAGTTTTGCTCAGAAGATGTCCTGTTACCTTCTCAAAGACAATTTCCACCATGAATGACACATTAAAAAGCTACACAGGCAGAAAAGCGATGTCTCCCAGAAACCGCTTTCACCTTTCTCTCTTTCTTCCCCTCTGAGCCTCAGGACTTCTCACTGCCCATCCAGTTTTTAGAACTTGAACCACAGAAGCTGCCTTAGTGGGGAGAAAGTGCTGGGTTTAAGTCAGTTTCTATTTCAGACGCCATGCACTGAAAGCTATCTCCTGTCCTCAGCAAGGCCTCTACAGGCAGCTTCTGTACCATGCCTAGGACCAAGGAGCTTTCAGATGGCCTATAAAAATTTTTGAGACCTGAAAAAAAAAAGAATTGACCCCAAAATATGAAAATAAAAATGAATAAAACAGAACTAAAGAGCATTTAATTAAATATCTGCAAACTAAAAATTAATGCTAACATTAGTAGTTGATAAAATGTTAGTATTCATAAAAATATAATGTAATTATATTTGAAAACAATTGGATTAGATTATTGTCCTTCAATCCAACAAAGTGGATTAGATTATTTTCCTTCAAAAGAGTTCCCAAGCATGTACTATGCTTGCTAAGAAACTATAACTGATTGCAAATTAAGTGGTTTGATTGTAGCTAAATTATTTCAGAAGTAAAATTATCTTTTAAAAAATTTTCTGAAAAACCTTAGGGTACCATGGGTGCATTTCAATATAATTGATATGATTATGACCTCTAAAAGGAGTACTTGGAAATTTGAATACTGGCTGCGTGTTAGATGGTATTAGGGAATGATTGTCAATTGTCTTACTTGTGATAATAGTATTGAGGTTAAGTGGGAGAATCTTAGGAGATACATATGGAAGTATTTAGGGGTGAAGTGTCCTGATGTCAACAACCTGCTTTTAGTATGTTCTGCAAAATAACAATAACTATACGGTGAGGGGGATCTAATTTCCTTAATTCTGCTTACAGTAGTCTTGAAGATTTATAATAATCTCCACCTCTTCACAGTCAGTATGCTCTATTTGAATGTTATTTGTTTTCTACATAATCATCCTTTTCCCCAAAGTGTTCGCCATCTGAAAATCACTTAGTATGTCAGCTACCTACTTTCAAAAGGTTCTGCAAAATAATAATAACAAATGTGTGTGAATCCTTATGTGTACATACACACACACACACACACACACAGAGAATAAATGTAGCAAAATGTTAACAAGTGCTTTGAAAATGATAATAAAGCAGGTAACAGGCTACAGAATGTTGGAGGCTGAAGGGCATTATTTGGATATTATGGTCAGAAAAAGCCTCTTAGTAGGGTAACAACTGAACCAGATCTGAATGAAGTGAAGGAACAAGCCCTGCTAAGATGTAAAGGTAGAGTATTCCAGCTCAAGCAGGCAGCATGTGCAAAGGTCCTGAGGCAGGACTTCACAACACTTGTTATTATCCAACTAAATGATGTTTTGTTAATCTAGTGAGAGTAAAATGGATTCTAATGATTTTAGTTTGTATTTTTCTGTTTACTAATGAGCAACTTTTCATTTATTTGTTAAATTCTGGTAATGTCTTTGTTTTCTTGAATTTCTTGTCAGGTCTTTTATTTTTCTGTTGGGTTCTTTGTCTTTTTCTTACTGATTTGTAAAAGTTCTATATGTTCTGGATATGATTCCTTCGCCGATCATATGTGAGGCAAATATCTTCTCTCCATTTATAGATTGTCTCTTCACTCTTTTTACAGTGTCTTTCAAAGAACGGATTTTTTTTTTTTTTTTTTTGAGACGGAGTCTCACTCTGTTGCCCAGGCTGGAGTGCAGTGGTGCGATCTTGTCTCACTGCAACCTCAGCCTCCTGGGTTCAAGCGATTCTCCTGCCTCAGCCTCCCAAGTAGCTGGGATTACAGATGCCCGCCACCATACCTAGATAGTTTTTGTATTTTTAGTAGAGATGGGGTTTCTCCATGTTGGCCAGGCTGGTGTCGAACTCCTGACCTCAGGTGATCCACCTGCCTCAGCCTCCCAAAGTGCTGGGATTACAGGCGTGAGCCACCACAACTGGCCAGAACAGATGTTCTTAATTTTAATACAACTGAATTTATTGATAATTTTATTTATGGTGTGTGCTTTTGTGTCTTGTTTAATAACATTTTTCTTACTCTGAAGTAAAAAAACTGTTCCATCTATATGTTATTCTAAATGTTCTATAGCTGTATTTTTCACATTAAAAAAATGAAGTCTTTAATCCACATATAGTTGATTTTTATATAGTATGAATTGAGGATCTAATTTTATATTTTTTATATGAATATCTAATTGTCCTGACACCATTTATTAAGTCACCCACTTTTTCCCTATTGAACGATAGTGACCATTCTATTATCAATGAAGGCTCCATATATGCCTGGGTCTGTTTCTGGGCTATTTCATTTAATTGGCCTATTTGTCTGTTTCTGGGCTGGTACTACACGTCCTTAATTCCTAAAGCTTTCTATCTTGATATTTGGTAGGTCAAGTCCCACATCTTGCTCTTCATCCACAGTTTTGGTAATTCTGGGGCCTTTGTTGTTTACCTAAATTTTAGATTTAACTCATCAAATAAAAAACAATGTTGGGATTTTGATTGGAACGCTTTGAATTTATCAGTCCACTTAGGAGAATCAATATCTTAACAATATTGAGTTTTCCTGGCCAAGAATATGGTAAATCTTTCCATTTATTTAGGTTTTCTTTAAGTCTTTCTTTCTTTTTGAGACAGGATCTCACTCTGTCAAGTGCAGTGGCCTAATCATAGCTTATTGCAGACTTGAACTCCTGGGCTCAAGTAATCTTCCTGGCTTAGCATTCCAAGTAGCTGGGACTATCAGTGCACCCCACCATGACTGGCTAATTTTTTTTTTTTACTTTTTGTAGAAACAGGGTCTTGCTATATTGCCCAGGCTGGTTGCAAACTCCTGGGCTCAAACAATCCTCCCACCTCTGCCTCCCAAAGTGTTGGGGTTAGAGGTATGAGCCACCATCCCCTGCCTCTTTAATGTCTTTCAGTGAAGTTTTATAATTTTCTTCTTAAAGGGTTTGATTGATTGAATTCTTTTTTTTGAGACAGTTTTGCTCTGTCGCCCAGGCCAGAGTACAGTGGTGTGATCTTGTCTCGTCTCACTACGTACGATCTCTGCAGTGTTCAAGCGATTCTTGTGCCTCAGCCTCCCGAGTAGCTGAGATTACAGGTGTGTGCCACCATGCCCGGCTAATTTTTGTGTTTTTAGTAGAGATAGGGTTTCACCATGTTGGCCAGGCTGGTCTGGATCTCCTGGCCTCAAGCGATTCTCTTGTCTTGTCTTCCCAAAGTGCTGGGATTACAGGTGTGAGCCACTGTACCTGGCCAATTTTTATATATTAATTTTGGATTGAAGAACCAAGTGAAACATTTATTAATCCTAATTATTGGAGATTCTTTTTGGTGTTCTACAAAAATTATATCACCTTCAAATAAAAATAGTTTTTTTCATTCTTTCCACCTCCTATAAATTTTTTACATTTCTCTTGTTTTATTGCACTGGGCAAGATGTCCAGCATGTTATTAAATGAGAGAGGTGACAGCTGACATCCATGTCTTGTTCTTTATCTAAAGTAGAATGCTTTTGACATTTCACCATTAAATATGATGTCTCCTGTAGGTTTTTAACAAATACTGTTTTTTTTTCTTTTTCTTATTAACCACCCCTCTCCTCCCCAGCCTCACCCTGCTTGTTTTGAAGTTATATAACTTTATTACTCTGCTCCATACTGGGGCAAGTTCTTAATGTAGTATCTCATTTAATCTTCACAATAACCTTTATGAGACAGGTATTATTGCTTCTCTTAGAGAAGTTAACTTTACTAAAATAATATTGCTAGAAGGAATAGAGCAATGGAATACAGCAAGAATTTAAAGCCAGGCTTGTCTGATTCTGCAGCCTCTGCTCCTCTCAGAAACGTGTGCTGCCTAATGCTTGGGTTAAAATTTATCCAATACAGGGAACCTTAAAGGAGATGAATTGTAGCAGGCGGAGGCAGAATAGAGAAGGTGGGTAAAGAAAGGAAGTGAAAAGAAATGGAAATTCATATGGACAGTGAGAGCCACCTCACCCCAGCATGTGATTTTGAATTTGCAGGAAGCAGGTATGTCACCTTGATTAGGCTGCCTTCTCCTCCCCATGCCTTCTTCCAAGACCTCCTGAGGTGTCTGTAGCTGTGGCAATCCAAATTGCTATTGGTTGACAATGCAGACACAGCATTTTCCGCTACTTTCTGCTCTCATCCAATCACAATTGCCCCCTTCCCTCCCTCCCTCTTTCTTTCTCTTTCTCTCTTTCTTTCTTTTTCTTTCTTCCTTCCTTCCTTCCTTTCCTTCCTTCCTTTTTCTTTCTTTCCTTTTTTACCACCAAATTGGCTCCTCTGATTGCTTTTTCCTGGAAGTCATCCACTCATCACACAAATCCTGTGTTAACACTTGTTATTCCCATTATGCACTCATGTTTAGCCTTGCATTTCCTTTGATGAAGAGGAATAAATTAGGAGATGGAGATTCATAGGGAAAGTTCATTCTTTTATTTTATAAATATTAAACAAGCATCCCTTATGTTTCAGGCACTGTGTAAGGGACTAAGGATGTAGCAATAAACAAGACAGGCAAAGGCTGTTCCCCAGTGATGCTTATGTTACAGTGTTAGAAGACAGAGGAATAACAAATACACAAAATAACTGTGGATTAGGGATAACAATGAAACAATTTGGGTGGTAAGACAGCAGATAAGTTGAGGAGGCCTTCTGAGACATGACGGTCAAGGAGGGCACCTCTGATGAGGGCGGTGTGAGTCAAGGGCTGAAGGGTGACAGAGAGAAGCTATGCAAAGAGCTAGAGGCAAACAGGCAGAGTAATCAGCAGGTATAAAGGCCTGGATCCAGGAAAACGCTTGGCAAGTTTGAGGAACAGAAGGTCTGGCTGGAGTACAGTGGGTGGGGGAGAACGGACTGAATGATACTGGAGAGGGAGCAGGAGCCAGTCCATTGTAAATAGCTTGGATTTTATTCTAGCTGCAATGGAAAGCCATTGAAGTGTTTCAGCAGGGTGATGGCAAGATGTACTTTACTATTTTTTTTTTTTTTTTGAGACAGGGTCTCACTCTGTTGCCTAAGGCTGGAGTGCAGTGGCACAATCCCAGCTCACTGCAGCCTTGCCTTCCTGTGCTTAAGTGATCCTCTCACCTCAGCCTCTCGAGTAGCTGGGACTACAGGCATGCACCACCAGGCCTGGCTACTTTTTGTATTTTTTGTAGAGATGGGGTTTTGCTATGTTTCCCAGGCTGGTCTCGAACTCCTGGGCTCAAGTGATCCACCCACCTTGGCCTCCCAGAGTGCTGAAATTACAGGTGTAAGCCACTGCGGCTGGCTGCTTTACTGTTTTACATTACTCTGATTACTTTGTGAAAAGTGGGTTGGAGGGTAAGCAATGAAGGCAGCATGCCAATGGACTCTACTTCTTGTACATAACTTTTCTGGAGGCTCACTCAGTGACTGCCTGCCTCCCTTGCCTGACCTCTCGTTGGCCAAAACTGAATCTGGTGGCCAGCCTTAGCTGCAAGAGATCCTTGGAATGTAATTATTTTAGGCACAGGAAGACAAGGGGAAAATGGCTTGTGAATGTCTTTTGGGTAGGCAATCCACAGTATCTGCCACTAGGGTCATCTGCACTGTATCTGAAACAAGCCTGTGAAATAGACGAGGCAAGTCTTATTTGATTAATCTATAAAGGGGGAGGATGGTTAAAGAGCACAAAGATCATAGGTAATAGAGCAAGGGCTTGAGTCCAGATCTTTTCATCTCAGATTGAATGTACTCTCTCACTACCTTTCATTATTCTAGGCCCCACAATGAACTGATCCTGGTCACACATGTCCTGCTGTGTCTACTGGTGAACCATTCTTTCAACTCTGTCTTCAATATCCAGCATACCTGAGCAATTATTATGACTAAACAGGCGCTGGGAGGATGCTAGGTTATTGAACCTAACTTTAGAATGGACAGGAGCCTTCTAAAATATGGGAGGAAAAATAAATCAATAAACAGTGTCTTTTGTTACACTAGGAAATATTGTTCTGCCAAGCAGAATGATAAAGTGTAGAGCATGTACCCCAGGGGATATGAAAGACATTCCACTGGAGTATGGGAAAAGTATTAGAATTCTGTGTTTGTAAGGCTAGAGATGATATCAACATAGACACAGAAGTTCAGTATTATTAATATCTCATACATAAATTGATACTGGATGTTGGACAGGCACATGCCTTATGCCTATGGAATTCAGGAATTCTGATTCTACAGCATGGAGTGGTTAACAGCAGCATCCTCGCGGTTCACTCACTTTCATGGATTATGACAATATGAGTTTATAAAGAGCTTGGTTAAGCGGATTTACTACAATATTATCTTAAATGGGAAACTAGAATTCTTTTTAATGAGCTGGGGAATGCACATGAAATTCTACTTAGAAAAACAGTGTTTAATCTTGTGAGATAAATATGTAAACATTATATGTAATGGCACTATAGCCAGAATATGACATTATAGATTTTAAGCAGTAAGTATTTAAAATGGACATATTTTTCCAGATTAATGCACAATCTCTTTCATTCATTCTTTTGTACTTTTTCCTTTAACCAGTTTGGATGGAAATATCTCCAAGTAATATCATTTCTACTGTGAAAATTAAATGAATTAACTAATGAAAAGTACCCAGTTCAGTGCTTGCTGCAGAGTAAGTCATTCAATAAATTACAGCTATTGTTTCTCCAGAAATTCAAGGAAGGCAACCACAAGCTGATGGGGTGTTTATTCACCTGGCTGTCTTCTTTTAGAGGTTATATCAGGACACATTCATTACCTTGGAAAATTTTCCTCAGCAATCAGAGAATTGCTTAGTGAGTAGGAAATCAGAACCAGGGGCAGTGTGTTAGTCCATTTCCACACTGCCTTAAAGATACTACCGGAGGCTGGGTAATTTATAAAGGAAAGAGGCTTAATTGACTCACAGTTCTGCATGGCTGGGGAGGCCTCAGGAAACTTACAATCACGGCAAAAGGCAAAGAGGAAGCAGGCATCTTCTTCACAAGGCGGCAGGAGAAAGAGAGCAGGGGAAGCTGCCACTTTTAAACCATCAGGTCTCATGAGAACTCCCTCAATATCATGAGAACAGCATGGGGGAAAATGCTGCCATGATCCAGTTACCTCCCATCAGATCCCTCCCACCACATATGGGAATTACAATTCAAGATGAGATTTGGGTGGGGACACAGATCCAAACCATATCAGGGAGTTTTCAGTTATATAAACGTAATGTTTAATGATCTCTGATATATTCACTTTATAATAGGGATTAGTTGCCAGTGGGGCCAGAAAATTCAAGGAGCATGATTGCTTGGGCAGAGTTAGGTAATGTTTGCCTCTGTGACACTGTTTTTTTGGTACGTTTATACCTAATAACCTGGGTTTAAACTTTTTTTGTAATTTTTTATTGTGGAGATTTCAAAAACATATAAAAACACACATATAAGATCATGAACTCGTACTCATCACCCAGCTGAAATCCTTATCCACATGTGGTCAGTCTGGTTTTATCTACACCCACACTTCACTTCCCTTATCTCCCATATTAGCCTGAAGAAAATTCCAAATATCCTGATTGTTTTAAAAGATATTTTATCTAATCAAGTCCTGCTGGTTTGAGGGTCTTTTTCCCCCCTCTGGTGACTTTATTTATTGATTTCTCTGGCACAACTTATTAGGTATCTCTTTTCAGATCTTAAAATGGCTCCCAGAGTGCGATTTTGAGTTCTTGAGGGAAGCCTATGTTCTGACAATTGCCATTATCAGTAGGCAGAGTTCATTCCATTCGCTTTTATCTTTTCTTAATTACTCACGAACATCATTATGAGCATCAGTCCTTGGGCTGCACTATAAAGAGGAATGCCAGCTTTTCTGTGTTCTACCCAGGGCGCTTGATCCAGATGTGGGATCTTTGGGAGTGGAGCCCCAAATCTGCTTCTTTTACACGTTCCCAGGTGATTCTTCTGGCCACTGAAATTGGAGAAGCAACTGGCTGAGAACGTTTTCAGAGATTATTAAGGTACATAGATCTCAAGCCACGGTGCTGAAAAGCCAGAAAGGAGACTTTTAGAAACCCAGCTGCATTTTTCTAAATCTTCTCCATCCTCTCTTTTGCTGGCTCTGACTTTTCACTGGGTCAGAGGCTCTAAGGCTGGAACCTGATGTTCCACGGGGACTGTGTTATGGTTGTTCTTCTACAGAGTAAAGTGCATGAACTGAAATAGCTATTGACTGCTCAGAAGTCACTCAGTCTCAGGTTTCTGGCTGTGTTCCACATAGCTGTAGGTTTTGTAAATCGTACTTAGATAAGTTGTGTTCCTGTACACACACACACACACATGCACACACACAGAGTCCGAGTGCTATAATAATTCTGATAAAGAAATTTCAGAGGCCAAGCACAGTGGCTTATGCCTATAATGCCCAGCCAGTACTAATGATCTTATAACTCGTGTTTTACAGATAACTGTGCTCCAGGCAGAGAGAGATTTTAAAGACCTGTATGACACAGAAATGCTTCTGTTTGTTTTAAAAGATAAACCAGTTTTGTTCAACTTTGTTTACTGTAGGCGCCAGAAGTGCTATTAGCCCTCTTGAAATTTGGGCTCATTTAAAAATAAAGTCCGGGTGCGGTGGCTCACGCCTGTAATCCCAGCACTTTGGGAGGCCGAGGTGGGCGAATCACCCAAGGTTGGGAGTTCCAGACCAGCCTGACTAACATGGTGAAACCCTGTCTCTACTAAAAATACAAAAATTAGATGGGCATGGTGGCAGGCACCTGTAATCCCAGCTACTCGGGAGGCTGAGGTAGGAGAATCGCTTAAACACGGGAGGCGGAGGTTGCAGTGAGCCGAGATTGCGCCATTACTAAACTCCAGCCTGGGCAACAAGAGCGAAACTCCGTCTCAAAAAAAATAAAATAAAAAATAAAAAAATTTAAAAAGCCCTGGAAGTGGTGTCTTAATTTAGCTAATCAAAGTTCAACCTGATGATAGGAAAGAACATCAACTGAGTTTTCATGTTTTTTTTGTTTTTTTGTTTTTTTGTTTTTTTTTTAGACGAAATCTCTCTCTTGTTCCCCAGGCTGGAGTGCAGTTGCGCAATCTCGGCTCACTGCAACCTCCGCCTCCTGGGTTCAAGCGATTCTCCTGCCTCAGCCTCCTGAGTAGCTGGGATTACAGGCGGCGCCTGCCACTACGCCCGGCTAATTTTTGTATTTTTAGTAGAGATGGGTTTTCACCATGTTGGCCAGGCTGGTCTTGAACTCCTGAGCTCAGGTGATCCACCCGCCTCGGCCTCCCAAAGTGCTGGGATTTTTAAAATGTGTTAAATCATCCTTTCCCTAGAGGTGTTTGTTTTACAGCATGTCAGAAACAGTATGAGAATAAATCCTCACCACAAGAGGGAGCTGGACCATGAAGAAATTAATGGGTTGTTTTGGAAATAGAAATAAAAACTGGGAAAGTGCAGGAGATTTACGGTAAGACCATCAGTATCATCAGTGGTGACCGTTATTTGCACTAAGTGATTACTTCATTCTTTCAGTTGCTCAGATCAAAAACTGCGGAGTTCATCCCTGATTCCTTACTTCCTATTATATTAAAGCATGTCTTTTAATGCTGACTCTTTGACATCTAGGGCCTTGTGGGCTCTGGAGGGACTGCCCCCCACCCAGGGCTAGCTGATTCCTAGAGATAGCAAAGGCCTGGCACCTTTCACATGCAACCTAACCAAATCAGCCTCTGTGCCTACAACCACTTCCTTCTTAGGCCTCTTCCACTCCAAGCCACCATTACCCCAGGGTCAGGTACCAGACAACTAAAGACAGCCGGTACACCCCAGAATCTACTGAAGTTATTCAAGCTAGCCAATCCCAGGCCTGCTGACTGCCTCTCCATTTCTTCCTGCAGACACCACAATACAGGTTCTTGTCTACGTTTTCTCTTTACTCCATCTACCTCCTACTTGATCCTGGTGCTTCCCCATGTGGCCCCTGTAACATGGTGTGCCCCCTCCTCTTGGGAACTGTGAATAACAAACTATTGTTGGGGTTCAGAAGACAATATCCAGAAATGAAGGCCTCAGAGGCAGCTTCAGGAGCAAAGATTTTTCTCTGACTTTCTCCTGCCCTTCTGTCTCTGAGTCCCATCCTTCCCAGAGGCTGCCTATAGACCCCAAGGCAGATCCTGCCAACCAGAACTATTTTTCCCCAAAGCCAGCCATAAAACCTAAAAATATCACTCTAACTTTCCCTCTGCCTTTCTGTGTAAAAACTGACCATAAAGAAATTATCTCATGCCTGTAATCCCAGCACTTTGGGAGGCCAAGGTGGGCGGATCTCTTGAGGCCAGGAGTTGGAGACCAGCCTGGCCAACATGGTGAAATCCTGTCTCTTTTACAAATACAAAAATTAGGCATGATAATTGTTTGAACCCAGGAGGCAGGGGTTGCAGTGAGCCGAGATTGCACCACTGCCCTCCCACCTGAGCAACAAAGCAAGAGTCTGTCTCAAAAAGAAAAAAATTTTCTGACCTACCTTGTTTGACTATAGTCAGAAGACCCCCATTCCAGAAAGGGCACTAAAGCTGCCTTTGCAAAATTATAGTCAGAGAAATCTGACATAACTGACTATCTTGCTTCTACCAGGTTAACTTGCTTGTCCTCATTCTTGTGTGGAGGCCATAATAGTCCTTTCCTTGAACTGGTCCCTTCCTTGTTCAAAAATGGAAATCGAATTTGTAAAGACTAACAAGAGGACGCAAGGTTAGAATTATGGTAGAGGCTTGAACTTTGCTAAAGCATAGGCTGAGTTAAACAATGACCTGCCATTGCCAAGCTTGTTTTTCTGTAAGTTGCTTACTGCCCCAGAGTCGCAAGATTTATAACTTCCCCAACTACTCCTGTAGATAACATTACTACTGTGAAACCTGAAGAATCGGTCTTTGAGATATTTTTCAGATTTAGCATTTCAGCAGACCCAGAGATGCCACCTGGTCCCAAGACCCCCCCTCCCAGGAACTGATTCAGCTGCATGAAGACAGTTTAGACACCCCTGTGATTTTATCCACAGCCAATCAATCCTTTCAGTTTCCCAGCCCCCTTCCCACCAAAGTACCCTTAAAAACCCCAGCCTCTAAATTCTTGGGAAGGCAGATTTGAGAAATTTCTCCTGTCTTCCTGCTTGGCTGGCCCTGTGATCATTAAATTCTTTCTTCGCTGCAACATCTGCTGTTCTCAGTGCACTGTTTTTTTGTTTTCAGGGCAGTGGGCAAGAAGAACCCACTGGGTTCTGACAACCCTGCCCCATACCCAGAAGAAAGGAATGCATGCTCAGAGAGGCCAGGAAGAATCTAGACAGAGAGGTTTTGCTAGGTTTTCCCACTCAGCCTGTTAGCATTAGATCATGCCGTTTTTGTCCAAACATATTTCATACTTCATTGAACCTAAGTATAAAAATGGCCAATTTCCCCTATACCTTTGGATCATCATTCTAAAGGCTCTTGTGTATACACATTAAATAAATGTATGTGCTTTTTCTCCAATTAATCTGCCTTTTGATTTTGAGTTGATTTTTCAGCAAATTTTTGAGAGCGGCATTTGTCTCCTGATCTGTTGGCCTCACCATTCCTGAATAATCAGTGAAATGCCTAATGCCATATCTCAGCACATTCTACTGTTTCTTCCTATGATGCACGCCAGTTCAACCACTTCTCCTCACCATGGCCCCTCTGTCCTGCCCACCATCATCATGAACCCCCTGCTTCCACCTGGGTCCCTACTCCCACTCCAGCCTATTCTCAGTACAACAGCCTGAGTGATCCTTTTACACGTGGGAGGAAGATCTTGTCATTCTTCTGTTGAGATCCTTCCAATGAAAGGGCTAACAGCAATTACAATTTCAAAAGCATTTTCAGAAACTGTAGTAAACTAAGTTTAAGAAAGCTGGTGGTTTTTGTTTGTTTGTTTTGTTTTTTTGAGACGGAGTCTTGCTCTGTCGTCCAGGCTGGAGTGCCGTGGTGCCACCTTGGCTCACTGCAACCTCCGCCTCCCAGTTTCAAGCGATTCTCCTGCCTCAGCCTCCTGAGTAGATGGGATTACAGGCATGCACCACCACGCCCAGCTAATTTTTGTATTATCAGTAGAGACGGGGTTTTGCCATGTTGGCAAGGCTGGTCTCAAACTCCTGACCTCAGATGATCTGCCCACCTCAGCCTCCCAAAGTGCTGGGATTACAGGCATAAGCCACCGTGACTGGCTGCACCACTGCACCTCGCACTCTGAGTTTAAAACAAAGTCCTTGAAATAGTTTTCGGGGCCCCTGTAGAATTTGATTCTCTTCTCTCCCCACTGGCCGGTCCCCTGGCCTCCTGCGCTTCCCTGAGCATTCCCACCTCAGGTCGTGGCTCTCTGCGGCCCCCCTCAGCCTGAAATGTTTCCCCTGGAATCTCCATAATTTGTTCTCTCTCTCAGGAAATGAGGTCTTCCCTGACTTTCCCCCACAAAAAAATAGCACCCCTCTTGGCCCTGCACACCTCCTCACCCTCTTTATTCTCCTCTCTTTGTCCCATACCACTTACCCAGGCACATACAGTCATTTACTTGCTTCTTATCCGTTTCCCTCACTAAAATGCAAGCTCCACAAAGGCAAGGATTTTGTTTTTATTCACTGCTGATTTGCTAATGGCCCAGAAGAGGGACTGCTATGTGGTAAAGCTTAAGAAATTCGTGCTGAACTTGGATGAAGCTGGAGGCCATTATTCTAAGTGAAGTAACCAAGGAATGAAAAACCAAAACCCGTTATGTTTTCACTTATAAGTGGGAGCTAAGCTATGAGTACACAGAGGCATTCAGAGTGACATAATGGACTTCAGAGACTCAGAAGGGGGAGGGTGGGAGGGAGCTAGGGATAAAAATCTACATATTAGGTACAATGTACATTACTCAGGTGACAGGTGCACTAAAATTTCAGAATTCACCACTGGATAATTACTCCATGTAACAAAAAACCACTTGTACCCCAAAAGCTATTGAAATATATTTTTTAAAAAGGTACTCAAAAAAAAACCCCAAATAAATAAATAAATAAATAAAAGTACTCTAGTTCAGTCACTCCCACATCACATGCCTAGAAAGTGCTTTGTGCACATCCAGGAAGATATGCCTAGTGATCCCCGCAAAGCCTGTCATCTAAGGGAGAGGCCAGCTAGATGCTTCACTCATTAAACAATCGAGAACACACAATAATGGTCTGGCAGTGTCCATCCACATGTGGCAGGGCAGCGGAGACACGGCAGGTCCCGAAGAGTCAGGCCAGGCTTCCTGGGGCAGGGGCTCTTCACGGGGGACTGCTTGGAAGGAGGCAAGCTGTGGCTATGCCTGGAAAGGTGGCATCCCAGAGCAGGCGGAGCAAAGTTAGTGAGCTCAATCCATGGGTCAAAACTCAATCTTTTTTTCCCCCAGTTGTCATCACAGTTTAATTTTACAAATAGAAAAAACTGAGGCACAAAGAAGTTATGTCACACAGCTAGAAATTGCAAGGCTGGGATTTCAACCCAAGATGATTACCCAATTCTCCTAATCATTACAATCTCTCATTCATGCACTCACTCTACGAGTATTTATTGAGTGCTTACAGTGTATCAAATGTTAAGGATATGTTAGTGAATAAAACAAACTAAAATCCCTGTCTATTCTAGAGGGAGGAGAAAGACAATAAACAATCAACATAATATAACTAAGTTCTACGGTATGCTAGAAGGTAATGAGAAGCATGGTGAAAAATAAAGGAGGGTAAAGTGGCCTCGGAATGCTGGGGGAGGAGAATGTTGCAGTTTAAGTGGGGTGGTCAATGAAGTCCTCATGCAGCAAAGACTTGAAGGGCACGAGGGCAGAGCCTGTGGCTCTCTGGGAGAAAGACATGCCCAAGAGCGGGGCAAGCCTGGCTCTCCTGGACTGCAAGGGGGTGGGTGTGGGTGGAGCACAGGAAGGAAGAGGGAGAGAGGACATGAAAACAGTCTTCTGAACCCCACAGCAAATCCTTATTTGCCAGAGAGTAGTCGAAAGCCCAGCGTCACACAGACAGTGGCAAAGCCGGGTGAAACCAGTCTGACTCCAGATCTCAAGTCCTTTCCACCACACAACCCTCCCTCTGCCACAGCAGAGAGGCAGGAAAAGAGAAGCAGAGGCGGGAAGAGGGAAACCCCATCACGGAGGATGCTTCACGTGGTGGAGGCAAAGAATGAGAAATGAGATGGGATGGAGAAGCTATGCTGGAAATCCAGGCAGAGGAGGTGGAAGTTCGGGATCAGGATAGAAATTGGCTGAGAATAAAATTATAAGAAGCTGGTCTTGCTGGGGGTGGTGGCTCACGCCTGTAATCCTAACATTTTGAGAGACTGAGGTGGGCGGATTGCCTGAGCTCAGGAGTTCGAGACCAGACTGGGCGGTGAAACCCTGTCTCTACCAAAATACAAAAAATTAGCGGGGCATGGCAGCATGCTCCTGTAGTCCCAGCTACTTGGGAGCCTGAGGCAGGAGAATTGCTTGAACCTGGGAGGTGGAGGTTGCAGTGAGCTGAGATTGCGCCACTGCACTCCAGTATGGGCGACAGAGTGAGACTCTGTCTCAGAAAAAAAAAAAAAAAAAAAAAGAAGCTGGTCTGTGTGTTGCATGGATTGGATCAAAGAGGGACCCAGTCAAAGAGATCAGTTGATTGGTAGGCTAAGTGGATGATGATCAAGGGAAAGGAAGACACAGGATACTAAAGGTTGGCCTTAACCCCTGGAGAGCAAGCGGAGAGAAGGGCAGGAGAGAGAGCTCCCATAAGTATGGTTAGGAGAGCAGCAAGGAGCCCAGCTGCCCGGCTTCAGACTCTGCCTCTATGGCTTTCTACTTCTGCGACCATGTGCCTTAACCTCTCTATGCCTCAGTTTTTCTTTCTGTAAAATGGTGTGGTAACAGTACCTATATATATGGTTGTTGAAAAGATTAAATGAATAATCTAAAACACTTAAAACGGCCTGATAAAACTCTAGATAAATATATCTTTGTAAACCCCCCTCTACAGCCCCCCTGATAAATTCTCTAAACTGATTTGAATTATTTTTAAAAATCCATTTATTTAATTTATTTGAAGAGACTAACCTCCCTTCTTCTCTGAGGAAAATAAGAAAACAAAACTCATGATGCAGATGAGGCAGACACTGTGAGTGGTCAACCCAACTATCATTTCCCTTTCCTACTTGCTGGGAGAGCCCCAAACTGGTTCAGGCCACACAGCCATATGCTTCACTCAGATAATCATAGTGCCCCTGTAGCCATTGCCAGTGATTGGCTGAGTTTCCTCAGTGATAGAGGCCATAGAAGAGACTTTCCTTTTCATCTATTGGATGGGGCCAAATTGGCTGTGATGGCTGGAACCTGGGCAGCAATGTTGTGGCTGTGAGGGAGCTAGCCCCTGAAGGCAAAGCAGACAAGCTGAGAAAGGCAGAGTGGAAAGATGGGAAGAACTTGGTGGAGCTGCTGAATTAACTGTAGGGCCACTCAGCACTTCTTGTTATGTGAGATAGTAAACCTTCTTTATTACTTAGGCCATATTGAGTTGAGCTTTGATGTTTCTTGAAGCTGGAAGCATTCTGATACTTACAGAAGTAAAAATTTGGTAGCAATCTAGATGGATCCATTAATCTTTTTCCGTGTACATTATAAGAAGTGAAGCTCTAAATTCAAAACCCTGGCTTTTGGTTTTTGTAAATAAACAAAACTTAAGGAAAAACACATTTATCGAGCAAACCACTATGTCGTGAGGGAATTACCATGATCTATCTGTCTATCTGTCTATCTATCTATCTATCTGCAAGGTAACAGTCATTTTCTGAAATACTTTTGGAGCAGAAACCCCTTTTCTGTTTTTCCTTTTTTTTTCAGCTTCAAGAGGAGGAATGGAATTTCTTCTTCTTCCTCTTATTTTTCAACTAGAGGCTTCTTATTGAACAATCCCAAATCAGTCAGATGCTGAATTGAAACTAAATGAAACTACAGCATAAAGTCCTTCGATAGCTGTTACCTAGTTCTAGAGATGACTGCTGAAACAATTTCACATTTAATATAAACTAGCAGTCTGAATGATTCCAAACATTTAAACCCAAAGGCAGATATTGGTAACCATCCCATTAGTATAGCTGGGATGGTTACTAATTTGGTCTAACATAATTTTGTCTTAATTTTCACATTACCTCATTCTACAACATTTGGGCCCAAATCAATCATCTTAACCCATGAAAGTTGCCCAATCTTTCACTTTCAAGGTTAGCTTCTTAAGCTTCCCTCAGTCTGTATTAAATTTTTAATCCTGTATTCCCCTTTCCCACAAGGAAGAAGAATATTAATATTGTGATTTGACCCATGCGTGTTAGAGGGTGAAGCCTTGCCTGAAAGATCTAGCATGTGAATGTGTCTGTGCAGGTGGAAAAGCTGATCCAACATCAGTTTGGACCCAGTCATCTCACTCGTTTCTGTTTCCTTCCTTCCATGGAAGGAAGTGTGATAAAATCAAGGATTGGGCAACTGAGGGAGGTAAAATAAAGCAGGAGATCTCATGGCCTGCTTCAGTTTGAGGCCTAACTGTGCCTCGTGTAGCCCTGCCAAACTTCCTAGAATTCACTTCTTTGGGGTCCTGGGCAGAAGGCCCAGCTAATAATGAGGTACTATGTTGACTCCTTTTGTCACTGGCTTTTGTGCTTTACAAATGTTGACTGGCTGGGCACGGTGACTCATGCCTGTAATCCCAGCACTTTGGGAGGCCAAGGCAGGCAGATCACTTGAGGTCAGGAGTTCAAGACCAGCCTCGCCAACATGGTGAAACCCCGTCTTTACTAAAAATACAAAAATGAGCTGAGTGTGGTGGTAAGCGCCTGTAATCCCAGCTACTTGGGAGGCTGAGGCAGGAGAGTCGCTTGAATCCCGGAGGTGGAGGCTGCAGTGAGCCAAGATTGCACCACTGCACTCCAGCCTGGGTGACAGAGTGAGACTTCATCTCAGATTAAAAAAAAAACGGAAATGTTGACTGTGATTAGGGCAGGAATAAGGGATTGCCAGGGTTCTCAGCTCAGACTCATCCTCAGACTGCCAAAATCTACCACAACGTCTAACAAAATTTCTATATTTTCTTTAAATCATGAATTGAAGTTTCCTTTCAGCTATTTGCCCTGATCATCTCATTTGCATTCCATACCCTTACCATGTATGTATTCAATCCGACACTTTCTGTTGGTGTGGCTAATCCTTCTGGATTTATGGGTGTATGTGGAATCATATCAAATCCTCCGCTCTTACTAGAATGCTCTGAAAATGATAAATGGCTAATAATATTTTAAAACAACTTAAAATGTAAAGTTCACTTAGTAATTTAAATATACAGGTAGACACATTATAAGAAAACCATTATTGCTTTTCTAACCTAGATGACCAAAGGAAGACAATGACAGATGATTGTATATTTTGTTTAATACTTGCATTGTTTCTATAGCGCAATTATAGCAATCTTTAAATTTACTTTCATTACAAATATTTGTCAAGTTTTGTTTCAGAAACATTTTTCCTACTCTCTTGCATCATGCACCCAGACACACTACAAAAAACTCATTCATAACACAGTAAGGGCAAACATTATTCATGTAAACATCTTTCATTAATTTCCCATAATTTAAAAAAATCATAGAATTATAGATATTGAATAAGGCTCATAGTTTTAGTTCAAATTCCACAAGAGACCAAAGATGCTCGTTAACCGTGATGGGGTTAACTTTTGGTTGCAATAAATGCTGAAAGCATACCCCTGGCTTCTACTTCTTCAACATACCTCACAACCTAATAAATGTATTTCAGGATAAAGAGAGAACATAGAACACCCAGGAGGAAACTTTTGAAGAAGGGAGCTCAGAATCATGGACATAATTTTCCTATGTGATAAGCAGGTATTACGTAGTCCCTGTAGCTTCCCAATACATGAATCAAGGTTAATTATCATAAACCAAAATGTAACCAAGTAGATATGTTGATACATTGGCATGTGTGTTCGTATTGCTACTATACACAGTGAAAATTTATCCTAATATGTATCATTTCATTATATCCAGGACCAAAGTGGAAAAAAAACCCCACTCAAGTTGAATATCATCATAAAGGAGTTTTTGTTTGTTTGTTTTTTCAATAACATAAGAGTCAGGAGAGTTGGGAGGTATGTCCTAGGGATGTGATTGACTCTTGACATTTAACAACTTTGAACAACTGTGTGTAAAGTCACAGACAGAGGAAGCAAGGATTTTTGTTATCGGAGGACGTCTCTCTCTCTGGTTGGAAGTTTGGTGCTTGGGTGCATAGTCTTCCAGAGCTGAGACAGGAAATGTACTGTGCTGAGAAATGGGCCCCTTGCCAGATGCTCCCCTCTCCTTCCTCTCTGCGAGGCAGAAGTCAGAAGGTAGAGATTGCTGGCAAAACTGTGAAGTCCCACCCTGGGGTCTCAACCCCAACTCCACTGAGGGCAGCCTCCCTGACGTGTGTGACTAGGCAGTAAGGGTGGCGGTTGATGGCGGCCGGGAAACCGAGTTTCGAGGTTCACATGGCCAAGTCTGGCTTCTGATTCTGCTGCCCTGCAAAGAAATTGTGCTCCAGATAACTGCACCGGTGTCTCTAATGCCTCTGATTCACTCTCAGGCCCCTCAAAGGCCTGCAGTGATATCACTAAAAGGTGAACACACCTCCATTAGCACCTAACTTCCACCAGGAAGCGGCTGAGGCACTGGGGAAGCCTACGAGCTCTCTCCACGTCAGGTGCAACAACGCCGAGGAAGTTGCTGAGAGTCAGAGTTATTGTAGGCTTTTGATTTTTAAAAATCAAAATTGATCTGCATTACATCTCAATAGACTCAGATAATTCTCACCAAAATTTTTGTAATGTGTTTAAGTAGCACTGGAATAATTCAACTTCATTTAAATATATTCATTCTATCATGAAAATATTTCATACAAACATCTATTTACATACAAACACATTAAAATTTGTGAAAAGGGTTCCCACCCCTGTGGTTGTATGGCTTGAAATAGTTTCATTGCTTTGAATATGTACGCACACATTTGGCAAAAGAAAACTATTACAATTTAGTATTTTTAAAATTAAAAAAAGTGACAACGAGTTTCCAAATTCCTGAAGGGAAAGATAAAAGAAAAACAATAATAATCTATCAAGGTACCCCAAGTAGATGTAAATTTGATATACTTTGTGAACCTTTGATCTGTGGCAAATAAACATTACAACTGTCAGTCTTGCAACATAGTTTTGCTTGTTTTTCTAAAACAAAAGATATCTGGATTCTAAGTCACTACTCTTAAGACAGAAGCTTGAGGCAACTGTTTTAAAACAAAGCAAAACAGAAAATGATACCTCTACCTTCTTGGAAGATTTTAAATGCATGTTGCAGTGAGTGATTTAAATTTTTATATATTAAATGAAATTTACGAAAAGTGCCACATACTGTCTCCTGGAGAAGACAACCCTTTAATTCACTGTTCACAATTAATGCAATTTTAATAGTTATATTTAAATGTTAAAAATTGTTACATTTGGCCTCATTGGCCTTTCTGGGTGGGTCGTTGGTGATAAGGAAATAGTTTTTCGAGTGTGAAGAACCCCCATAGGGCAAATAGGTTTAACTACAGTCCTAGACAGGTTCAAAGAGCTCTTGGAAAACTAATTTCCTTCTTAGTGTCTCAGGTAGATCAAGGATGAAGCAAGTTAAAATAAGAATAGGTACTACAAGACTCAAGAACTCCTCACTGCTTTCTTTTTGATCCCATCATTCCTTTGTGTCGGAAATTCAGTCTTTCCAGTTGTTTTTGTTAGTCCATTCAAATGTCCATTTGGGGACATGCTCCTACAGGTTAGTTCCTATTCCTAACTCTAACACAAGATAATATTTCATCACAGAAAAGATGCTAAGGGAAGATCTGGTCATGCAGGAGTTGGACTGAGACAGCTCTGAGTGAATCTCCTTGAGATTACAGTGTCGCACACACACATAGGCTCCCGCTGTTTTTCAGGAGAGCATAAAGTTATTTCTTTATTCCCCACCACATGGAATCTTCCACGTCTGCTGTGATTCTGATGCGATGAAATGACCAGATGCAGCGGCTTCCTGACACATTTCCTTCCCCAGCAGATGTAAAGTAGAAAAATACATTCTGAGTATTCTTTTCCACTTGCGTTTAGGTTCAAACGGGAAACAAACCCTTCCGTCCTCAGCTGTTAATTCCTTATAGAACCTCCACTCCCTTGACTTCTTTCCCTACCTACAGAACTCAGTGAATCTCAAGCCTTACTCCGATTCCAACCTGCCACAGAGCCTTACATTTGGGAGTATGTGTGTGTGTGAGGGGAGGGGTGGGGAAGACAGAGCCAGAGACATAAGCAAACAGAGAGGCACACACAGAGGAAAAGCCAGATGAGCAGAGTCCCAAAGACATGCACAGAGCCAGAGAGACTCAAGAAAGGTCAGTGCAGGGGACTTGGAACAGGGAACAGGAGAGGGCAGCTGGGGCTGCTGTTACCCAGGATGCCCAGGCGTTCTCACATATGCAGAGAGAAGAGGAAAGAGAGCCGGCCAGAGAAAGAAGAGCTGGAAGACACAGAGAGTATGAAGAGAGTTGGGAGGAAGACATGGTGAGGCTCAGCGTGGATGCATTGCTTCCTCTGATTTGCGTGGAGGTCACAGACACACTGCTGAGTTTTAAGCTCAGAGTGTTACCATTCAATATCTCATCTGAAGAACTGATTAGCAGACTAATCACTACTTACAACTCTTCAATTCCTTCTATCCAATGTTGAAAAAAATTCCATTTGAATGGGATAATTAGAGTAGCCCCCACTTAGGACGTAAATTGTACCCCACTGCAGCCAGGACCAGAATGCTATCACTCTCAGGAATGAAATCATTCAGAGCATAGCTGCATCGGGGGCATGACCAGCACTATCCTCTCCCTGACCGTATTCCCTGACCTGGCTGCACAACCCACTTGATCGAGGTTAATGCAAGCCATCTTTCTCCTGAAGACAGTCACTCCCTTTGGGCACATTTAAATTAAAGCACCTATCAGAATGCAAGTCCAGAGGCCCTGGCCCATCCGTCACAGTGTATAGAACGGTCTCTTTCTACAGAGTAAGAGTGACCCTATCCTGGTGCCTTTAAATCTAAAAACTATTCAGTTCCTTTGGTGGGCAATCTTCCTGGAAGCACTGACAACTTCCTCTCATGGGTGAACCATTGGCTTAAGCTTTCAAGCAGGGATCCAACTGGATCTCCCTGAAACCACTGCCACCTAGCTGCAAAGCATGCAACCGGGTGCTCTAGGAAGCCTGGTGTTGCAAAGAAGGGAAGGGCAACTCTGTCAATGTGCCCAAGGGCCACCTGAAATGAAAGTCATGAGCAGCCTGGGATTAAGCACTTTTGTTGTAGTCTTCATAAAGCAATGTGCAACTGACAAGAAATAGCAAACTTCCTTCTGCCTATGTCCTCACTCTTCTTCCACTGAAGCCTTCTCTCATCAGCTGGAGCTCACTATCTGCTACAGCTTGGAAGGCCTTCGCTTTCCAGACCAAACTGACTCAGGTGACAGGAATCACAGCTGACAGCTACAGATCAGCACAACAGCTGCTCTCCAGTCCTTCCAGCCGCTGCATCGAGGTGTCTAAAAGAGACAAAGCTATGGCATGTGGTGAGGGTGCTTATAAAAAACAAAACTCTCAGGATTCATTCAGAGCAATCCCAGTGATGTTACAGATCTAATTAGCTAAACTAAAAAAACAGGGGTTTTCTCCTTATTTCTGCAGTTGTGATTACACATGGCTGGCAAAATGGCTGAAATGCTATTGATAGTGTTGCTTTTAAACTATACAGGTGTTCAGTCTTAGTTTACAATGTTTTGAAGCAGGTAAGTGCTTTGAAATTACAATGATGAAGAGTTTTAGCATCAAGGTTTGATTTGTACCTAGTAATCAGTGTGTCTGCCTTAGTAGTACTGACTAAAAAAATTTTTTTTTGAATTCTGTTAGAATTCAAATTTGCTGTTTGACTTTTGAATTCAATGCACTGTGCCACAAGCCTGACCGCGCTATGTTATGTACATTTAATGTGTACTCAAGGAGGAAAAAATTACTAGCACTACTGAAAATATTGCAAAATTGCCATAGTTACCGCTTAGAGATACTAGTTTTCTTCTCTTCTTTCTTAAAGTATATATTACAACTCTTCCATAACTTAATGCAAACAAAGTAAATTCATTTCTTCTCACATCTTAAAGCAAAGATATCTTTGTTTACATGCGAGAATAATATTCTATAATAATACCCTGGCCCTATGAGCCAGTACTTTATATTAGGACATAATAATAAAATGATGATATAGAAAGAACCAGAGAGACCTACACACTGCTATTGATGCAAAAATCCATTTGGAAGTTTTCTCTTGTAAAGGGTATCTAAGAAAGAGAATAGGGCTGAGGGGTGAAATGACTTTAGAAGTGGGCTCCTATTTACTAAGAAAAAAACCAAAGCCATTCTATTGCAAGATACAGATCAAAGGTTAAAAGGCAAATTATACTACATTTAGAGAATAAAGATGTAGTAATTGTCAACCCTTAATACGGCACATATGCAAGTGTGCTAACACAATTTGCACTGGCCATAGGAAAAAAGCACTATGGAAAAACCACTGACTAAAAATGACTGAAAAACCCCGTTTCCCTGTTTCAGTCTAATCATTTGGCATCTCCGAATGTGGTACAGATTTAGACTTGAACCACCAAAGAACATCACGCTGTCTTATGTCAAATGCTCGACAATACCTCTCAGTAGGACGTTGTTGCAAGGCTAGCTAATTTTAAATCTGGTATGAGTAATACAGTCAAACCTAGTTAGTATGCGAGAAAGTCGTTGCTAACGCATGGTGAGAGGATGTGACGTCACAGCATGAGCAGTCCCTGGTTGTCCCATTGTCAGATAAACGTAGTGCATAGATCCAAGTTTCTATTCCAGGTCTCTGAACCCCAAAGCCAGGCCTTTCACTTTTGCTGGGTGGCCTGGAAGGCCTTCAGCTCCACCTGGTACCACTCAGGGGCTTCAGGCCCACTCTTCCCGGGGGGGCTGTGGTCATAGCCATAGGCAACGGTGAGCTCTTCATCGGCCTCCACTGCTCTCAGGGTGCGGATGCATTTGATGGGCCCAAAACGGGGGTGGACAAACCTAAACATCAAGATGCACACAGTCATTCCCGGGCCAGACCAGGAGGTTGGAAGCAAAGGCTAGGGAGGGGCTGATACAGGAATCACCCCCAGGCACTCTTCCCTGGGCACACCTGGTATGTGCCCAAAGTGTGGTCACCCAGCATCAGTTTCACCCGAGAGCTTATTAGACATGGAGCATCTCGGCCCCATCCCAGACCTGCTGGATTGCAATCTGCATTTTAGCGACACCCCCAGGCGATCCACTGGTGTATTAAAGTTTGAAAAGCACTGCTCTGTTTTTTAAAGCATATTTGGCACCTTGCATTTATAAACCAACAATCATGATCAACAACAAAAATCTGTCGTTAATGAGAAATCAGATCCAGTGCAGCCCGCCAGCATTTGAGCTTGTCTGGCCAGCAGCATCAGATTACGTGGCTGTATCTCAGGGAGAAGGCTTCACCAGAGTGCTTTTGGAGTTGTAAGAAAGAGCCCTGTGGATTTTCAAAGGCAAAAACTCTGTATTCCACCCTATACATAGAGAGGAAATATTATTTTCTAGCATGAAAGTAGATGAAGATTTCTTCCCAAGAGGGAAGTCTAGACCTCTCTGCCAACCTGTTTATTTAGTATTTCCCTGTGAAGCATCCTATGAAGAGAGCAGTATCTCCTTCCTACAACAAGTCCTCTTGGGACCAGAAACGAGGTTAACACTATGGCTATGTTCATTTGCCGAAGGCTCCCAATCCTGTTCATCTGCACAGCTCCCTGCAGAACAGGCAGATAAATAAGCAATAAATAGACTTAGCTCACCTAACAGCTGCTGAAATGGATACATGTAAGGCATGGCCAGAAGAAATCAGCTTTATTTTTATATGCATCTGGTCAAATCAATCTCATTCATTTAGAGTCTTTTTTTTTCTTATTCTTTTTTTTTTTTTTTTTTTTTTTGAGACAGAGTCTTGCTCTGTTGCCCAGGCTGAAGTGCAGTGGCATGATCTTGGCTCACTGCAACTTCCACCTTCCAGGTTCCAGCAATTCTCATGTCTCAGCCTCCCAAGCAGCTGGGATTACAGGTGTGTGCTACCATGGCCAGAAGATTTTTTGTATTTTTAGTACAGACAGGGTTTTGCTATGTTGGCCAGCCTGGTCTTGAACTCCTGGCCTCAAGTGATTGGCCCACCTTGGCCTTCTAAAGTGCTGGGATTACAGGTGTGAGCCACTGTGCCCAGTTTATAGTCATATTTTGCACAAAGGGTTGGTGAGACAGCAAAGGAGAAGGTTCCAGGCCCTAAGTTAGATTGGTGCTTGGCGGCTGGACATGGTGGCTCACCTCTGTAATCCCAGCACTTTGGGAGGCTGAGGGGGGTGGATCACTTGAGGTCAGGAGTTGGAGACCAGCCTGGCCAATGTGGTGAAACCCCATCTCTACTAAAAATGCAAAAATTAGCTGGGTGTGGTGGCGCACACCTGTAATCCCAGCTACTTGGGAGGCTGAAGCACGAGAATCGCTTGGACCCAAGAGGTGGAGATTGCAGTGAGCTGAGATTGCTCCACTGCACTCCAGCCTGGATGACAGAGTGAGACTTTGTCTCAAAAAAAAAAAAAAAGAAAAAAAAGATTGGTGCTTGGGGCATGATAGTAAGTACTTGGCTGGTTCCTTCTATCAGTGGTGGAGGAATGGGCATGTCTATAGCTTTGGGACTTCTTTTATGTGGAGTAAAAAGGAACAACCTTTACCTCACACCAAAGGGGCCTCTATGTCCACCCTCTTGGGTATCATATCATGTTTTGTGGAAAGGACACTTGGTGTCAGAAGACTTTGGTGTGAGTCCTGATTCAACACATTTTTACTGCATCCTCTTGGAAAGTTCACCTTATATCTCTGAATCTCACTTTCCTCATCTGTAAAATCATGATAATACTAGTAATAGTTATCCCATAGGGTCTTTGTCATGACAAAATGGGGTCACATATAGAAAGCACCTTATACAGTGCCTGGCACAAAGTAGGATTCAACTAATATTGGTTACTGCCTGCCTGTGAGCATGCATGTGTGAACACAAAAGTGAACAGTTATCAGCCTGTACTCCACCACAAAGAGATGCGTGGACTGTGGATTCAGGAATTCCTTATGAAAATCACAACTCTTTGCTTAAATTAAAATATTTCACTTGGCTGGGTGCAGTGGCCCATGCCTGTATTCCCACCACTTTGGGAGGCTGAGGCGGATAGATCACCTGAGCTCGGGAGTTCAAGACTAGCCTGGGCAACATGGTGAAACCCCACCTCTACCAAAAATACAAAAAATTAGCCAGGGGTGGTGGTGTGCACCTGTTGGTACCAGCTACTTGGGAGGCTAAGGTGGGAGGATCGCTCGAGACTGGGAGGCAGAGGTTGCAGTGAGCTGACATTATGCCACTGCACTCCAGTTTGGATGACAGAGAACCCATCTCAGAAAAAAAAAATTAAAGTAAATTAACATATTTCACTAAAAAAAATGTTCCTGAAATACAGGTTGGTTAACCTCTGGTACACTGAAAAAAAACCAAAAAACAGACCCTGTGTTGAATTTCCAGGCCTAGAGCTTCTCTTATAATCCTCTTTTATTTACATTTTCCTGTTCATTATCATCATCATTTTCAGAGTGTAGATAAGGGACAGACTGAAAAGAAAGAATTCAATTTCAGGTGTTGATTGTTGAAGATGACCCAAAGGCACAGTGGTTAAGAGCCTTAACTGCTCTGCCTTGGAGACCTGCTTTTCCTGTCTGTGATCTCAATGGTGATAGCAGTGGCCTCACTGAGTTACTGGGAGGACTGAATGAGACAATGCATGAAGAGCATCTAGCACAGCACCAGCCCGTAGTGAGTGGTCTATAAACGTGAGCTACACGATTAGCAGTCAAACCAAACCTCTGTGCCAAGTGGCTTAGCCTCTTGTCTACAGGTTGTCTAGGAAAGCAGCTCTTATCTATTTGTCCATTTGGCATTTTGTACTAGATTGCGTTTCAAACAGCTTATGGAAGTGTTTTGTTTATGTTAAAGTGTACATATCAGGGCCAGGCATGGTGGCCCACACCTGTAATCCCAGCACTTCAGGAGGCCGAGGCAGGTGGATCACATGAGGTAAGGAGTTTGAGGCCACCCTTACCAACATGGCATAAACCCGTCTCTACTAAAAATACAAAAATCAGCCAGGCGTGATGGCGCATGCCTGTAATCCCAGCTACTTGGGAGGCTGAGGCAGGATAACCACTTGAACCTGGGAGGTGGAGGTTACAGTGAGCTGAGATCGCACCATTGCACCTCTAGCCTGGGCAACAAGAGCAAAACTCCACCTCAAAAAAAAAAAAAAAAAAAAAAGGGTACATATCAATACCAATGATTTTTGAAACAAATGAATACCATAAATTGGTATCTGAATTTCATATTTGGTTATTATTCAAGTAGTCTTCTCATTACCCCAAATAACTAAGATTTGGTCACCCTGGGCTTGCTTGCAAACAAACTAACAAACAACAATAAACAAAATGAAAACCTGCAGAGTACAGGGACTTGGTTTTGTACAAATGAAATCTTCTCTTGTCTCCTGTGCTGTCTTCCTTTTGGTGAGAAAAATCATGTCCTTGCAATGAAATCAACAACCTGGTTTGTTTTAAAGGAGTGGTCTTAAGTAGCATTTATGATTGTTTGTTACCACCCCTTTAAAGGGTTGTTGTTAAGCTGTGTGCAGCTTGGAATGACACTTTGGCCTAATTCACCCTGGCCATGAAAGCCTTGGAGTTAATCACAGTGTCAGTTTCATTTCACATGACACATGTCCTTTGCCATTTCTACCCGTCCTTTAAACAGAAGTTGTAGCTTCAGTGCTTGTTAAGGGCTGCCAAGGAGAGCAAGTCGTTGCCAGGAAAATTTTTAAGCCATTTCAAGGATGCAGGGATGGACATTCTTGAGGAACCTCCAAATCCTGGCAATTTGCCTACAGATTAAATGCACATGATCTGATTTTGCTTATGCTAACAAGCAAGATGACCGAGGGACTGCAAGCTATAACTGAACAGAAAAGGTTGCAGGCAGCTCACTGGCTCCCAGGAAGAGCTGGCATTCTCAGGCCAAGCTAAGGAGAGCAACGATGATGGCACAAAGAATCCCAATTATATCCTCTAGAGCACAGTCAGAGATGTTTGGCTTTGGGAAGAACACGTTCAGGGGTCATGTAAAAACTACTAAAGTGTTTGTAGGGCTACCATGTAAAAGAGAGTCTGACATGGGACACAGGAAAAAAAGGGAGACAATTAGAGCCAAGGGCTGAATATTTCAGGGAAACCCATTTGGGCTTATTATAAAGAACTTTCTAGGCCGGGGGCGGTGGCTCACACCTGTAATCCTAGCACTTTGGGAGGCTGAGGCGGGTGGATCCCCTGAGGTCAGGAGTTCAAGACCAGCCTGGCCAACATGGTGAAACCCCCATCTCTACAAAAATACAACAATTAGCCATGCATAATGGCAGGTGCCTGTAATCCCAGCTATTCGGGAGGCTGAGGTGGGAGAATTGCTTGAACCTGGGAGGCAGAGGTTGCAGTGAGCCGAGATCTCACCATTGCACTCCAGCTTGGGAGACTGAGCGAGACTCTGTCTCAAAAAAAAAAAAAAAAAAAAAACAATGAAAAAGAATTTTCTAGTCATTGGAGCCCAGAAGCTAATTTTGTAATGTCTATTTCATTTGTCTATTTGTCTGGACCTTTGTGGATAATGTAAGCTCCACACCAATGGAGGTTTCCAAGAAGAGGTTCAATGAGCAGATGGAAGAGAAGGCTCAAACTCTAAGAGGATTATTTGATTTTTTAAAAAAAAACAGCTTTGTTAATATATAATTTATATACAGAGTATAAATATATGTACTCCTTTATATATATTTACCTTTTGAAGTAGATAATTCAGTGGCCTTTCAACCACTGAATATCACAAATACATACAAAATTCGGCAACCATCACCATCATCTAATTTTAGAACACCCGCCTTAGAACATTTTAATCAGTCCAAAATGAGACCGCAGTGAGATCCCATACCCATTAGCACACACTCCTTATCACCCCTCCCCAGCCCTAGGGAACCACTAATCTACTTTCTATCTCTGTGGATTTCCTACATTTTGGACATTTCATATAAATGGAATCATACATCTTTCACTTAGCATAGTGTCTACAATTCTCATCCATGTTGTAGAATATGTCAGTACTTCATTCCTTTTTAGTATCAAATAATAGGGACTCTGATTTTATAGGTCTTTTCCAACGCTGAGATGTCATGCCCTAGGCTTAGGACTTTATTTTCCTTCTTTCTTTCACATCATAAAAGGGCTCCCGGCTGGGCGAGGTGGCTCACGCCTGTAATCCCAACACTTTGGGAGGCCGAGGCTGGTGGATCACCTGAGGTCAGAAGTTCGAGATTAGCCTGACTGACATGGTGAAAACCCATCTCTACTAAAAATACAAAATTTAGCTGGGTGCGGTGGCGCATGCCTGTAATCCCAGCTACTTGAGAGGCTGAGGCAGGAGAATCGCTTGAACCTGGGAGGCAGAGGTTGCGGTGAGCTGAGATCTCGCCATTGCACTCCAGCCTGGGCATCAAGAAGGAAAATCCATCTCAAAAAAAAAAAAAAAAAAAAAAAAAAAGGGCTCCTTCATCTTCTCCACTGTGCAGAGTAATTTAAATTTTTACTATTATTTCAAATAACACTATCTTTAATTGTCCAAAACGAGAAAACTGAAGGACAAGAAAAGCGGCTATAAAACAGCAACCCCTCGGTGTGGTATACTATTTCCATACCATTTCTCCTCTTCAAAGCACTTTCCATTTCTTAGATTGCCAAAGCCACAGAGTGAGGCTGTTTAGATTTTGAGTTTCAAGTCATAACCCTGAGGCCGATAGCAGAGGACCCATGGTCATTCAGATGAAGCAGCCTTTATCTGAGGCAGAATAACACTTTTTACTGCCCTCCTCCGTCTCAGGGCCCTGAGGCATAGATCCGCCCCAGCAGCTCTGGGTAATACTTACATATCGTAGATGCAGTTTGGAGTGAAGGAGTGATTTGCCTTGTGTCCCAAGGAGGCACAGTACTTGGATACGTGGTTATAGGGCTCAGGCACATCAATGACCGTTTCTTCATCAAGGGAGAGGGTGTTCCCATTAAGGGCCCAGTCCCTGCTGTCAACCTGCAGAAAACAAGAAAGCGAGCCTTAGAGAGGACCTTTCTCCCCAAAGGTCAAAGGACATCAGAGATATTAACTCATTTATCTTATTATTATTTTTGTTTTTGAGACAGGGTCTCACTCTGTCACCTAGGCTGGAGCGCAAGTAGCGTGATCTTGGCTCACCACAACCTCTGCCTCCCAGGTTCAAGCGACTCTTGTGCCTCAGCCTCCTGAGCAGCTGGAATTACAGGTGTGCACCACCATGCCTGGCTAGTTTTTGTATATTTTGTAGAGACGGGGTTTCACCATGTTGGCCAGGCTGGTCTCGAACTCCTGACCTCAGATGATCTGCCCACCTTGGCCTCCCAAAGTGTTGGGATTACAGGTGTAAGCCACCACACTCAGCCAAAACTTCAAGGTTTGAGCACTACAAAATGAAATAAAACAAAACAAAACAAGGCATGTCTCCACACACTGAGAGTGCAAATGACATGTGTGGTCAGTGCCAGGCAGCTCGACTTAACTATTTATTCATTTTTCCTTGTTCTATATGAAAAAAAAGGATTTAAAGTCCCTGATGAAAACACACACAAATATAACTGGATAGCTTGTATTAAAAGTAGATAAAGAAGAGGAGGCAAAAGAAAAAAAAACAAAGTAAGAACACAAATGGAACCAGAAATGTAAGGGATGCAAGAATGTACTCTAGGCAAGTCCTCCACCTTTGTTACAGGTGGGAAATCACTGTGACCAGGAGGCAGCCATCGATTACCAGCATGCCTTCTTATCTACAACAGGGGTTACTAACAGTGTAACAATCAGGCTTCTCTTCTCCAAACCACTCCTGATGAACTCACCCCAGGAGCTGGTGATGACAGCAGCCCAGCCTTTTGAAGCCAACAGGATGACATTTTCATACAAAACTGTTGACTCTCAAGGTATACCATTTCCCCCACTATTAAATTGTAATTGTGCTTTTATTCATATGTGATAGTCCCTCAACTGATGTTTACTAAGCGGTACCATGTGCCGGGCACTCTTCTAGGTGCAGGGGATACAGCAGTGATCAAAAGTGGAAAAAAGCCTCATGGACCTTAATATTCAAAACCAGTCATGTGATACTGATATGTGGCACTTGGTACCATCTACCTTAGGCTGCCATTAGTTGTGTATTTTTCTTATCTCCCCAACAGAATCTAAATTTCATTAGGGCAAGAAGGGTGTCACATTCATTTATACAATAGAGCATATTGAGGTTCAGCACAAAGCCAGATTCTGCAGTTTGAAATCCTACTTGAACTCTGCTATTTGCTGTATTTTTGACTTTAAGCAAGTTGTGTAATCTCTCTAGGCTTCCGTTTCCCTATCTGTAAAATGAGTAAGTAAATCATATATCAATATCCCAAAGTCACCCTTTGTATGCTGAATTTCTCTGGATTGCTGACAGAAGTCTGGCCTTTGCATGGGACGTAGTCTGACAGACCATAGTGCAGTTTGAATACGTCGCCCTCTTTTGCCTGTGCAACTGCTTTGAAAGTGTAATAACTTTATTATTATTTCACAGCATTTTCCCTCTTACTGTTCCACCGGAATAAATGCAAAGGTGAACATAAATGTGGAATATTAGCCATAAGCTTAAGGTCCCATACACGTAATATAAGTCAGACAAGGAAGGAGCGCATAAGCTGTGCTAAAAACATTGAACTTTTGCCCTTAGGCAGACACTTAGGGAAATTAACTGTAAAGTGAAGAAACAAAAACAGAAAACATATATGAAGCCTTTGACATATATCAAAGATTGTATCTTAAAGGTAAGAGGTGATTCAACTCTTTAACATTTTGTTTTTAATTTTTTTGACAAAAGAACTCTTCCTGACAAAATGTAGGATATAGTATAGCATGGCTTTTGCACAAGAAGATGTAAGGGGCCTTCCTATAAAGCACCCCACCCAAGGTCATGAGTTAGTTATTTACAGAGTCTGACTGGATCTCAATTTTTAAGACATTGGTACAGTCTAATATACCAATTACTGTCTTATTGATGGCATTACCCCACTCTCTATAAAATAGCTCTGGAACTTTTAAAAAAAATCGTATTAAGGCTTAAAATAAAGAGGATGAAAATGTCCAATCATTTTTACAAAAAAGCCAATCTGCTTCTTTAACTTTCTAGTGAGTACTAAGGTAAAGGGATTTTGTTTGAAGCAAAGCCCTTTAACCAACAAAGTTGATTTTCCACTGTCAGCCCCACTCACCTCTTGGTGTGTAATTCGAACTCCATTATAAAAAGACATAACAGTATTAGGTCCCACAGCTACCTTTGAAAAAAGTCCTTCTCCAGCACTGGAAATAAGAGATTCAGCAACATAAACCCTAAATTGAAAAAAGAGTTGAATAGTGACCTTTTCAGCTTAATATGTCATTCCTTACATCAACTGCCAAAATATCATTAAGGCTACTGATTCCAAAATGTCAATTCATAACCCAACTAAGAAGGGAGGGAGGAAGAAAAAGTTAAACCACAATATTTTGGCATTGGAAATTAAACAAACGGTAGTTATGTCTCTTTTAGGAGTGGTGTTTAAAATTTGCTTTCTAATATAGAAATTATCATTATATTTTCATAAAGATGCTCAGTGCTTGATATGAGGTATTTTTTGGAAGAATTTTATGTTTTTAGTTGATGACAATTTTCACTGCCTTACTGGACAAGTAAACATTTTTTCAAAGTTAATTAAAGCTATATCTAAGTTTGTCAGTGTTAGATGGGAGGGAAAGGAGGCTGTTTTAGTTAAGCCTCAAGATGTATCTTCTATATGCAACAGTGACAAACAATTAATAAGATATATCCAATAAGCATTTCCCAGCAAAAGGGTTCATAACAGGGGTCAGTTAACTATGGCCTGAGGGTCCAGTCTGGCTGCTGCTCATTTTTGTAAGTAAAGTTTTATTGGGACACAGCCATACCCATTTGCTTAGTATTGCCTATGACTGCTTTAGCTCTACAAAGGCAGAATTGAGTAGTTGCAACAGATATTATATGGCTTGCAAAGCCTAAAATATTTACTATGTGGCCCTTTACAGAAAAAGTTTGCCAACCACTGGTTTATAAGAAAACAGCTGGTCGGGCGTGGTAGCTGATGCCTGTAATGCCAGCACTTTGGGAGGCTGAGGCGGGTGGATTACCTGAGGTCAGGAGTTCAAGAGCACCCTGGCCAACATGGTGAAACCCCGTCTCTACTAAAAATACAAAAAATAGCTGGGTGTGGTGGCGGGTGCCTGTAATCCCAGTTACTCGGGAGGCTGAGGCAGGAGAATCACTTGAACCCAGGCGGTGGAGATTGCAGTGAGCTGAAATTGCACCATTGCACTCCAGTCTGGACGACAAGAGCAAGACTCTGTCTTAAAAAAAAAAAAGAAAAAAGCGCTCATAATTACGGAACTGGATTTAACCAGACGCTGGGATGGAATGACCCTACAGGAACTGATCATCTGTAATTTTAGTTACATGGCTCTTATGCTTATTCATGAACTGGAAGACTGATTTATTGCTTTCAACTCTTTATTTCTTCGCTGTGATAGAATTATATACATCCTGCCACTTTGCCACGTGACCTTGTAGTGCCTCCCTCAGGGTGGGTGGAGGATACATCCTGCCCTACTGACTTCTCGTTTGGCCATCTGATCTGCTTTGCTGGTAGAACATGGGCAGAAGTGGCTGCAGGCAAGTCTCAGGTGTGAAGGGCTGGGGCAAATTTCTGCTGGCCTCCTCCAGACTTTTCACTGTCTCCATTAGAAGAATATGCCCTAGGGGGCTGTTGCTCCCTGTTTCTCTTGTAAAGAAAACATGTGAAACAGACTTGAACCCAACTTGAAACCTGGAGTCCAGCCTAGGCCAGCTGAGCTTAGCTGATTCCAGTCAGAAGTGGCTGAACCTCAGCCAACCTATAGAACTATGGTGTAAAACAAAATGTTTGATTCTGTAAACCACTGAAAGTTCTGAGGGCATCATTATGCAGCCTCATCACAACAATAATAACAGAAAAGACTAACACGTATGGCTATGGTCTTGTGTTTCGGAGCTAACAAAGAAGCTAAACCCTTCCCTTTGTAACTGGGCCAGAGCCTCATGTCAAAAAAGAGTCCATTCATCATTGTGACATTGTGGGGTCAGCCCTGTCAGTTGAATGGAGGAAGAGGCCTATTTCTCAGATGGGAACAGAAACTGAATGGGAGGTAAGCCATGCTTACAAAACACGAGGCAAAGAGAAAACCAATTTCAGATAGTACGCTTATTCATAAACAGATCTGTTGCTAAGGAATAAGAAGAATCCCAGAGAGGGTACCAGAAAAAGCCACATCAAGACTCAAGAGCTAGAGTTTAGCCATCCTCATAAATAAGACATGAAGTAGAACAGGATGTGACCCTCTGGGAGTGGGCTTACAAACCAGAAACTTGTCATTTATAAGCTAGAATGTTTTTATGCCTCTTATACTTTCTTTGTTTCACTCTTGTCTTCTGTTTGTGAAAAAAGAAATTGTCTTGTGTTCCAGAACACCTCCGCTGGTCTAAGATGAAATGGAGGCATCCTGTGTGCACAGGCTAGAGCTTTAAAGAGCATGAAATGTTCCCCTAGAGGGCCAGCATGTGACTGCAGCACAGACCCTAAGAACGGGAATGCTCGGCCAGGACACAGCTGGCTGCCTGGCCCAGCTGCTCTTTTTTTTTTTTTTTTTTTTTTTTTCTTTTTAGATGGAGTCTTGCTCTGTTGCTCAGGCTGGAGTGCAGTGGCATGATCTCGGCTCACTGTAACCTCTGCCTCCCAGGTTGAAGCAATTCTTGTGCCTCAGCCTCCCGAGTAGCTGGGATTACAGGTATACGCCATGACACCCAGCTAATTTTTGTATTTTTAGTAGAGATGGGGTTTCACCATGTTGGCCAGGCTGGTCTTGAACTCCTGACCTCAAGTGATCCGCCCGCCTTGGCCTCCCAAAATGCTGGGACTGCAGGCATGAGCCACCATGCCTGGCCTCAACTGCTCTTTCTACCTGGAGGTTTTACTCTAGGACAGACACACAAGCTGTTCTGTGATTTATGGGTGAGGAAACTCTCTTACAGGGTCAGATTCTACATAAGAATAAAAACACTCTTCCTCAGAATATAGAAATATTTATTTGAGGGTTGGCAAAGGAAAAGGACACTTTCATGAGGAGCTTGGTCTGAGCTGGAACCCAGCCTGGGCAGAGAGCCAAAGAGGTGCATAAGTTCCTACCACTAGGCTTATTTAACCTCACATAAACAGTGCAATTAAAACCCCAAGGAGGAAATTACCTTTCTGATTCATAAGGATCTGGAAGAAGAGCATTGGTAGAAATGCAAGATGAAGTCGACTTATCAAAGTGGTACACTGAATCTGAAAAGCAAACAAAAATACCAGTATAGGTGCAGAGTTAGGGAAGAGCATTTATAACACTTCTCTCTATTCATGGGACAACGAAGAGTTAAAAAACCAAAAATCTTAATCAAGTTATACCAACTAGAATGAAGTTCTTCAATTTAAATGGATACATTTTAGATTTACGCTTCAGTTTTATTTTCAGGCCTTCATGAACAGCCATCAGATGCATCTCTTAACATTCCAATTCACTCTTGAATTTTCCTTATTAAAATGACTTAAAGGATGCTTGGGAATCAATAAAATGCTTTGTCATGAAATTCTGAGATCTCTTGGCTCAGATCAAATTGGATGATGGTTTTAAATTTTTCTGGTGGTTTTCTTCATTACAGATACAGTCTACAGAATCCAACAACTGAACACTGGCAGTTGTCTCCTTCACTAAGAATAAAATTCTGCCTCACCAGAATTAAGGAGAACAGCACTGCTTTTGATAAAGCATTAACAAAGTAATCTCCTTTCTATTACGGTAGTTCAGAAGCCAATTAGTAATTTACTCTAGAAATCAAGGCACACAACCACCCTAGAAGGAACACTGGCTCTCTGTGAAGGATTAGCTTTAGAGAATCCTCACAGACAGCACTAAAGATAGATGCTCTGAAGACTGATAGGTAAAGAAACAAGATTTAGAATCAGAGGGCTTACTCCTGCAAAACAAATGATTATATACACTGAGGGAAAACTCATAATCCCATTAAGCAATTCTTCAGTAGTTACTAATGGTTACTAGGTCCTCTTTCTGTTTGTTTGTGAGTGGCTTTTTTTGTACAACCAAAACCCCAATGAATACCTGAAACTAAAAGTCAGAAACCAATCCAAATCAGTCAGTGTCCGCACAGAAACGGACCATTTGAGTGTTTCAAAAAGAATTCAGTTCAGGGAATTGGTCATACAGGGGATGGAATGCTGACAAGCCAGATGGAGCCGTGAAGAGCCCAGACACTGGCAAGAGCAGGAAGCTGCCACTGGAGGCCGGAGGGACAGAGGGCACAGTGCTGCTCCTGGAGCTCTGGAGCTGGGGTAGTTGGAACTAGCCTGGGCCTTCCTCATGGGAGATGGAATCAGGAGGTGATGGGGCCACTGCTGGAGATGCTGGTTGACACAGAGAGGGCTTCTTCCTGCTGCCTTCTCCTGCTTTGTCCCCAGCCAGCCAGTGGCCTCCCTTTGGCCAAACTCAGACAGAAGTCAGACACACAGGAGCCTGAAAAATGCAGGCTGCAAGGGGCAGCAGCCTCTTGCAATAATAGCGGGCAGTGAAAGAATGATGAATGGATTGGATCTGAGAGCAAAGTGGTAACAGACCACCAAGCAATCCACGAAAAGCATTTAAACCACCCTCCCCCACTTTTTTTTTCTTTTGAGACAGTCTTGCTCTGTCACTCAGGCTGGAGAGCAATGGCGTGATCTCAGCTCACTGCAACCTCTGCCTCCCGGGTTCAAGCGATTCTCCTGCCTCAGCCTCCCAAGCAGCTGGGATTACAGGTGCCTGTCACCATGCCTGGCTAATTTTTGTATTTTCAGTAGAGATGGGGTTTCGCCCTGTTGGCCAGGCTGGTCTTGAACTCCTGACCTCTAGTGATCCACCTGGCTCAGCCTCCCAAAGTGCGGGTATTACAGGCGTGAGCTGCTGTGCCCAGCCGTCACTTTTTATAAATAACCAAAATTGTGTGTGGAATGTATGTTCTATTGAGTGGAAATTTTCCTATGAATTCCATCTAGCTCCTTAGACTAAAATTTTTATGACAAATTTACTGAGTGCCAGCTACATGTACAACACTAGGGACTGTGTAGATACAATAAGGATTAACTTCTGTTGCTGCTTTCAGGGAGTGCACACTATCTCTTCCAATGCCTACTGTCTCTTCTTCTGCTGCCTTAGACATGCCCAGGCTGCAGGCACATCCTTTACTTTTACAGATTTTACACATCCTTTACTTTCCCTCCTTTCCTCTATAGTATGCTATGCCCTTTGACTAGAATTCATTTATTCAATGGACAAACATTCATTATAAAAAGTGAGTTAAGCCTTAAAGATGGAGTAGGAATTAGCCAAGGAAAGCAGTTACTATGTGGAGTAGGGCTGATCAGGTGAGAAGCAGTGGCATAGGTGAGAAACTCCACAGGAAGTAAGTAGAGAATTAGAAGTAGTTTGTGGTTACAAAAGCACACAGAGAAATGGAGAAGCTGGTGAGGCGACAGGTCAAGGAGTGTTTTATGTGAGATATTTGCATTAATTTCTCTCCTTCCCCAACCATTGGACGCTACAGTCACAGGACCCTGTACCCCCTAACCCACTGGCCAGTCAGCAGGTCAATAATTATAACTGGAAGGGGCAGAGGAGAGATACAAACATGGCAGAACATTAGACTAAAGATCGGTCTATAGGATCTTCAGAGTGCCAGAGCAGCCATGGTTCCTGGCCCTTTTGAGGCTCAAACTATTCAACATTTCAAAACACCTGAGGTCTGCAGGAATCTTGCCAATAAATCCCCCCTTTCTTTTCTGCGTTAAGTTAATTTGAAGTGAATGTTTATTTGCAACCAGAAGGTTTTTGTTGTTGTTGTTTGTTTTTGTTTGTTTGTTTGTTTGTTTTGAGACAGAGTCTCTGTGTCACCCAGGCTGGAATGCAGTGGTGCTATCTTGGCTCACTGCAACCTCCACTTCCCAGGTTCAAGCGGTTCTTGTGCCTCAGCCTCCTGAGTAGCTGGGACTGTAGGCACACTCTACCACACCCAGCTAAAGCAACCAGAAATTCTAAAAAAATAATAATTCCCTTTAGAATTCTCACTCTCAACAATTTTTTTTTTTTTTTTAAAGACAGGGTCTCACTCCTGTCGCCCAGACTGGAGTGCAGTGCACTCAGCTCACTGCAGCCCTGACTTCCTGAGCTCACGTGATCCTCCCACCTCAGTCTCCCAAGTAGCTGAGATTACAGACACATGCCACTATGCCCAGCTAATTTTTTTTTTTTTTTTTTGTATTTTTTAGGAGAGACAGGATCTTACCATGCTGCCTAGGCTGATCTTGAACTTCTGGGCTCAAGTGATCCACCTGGCTTAGCCTCCCAAAGTGCTAGGATTACAGCTGTGAGCCACCAGCCCTGGCCTACTGTTTCTTATTTATAGCAAGAAGAATGTAATAACAACTTTCATTACAGTGTTTTATGGTAGGTGCTAATATCCACATTTGGTAATGAGGAAACAGGTTCTGAAAAAATAAATAACTTGCCCAAGGATAATATAGTAAATGTTAGAGCTAGGTCTCAAATTAGGTGATTCTTAAGTTTAGGCACCTGCCACTAAAAATGCTGCTACTTCTGAAGTTTTAAAACTGGCATCACCAATTGGGATCCTCCCTTGTTTCGAGCCTCCTCATTTCTAAATATTATAACACTGTCTCCTTTCAGAACATAGATCAAGGGCATAGATATCACAGTTTGTAGTTCAAAGATTACTGCTTCCTTTTTTTAAAAAAATAAACTTTTCATTTTGGAGTAATTTCAAATATACGACATGCATCACTTAATGAAGGGGATACATTTTGAGAAATGTGTCATGAGGTGAGTTGGTCATTATGCAAACATCAGAGAGTGTACTCACACAAACCTAGATGGTATAGCCAACTACACACCTAGGCTATTAATAAATGGTACAGCCTATTGCCCCTAGGCTCCAAACCTGTACAGCTTGTTACTATAGGGAATACCATAGACAACAGTAACCTAATGGGAAGGATTTGTGTATCTAAACATATCTATACACAGAAAAGATGCAGTAAAAATATGATATAATCTTAGCTGGGTGCAGTAGTTTATGTCTGTAATCCCAGCACTATGAGAGTCCGAGGCAGGAAGATTGCTTGAGGCCAGGAGTTTGAGACCAGCCTGAGCAATACAGCAAGACCCTGTTTCTACAAAAAAATTTAAAAATATTTAGCTGGGCATTGTGGTGCATGCCTGTAGTCTTAGCTACTGGGGAGGCTGAGGCAGGAGGATTGCTTGAGCTCAGGAGCTCAAGGCTGCAGTGGGCTATGATAACACCAGTCCACTCCAGTCTGGGCAACAGAGTGAAATCCTGTCCCTTAAAAAATAAAATGAAATAAAAACAAAAATATGGCATAATCTTATGGTACCACAGTTGTTATGGGCCCATGACTGTATACAGAAAAGTCGCAAAGAAAGCACAGAGCATCCTCACTGTTTCTCCTAATGTTAACTTCTTACAGTGCATGGTACATTTGTCAAAATTAAGAAACCAACACAGATACATTACTATGTACAAAACTCTAGACTTTATTTAGATTTCACCAGTTTTTCCACTAATGTCCTTTTTCTCTTCCAGGATCCAATCCAGAATCCCACATTGCATTTAGACTGTCTCCATTTTTAACTTAAAAAAACAAAAAAGACATTTAAAGCAACCCAAATTGGACCTAAATATAAATGCTAAAATTTCCACTTTTGGACAAGCTTCCTTTGGAGATTCTTCTTCAGATCCCAAATAACTAAATACTATTTAAGCCTATTAATGCCCAGATTTATTGTCTTTTCTGTTTTTTTCTCCCTATAACCAAACCTGGCTCAGAAATACATGCATATATTGTTTTCAGGGAATCAGACCAATTCAAATAGCTTTCTTAAGCTGTGCCACTCAAAATGCAAAATCTTGATTTTTCTTTGTATATTTTCCAGATTTTCTACACTTAGTAATTTTATACTCAGAAAAAATGTTTAGTGTGACATGTGTACTTCTAAAAGGAAAATAATACTTTTTTCAAATATGGATTCCATTGGGTTCACTCATACATTGTGCTCCACGCAAGATGTTGGGCTCGAGATGCCAATATGCATTTATATTTTCCAGTCACAGCTCAGGCTCAATCAACTTTACAGTTTAGAGATCTACTTGATTTGGTTCTTTATTATCATAGTACAGTTTTTTGGAGAGATAACCATTTGAAATCAGTTGAATTACTGCTGTCATTTCTTTATTCCCTCCCTATATGAGAATTATATACCTAGGCCCTTTGTCACATGACTTTTCAGTATCTCCCACTAATGTGTATGGTGTAATTTCCCTGTCTCACTGATGTCTGGCTTGGCCATGTGACTTGCTTTGACCAGTGAAAAGTGAGTAAAGTGCCACCATGTCAGTTCCAAGGTGAGGTTTCAAAAGGCATCACAGGTATCTGCTTATGCTCTGACACTTCTGTGATCCACTGTGGGAAAATGTTGCCCCACATTGCCATTGTCCCTTCAGATTAGGCCCCAGAATTAAGACAAAGAGAGCTGACTCAAACCTGACCAGAAGCCTCAAGTCTGGCCTGGCCCCCTAAGCCCAGCCTCAGCCAGCTGGAGTACAGCTGCTCGGCAGAGCTGTGGTTGCTGTTGTAAACCACTGGGGAGGTGCAGTGTCTGTTATGCAATAAAACCTGACTAATAAACACGATTAAAGAGAACTATACAGAGAGGAAAAGAAAAGAAGCTTGTCTCAAATCAGCCCTAACAACCTGCTTTGGAATTGGAGCAACCCATCTGAAGCAGATTCAACTTACTTCCAGGCATCAGTTCAAAGTGAGGCCTCCCTTCTTCAGTGGACATAAGGGTAGCCAGTTTGCCTTCTATCATCTCTCCATCAATAAATTTCCCATAAAGTGCGGTCCTCTCATCAGGGTACACATAGGCTATCTTCTCTCCAGTCATCTCCCCATCTTCATTTACTTCTCCTACAAGGCTTCCTCCATCCTGATGGGAGAAACCAAAAACCAGAAAATATTATATATAGTATGTCTAGGACATGAGTCCCAAGAAATTTCTCTTCTGCAGTCCCATTATTAATATAGCACCAGTAGGGATAATAACAGTTTAGGAACCCAGAGCTTTTCACCTGGGTAAGAAAAACATGATGCATAGCTCCTCATCCAGCTCCATACAAATATACTGCTAGAAAGTCATACGCATTTGGGGCATGTATGCCTGATTTAGAGAGTGGGAAATTCCGTTGCAGTTTGTAATCCGGGACAAGTTACTGATACTCTATGTTGGTTTACTAAGAAATAAATGATGTTTCTTTGATATTTGTAACATCAATTACCAATATTTAAAGGAAATGTAACTAAGTGTTATTTTTGGCCAAAATCAAATATGATGACGATCTTTAGCAAGACACTCCTACCCACTATTCATAAGATCTCCCTTCTCAATATTAAATTTTGGATTTCTAGTGTGTTAGGAAAATATTCAGTTCAAATGTACTTAAGAATTAATTTAGTGTACACAAGTAAAGAGAGTTATCTGCACTTTTTCAGAGGCAAACAAAAGGATGTCTGGACACTGCCTTTCTGAGACTCCTATACCATCACCTTTTTTAGAATTAGAAGGAAAAGTGAAAAAAGATCAACTAAATTTCACTCCCATCTCAATTCTTTCTTTCCACTCTATTTCCTGCTCCCTCTTGCCTCCTTTTAGCAGAGCAGCGCACTTAGCTTCATGCTTAACTCTTCCATTTACTTCATTGCTAGGGGTCATTGAGTACTTTAGGGAAGAGGCTATCATATAATTCTATACCTTGATAAGTGGTAGGGACACAGTAGGTGATTCTTAAACGCTTTTTAAATTGAACAGGGTTACCAAAAAGTAATGAATAATTTAAGCTAGGGTGCCAGAGATGTTTCTTTCTTTCTTTCTTTTTTTTTTCCATCCAGAAGGTCCTCATGGTATAACTTTGAAAATTTAAGACCTTAGGGAGTTTGATTTAACAATAGTAATGCCATGACATCTTTTAAAAGCTTGGTTAATTTCTCCAACTTGAGGATCTAGGAACAGCTAGCTACTCAAAGCCAATGATGTAGGATGACTTTTGAGTGATCCCAAATGCTGCCTTTTTTTTTTTTTTTTTTTTGCCTTCTAGGAAAAGGGATGTAAATTTAAAAATGAATCATGGCACTTACATAGAAAGAAAAATACTTAGAAGCATTTTTAATGGATAGAAAGTGCACTAGGGATATAGTCATTGCTCTTTCTTCTCTTCAAGTTAATTCTTAATAATTGAGCATAAATGGAGATGATACTTCCTGCAAGATCTGCTTTCAGGCTTTTAGTGATGATTATTGAATGGAAGGGTATAAGAGCATTTGTGCTTCTTATAATCCATGACTAACATAAGATAATATTACTATTTATTTAAAACAGAAGTCTGTCTTTCCAGGGTCTCACACCTTTCCCCTTAAATGTTTAAATTTCTGGTTTCAGAGGGAGTGAATTTATTTGTCCAGAATGATAAAGTAGAAATTCTTCTTTCATTTCCAAAAGGAGTTATATATTTTTAATTAAAAACCTTATATGAAAAACTTTTTCGAGGTAAATTTTTGAAAGAAATACACTGTCCTTAGGGTGAGCTTACAAGTGTGGACTGTAGGGAAAATCATCACTTTTTTCTCCCCTTGTTCCTGCTATGGCCCATTACAGAAATTTCCTCCTCTGCTGTATCAGGCGTCAGGGAGTGTGGGGAAAGAAACGGCTGCTTTCTCTCCTCTGCTCACTGGCTCCTCCTCGTGGGGGGAGAAATCATTAATTTGACTGGTGAGCAGCCAGGGTCTGACACCTACTGACACCCATTTCTCTACTGGGTAGGGGTTAAGAGGACAAAGGCTGCTTTTCTGCTCACCAATGCTCCTTCCTAAGGCAGAGTCTTCTTTGAGATTTAATATGATAATCAAGGCTAAAGGTTAAAATGTAGCTATATTTTTGGTTTTCAAAATGCAACCATGTTGAGCGACGCCAATCCATTCACCAATCTTGGCGCATCTTTGATCCCATCTAGGGACTTTCATTGACTATGTCACAAGTAAAATGACAGGTAGTAGGAGAATCTAGTAATCCAACACTTTGCCTGCTTCCTATACTCATCTCTATGTAGAGAGTTCCACTTCCCCTGACTTCAAGATGCACTGTCACATCAGCAGCGCCCCAGCACTGGGCAGCAAGATGCCCACCCTGGCTACTCACGAGGCCAGGTTTCGGTCCTCCTACCCTGGGCAGCACCTCCACCGCTTCTGATCTTTCTGCTTCTCTTCTCCTAAGCAGTACGTGTTACAACTTTTGATCTATCACGGATCCTACCAAGAGGATATTTAAATGCTTTAGCAATTCTTAGAAAATGTTTTACAACATTCTTTTCTTATGCCCTATTCCTAGATTATAACTTATTTTTTAAGAACAATGATGTGTAAGTGGATTTAGCTGGGGTTACTTTTCTTGTTATATATGTAACTGATCATTTCTTTTTATTAGCACTTTTTAATCATAAGGTTTCAGAGTAAAAATATATTTTCAGCTTGGTGTGGTGGCTCGCACCTGTAATCCCAGCACTTTGGGAGGCCGAGGCAAGGAAATCATCTGAGGTCGGGAGTTTGAGACCAGTGCCTGGTCAACATGGTGAAACCCCATTTTACTAAAAATACAAAAAAATTAGCCGGGCGTAGTGGCCTGTGCCTGCAATCCCAGCTACTTGGGAGGCTGAGGCAGAAGAATCACTTGAACCCACGAGGCAGAGGTTGCAGTAAGCCGACATGGCACCACTGCACCTCATCCTGGGCAACAGAGCAAGACTCTGTCTCAAAACAAAAAAAGAGTATTTTGACTTAAGTTATGAACAAAATAAAGTATTAAGCAAAATATTTTCTAGCCAGGTGCAATGGCTCATGCCTGTAATTTCAGCATTTCAGGAGGCCAAGGCAGGTGGATTGCTTGAGCCCAGGAGTTCGAGACTAGGTTTTAGAGAAACCCTGTCTCAAAAAAGAAAACACAAAAATATTAGCCAGATGTGATGACATAGGCCTGTAATCCCAGCTACTAAGGAGGCTGAGGTGGGAAGATGGCTTGAGTCTGGGAGATGGAGGTTGTAGTGAGCCAAGATCGTGCCACTGCACTCCAGCCTGGGCAACAGAACAAGACCCTGTCTCAATAAATAAAAAATAAAATAAAATAAAGATAAAGTGTTTTCTAAGGTGTATTTTCTGTAACATTTTCTGGAAATTCAGTAACAACAGATGGGACATTTGAAATGCAAACAAAAATTAGAGCATTAATTTCCAACCATGGGTTCTGCCATATCTTTTTACTTTAATAGACTCCAGAAATATCATAAAATGCTATCAAATACTCAAAGGTAAGTTAATTTTAATCACCTTAATTTAAACAATATAAACCATAAAATACCTTAAAAAGCAGTTAGTGGAATTGTAGAATCAAGTAACAACAGTGCAGTAAGCTCTCCCAAATTAAAAATTGCTGGACTGGTTTTTACATATGAGAAACAGGAAATAAAACTAATAGCAACAATGAAAATTTCCACTATCTCCCTCTATGTGCCAAAAGAATTAAAAGCAATATATTTTGCCTTTATTAGTGATACAATAAAACCAATTTGTCTCAATTTGTTTTAATCATGATTAATTACTCCTTTCCAAAACAACGCTGAAAAATAATTAATAACGGATTCAAGGGCCAACAATCTAAGCCAATAGTGAGTAACAGTGAGAGGGCATGCCTCATAAACTCTTGGTGTCAGCTGTGGTGACTCTCAGGTTTCACAGCTCCCAAGTTCTAACACAGAATACATTTTACTCTTCATTGTGAAGAGTCACAGTATGTTACTTTCCAGCAGAGTGAACAGTCACACGGCTTACTGGGTAATATATCCAGCACACTCCATGACGAATGTTATCTTTATACTGCCCCTTGAAGATCAGTCTCCCATCTGTGTCATATTCCTGGGCTGGACCGTTCAGCTCTCCGTCTACATACGTGCCCTGGAGAACTCCCCCATCTTCGTAAGTGTAAACTCCCTGGCCCTGCAAGGCATCATCCACATAATACCCCTCCAGGGTGCTGTGAGGAAAGGAAAAACAAAAAGGAATAGTCAGACCATGACTTGACTCTCTTAGAAGAAAGGATCATATCCAAGGAACTGCATGCCCAGCTGTGTCAGCCCTGACATGGATTCAGCGCAGCCTCCTAAATTATCATCGACTGCTAGGAAAAGGTGCTTCATGGACGTGGGTAAGACTGAGAAGAAAGACGGAGATTTAATACCCAATCTCATGGTTCCTGGGAATCCTTTTACTCTGCTGGAGAAAATAGAGAAGAAAAAAGCTACTGATGGAAACTGAGAACAAGTTCACTTGAGTATGTTTTCAGGCAATAGAAATTCTGGTGTTACCTGTTCCACAAGCAAACCATTCATGTCTAATTTCCCTCAAGAGTGCTCCAGAATTCACTGGTAGTTCTCAAGGGTCTTTCAGATGGCTTGTATATAGTAATCTCTAATGATAGAAATGTGGCTTAAAGTGTGTGAATGTCTACACATTTGTTTCAAGTCACTAATGTATTATTTATCATTAATAGCCGTAATTGGTATCCAGTCAAATGAAATCCCTTCCATCTCCTTGGAAGACATATGGGGATTTATTTAAGTATATCTATATATCTATGTATGTATGTATGTATGTATGTATATCTATGTATATACATACATCCATGATCATGGCCAGTAGGGGCAAGTAAGGAAGACTGAATGCTCCACCCTGCTGATATCATTAGCATCCTGATAGTTTGAGACCCACGGTCCTATACCAGAAGAAAGCTCACAGGGATGCTCACGTGATTTTACCAGCACTTCTCCATCTCTCTCCTTGTAATATATATTTGCAAGTTCAGGAACATGTTTTCATTGTTATCCTCTGAAAGGCCCTATGCAATGAAACACCCAAAATTCCCTTTAAGTACTAAAATTTGGAATAGGGAAAGACCAACTCAAATTATTTTTAAAATTTAAAATGTAAGAAAATTTTGAAACAAAGACAGCTTGATTATTTTAACATAGGCAGAGAGTATTTATTCATTAATTCAACTAGTAATTTTTTTTTTCGAGAGAGGATCTTGCTCTATTGCCCAGGCTGGAGTGCAGTGGCATGATCATGGCTCACTGCAGCCTCGACCTCCTGGGGCTCAAGCCATCCTCCCACCTCAGCCTCCCAAGTAGCTGGGACCACAGGTATGTGTCACCACACCGGGTTAATTTTTGTTTTTTTTTGTAGAGATGAGGTTTTGTCATGTTACGTATGCTGGTCTCGAACTCCTGGGCTCAAGGGATCCACCCAACTCGGCCTCCCAGCCACAACTAGTCAACATTTACAGTGTGCCTTCTCAGTAGCAAGCATTGTGTGAGGCTCTAGAGCGGATAAGGAACAAAACAAACACAATGGTATAGGAGAGACTGGCAAGACACACTGTGAACTGGAGCAGATGGGACGCAAAGCGGGCCATCAGGACTTAGGTGGCTGCACCTGACTCTGTCTGGTAAAGTCTTGACTTATTTCAATGAACAACTGTGAATGATCTATAATTATTAAATGAAAAGCAGATTCTAAATAATGATAGCTTCTGGTTAAAAGGTAATTATACTATTTGTAGTATCCCAAGGAGATAAATAGTTTTCTTTCAGTTTTATTTGTACTATCAATGACAAATAGGCTTCCTAAATTCATGAAGAGAATAAAGTGCACTTTAGCATAGCTCTTGCATAAATAATCAAAATTCTAAAACAGTGAGGTTGGAAGTAATGAGATTCAACTGTCATTAGACTCCCACAATTAAAAAAAAAATCATTGGTGAAGGGTACTAATCAAGTGACATAATGATGTAATTTATGTAGTGCAAGAAACTATTCATTTATCTTCATTTTTAGGATTGCCAGGTATAATACAGGATTCCCAGCTAAGTTTGAATTTCAGATAAACAACAAATAATTTTTTAGTTTATGAATGTCCCAAATAGTGAATGGGATATAATTATACTTACTTTTTTTGTTGAGCAAATTCCAATTTAACTGGGTGTCCTGGATTTAACTAGATTTTTATTTGCTCATCCTGGCAACCCTATTGACTTTGGACTCTCAGCAGCATTCAAAATGTTCCTGTGTGAGTTTGGGTAGAATATTACTCCCTGACAGACTAGTCTGCCAATATTTCTCAGGGTTATGATCAAATCTACAAGAAACAGGTCTTGCAAATCAGACAAAAAATAATATGGACTTGCAGACATTTCCCCCAACTGTATTCAGTGGCTTGTCCTAACCTCCCTTACCCATGGAGCCCATCATCCCATCTATCAGAGTACGAAGAACAAACTGCTATTTCCCTCTTAGCCCAACTGACTCAAAGTACACAAATGCAAACTCTTAAGGCATTGGAAAGCAAATCTTACTGCGTTATTTTTTCAGCCATCTGCTTGAGGCCACAGCTTAGCTTTCTTGGCAACTTTTAATAGTAAGTTAGATGAAATCTGATGACAAAAGAGGGCATATTACACACATAAACTGGGTTCTCCAGGGTGATAAAAGTGATTTTTTAAAATCCTCTGTCATTGAGGAAATAAAATATACGTTTCTTAGACTGGCATTCAAGGCACTACCTTTCTCTCTAACTGTTCTTTCCAGAGGAGGCTGGCAAACTATGGCCTGCTGACTGCTTTTGTAAATAAAGTTTTACTGGAACAAAGCCATGCATGTTCCTTTCTACATCATCTATGGCTGCTTTCATACTACAACAGCAGTGTTGAATTGCTGCAGCAGAGACCGTATGTGGCCCACGGAGCCTCGATTTTACTCTCACCACATACAGAAAAAGTTTGCTAATCCCTGCTCTAAAAAGCTCTGCTCATATCGAAAGTTTACTCACTGACCTTTATTTAGCTTAGCTTCCACACTATATTTTTCCTTGCTTTCCATAATACATATGGGAGCAAACTTTTAAAATCCTTAAGGCCAGCCGGGGGAAAAAAAGTTATGATTTTTTTTCTTTTCTTTTTTCTTCATTGAAAACAAAAATAATCATGGACTAATAATGAATACTCTGAAATCTCTGGCATTTTTCTATCAAAAAAGAAAGAAGCCAATGGGTGCAGTGGCTCATGACTGTAATCCCAGCACTTTGGGAGGCCAAGGTAGGTGGATCGCTTGAGGCCAGGAGTTTAAGACTACCCTGGCCAACATGGTGAAACCCCAGCTCTACTAAAAATACAAAAATTAGCCAGGGGTGGTAGCACATGCTTGTAATCACAGCTACTCAGGAGGGTGAGGTGCAAGAATCACTTGAACCCAGGAGGCAGAGGTTGCAGTGAGCTGAAATTGTGCCACTGCACTCCAGCCTGGGTGACAGCGAGACTCTGTCTTAAAAAAAAAATAGACTGGGCATGGTGGCTCATGCCTGTAATCCCAGCCCTTTGGAGGCCGAGGCAGGAGGATCACCTGAGGTCAGGAATTTGAAACTAGCCTGGCCAACATGGTGAAACCCTGTCTCCACTAAAAATACAAAAATTAGCCGGACATGGTGGCAGGCACCTGTAACCACAGCTACTCGAAAGGCTGAGGCACGAGAATTGCTTGAGCCCAAGAGGCAGAGGTTGCAGCGAGCCGAGATCGCACCACTGCAATCTTTTTTATTTTTTATTTTTTTGAGATGGAGTTTCACTCTTGTTGCCCAGGCTGGAGTGCAACGGCACAATCTTGGCTCACTGCAACCTCTGCCTCCTAGGTTCAAGTGATTCTCCTGCCTCAGCCTCCCAAATAGCCGGGATTACAGGCACGCGCCAACACGCCCAGCTAATTTTGTATTTTTAGTAGAGACGGGGTTTCTTCATGTTGGTCAGGCTGTTCTCGAACTCCTGACCTCAAGTGATCTGCCCACCTCGGCCTCCCAAAGTGCTGGGATTACAGGTGTGAGCCACCGCGCCTGGCTGCACCACTGCCCTCTAACCTGGGCAACAGAGCGAGACTTGTATCCATTAAAATGTTAATATCGGGTCATATTTGAAAAGTGGGTACATAGAAATAGCCTTCTAATGTTTCTTGGTGAAATTGGATTGAGAGCTGGGTTTCAGAGCAAGTCTGCTGGTCACTGTGTTAAACAGAGCCTACTCATCATCCGCGGGGAACCTTGTTTTCCTACAAAGTAAATCTATCCTGATCTTGGCAGCCCTGCCATGCACATTATTCATCAGAGCCTAGGCATGTACTATTACAGAACACTCCATGTCTTTATCGATGTTAAATTTACGTGTCCTATTTCTCTAACTAGATTGTAAGCCCTTTATGGGAACAAATTAGGAAATATGCATCCACGTATCCCCCCAACATATAAACTTCATGTTGATAATTCCTAAGCAAAAGAATAGAAATGGAAACTGGGATCATTTTGCATTGAGAAGAGAAGATTGAGAAGGAACATAACAGTGTTATTCAAGTGCAGGGAGCATTCTTATATGAATTCGATATGCATACAGGCTGTACGTGAGGAAAGTTTCTTAAACTTCCTATGCTTCATTTCTTCATTTGTAAACTGGACTACTCAGAGTGTTGTTATAACGGTTAAATGGGTTAATATATATCAAATGCTTAGAATATGGTCTGGCACATAGTGATTGCTTAAATAAAGAGCAGCTATTATTATTAAACATGCATATTCATGTGTATGATGGCAAGCTTTCTACTAAAAAACTGGGTTTAAAAAGCATCATCAAAAAAAAGCATCATCAAAGAAACAGTTATGAAACACTGAAATAAAGAAATTTATAAAACTGCATTAAATCTATTTTTAAAGAACAAGCAAGAAAAATTCCTATCTGCAGTAATTTATGAGTGATCCAATTGACTGGAAGAAAATAAATACCTCTAAAAAAAAGCAATATGTGTTCATTGTAAAACAAACACATAAAAAGCAATTCAAGCAATACTAAGATGCAGAAAGTAGAAATTCTCAGTCCTCTTCCCCAATTTCACATACAGTATTTAAGACTTTTTCATTTCTTTTTTTTAAGATGAAGTCTTGCTGTCGCCTAGGCTGGAATACAGTGGTGCAATCTCGGCTTGCTGCAACCTCCACCTCCTGGGTTCAAGCGATTCTCCTGCCTCAGCCTCCTGAGTAGCTGGGATTACAGGTGTGTGCCACCAAACCTGGTTAATGTTTGTATTTTTAGTAGAGATGCCTTTCACCATGTTGGCTAAGCTGGTCTCGAACTCCTGACCTCAAGTGATCCACCCGCCTCAGCCTGTGCTAGGATTACAGGTGTGAGCCACCGCTCCTGGCCACTCTTTTCATTTCTATACCACGCATTTTCCTACCTTCTGTTTTTGTTATTTTAATAAAAATGGGATCATACTATACATAATGTTCTTAACATGCTTAACTTGTATTTTCTTAAAGTTCCTTTCAACATCTTGGCAAATTCTTTAGTATGTTAAGAAATTACAAAAATGGTCTTGCAATTGTTTGATTTTCCTGGTACCATCATCTGAATCAAACTGGAAAATGTTGAGGAAATTAAAACATAAATTTTAATTAAATTTCTTTTTCTGCACATAGATCAATTTTTCCTGTTTTATCCAACCTCTTGTACTTAAGAGTTAAATTTCGAGAAATCAGTTAAGAAATCTAACTTACAAAGAAATGGATAAATTTTATAGTTGTTTTCCTAGACTTACATATCTGCATTTTATTCAGATATTGCTGTATTTTCATTAAAAATTCCTGTTAGTGTTTGAATATAGAAAACTGTTCTTAGAGACTTAACAGTTTTGGCTTTTCTTCATGGTTCTGGGGTCTAGGTTTTGGACCTTCCGCCTCCTGGGGCCTAAATTCTGTTCCCTTCCTTCCACTGTGTTCCCTTCCTTTTGTCAGCCATAGCAATACAATAACCGAGAGGAAATTTTAAAAATGAATAATCACTCCTTAAACTCCCATCTCTAACCAAATTGAATTGTGACCCTTAGTATATACATTATTTTAGGAATTATTTTATATGACAATATATATTATCTTTTGAAACACTGCAAACTAAGCAAAGAGCAGCAACAAGGAGATGCAACCCATCTGCTAGAACTATTTCCAGCCAGAAACTTCAACTTCTCCCAAGGTGTTGGAGCAAGTTTGATGGAGAACTCTAATGCTTCCATATAATATAACATACTGTCTATCTTTGAAGGTTTTCTTTTTCTATCCTTTAAGAAAAGATCTATGAGTCTACTATAGATCTAATTATTACAAAGCCTCAAAGTAACAGTAAAATATTTGAAGAGTGAATAATGAAATTTAGTTTTGCTTTCTAAAAACAAACCTCAAGAAAACTTTCTGCTACGGACTAAATGTTTGTGTCTCCCCAAATTCCTGTGTTGAACTCCTAACACCCAATATGATGGTATTAAGAGGTGGGGCCTTTGGGAGGTAATTTGGTCCCAAGGGCAGAGCCCTCTTGAATGGGATTAATGCCCTTATAAAAAGATATTAGAAAGCTTGTTTTCTCTCCCTTTACTTTCCACCATGTGAGGATATCAGGAGAAGATGGACATCTACAAACCAGGAAGTGGGCCCTCGACAGACACAAAGTGTACTGCTGCCCTGATCTTGGACTTCACACCCTCCAGAACTGTGAGAAATAAATTTCAGTTGTCTAAGCCACCCAGTCTATGGAATTTGTTGTAGCAGCCCAAACTAAGACACTCTCCTAATAATTATTAATAATAATAGTAACAACAACAATGATAAAATAATCCATCTTTTCCCCTAAGCACCTTCTGAGTGTCCTACACTTTAAGGGTCTTTACAGGTTTTCTCATTCAATCACAGCAATCCTGAAAAGCAGGTATAATTATCTCCGTTTTACAAATTAAGTAAATGGAAGTTCAGGGAGGCCAAATAGCTAGAACAGAATTCTTCTGAATTGATTCCTCAGGAAAACCTTCTGTCAATCTTCCAAGCTCTTCCCAAGTTGTTAAGGCCCCTACAAGAACATAACTGAATTCACTCCAGAACTCCTTTTAACATTTCACAACTATGGCTGATGAGTAACTTCAAGGAAAATTAAAGAATGGAAGAAAGGCAGTCAGGCCCACAGCTATTTCCCTGTTTCAAGTTGGAAGATGGTAGCAGATGTAGTGAAAAAGAGGGTTGGTTCTAGAATTGAATTCGCCTTGGTGTGAGTCTCAGCTCCAATCATTTTTAACTAGGTCACCTGGGGCAAGTTATTTAGCCACTCTGTGCCTTAGTTTCTTCGTATGTCAAATGGGATTATAAAACCCACCTCCCAGATTGTTATGAAGACCACGTGTCCAGTGTTGAAGAAATGGTAGTTATTCAATGTTACCCATTTCATTTGCACTCTCTTCTTGCATGTCACAAAAATTTTTGGCCTCAATCAGAACTGTTTGTTGGAATACAGATGAATATATTTGCTGGGTCTGGTTCCAACAAAAGCTAGAGGACTGTCAGGAACACAAAAGAAACTTTTGCCGCATGTGGGAGGTTGGAATGCATGACTTCAGAAATCCGATCCAACTCCAATTTCTCTGAATTGTGATCAAGCACTTTCTGAAAACTAAACACAAGAAATCCTGCATAGACTTGACACCTGGAGAATGCCATCCTTTCTCAGTGGCTCATCAGACGGGTGACCTTGCTCAGGTTATTTGGCCAGTGATAAATTACACGGAGCCCTTTTGGCAAATGTAGCCAAGCAACATCAGAAAAGGACTTGGGCACAGGAGAAAGAAGCCGTGGAGTAGTAAATCCTTTAAAATCAAATTGGCATGTGAAGGAGAGGCATCAACAATATAAACAAATAAAGCTGAATGAATGACCTCATCTCCACCTCATAATTAGGCTAAAAACCACATGACCCTAATATTCCATAGCCCCCGCAAAGCCAATCTGAAGAAATATCTCCTTCTTGTTCACCATTCTAGGATTGTGAAAAGTCTTGCCTTTAGGTTCATAAATCATGGTCAAAATAGAACAATTAAAGAAAGATACATGAAAATAAACATCCAGAATCTAGGATTAGTATAAAAATTAGAGATGTGTGTATCAAAGTATTTTGAACACTACACGTTTTCATCACACCCCATGGTACTCCAGCAAATCCACGGGTACCAGACAGACTCCAGATCCACACCAACAAAGCCTCAAGATTCCTGTCACCACGCTGCATCAATTCCTTTATCTCGGGACCGAGTGGATGTAAAGAAGTCCCAGTTACTGAATCTCAGGATAATTTCTTCTTCCCTTTTAATAGAGGAGGCGGGAATGGACACAATATCTACTTTAAAAACAATTTTTAAAATAAGGTTATGTTCTCATTCATTCCTTATTTGTAGGGCAAACCATCTGGTAAAGCATGAGTATTCTGATTTTAGGTTTCTGACTTAATAAGCTGGTTGTAGTAACTTAGCTTTTCTCTTCCACATTTTGTCATATAATGAAGAAAAGACTAAATATTATGATCTCAAAACTAGCAAACATTTTGAATCTGAGACAGTTGTGAACAGGTAAACAATGTACATTTTTGCTATTTAAACTGATTTAGAAATAGATAGCTATTTCTTCCATATGCTGAAGAGGTATGTGCACTCCCATGTTTATTGCACTATTCACAACAGCCAAGATATGAAATCAACCCAAGTTTCCATTAACAGATGAATGAATAAAGAAAATGTGGTATATACGTACACAATGGTATACTATTCAGCATAAAAACAAAACGAAATCCTGTCATTTGTGACAATATGAATGATCCTAGAGGACATCATGTAAAGTGAAATAAGCCAAGCACAAAAGGACAAATACCGCATGATCTCATTTGTATGTGGGGAATCTGAAAAAGCTGATCTTACAGAAGTAGAGAACAGAACAGTGGTTAACAGAGGCTGGGGAGTAGAAGGCAGGAGGGAAGGATGGGGAGAGGTTGGTCAACAGGTACAAAGTTACAGTTAGATAGCAAGAATAAGTTCTGGTGTTCTATTACATAACAGGGTGACTACAGTCAACAGTAATATATTGTATACTTCAAAATAGCTAGAAGAAGGGATTTTGAATGTTCTCACCAGAAAGAAATGATGAATCTTTGAGGTGATGGATATGCTAATTACCCTGATTGATCATTACACAATGTGTTTATGTATCAAAATCACACTTTACCCCAGAAAAATGTAGAATTATGTGTCAATTAAAATAAAACTTTAAAAATGCCTATTTCTATATTTTACCTTGAATATGTTTAGTTAAGATGTGCAAATTCTCTGCCAATAGTAATTACTTCTATGGCATGGGTTGGGGTTAAAAAAAAGCGGGGGGGAGCACTTTCACATTTCTGAATTTCTTGAAGTTTTGTTTTATTCCACTAAGCATTTGTTATGTTTGCAATTTAAAAATAAAATAAAATATTCTGCTTCTATTTACAAATTTGGTTTTAAAATTTCACAGGGCTATTTTTCCTAGTTATCTGGATATTTGAAATTCTTATTCAGATTTATCTCATTCGATGTCAAGGGAAACACTGATTCTATAATTTTCTTGATATGTTTATATTTGTTTGGATACTTCTCATAAATCATATTCTGGGGTTCAGTTTTCATATAAAATTAGAATATTTAGGCCAAGTCTTCCATTACTACACTGTGATTTTCCTTGTCTCTTTCCTTGTCGGAACATGGGTTCCCACAATTTCAGACAAACTCTTTGATGGGGACACAAATCAGCATAACAGGTTTCAACAACTTTCTTCAATACAAAGTTTTTGTCTCCTCGCTTGTTATTCAAAACCTAATGCCAGCCTTTCTTAAGGAATTTTTCCAGACCAAAGGTTGATGACTGACAATAAAGGCAAAGCATTCCCACTTAATTTTACCCAACACATCAAGCTCTAAAAGCCGGGGATGGGAACAGGGAGAAAAAGTAATAGACAAATATAAATAAAAACTGCTTCATGTAGAAACAACTGACTTATCCATAATCAAATCCCACATCTGCCTTAGAAAACCCTGGTAGATTCTCGACCTTTTATTCAGTTGTAAGACTCTCTTACTAATTTTTACAGCAAATCCTTTTAGCAGATGTCTCGTAACATGATCAGTATTTGGGTTTAAGAAGATGAGGACGACCTTTTGAGATCCTGTCACCACACTGTTCCATCATGTGTAATAAAACCAATGATACTGACATTTTCCCCTTAAGATATTAACTCCCGTCTATCTGAAGATAACCAAGATAATCTCTTGAGGTCCTCGCTAACACTATTTTTCCTTGATTCTATTTAATCAACATCTCCACTGGTGTTTGAGTGGTAGATATAAAAATTAGTGAATTGGGTGGGCGTAGTGGCTCACACCCGTAATCCCAGCACTTTGGAAGGCCAAGGCGGGCGGATCACGAGGTCAGGAGATCAAGACCATCCTGGCTAACAAGGTGAAACCCCGTCTCTACTAAAAAAATACAAAAAAAAAAAAAAAATTAGCCGGGCGTGGTGGTGGGCGCCTGTAGTCCCAGCTACTCAGGAGGCTGAGGCAGGAGAATGGTGTGAACCCAGGAGGCGGAGCTTGCAGTGAGCCGAGATCGCGCCGCTGCACTCCAGCCTGGGAGACAGAGCAAGACTCCATCTCAAACAAACAAACAAACAAACAAACAAAAATTAGTGAATTGGTTAGGCTGGGCACAATGGCTCACGCCTGTAACCCCAGCACTTGAGAGGCTGAGGCGGGTGGATCACTTGAGCTCAGGAGTTTGAGACCAGCCTGGGCAACATGGCAAAACTCCATCTCTATAAAAAATACAAAACAAATTAGCCTGGTGTGGTGGCATGCACCTGTAGTCACAGCTACTCAGGAAGCTGAGGTGGGAGGATCACCCGAGTCCAGGGAGGTTGAAGCTGCAGTGAGCTGTGATCATGGCACTGCACTCCAGCCTGGGCAACGGAGTGAGAACCCATCTAAAATAAAATAAAATAAAATAAAATAAAATAAAATAAAATAAAAAGAATGGTGAATTCGTGCCTCAAAAGGAAAAAAAAAATCAATGAATGTATTTCTAGCCTATAGATAGTTACTGGGCTAGTGCTGCCACTTGGCCTGGTGCTTCAGCTTGTTCATATCGTGACACACCTGCAAATTAATGCATTTGTCTGACACACTGGGGTAAGCGGATGAAGCTGTTTGGGGCTAGAAGTTACTAGCTGGATATGAGAAGACAGGTGCCCAGGAAGTCTCAGGCCCCACTTTGCTATCTTACCCTAGGGCTGAGGGGATCAGCATCTTGAAGCTAACAAGTAGCTCATTCTCGGCACACTGGTTCAGAATTTTAGTCTAGCCCATCAGTACTCTGTGTATCAGCCCCATAAAGCAAGCAGGTAACCAACACCAAATTCAAACAAATCTGCTGGACTGTTTTCCCAGAGTCAATCAGTTACTGGCTATCATCATCAAACTACCAGATTTAAAGTGTGTGTGTGTGTGTGTGTGTGTGTGTGTGTTTGTGTGTGGAGGGGGAGGCGGAGGGGGTGTTCTGGGTGAATTCTACCCTCTCTTTCAGCTCCCACTCTCACTTAGCAAGGACTTCTTTTTAGTATCAAATTAAGAGAAAGTGCTATGAAGCATAAAAGATGTAATAGACACAGATTCTGCCCTCAAGGAAACCTCTGTCCTTGGAGATGAAGGAGACATTTACATAAATATGTACTTGTTGAACGAATAAAAAAATTTGCAGAATAAGGTTAAAAGTGACACTTTTCAGAAAAAAGAGCTATAAAAAAATTGCAGTGGAAATGGGGCAGGAAAAGTTTCCCTCTGGATAGGTTAAAAGAGTCATAGGAAAGAAAAGCAGTGATACCAACTTTTTTTTTTTGAAACAGGGTCTTGCTCTGTCACCCAGGCTGGAGTGCTCAAGCAATCTTCCTGCCTCAGCTCCCCAGCAGCTGGGACCACAGTTCCCAAGGTCTCTACACCTCGTGGCAGAGACAGGGTCTCACTATGTTGCCCTGGTCAGTTCTCAAATTCCCGGGCTCAAACAATCCTCCTGCCTCAGCCTCCCAAAGTGCTGGGATTACAGATGTGAGCCAACATGCCCAGGCCAATACCAACATACTGAAATGGGCCTCTATGGCACTCAAGTATCCACCCAAAAGAAAGGAAGTAAAATATCTGACAATTTAAAATTTACAGTTTGTAAGCAAAACTCTGCTTTACAAAAAGGTGGGGTTGGGGGCAACGGGGAAATGAAGGTTGGAATTATAATTAAAATGAAATTTTACAAAAGTCATTTAGAAGGTTTTTATTGCTGTTCTCACCCCTCATTGCATCAGATCATTGAGAGCCTGAGAAATGTTACCCCCTTTAAAACAACGCACTTTGCCTGCAGAAAAGGGATTCTGGGTCACATACCAGTCCCTGACATCACCCTTCAGTTGTCAGCTTAGACATTTTCTTTCCCAAAGGAAGCTCTGGCCTATTACCAATGTCAGGAGTTTAGTAAGTGGTGCGGTATCCTACAGAATCCTATAACCTGCTTTGGTGAAGTCAGTTTCCATTTTACCCAACCAACGGGTCTGAAAATAGCTAGCCCTTTTGCGGCTCTGAATTCCACTAAATGCTTGAGAAATTCACATGGTCACTCTTTGCTCCTGAAGCTGACAGGGCCTAAAAGTCATTGTTGGGAAGCTGGGCCTGGGCAACCCCATCTCTTCTTGAAAGAAAAACGTCCTATAGTCATTCCTATCTATCACAAGCGAGTAAGGAGCCTCTCCCTCTCAGTGTCCTCAGACAGGGGATGAGAGTAAAATAAAAGAAATCCTGTTGTGAAAAATACTGTAACTAGAGGTACACTGTGGAAAATCATAGTTCTGACATTAGTATTAAATTATCACACAAAAAGACCAACTATCCCAAAGACAGGCATTTAAAAAATTGAAGTCTAGAGAGTTGCCCTCCTGTGTGTACCTGTTTATGTCTTATTACTGGGACTGCAATGATGTGGCTTTGAAGAACTTTGCCAAGCATTTTTTCATCAATCTCATGAGGAGAGGCAAC